>NC_000016.10:89587067-90228345 GCF_000001405.40 Homo sapiens
ACTATATCATGGGCGGCTGCCAGATCCACTTCACCGTGAGTCCATGGCCCCGCCCCATGCCGCCCCCTCAGTCCGTGGCCCCGCCCCGCCCCGCCCCCTCAGTCCGTGGCCCCGCCCCTCCCCGCCCCCTCAGTCTGTGGCCCCGCCCATCCCCGCCCCCTCAGTCCGTGGCCCCGCCCCTCCCGCCCCCTCAGTCTGTGGCCCCGCCCATCCCCGCCCCCTCAGTCTGTGGCCCCGCCCATCCCCGCCCCCTCAGTCCGTGGCCCCGCCCCCGCCCCCGCCCCCGCCCCGCTCCCGAGGGGTCCCAGCCTGGCGGGTGAAAGGGCACTGGCGGTTCCCCGTGAGCCGATGTCTCCATGCGCGGCTCCTGGGGGTCCTCCCTTTTGCGCAGGCGAGGAAACGGGCTTGGGGTTCAGGAAGCAGCCCCAAGCCCGCCTTGGGAGGTGACATCACCAGGGCTTACCTTCCACAAACACATTTAACAACAGACAAAACGTGAACGAGGAGAAACTGGAGTGAGCGTTTGAGTGAACCAGCCACAGTCTCTACGTGTCATCCAAGGAGCCCGGCACAGACCCCGTGTCACCCCCATGTCACCCGCAGACCCCGCGTCACCCATAGATACGCACACCCCGTGTCACCCCCATAGCACCCCCGTGTCACCCACAGATACACGGCCCCCGTGTCACCCGCGTGTCACCCACAGAAACACGGCCCCCGTGTCACCCACAGATACACGGCCCCCCGTGTCACCCGCGTGTCACCCACAGATACACGGCCCCCGTGTTACCCACAGATACACGGCCCCCCGTGTCACCCGCGTGTCACCCACAGATACACGGCCCCCGTGTCACCCGCGTGTCACCCACAGATACACGGCCCCCCGTGTTACCCACAGATACACGGCCCCCGTGTCACCCACAGATACACGGCCCCCCGTGTTACCCACAGATACACGGCCCCCCGTGTCACCCGCGTGTCACCCACAGATACACGGCCCCCCGTGTTACCCACAGATACACGGCCCCCGTGTCACCCACAGATACACGGCCCCCGTGTCACCCGCGTGTCACCCACAGATACACGGCCCCCGTGTCACCCGCGTGTCACCCACAGATACACGGCCCCCGTGTCACCCGCGTGTCACCCACAGATACACGGCCCCCGTGTCACCCGCGTGTTATTTGCAGATGCGCTGGTTCGTGTTTTGTTGAACGAGCCCCAGAATGGCTTTGGGAGAAGCCAGCAAGTGGGAAACGTGGGGGGACCCAGACCAGGCTTGGTCCACTTAGGCCCTGCCGGGGAGGGTGGTAGAGGGGTTGGGCGGCCACTAAGAAGGATGGGCGGGGCCCCCACAAGGCCAGGGTGATCCTGGTGGGGTGTCCTCCCGGAGATCCAGGGAGCCTAGGGGCTGGCAGGTTTTGAGGAGACCTCTCCTGGCCCTGTGTAGCAGGTGGGTCAGCCCCAACAGCAGCCCCCCAGCCCTACCCACCTACGCGACCCCTGACCCTGAGTCCTGGCCACTCTGGGCGTGGTTTCTCTACCTGTCAGGAGCGGGTTCGGGGAGCCCCGGCCCAGCACAGCTCCTGGCTCCCGGCCCACTGCAGGTGGCCATTGACTTCACCGCCTCCAATGGAGACCCGCGGAACAGCTGCTCCCTGCACTACATCAACCCCTACCAGCCGAACGAGTACCTGAAGGCACTGGTGTCCGTGGGCGAGATCTGCCAGGACTATGACAGGTGCGCCCACCACCTTCCCCTCACCCCCTGGTCTCCAGGTCAGCTATGACAGGTGCGCCTGGCCGTCTTCCCCCTCACCCCCCTGGTCTCCAGGTCAGCTATGACAGGTGCACCCGGCCGGTTTTCCCTCACCCCCCTGGGCTCCAGGTCAGGCCTCGGGGCACCATGAGGTGGGCACTGTGAGTTTGTCAGACTGTGAGGGGCCGGGCGCGGTAGCTCATGCCTGTAATCCCAGCATTTTGGGAGGCCGAGGCGGGTGGATCACCTGAGGTCAGGAGTTTGAGACCAGCCTGGCCAACATGGTGAAACCCCATCTCTACTGAAAATACAAAAATTAGCTGGGCGTGGTGGCAGATGCCTGTAATCCCAGCTACTCAGGAGGCTGAGGCAGGAGAATCACTGGAACCCGGGAGGCGGAGGTTACAGTGAGTCAAGATCACACCTTTGTACTCAAGCCTGGGTGACAGAGCAAGACTCCGTCTCAAAAAAAAGAGACTCTGCGAGGAAGGGCTGGGTAGCCCTACTGGAGGCTGCCGCATAGACTCTGCACATGGTCCTGGGGGGACGTCTGTGTCCCGCTTTGCCAGAATAGCAAACCGAAGTCACAGAGGCTTGGGGCTCACCCGCGTATGCTTTACCAGGGAGGGCCCGGCACAAAACCCTGTGCTCTGAGCTTCTTACCACAACACAGACCCCTGGCCTGGGGCTTGGGAGAGGATGCCCTGAGCTCCCTACCCTACAGACCTCTCTTTCTGGGTTGGTGAGGGCCACAGTGGGTTCCTTGGCCCCACAGGACCCCTCCCGTGGTCTGAGAGCCCCCGGGGAGGCGTCTGCAGGGGGACAGCATGTACACAAACGTGGAGTTGGGAGGCAGGCTCGCGGGCGGCAGGACCGTGTCCCCTTGCACACAGGCCTGTGCCTCTGCTGCCCTGAGCCTCGGTTCCCCACCTCTGGCAGGTGCTTACTGCCGTGGTACCAGGCCTGGGCACCCCCAGTCTTTTGGGCGCCAGTCATGTCTCCCTAGAAGTGGCCCCTGTTGCAGCCACAAGAGGTCAGGGCCTCCTGGTGACCTCCTGCCTCTCTTCCAGTGACAAGAGGTTTTCCGCTTTGGGGTTTGGAGCCCGGATCCCTCCCAAGTATGAGGTAGGAGAGCCCAGAACCTGAGACCTCAGAGCTGTGCCCTTCTCGTGCCCTCCCAGGCAGAGGACGGCCTGGCCCAGGGAGCCCTGGCTGCCTGCTGGGAACCGGAGACTGTAGGATGGGATTGGGGTGCAAAGCGGGAACCCCAGCCTTCTAGCCAGAGAGGCTGGCCTTTGGCCTCCTAGGACTTGTTAGCTTGAGGGGTGTCTGGAGGCCAACTCCGTGTTCCTTCAGGAGATAGGGAAGGACGTTAGTGTGGAATCCTCTATTGCACATAACAATTCAGCTAGCTTCGGCCAGGCGTGGTGGCTCACGCCTGTAATCCCAGCACTTTGGGAGGCCGAGGCGGGCCGATTACCTGAGGTCAGGAGTTCCAGACCAGCCTGGCCATCATGGTGAAACCCCATCTCTACCAAAAATACAAAAATTAGCTGGGCGTGGTGGCACATGCTTGTAATCCCAGCTACTCGGGAGGCTGAAGCAAGAGAATTGCTTGAACCCGGGAGGCAGAGGTTGCACTGAGCTGAGATCGCACCACTGCAGTCCAGCCTGGCCTGTAGAGCAAGACTCTGTTTTAAAAAAGAAAAAAGAAAACAACAAAAAACTTCAACTGGCTTCAGCAGAAAAAATGGTGTGTGGGGATTTATTGGCTAATGTAAGCCTCAGGCACTGCTGGATCCAGGGAGGTCTGCCTCCCTCTCTGTTTCATGACTCTGCAGAACATGGTCACCCATGGGTTTGGCTTCCCCTAGAAACTCCAAGCCTACCTCTCTCAGTAGGTGGGGGACATGGGGGCCAGGTCGGGGGAGCAGCTGACTGGGGGACATGGGGGCCGGGGACGGGGGGAGCAGCTGACTGGGGGACATGGGGGCCGGGGACGGGGGGAGCAGCTGACCGAGCCCTCTTTAGTAGGCGGGGGACATGAGGGCGGGGACGGGGGGAGCAGCTGACTGGGGGACATGGGGGCTGGGGACGGGGGGAGCAGCTGACCGAGGGACATGGGGCCAGTGGGGTGTGTTGCAACGAGCAGCTGACTGAGCCCTCTTGTTCCCACCCAGGTGTCCCATGACTTTGCCATCAATTTCAACCCTGAGGACGATGAGTGTGAAGGTAGGAGCTCGAGGCAGGCCTGGGGAGGGGAGTGCAGGGGGGCCGGGCTCACCCCCTGCCCCCCACAGGCATCCAGGGCGTGGTGGAGGCCTACCAGAACTGCCTGCCCAGGGTCCAGCTCTACGGCCCCACCAACGTGGCGCCCATCATCTCCAAGGTGGCACGCGTGGCGGCGGCCGAGGAGAGCACCGGGAAAGCCTCTGTAGGTGCCCGGGGGGTGTGGTGCATGCTTGGTGTGGGGTCGGCTGTGTGTGCACCAGCGCGTGGACGTCAGGGAGGCACCTGGCAGAGGGAACAGCCAGCGCAGAGGCCCCCAGGCAGGACAGAGCTCAGGAGGGCGGGGGCCCAGCTGGTTGACTACGTCTCCCTCAAAGGTGCAGGTGTCTCGGGCACAGGGCTGTCCATCGCCTCACACGGTCACGGCCATGGCTGCAGCGAGGCTGCCCCTCTCCTCTTCCTCTGGGCACCACAAGGCCGCGCACATGTCTACTGTTTGGCTGTGTGTGTATCGTCATTTTGTTTACATGTGTCTTTCCTTTGCACAAATGATACGGTGCCGAGAACTGCACTGGATTCTACTCTGCCACCGTGTGGCCCTGTATGTGTCTCTGGGGCCACAGCCAGCCTGCTGCTTTCTTTTCTTTTCTTTTGTTTTTTGTGAGACAGAGTCTCACTCTGTCACCCAGGCTGGAGTGCAGTGATGTGATCCCAGCTCACTGCAACCTCTGCTTCCCGGGGTTCACGCCATTCTCCTGCCTCAGCCTCCCAAGGAGCTGGGACTACAGGCGCCCGCCACCACTTCTGGCTAATTTTTGTATTTTTAGTAGAGACGGGGTTTCACCCTGTTGGCCAAGCTGGTCTCAAACTCCTGACCTCATGATCCACCCGCCTCGGCCTCCCAAAGTGCTGGGATTACAGGCGTGAGCCACCGTGCCCGGCATTCTTTTTTTTGTTGTTTTTTTTTTTTGAGACGGAGTCTCGCTCTGTCACCCAGGCTGGAAGTGTAGTGGCGCAATCTCCGCTCACTGCAACCTCCCCCTCCCAGGTTCGCGCCATTCTCCTGCCTCAGCCTCCTAAGTAGCTGGGACTACAGGCGCCCACCATCATGCCCGGCTAATTTTTTTTTTTTGTATTTTTAGTAGAGACGGGGTTTCACCGTGTTAGCGAGGATGGTCTCGATCTCCTGACCTCGTGATCCACCCGCCTCGGCCTCCCAAAGTGCTGGGATTACAGGTGTGAGCCGCCGCGCCCGGCCCAAAATAATTTTAAACTCACCAAAAAGTTACAAGAGCTCTGAGGTCCTGCAACCCGTGAGGCCAACAGCTGCTCACACATTGCGCTCCTGCTTCACGTCTGTGTAGTTGTTGTATTTGTATGTTTTCTTTTTCAATTTTTTTTTTTTTTTTTGAGATAGAGTCCTGCTCTGTCACCCAAGCTGTAGTGGTGCAATCTCGGCTCACTGCAAGCTCCACCCTCCGAGTTCAAGCAATTCTCCTGCCTCAGCCTCCCGAGTAGCTGGGATTACAGGCTCCCGCCACCACGCCCGGCTAATTTTTTGTATTTTTAGTAGAGACGGGGTTTCACAGTCTTGGCCAGGCTGGTCTTAAACTCCTGACCTTGTGATCCACCCGCCTCGGCCTCCCAAAGTGCTGGGATTACAGGAGTGAGCCACCGCGCCCAGCCCAAATTTTTTTTATTGTGATAAAATATGCACAGTTTAAAATTTACCATTGTAACCATTTTTTTCTTTTCTTTTTTTTTTTTTTTTTTTGAGATGGAGTTTTACTCTTGTCACCCAGGCTGGAGTGCAGTGACGTGATCTCGGCTCACTGCAAGCTCCGCCTCCCGGGTTCACGCCATTCTCCTGACTCAGCCTCCTGAGTAGCTGGGAGTACAGGCGCCCGCCACCATACCCGGCTAATTTTTATATTTTTGTAGAGATGGGGTTTCACTGTCTTGGCCAGGCTGGTCTCAAACTCCTGACCTCAAGTGATCTGCCTGCCTCAGCCTCCCAAAGTGCTGGGATGGGATTACAGGTGTGAGCCGCCGCACCTGGCCTGTAACCATTTTATTGTATCCAGTTCAGAGGCACGAGGTACATTCATGATGATCAAACATCACCCGTCTACTTACATCTTCAAGCCAAATGGGAACCCTATATCTGTTTGCATCTATTTTTAATTTATACAGATAGTATCGTGATAAAGACTTTGATGCTTTTTAAAAAACTTGGCACTGCACACACACATTTGTGAACCGTCCGAGAGCACGTTGCAACATCACGGTTTTACCTCTTAATATTTTTTTTTTTTTGAGATGGAGTCTCGCTCTTCACCCAGGCTGGAGTGCAGTGGCGCGATCTTGGTTCACTGCAAGCTCCGCCTCCCGGGTTCACGCCATTCTCCTGCCTCAGCCTCCCAAATAGCTGGGACTACAGGCGCCCGCCACCACGCCCGGCTAATTTTTTGTATTTTTAGTAGAGACGGGGTTTCACTGTGTTAGCCAGGATGGTCTCGATCTCCTGACCTCGTGATCCGCCCACCTCGGCCTCCCAAAGTGCTGGGATTACAGGCGTGAGCCACCGCGCCCGGCCTACCTCTTACTATTTCAGTGTATATTTCCTAAGATCAAAGATATTCTCTTGTATAACCATAGCACAAATACAGATTTCAGGAAATTGAATTTAGATACAATCCTTTTATCTAATACATAGACTATATTCCAATTTCATTCATTGGCACAATCATAACTTTCAAAGCAGTATTGTTCCTGGCCCAGGAGCCAGTCCGGAGTCGAGGATTGCGTTCAGCTGTTATGTTCCTGTGTGGCTGGGAAGCGGGTCTCAGACGGTTTCATCTGTAAATGTCAGTATCAGCGTCTAATAAAGATAAGCCTCTTTTTAAGCAGCCACGACACCTGATCACACCTAACCACCACTCCTGGCATTGCACATCCGTCTGGTGTTTGTGTTTCCTGTTGTCTTACCCGTGACATGGTTTTCTGTGGTTAGAATTGGGTTGAAACGAGGACTCAGACATGATCAGCTGAGCCCTCGGTCCCTCTCCTGGACACGAAGCTCCCGCCCTAGTGGGGCCCCACGGTGGGTTTTGGTGCCTGGTGCTCGCACAGTTGGCAGAGGGGGGTGGGGGCCTCATCTGGGGTTGGGAGGGGGTGGGGGGCTTTCTGAGGCTGGGCTGTTTATCTGGAGGCCGAGAGCCAGGCTGGGCACAGCCGTGGGTGCTTGTAGGCCTGGACCAGAGACTGCCTTGCAAACAGGTAATTCTTCCCACAGGTGTGGGGCTCAGAGAGGGGGAGATGGGGAGGGCACAAAAAGAGAGCCTCTTGGAGAAGGCGACTCTGAGTGGGGTCCTGGGGCCCCTGTTCGTTTCCAGGACACATCTGCCCTCAGTGGGACGGGCTCAGTCAAGGCCAGCCCAGGGGAGGCTGCTGTGGGCTCCCGCTCTGCTGCTCAGGCGAGCCCTGCTTCTCTTTATGTTTCCCGTTGTCCACAGTTTGGGCAAGATTATTGAGTGGGGTTTTTTTTAAACAATGGAAGTTGATTTTATTTGAAGTTCCATTCTGCCTTTTTTTTTTTTTTTTTTTTTTTTTTTTTGGAGACAGTCTCACTCTATCGCCAGGCTGAAGTGCAATGGCGCGATCTCAGCTCACTGCACCCTCTGCCTCCCAAGTTCAAGCGATTCTCATGCCTCAGCCTCCCGAATAGCTGGGATTACAGGCGCCCACCACCACGCCCAGCTAGTTTTTGTATTTTTAGTAGAGATGGGGTTTCACCATTTTGGCCAGGCTGGTCTCGAACTCCTGACCTCAGGTGATCCGCCCGCCTCGGCCTCCCAAAGTGCTGAGATTACAGGCGTGAACCACCGCGTCCGGCCAACACTCAGTCTTGTGGCAGCACAGCGGGCACCCTGGAGAGACTGGAGCAGGGTGTGTGGGCTGCAGGTCTGGCTCCTGGGATCGCAGATTTCTCCTCTGGCCTCAGACCTCCCATCCAGGCACTGTGAGCTCATCAGTAAAATGTAGACTTCGTAGCACCCCCTCCACAGCCCTCCGTGAGACTCGTGGAGATTTCCTGAGCTGGGCACAGGAGGCCCAGAGTGCCCGCCACGGAGGGGGCTCCTGACCCACTGTTGTTCGTGATGTTTGTGATGTAGGCATCACACTCTGAAGGCGGTTCTAGGAAGCTCTGACGCACGGAGGCACTCTGGGCTGTCTGGGGGCCCGTGGGTTGCAGGGCGCATGTGGGCCATGGCAGGTGTGGTGTTGCTGATGCCTTTCCTGTGCCCCCAGCAATACTACATCCTGCTGATCCTGACGGACGGCGTGGTGACCGACATGGCCGACACACGGGAGGCCATTGTGCGTGCCTCACGCCTGCCCATGTCCATCATCATCGTGGGCGTGGGCAACGCCGACTTCACCGACATGCAGGTCCTGGACGGCGACGACGGCGTCCTGCGCTCCCCACGGGGTGAGCCCGCGCTCCGGGACATCGTACAGTTCGTGCCCTTCCGGGAGCTCAAGAACGTGAGTGTCCTGGAGGGGCTCCGTCAAGGCCGGCTTGGGGGTCCCTGTTCATGTCACTGCCCAAGACCTTCCCAGGCCAGGCTCACGCCAGTGGATGTGGCAGGTCCCTTCTTGTGTCTGGGGGATCCTGGGCTGTTCCCCCCAGTCAAGAGCAGTATCTGAAGCCAGGACTTTGAGCACCTGAAACACCCTCCACCGTTTTGAAACTTGTCGAATCTACACAAAAGCAGAGAACAGCACAAGGGGCTCCTGGGATCCACCACGCGGCTTCCCCCGTTGCTGCCAACCTCTGCGACCCGGCGAGACACGCACAGCACACACGTGAGGTTCTACCCGCCGAGACACACACAGCACACACGTGAGGTTCTACCCGGTGAGACGCACAGCACACACGTGAGGTTCTACCAGGCAAGACACACATGTCACACATGAGGCCCTACAGCAAGACGTGCATGCCACATAGATGTGAAGTTCTACACAGCAAGACACCACAGACATGCATGAAGACACGGACACGTGACATTCTACGCAGTGAAACATGCATATTACAGACACATGAAGCTCTGCAGTGAGTCACATCACACAGACACGCTCAGGCTTTGCCGGGGAAGTGTGGGTGGGGCCTGGACCATGGAGGTGGCCTCGCCTCCCGTGTCAGCACTTTTCATCTCCGTGCTTGGGGGGCTGGAAAGACCCACGTGCAGCCTCATGTGGCCGACATCCTCAGCAAGTCTTGCCCGGCACCCAGGTGAGCCTCTGGTGGGGGTGGGTAGTCACCACTCGGCTCTGGAGGATGAGGCCTGGGCCATAATCCAGTTGCAGGGACGGATGATCTCCATCTCGAAGGTCCCAGAGGTAACTGCGTTGTCCCATCCTCCAGGCATCCCCTGCGGCGCTGGCCAAGTGCGTGCTGGCCGAGGTCCCGAAGCAGGTGGTGGAGTACTACAGCCACAGAGGCCTGCCCCCGAGAAGCCTGGGTGTCCCTGCCGGAGAGGCCAGCCCAGGCTGCACACCGTGAAGATGTGGAGGGCGTAGGGTGGGGGCAGTGAGGAATGGGTCCGTACAGCCTCTGTCTGCAACATGCTTGGGGTCCCTTAAGCTCCCTCCGACCTCCCAGAAGCCTCCAGTCCCCACCAGGCCCCACTCCCAGTCCTCCTGGGATCCTGCTGGCTTGGGCCCGGCTCTGGGGCCCCCAAGGCCGAAGGGTGACAAAATACAGGCCCCCATGCCTGGCCCTGCCTGAGCCAGGTGGGTGGAGGGAGGGAGATCATGAGGGACTTGGAGGGAGCTGGGAGTTCATCCACGGGAGACCCTGCCCCGATGAGAAGGGGCAGGGACTGGGGGCTCTGCTTTGCGTCTAACCTTTGTGGGGGAGGGCCAGCAAGGCAGTCCCCCCACGCCCGAGAAAGCCTGGGGGACCCAGACACCTGTCCCCACAGTCAAAGCCTGGGGACCCAGACATCCTGTCCCCACAGTCAGCCTCCTGTCCCTGCTGGTGCCCCCACACCCACCTACCCTGTGCTTTTTGCCGTCGGGCCTCTGCACCTGGGTCCATGGGGTCTGCGGGGTCTGCGGGGTCTGCCTGGCCTGTGGGTTCTGCCGGTGGGGCTTCAGGAGTAATAAAGTGTCACCCTATCCTTGTAGTTCTCTTGTGCCTTCAGTCCCTTCCCCAACCCCCCAGAGGGCTGGGCCTGGCTTCCAAAGTGCCCACATCTGAGGCAGGGGCTCTCCCAGGCCCAGCACACCAGGATCCTCCCTGGACTGAATGGGATGCGGGATGCACAGGCTGCCAGGGGCAGAGAGCGGGGATCCGCACCATGGCTGCCTCCACCCGCGAAGGAGCTCCACTCGGCTTCCTGGGACTCCCAGGCCTGAAACCCAGTGAGTGAGGACTGTGGACGTGATGCAGGGGTGCCAGGAGCCTCCCACATGGCCTGCACCGCAGGGAGCTGGGCTGGAGGGTGAAGCCTCCATGTGATGTTCGTGGAGCCGGGGCATCTCCCACCTGCTGGGACCTCCTCGCCCTGAGTTTGAGATTTCCCCTGAATGATCTTGCCTGAGAAAAACAAATTGTCCTAACCCTGAATCCAGGCCCACCCATCCCCACATCGGTCCATCCACCCACCCATCCGTCCACCCATCGCCCTGCCCACCCATCCGTCCACCCATCCCCCCGCCCACCCATCCGTCCACCCATCCCCCCGCCCACCCATCTGTCCACCCATCCCCCCGCCCACCCATCTGTCCACCCATCCGTCCATCCATCCCCCCACCCACCCATCTGTCCACCCATCCATCCACCCATCCGTCCACCCACCCATCCGTCCATCCATCCCCCACCCATCCGTCCACCCATCTGTCCACCTATCTGTCCACCCATCCGTCCACCCATCCGTCCACCCATCCCCCCACCCACCCGTCCGTCCATCCATCCCCCCACCCACCCATCCATCCACCCATCCCCCCACCCACCCATCCGTCCACCCATCCGTCCACCCATCCCCCCACCCATCCGTCCACCCATCCATCCACTCACCCATCCGTCCACTCACCCATCCGTCCACCCATTCCCCCGCCCACCCATCCATCCACCCATCTGTCCACCCGTCCATCCATCCACCCATCCGCCCACCCATCCCCCCGCCCATCCCCCCGCCCACCCATCCGTCCACCCATCCGCCCACCCGTCCGTCCACCCATCCGTCCACCCATCCCCCCACCCACCCATCTGTCCATCCATCCACTCTGGGGCCTATTTTTAGCTCTTGCTTCGTCCTCTGTTAAGCAGGGATCATGGGTATCGCCATGGTAACCTGGCCAGTCTGTGAATTTCAGAAGGATCAATGTTGGTCTCTTTGGGGATGGACAGGCCCAGAGATCACCCCTCCATCCACATCTGAGGCTTCAGGCCCTGAGCCGGTCGGGGGGCCTCAGGGGCTGGCCAGGCAGAGGGTGCGTGTCAGGGCCCTGTGCAGGTGTGGGGGGGTCTCAGGCTGGACAGAGGGTGAGTATCCGGGCCTTGTGCAGATCGGAGGTCTCAGGGGCTGGGCAGAGGGTGCGTGTCAGGGCCCTGTGCAGGTGTGGGGGGGTCTCAGGCTGGACAGAGGGTGAGTATCCGGGCCTTGTGCAGATCGGAGGTCTCAGGGGCTGGGCAGAGGGTGCGTGTCAGGGCCCTGTGCAGGTGTGGGGGGGTCTCAGGCTGGACAGAGGGTGAGTATCCGGGCCTTGTGCAGATCGGAGGTCTCAGGGGCTGGGCAGAGGGTGCGTGTCAGGGCCCTGTGCAGGTGTGGGGGGGTCTCAGGCTGGACAGAGGGTGAGTATCCGGGCCTTGTGCAGATCGGAGGTCTCAGGGGCTGGGCAGAGGGTGCGTGTCAGGGCCCTGTGCTGATCGGGGGTCTCGGGCTGGACAGAGGGTGTCAGGGCCCTGTGCAGGTGTGGGGGGGTCTCAGGCTGGACAGAGGGTGAGTATCAGGGCCCTGTGCTGATCGGGGGTCTCAGGGGCTGGGCAGAGGGTGCGTGTCAGGGCCCTGTGCTGATCGGGGGTCTCGGGCTGGACAGAGGGTGTCAGGGCCCTGTGCAGGTGTGGGGGGGTCTCAGGCTGGACAGAGGGTGAGTATCAGGGCCCTGTGCTGATCGGGGGTCTCGGGGGCTGGGCAGAGGTTGCGTGTCAGGGCCCTGTGCAGGTCAGGGGGTCTCGGGCTGGACAGAGAGTGAGTATCCGGGCCCTGTGCTGATTGGGGGTCTCAGGGGCTGGGCAGAGGGTGAGTATCGGGGCTGGGGCCCTGAGCGGGTCGGGGGTCTCAGGGGCTGGGACAGAGGGTGAGTGTTGGTGCCCTGTGCCACCTGCCTGTGGTTTTTGGGCCAGAAAGTGTCAGACGGTTTCTGGGCTGACTCAAAGTCGAGAGGTGTTGGTCCATTGAGATCTTAGCAGGAAGCAGGTGTGCCGAGGAGTCTACCTCAGAACAGGGTTGGGGCGGCCACAGTGGGGCGCCAGGGAGCTGACCTCAGACAGACAGGGATGGGCAGGTCACTCGGTGAGCTGGCGCCCTGGAGGGAGTGTGTCCCTTCCCAGAACTGCTGCCTTACAGGGATGTGGCCACTCCCAGACCCCTATGGAGCAAGCAGGGAGTGGCTGTGAGCACCCCAGCCCCCTCCTCCCACCCTCTCTTCTCCTGCCGTCCTCCCATGGCAGAAGGCAGCAGCCCTGGGGTCAGGCCAGTGGGCAGGCTGGGCCACCCTGGTCTCTGTGCTGCTGGGTGTCTGGGGTGTGTTTGAGACCATCGAGGGACAGCAGGGACAGGATGGCGTCTGCCAGCTCAGCTCTGAGAATGTGACTTTCGCCAGCAATTCCCAGCCTGAGAAAGCAGCCCAACGTTGCTCAGAGACGCACGCAATAATAATTTGACTTCTCCCCCTAACCCCGTGGGTCACTGGGATGAACACAGGATCCAGGCCTGGCCAGGCAGGGGCTGCTGCCTCCTGGCCACAGTGCTTGCTCCAGGGATGGACGTGCCCCAAGCTGGCCCGTGAGACTCAGTTCTGGGACCCCTTGTTTCTTCCTGGCTTGAGGAGCTGTGGACAGTGACCACTTAGCGGGGTCACATGGGCAGGGCCTGCCTGGGAAGGACACTACCCAGAGAGCTGGTGGCAGGTGCATGCTCAGGCCTGCTCCTGTCAGGCCTGCTCCTGAGCCGATACTTCCCATTGAGGAGCCATGAGCTCCCTTTCTGATTAGCTCAGGTGGGACTGGGTTTCTGTCATTTGCCACCCAAGGATCCTGCCCCAAAAGGATGACAGATGCTCCTTTTTCACAGACAAGAAAATCAGGGTTCAGCACAGTGAGGTGCCCTGCCCAAGGTCACACAGCCAGTCAGAAGCAGAGGTGCTAGCTTTGTGTAGCTGGTGTGCACACACACACAGAGCAACATGTATACACCTGTGCACACACACGCGCACCCACACATCCATGCACACACATGCACCCACACGCACCCACACATCCACGCACGCACACGTGCACCCACGCATCCATGCACAGACATGTGCATACATGCCTAACACATCCACACGGACACGTGCTTAGCCGGGACCTGCAGGCTCCAGGCTGAGTCCTAGGAATTGAGATGCTAGTTCTGCAGTTCCTGTAGGTCCACCTGTCAGGCATCTTCCTCCCCGGGGTGTGACATCCGGCTCTGAAACCCAGAGGGGCCCCTAGGGCAGGGCAGTCAGGGGTCCTGCCGGCCGGTGTGGAGACCCCCAGGTGAGACCAATGGGTTCCCTGAGTCTTCAGCCCCTCCTGACCTCGAATTAGAGCCTGACCCTTGCTGAGAATAGCCTGGGTATGACCTGCCTGGATGTGGACTTATTTCCCAAATAAGAAGCAGAAAGTGTGTAGCTGCCAGGACCCCACAGCAAGGGCCACCATGGGACCCAGTCCAGGGACTGCCTGCAGCAGGCGGAGGAGCTCCTCCTCGGGGGTGGATTTGAGATTTGGAAACAGCCTCAGTCAAGCTGGACACCAGCTCCCGCTGTGTGACCCTGGACAAGCCATCACAGTCTCAGTGAGTCAGAGCCTTGTTCCTTGCCTGTCACGCGGATATAGCAGCTTTGAAACATGGCTCTAGACTCCTCAGCCCCTTCCATTGGAAGTTGGTTTATGTTCCTTCTTCTTGAACCTAGGAAGACTTCGGTCCAATGTGGCTTATTTTTGTTTGTTTTTGAGATGGAGTCTCGCTCTGTCACCCGGGCTGGAGTGCAGCGGTGGGATCTCAGCTCACTGCAACCTCCGCCTCCCGGGTTCAAGTGATTCTCCTGCCTCAGCCTCCCAAGTAGCTGGGATTACAGGCGCGTGCCACCACACCTGGCTAATTTTTGTATTTTTTTTTTTTTTTTTGAGACGGAGTCTGGCTCTGTCGACCAGGCTGGAGTGCAGTGGTGCGATCTTGGCTCACTGCAAGCTCCGCCTCCCAGGTTCATGCCATTCTCCTGCCTCAGCCTCCCGAGTAGCTGGGACTACAGGCGCCCGCCACTATGCCCGGCTAATTTTTTGTATTTTTAGTAGAAACAGGGTTTCACCGTGTTAGCCAGGATGGTCTCGATCTCCTGACCTCGTGATCCACCCGCCTCAGCCTCCCAAAATGCTGGGATTACAGGCGTGAGCCACCGCACCCGGCCAATTTTTGTATTTTTATTTGTATTTTTAGTAGAGACAGGGTTTCACCATGTTGGCCAGGCTGGTCCTGACCTCAAGTGATCCACCCACCTCGGCCTCCCAAAGTGCTGGGATTACAGGCGTGAGCCACTGTGCCTGGCCCCCACGTGGATTCTGACACCCCACGGTAAGAATGCTGGGCGCTGCTCCCGTGCTCAGGAGATGTGGCTCCCGGGAAACTGACGATGCTGCGAGGAAGCTCAAGCGCCCGCACCCCAGCTGAGCTCCCGGCTGGCAGCCAGTGCCAGGGGCCACCATGCGAGTGCACCACCTCCAGCAGCTCCTGTAGCCCCGGGCAGGATGCCCTGCCTGCATCCTCACGAGAGGCCTGAGCCAAAGCCACACGGCAAATCCTCGTGTGGATTCCTGACCCAGGTCGTGGCCCGGGTTAATCCACGGTTGCTGTTCGAAGCCACTCGGTTTGGGCGTGATGAGTCGTAGGGCAGGAGGTAACAGACACATCCTCTTTCCCAGGGATCTTGTGAGGAATGAACGAGGGATGCAGGAGCCCCTGCTGGATAAATAGGTGTCAGTTTCACAAGGGGAGCCGGCTTCTCCTTATTCTCAGGAACCACCAATCACAGCTGCTGAGCATCCCCCACCCTGTCTTGCTGGCCACCGGCTGCCTGGGCCTCACAGGCTGAGGACGCGGGGTCAACCCCTGCCCACCCATGCGCGGAGTCGGATGAGGGCTCTGACTCGGTGGGTGGGGGGGGCAGCTGGAGGGAGTGGGAAGAGCAGCAGCTCAGCGTCCAGGCTGTTCTTTCTCCTGCTGCCGAGGCGAGTACAGGCAGGAAGTTGTGACTAAGTGCTTGTAATTGGTGCGGGGGCTGTGGCAGGGCTGTCAGACAGGAGTACCGCCGGCCCCTGGCACAGCAGGGCCGTGGGCGAAAGCTGTCTTCCTTGCCACCTCACGCCTCACCTGTCCCTGCACTGGGGCCCCACCCCCATCAGAGCCCACCCAGGACCCCTGTCCAGCTGGTGCCTCCCTCCCCTCACCCCATCAAGACCCACCACAGCCCAGGAGTACTGAGTATTCCAGTACTCACTGAGCTAAGTTCCCACAACAACCCCGCCTGGCTGACTGTTGTGAGTGCATCTCACTGACGGGACGGCCGACCTCAGAAAAACCCTAGGTGCACTGCTGGGGAGGCAGGGCAGGGTGGCGAGCTGGGTCTGGCCCCTGGGTTCCCAGCACTCAGCCTGGAGCCCCTAGGTCCTGGCTGAGCACATGTGTGTCTGTTAGGCATGTGTGCGTGCATGTGTGCATAGGCATGTGTGGGTGCATGGATGCACGGGTGCATATGTGTGCATGGGTGTATCTGTGTTGCTCTGTGTGTGCATAGGCATGTATGCATGTGTGCATGTGTGTGCATGCATGTGTGTGCATGGATGTATGGGTGCATACGTGTGCACAGGTGTAGATGTGTTGCCCTGTGCATGTGGAAGAGGCTGGAGTGGGGGTGTTGGTCCTCACTGCTTTACTGAAACATCTTTAGGAGCCCCAGTTGCACTGGGACTTGGCCACACTGCCAGCCCTCCCCATCCCAGGCAGTCAGCATCCAGACCCCAGGTGGAGCAAGTGACGTGCAAGGTCTTGGTGCCCCATTACTCCACCAGGACAGTACATTATCATCCCACTGTGCAGAGAAGCACTGGGGGCTGGAGGGAGGCACTGGGGGCTGGAGGGGGGCACTGGGGGCTGGAGGGGAGCCCTGGGGGCTGGAGGGAAAGCCCTGGGGGCTGGAGGGGAGCACTGGGGGCTGGAGGGGAAGCCCTGGGGGCTGGAGGGGAGCCCTGGAGGCTGGAGAGGAAGCCCTGGGGGCTGGAGGGGAGCCCTGGGGGCTGGAGGGAAAGCCCTGGGGGCTGGAGGGGAGCACTGGGGGCTGGAGGGGAAGCCCTGGGGGCTGGAGGGGACCCTGGGGCTGGAGGGGAAGCCCTGGGGGCTGGAGGGGAGCCCTGGAGGCTGGAGGGGAGCACTGGGGGCTGGAGGAAGCACTGGGGGCTGGAGGGGAGCACTGGAGGCTGGAGGGGAAGCCCTGGGCTGCAGAGGAGCATTGGGGGCTGGAGGGAAGCAGTGGGGGTTGGAGGGGAGCACTGAGGGTTGGAGGGGAGCACTGGGGGCTGGCAGGAAGCACTGGGGGCTGGAGGGGAGCACTGGGGGCTGGAGGGGAGCACTGGGGGTTGGAGGGGAGCATTGGGGGCTGGAGGGGAGCACTGGGGGTTGGAGGGGAGCACTGGAGGGGCTGGAGGGAAGCACTGGGGGCTGGAGGGGAGCACTGGAGGCTGGAGGGGAAGCCCTGGGGGCTGGAGGGGAGCCCTGGGGGCTGGAGGGAAGCACTGGGGGCTGGAGGGGAGCACTGGAGGGGCTGGAGGGAAGCACTGGGGGCTGGAGGGGGAGCCCTGGGGGCTGGAGGGGAGCACTGGGGGTGGGAGGGGAAGCCCTGGGGGCTGGAGGGGGTCACTGGGGGCTGGAGGGGAGCACTGGGGGCTGGAGGGGAGCACTGGGAGTTGGAGGGGAGCACTGGGAGTTGGAGGGGAGCACTGGGCGCTGGAGGGGAGCACTGGGGGTTGGAGGGGAGCACTGAGGCCTGGAGGGGGAGCATTGGGGGTTGGAGGGGAGCACTAGGGGCTGGAGGGGGAGCATTGAGAGCTGGAGGGGAGCACTGAGGGCTGGAGGCGAAGCACTGGGGACTGGAGGGGAGCACTGGGGGCTGGAGGGAAGCACTGGGGTTTGGAGGGGAGCACTGAGGGCTGGAGGGGAGCACTGGGGGCTGCAGGGGAGCAGTGGGGGCTGGAGGGGAGCACTGGGGGCTGGAGGGGAGCATTGAGGGCTGGAGGCCAGGGCTGGAAGGGACTGTTCTCCTCATCCCGTGGGTGAAAGCCAGGGCCTCAGGTTGGGCACACAGGGCCTTCCTCAGGCAGCCACAGCTGAAAAAGTTTCCATTTCACAGCCATAGGTGGAACCCCACGTCCCCACCGGGACCCCCCATTCTGTGCACATACACCCTACATGATCCCCACACCCAGTTAACGTCCTTCCTGCAGACACACAGCTACACATCGGTGTCCACACAAAAGTCCAGACAGACTTGTGGGCCAACAGACACACAAGAGCGGGTGGGGTGGGGAGCAGCGGCTGCGGGTGGCCCTGGGTGAGGACGTTGCGGCTGGGGAGTCGGGCCTAGGCGGCCAGGTTGGTGGGATGCATTGCCAAGGAGACCATGAAGGCTCTGCGGAGGCCCCAGGTGTTGACTGGTGCCTGAAATTGACCACGGCAGACGTACTCCCTTGTCTGGAAGGCCGTTCTGTTACAAGGCCGGAGAGGCAGCCCTTGGGCTCCCATGGGCTGCACAGGTGCCTGCAAGGGGGTTCGGGTGGTGGGGTTCAGTCCCCAGTGTCTGGGGGGACTGAGGCCTGCTGGGGCAGTGTGGATGGTGTAGTGTGAGCCATCCTGCCCAGACCTCGCCCCAGCCACCGCACCTTACCTGACTTGGGCAATGTCACCAGGTGGACGTCGGTGTCCTGGGACTGGAAGTTACGTGCGTCCTGCCAGGGCTCCTGGGCGCGCATGTTCCCTGGCAAGCAGGTGCAGGTGATGGCCTGGACCACGTCCCTGTCTACTGCGTCCTCTGCTGTGGGTCAGTGCCTGCCGGGTGGCGCAGGCAGGGAGTGCAGCCGGAGGGCTCCGTGGGGGGGTCTGTTATCCACACGTGCCCTACCAGAGGCCCAGGCAGGTTCTAGCAGGTGGACACCAGCTCCGCCATCCCCACCGTTAAATACTAGCAGAGGCCCACATTCAGGTGCCCTCCCAGGACCAGCCTCAGCCCTCGTCAGCCTTGCCTGCCGCCTTGGCCAGGGAAGGCCTTTCCTCAGCAGGAGAGAGACGGTGCTCTGGGCAAGTACCCGCTGGCCCCGGGGCTGTGGGATTCCGCTGCCAGCACCACCCACGGTCCCTGTAGTCTGCTCTTCAGTGGCAAACGGGCGTGGCTGGGATGCGTGGGCCTCCGGTGGGAAGGGCCCTTGGGGAGTACCTGTCTCCCTCCCAGAAGCCTCAGAGCCACGGTGGGGCGGCCGTGGTAGATTCTGCCACAGTCCTCACCTCCCAGGCAAAAACCTCCATTCAATCTTCACGTAGCAGCTGCCCGGCCTGGGCTGGTGTGAGGGGGGGCTCCCGCAGGCAGGGGTGGGTCTGGATTCCCAGGCAGCCCCTGCCATCAGTCCTCATGCTGTCTTGCCTTCCCCTTCCCCTGCCTCCAGGGAGGACGGCAGAACAGCCCAGGTGCCTGAGGTCGAGTCCCCGCACTCACCACCACGTCACCTCCACCGGCCGTGCCAAGAAAGCTCCTCTCTGGAAACATCTGTGCCACGAAGCCCAGGAGCAGGTGGTGGCCAAGGCAGGGGCAGGCCAGAGTGGGGAGGGATGGGATTGGACTAACCTGGGTCAGAAGGCTCCGGGGGGCGGGGAGAGGATCTGGGATGCCTCCAGGGCTGTTCCCCCAGCCCTGGGTGTCAGCTCTGCTCCAGGAGGGGCAGAAAAGAGACCCATCTGCCAGGATGAGGTGAGAATTATTATTATTTATTTATTTTGAGACAGAGTCCCACTCTGTCACTCAGGCTGGAGTGCAGTGGTGTGATCTCGGCTCACTGCAACCTCCACCTCCCAGGCTGGAGGTGATTCTCTTGCCTCAGCAAGAGTAGCTGGGATTGGCTGGACACAGTGGCTCATGCCTGTAATCCCAGCACTGTGGGAGGCCGAGGCAGGTGGATCAGCTGAGGTCAGGAGTTTGAGACCATCCTGGCCAACATGGTGAAACCCCATCTCTACTAAAAATACAAAAAATTAGCTGGGCGTGGTGGCGGGCGCCTGTAATCCCAACTACTCGGGAGGCTGAGGCAGAGAATCCTTGAATCCAGGAGGCAGAGGTTGCAGTGAGCCGAGATCGCGCCACTGCACTCCAGCCTGGGTAACAAGAGTGGGACTCCGTCTCAAAAAAAAAAAAAAAAAGTAGCTGGGATTATGGGCACACACCGCCACACCCGGCTAATTTTTTTGCATTTTTAGTAGAGATGGGGTTTCACCATGTTAGCCAGGCTAGTCTTGAACTCCTAACTTCAGGTGATCCACCCACCTCGGCCTCCCAAAGTGCTGGGATTACAGGCGTAAGCCACCACGCCTGCGGAGGTGAAAATTATTATTTTTTTGAGACAGAGTCTCGCTCTGTCTCCCAGGCTAGAGTGCAGTGGTGCGATCTCGGCTCACTGCAACCTCCGCCTCCCGGGTTCACGCCATTCTCCTGCGTCAGCCTCCTGAGTAACTGGGACTACAGGTGCCTGCCACCATGCCTGGCTAATTTTTTCTATTTTTTAGTAGAGACGGGGTTTCGCCGTGTTAGCCAGGATGGTCTCGATCTCCTGACCTCGTGATCCGCCCGCCTCGGCCTCCCAAAGTGCTGGGATTACAGGCGTGAGCCACTGCGCCCAGCCAGAGGTGAGAATTATTAAATCTCAAGGGACACCAGGCCTGAAGAATCCTGCACAGACAGAACCAATTAGGCCTCATAAGTAACCTCAATGTTGTTTGATTCGTAAACATAATTGAAACTTTACTTGAGCTAGAAGAATAGGACTTAGGCTCAACACATCAGAAGCAGCCAATATACGTACACAGTGGTGTTGGGAACAGAGACCCTGAGCCTGGCCTAAACAGGCCTTCAAGAAATGGCCGTAAACAGCATTTCTGCAGCAATGTGACATGCTCGTGATGGCTGTCACACACACTGCTAAAAGTTGTTGGTTTACTGGAGCAGGGCAAGGAACACCTGGCCCACCCGGAGCGGAAAACTGCTCAAACCACAACCGATAGCAGGAGCGGCCTGTGCCTTAACATGTTTTTGCTGCAGATAATCAGCCGGAGCCTGTTTCTCTGTTCCTCACTGAGAATTTGTTTCCCATAAGGAATGCTTTTAGCTGATCTATAATCTATACAAGCAATGCTTATCACTGGCTTTCTGTCAATAAACGTGTGGGTCAAGCTCTGTTCAGGGCTCTCAGCTCTGAAGGCTGTCAGCCCCCGATCCCCATCGGCTCTGAAGGCTGTCAGCCCCCGATCCCCACTTTATACTCTGTCCCCGTGTCTTTGTCTTAATTCCTCTAGCGCCGCTGGGTTAGGGTCTCCACAGCCGAGCTGGTCTCAGCACAGTGGCCCTTGACGTTTGCGGGGATGGGTTCCGGGACCCCAGTAGATCATACAATCCATGGATGCTCAAGTCCCTGATAGAAACTGGTGTCATCTTTGCACGTAACTGTCTCTGTGTGTGTCCCGTCGTCTTCAGCTCGGAGGTGCTCGTGGCTAGCGGGACGCCCGCACTGCACTTTAGGATGGATGTGCAGCGGATTCCAATTTTGCTTTTTGAAACTTTCTGGAATTTTTTTCCAAAAGTTTCAGTCTGTGTTGGTTACTCTGCACATGGGGAACCCACAAACTCAGAAGGTCAGTTGGAGCCGCGTGGCCTCCAAGGGAACCGACCAAATGCAGCCACTGCCACCTTTGCCCACCAAGCGTTGTCTCAGGTCTGCCCCGTCTGTCCCGGCTCCCTCTGGAGTCACTTGGTGCCTCCACGGCCACCTGCTGGTTTGGAGCTGCCCGAGTCGTTAATTGCTGTTTGCTAAATGAACACTTTAAAAGTTATTGTGCCTCAGTTTACTCATTAACACAATGCGGCCCCTCCTAGGACAATTAAGCAGAGGAATCCAGAGCCCGGTACATCCAGAGCCAGGCCAAAGTGCAGGCGTTATATTAGCAACGCTTGAGTGTCTTTGATTTCTAAAAGATAACACTGGTTTCCTGTTAGGAAAATGCTGCTGGCTCAGGGTGGCGTGGGCGCCAGAGGTGGATCCACCTCGTCTGTGTCCTCAGTACAGACGCAGAAGGCTTGCCTCTGCCATCCTAGAACCATCATTTTTATATAATTTTTAAATGTGTGTGTTCCAAGTGGTGAATCCAGCAACAGCCTCATGTGGAGCAAAGCGATGTGAAGGTTGTAGCATGGGGCACACAGGGTCTTCTCTATTCGTCCCTCACTAACACCCGGGTGCTGCCTTGTGTGTGTTCCCAGCCACACCTTGTTAGGCGACACCGCGGACACAAAATGCCTCATTCCCTACAGTGCTGCCTGCAGCCAACATCCTGAAGACTTGCTCGTCAGTGTATAGGGAGCTGCCTCGTTGTTGTTTTTTTTGTGTGGCGGGGACAGAGTCTCGCTCTGTCACTGAGGCTGGAGTGCAATGACGCGATCTCAGCTCACTGCAACCTCCACCTCCCAGGTTCAAGCCGTTCTCCTGCCTCAACCTCCCGAGTAGCTGGGACTACAGGCGCCCACCACCATGCCCAGCTACTTTTTATATTTTTAGTAGAGAAGGGGTTTCTCCACATTGGCCAGGCTGGTCTCGAACTCCTAAACTCATGTAATCAACCCATGTAATCCGCCTCGGCCTCCCAAAGTGCTGGATTACAGGCGTGAGCCACCTGCCCAGCCATGTTTATTTTATTAGTTTATAAATTTATTTAAAACAGAGATGCAGCCGGGCGCAGTGACTCATGCCTGTAATCCCAGCACTTTGGGAGGCCGAGGCGGGCGGATCACTTGAGGTCAAGAGTTTAAGACCGGCCTGGCTGGCCGGGCGCAGTGGCTCACTCCTGTAGTCCCAGCTACTCGGGAGGCTGAGGCGAGAGAATGGTGTGAACCCGGCAGGCGGAGCTTGCAGTGAGCTGAGATGGCGCCACTGCACTCCAGCCTGGGCGACAGAGTGAGACTCCGTCTTAAAAAAACAAAAAAACAAAAAAAACCACAGCCTGGCCAATATGGTGAAACCCCGTGTCTACTAAAAATACAAAAATTAGCCAGGTTTGGTGGCTCATGCCTATTATCCCAGCTACTCGGGAGGCTCAGGCAGAGAACGGCTTGAACCCAGGAGGTGGAGGTTGCAGTGAGCCGACATCACACCACTGCACTCCAGGCTGGGTGACAGGGCGAGACTCTGTTTAAAAAGCAAAACAAAACAAAACACAAATGGGAACGTGCTGGGCTTACAGACGTGAGCCACTGTGTCCAACCCATGGTTTTTTTTAACCATTATCCTCCAGATGGGCCCTGGAGGTTCACACTCTTTCCCTCTTATACATGTGTTGGTTTATTGTCTTATGTTATCACCTTTATTTACCTTTGAAATCTTTATTGTCACTTTGGTTAAACAGATAACGAAATATTGTTTCACGATGACATATGATCCTATTTTATTTAAGTTTTCAGATCTTTTGACATCTTTGCCAACTTCCCAAAATCAGAATCAAATTCTAAATTAAATCTTCTTGACCTCAAACGGACTTTGAAGTTTTCTAGAAGGTCCCTGGAAAATCTCAAAACTCAAATCCTTTGAAACTGTCAAATCTTTGAAACTGACAGTTTCAAAGGATTTGTTCTACCACCTTGTTAAAAGGGAGATGTTAAACTAATTCAGTTTATTTGATATATTCAATTACATGGGAAGCATTGTCAAAAGACACTTAACTTTCCATACATTATATTTATATAGTTAAAATGTTGCTATTTCAGAAATTATATAAATGTCCTAAAAATTTGTCAATGCCCTTGTTATCCGATCTGTTCGCCTCTGTTACTGTTCATGATTTCAGTTGTTATTTAATACGTCGTGTGTCACAAAAACAACCAGAATTCATTGTGTGTTGTTTTTATAATGAACTCTCATCAGATCTTTCATTATTTTCAGGTTCTTTTTTTTTTTTTTTTTTTGAGATGGAGACTCGCTCTGTCGCCCAGGCTGGAGTGCAGAGGCACGATCTCGGCTCACTGCAACCTTCACCTCCTGGGTTCAAGCGATTCTCCTGCCTCAGCCTCCCGAGTAGCTGGGACTACAGGCGCCCGTCACCACGCCCGGCTATTTTTTGTATTTTTAGTAGAGACAGGGTTTCACCATGTTGGCCAGGCTGGTCTTGAACTGCTGACCTTAGGTGATCCACCCGCCTCGGCCTCCCAAAGTGCTGGTATTACAGGCGTGAGCCACCGTGCCTGGCCCATAATTTTTTTTATTTTTATGTATTTGTTTATTTTGAGACAGAGACTCACTCTGTTGCCAAGGCTGGAGGGCAGTGGCACGATCTCAGCTCACTGCAACCTACACCTCCTGGGTTCAAACACTTCTCCTGCCTCAGCTTCCTAAGTAGATGGGACTGCAGGCGCATGTCACCACGTCTGGCTAAATTTTGCATTTTTAGTAGAGATGGGGTTTCACCACGTTGCCCAGGCTGGTTTCAAACTCCCGACTTCAAGTGATCCGCCCACCTCGGCCTCCCAAAGTGCTGGGATCACAGGCATGAGCCACCGTGCCTGGATAACTGTACTTATATTTTTATAGAAGCTTTATTGAGACAATTCACACACCATAAAATCCATCCCTTTAGTGTGCACAATTGAATGTTTTTAGAATATTCAGAGTCGCACAGCCATCACTACTATTTAATTCCAGATTTTTAATTTAAAAATTTTCATTGCCCTCGCAGGGCACAGGGGCTCACGCCTGTAATCCCAGCACTTTGGTGTTGTAACCAAGCGAGTTATAGAGAAACACCACACTTTGAGACAAATTAAGGAGTCCTTTATTAGCCTGCGACCGAGAGGCCGCTAATGCTCAAAATTCTCTCGGCCCTGAGGAAGGGGCTAGCTTTGTTTGTATACCGTGGTCTAAATGGGGGGGGGGAGTTTAACTGAAGCAATTTTTATAGAAGCAGAACTGGCAAAAAGTTAAAAAATTAATTGGTTACAAATGCAGTTACAAAAAATAAACAGCTCCAGGTGCAGGGGCTTAAACTATCACAAAGAGATAAATGCAGGGGCTTCGGGTGCCATCCACCGAGCGCGTCCCGAGGAGCTGCTGGTGCAGCTTGCCTCAGTATCTTATCAGTAGGTGCATTCCCAGACGTGCTTTGAGTCAGTCACACTAGTTAAGCCTTAAGGGAGGGAGGTGAAGGGGGCTGCAGGTGAAGAAACTAAAATGGAGTCTGTCCGGCGCTCTCTCTGCTACGAGAAGGTCACTTAGGTTAAAACAAGGTTGGGTATCACACTGGGAGGCCGAGGCGGGCGGATCACGAGGTCAGGAGATCGAGACCATCCTGGCTAACACGGTGAAACCCCGTCTCTACTAAAAAAGAAATACAAAAAATTAGCCGGGCGTGGTGGCGGGCGCCTGTAGTCCCAGCTACTCGGGAGGCTGAGGCAGGAGAATGGCGTGAAGCCAGGAGGTGGAGGTTGCAGCGAGCTGAGATCGCGCCACTGCACTCCAGCCTGGGCGACAGAGCAAGACTCTGTCTCAAAAAAAAAAAAAAAAAAGTCATTGCCCCAAATAGAAACCCATTCCCATTAGCACCCACTCCCCACTTTCCTTCACAGCCTCAACAACCATGAATCCACCTTCTGTGTCTATGGAGTCACTTATTCTGGACATTTCATATAAGTGGAATCACACGACATGTGGTCTTTTGAGTCTAGCTTCTTTCTTTCTTTTCTGAGACAGGCTCCCACTCTGCGGCCCAGGCTGAAGTGCAATGGCGTGATCGCAGCTCACTGTAACCTCAGTCTCCCAGGCTCAGGCGCTCCTCCTGCCTCAGCCTCACAGCAGAGACCACAGGTGCGCACCACCACACCCGACTATCTGGCTTCTGCCACTTAGCGAAATGTTTCTGAGGTTCTTCATGTTATAGCACGTGTCAGCACGTCACTCTTCTTCATGGCTGAGTAATACTCCACTGCGTGAAGAGACACATTTATCTGTCCCCGTGTTGGGCATCTGCACTCTTCCCACATTTTGGCTATACTAAATTGTCCTGCTACGAACACCTGTGTAGTTTCTGTGTAAAGGTACAGTACCTATATGTTGGGGTGATCAGACCCAACCCCAGGTCGTGGGGGTGACAAAGTCCGGCGGAGTCAAAGGATTCAGAAAAACACAGAGAGAGAAAGGTGGCACACCAGGGGGCCATCGCTATTGTGGAGGCTGCAAAAGCCCGAGCTCTGGGAGCCCACGGTATTTATTGGTAATGCAACAAAGAAACAGATGGTGAGAATATGGAGGTCAAAAGACCACGTTGCATTAAGCACATGATTACAGCTGTGCCGGTTTAGCATTTATATGGAGCATGTTCTGCTACTTGAGATAATGGGAATAGGGGCCTAGGAGGGCTAGAAGGAAGGAGCCAGCAAGTCTAGACACATTCCAAAGGACATCATGCAAGCCCTGCCTCAGTTTCCCTCCCAACACCTATATGTCTTGTTGGTATACATGTTGTATTTTCACAACGAAAATGCATGAGAAAAAGGACACAGATGGCTTATGTGTACTGATGTGTAGCATTCTCTAAGATCTGACATCACAGAGCTGGACAGCACAGCTGTGCACGCACCCCCCTGGCTGGGAGGTGGCACATCCACACATGAGGGAAAAACACTGCCAGGACATCTCAGGGCACTCTCAGGAAATGAGGAAGCTGCTGGAGAAGTTTCTAGCCTTGGGGGAGGTCAGGACGCAGAGCCATCTCCTGGAGCAAAGTTCCCTCCTCCTCTCTCCCTCCTCCTCTCTCCCTCCTGCAGCCCTTCCTTCCGACCCCTGGCCCTTTCTCTCCAACCTTCCCCTCCCCTCCTCCATTTCCCTCCTCTTTCTACTTTCAGAGAACACAGGGTTCCTGCAGGAAATGGGGCAGTTTCACCTTCCTGAGGAGGGGCCTGGGAGGGGCAGCAGGTGGCCGGGTAGGGCCAGCCCAGCTGTGAGCCTGGCGTGGGAGCTGCCTAGGCCGGGCCCTGCCAGGGAGCAAGTCTGCATCGCAGAGGCCAGGGTGAGTGGGCTGGGGAGTCGGTGCGCCAGGGTACTGGGGTGCCCACCTGGGGTGGTGCAGGCCCGGGGACCCCAGGGCACCACTGTGGGTGGAAGCTGGGACCAGGCGTGCGGGGCAGGGGACGCGGCGGCTTCCTGGGATTCTAGGAGGCTGAGGCCAGGTGTGTGCGGCAGGGGACGGGGCGGCTTCCTGGGATTCTAGGAGGCTGGGACCAGGTGTGTGGGGCAGGGGACGAGGCAGCTTCCTGGGATTCTAGGAGGCTGGCACCAGGTGTGTGGGGCAGGGGACGCGGCTGCTTCCTGGGATTCTAGGAAACTGGGGCCAGGTGTGTGGGGCAGGGGACGCGGCTGCTTCCTGGGATTCTAGGAAACTGGGGCCAGGTGTGTGGGGCAGGGGACGCGGCGGCTTCCTGGGACTCAAGGAGGTGGGAGAGCTGCTCTCAGACCCGCCGCTGTCCTCCCACTGGCCCTCCCCGTGGTCCCTAGGATGAGGTCTGGACCCGCCAGGCCCTCCAGAGGCCCCACAACCCCGCTTGTCCACTGTGCCGGCTGTTCCTTCCTTGTGGCGCCCAGTGCGGTCCTAGGCACCCTTGGGACTCAGCTCACGTACCCCTTCCTCCAGGAAGAGTTCTCAGAGGCTGTGTGAGGAGCGCCGAGTCCCCGGACTTACTCTCTGTTCTGGAATTCTCTGCGCAGTCATCTGCCTTCCCGCCCAGCTAAGAGCAGGGCCTGTTGTCCGGCCCCACAATTTCCTTCCAGGTGGAAAGGATTTGCTGAATGAAAATCAAAGCTGTGGCCGGGCGCGGTGGCTCACGCCTGTAATCCCCACACTGTGGGAGGCCGAGGTGGGCAGATCATGAGGTCAGGAGATCGAGACCATCCTGGCTAACACGGTGAAACCCCGTCTCTAATAAAAAATACAAAAAATTAGCCGGGCGTGGTGGCGGGCGCCTGTAGTCCCAGCTACTCGGGAGGCTGAAGCAGGAGAATGGCGTGAACCCGGGAGGCGGAGGTTGCGGTGAGCTGAGATCGTGCCACTGCACTCCAGCCTGAGTGACAGAGCGAGACTCCGTATCCAAAAAAATAAAAGAAAAATCTTCTCCCCGGGTAGGGTGCGGGGAGCTTCAGGGTTATCACAGGACATGCTAGAGAGAAAGCCTTGGGCACAGGCGGAAGTTGGAGTCTGGAGCTGCGGCTGGGCTAGCGAAGGGCAGAACCTACTTCGGCCAATGGCTCTTACACAGCCAAGCTATTTTCATGGTGAGGGTCTAGTAGCCTCCACATCTCTTGGCGAATTCTTGCTGATTGGCGTCTGACCCCATGGAGAAGCTCAGTGGGTGTCATGGGTGGAAGGGGGCATCTAGGGCCTCCAAACGTGGAAGTGTCTCTAAAATACCTCCCGCTGGGCCTCAGTCTCCTTGTCGACAAAAGGTCAGCTTTGACAAATCTCCAGTCGGAGGCCAGGAGCAGACGGGGAGGGTCCCTCAGTCCCTGCTTGCAGCTTCAGGGGGACGTAGGCTGCGGTGGACGGACACTGAGCCCCAAAGCGGCCTCTCAGAGCCGCCCCTGAGGGGTGGCCTCACAGGTCGGGCTGAGGCTCCCAGCTCCCACTGGGTACAGAGCGGGCAGGCGGGCCTGGCAGGGCAGTGGTGCTGGTCTACACGCAGCTCTGGAGTCTCTGGACCTGTGTCCTGTGCGTACATCCTGGCTCCATCTCCCATGAGCCAGGGGGCTGGACCTGTCTTCTCTACCTCAGTTTCCAAGAGTAGGAGACAGGGGTAACAGCAGCCTTGCTCTCAGGGGTGAGGGCGTGGGTTAAAGGGCAGGACACCCATGGAAGCAGTGGTGGCTCCGAGCACCTGCTCAGCCTTCCCAGGTCTTCAGAGCCCACAGGCAGAGCCCACCCTGAGGGAGGAGCAGCTGGTTCTTGGGTGAAGTGAGCCCCCAGGACCCCGCCTTGCAGGACCCCGCGAGGCCCCGGTGAACTGGAGCCGGGAACCGGCCCCACGGAGGCACGTTGGGATTTGGCCACCAGAGGGCAGGAGCTGCAGCAGCCAGGCAGGCGGTCAACACGGGGGCCCCGGGGTCCTGGCCGGCTGGTGGGGTGTGAATTGGAGAGGAGTGGGCTGTGTGGAGGGAGACCAAGCACCAAGGCCCGCCCTGGCCTCTGAGTGTCCACCCCTTTCACAGGCCCATTTCACAGATACTGAGGCCCAAAGGCGCAGGGCTCAGGCGTCCCCTACGTGTCGTGTCCCCAGGCAGGAGAATTACTTGAACCTGGGAGGCAGAGGTTTCAGTGAGCTGAGATCACACCACTGCACTCCAGCCTGGGTGACAGAGCAAGACTTCATCTCAAAAAAAAAACACAAAAAGTGAATTTAAAATGCTCCCTGAACTCCAGCTGGGGTGCGCAGCAGGAGGCTGGGTCCGTGGGGCTTCGGGGGCTGGGCTGGGGGTTCAGGTGGGTGGGGGAGTCAGTGCTGTGGGGATAGGGCTCAGAGCCCAGAAACAGACAAGCCCACACAGGTAGCCAGTGTCGACGAAACAGGAGAGGCTGGGACCTGTGCCCTGGAAGGACACAGCCAGCGGGTCCTGGGTCACCCACTCCGGGGCTGACCGGGCACAGTTTCACAGAGCAGTATGGCCCAGCCAGCTGTGAGAGGATCGGACAGACGGGCGGAAAGGAGGGGAGACAGCGGGTGTGCTCGGGGCTGTGCCGGGAGGGGTCCTTGGATGGAGGAGGGGGTCGCCAGGAGGCATCTGCATCCCCGGGGTGGTGAAGACCCAGCGTGTATGGCCGACCTCGAGGACAGGGCGATTGCTCCACCAGAATGTTCCCAGATGGCACAGATGCTTCTGGTTCTGGCACTGGGACCTGCAGCAGGATTCCCGGGTGGCTTAAAGAGGTTCCTTGAAGTTTGTGATCAGGAATTCAAAGTAGCGCAGATTGGGACGGCTGGGCCTTCTCCCCTCAGCACACTCCGCGAAGGGCAGTGCAAACGCACGCTGGCAGGAAGTGGCTGGGAAGCAGGCAGAGAGCGACCAGGAAGCGGCCAGGAAGCAGGCAGGAAGTGGGCAGGAAGCAGGCAGAAAGCGGCCAGGAAGTGGCCAGGAAGCGGACAGGAAGTGGCCAGGAAGCAGGCAGGAAGTGGGCAGGAAGCGGCCGGGAAGCAGGCAGAGAGCGGCCAGGAAGCGGGTAGGAAGCGGGCAGGTTTTACCGAGCGGCGTGACGGCTCCAGAGGGGATGATGGAGTCTGGCAGAGAATGGGGCGGGAGGCTGGAGGTCCTGGGCAGGCCCTGGAGCAGAAGGGGAAGGGAGGGGTGGGGTGATGGGACTGCAGTGAAGGTCTGGCCCCACCCGAGCAAGGTGAGGGTAGCACAGGTCATTACATGTCAGGGAATTGCTTGGCCAGGGTTGGGGACAATTCTCTCTTATTAGAATTGCCAGGAATCAAGACAGGGTGGAGCTAGAACAAGGGAGAGGGAGTGGCAGAGAGATGGGGTGCTTGGGGCTCTCATGTGATGCCCTGAGGACACTGCATGAAGACTCACGGCTGAGCTGGGTGGAGGTGGGAGAGGTAGGCAGGCACCAAGGCCCAGGGCCCTGAGAGGTGAGGGGAAAAGCGCTCCTGCCTCACGAGGCCACAGGAGCTCCCTCAGCACGGTGCCTGCATGGAAGAATTGCTCAGCTAACATGAGCTCTGAGGCTTGCGCACATGTTACAGAGAATGAGGTGGAAGCATCCACGCCAGGAGGTCTCCAGGCCATCTGGTCAACAGAAAGCCAACAACATGCAAAGGACAGGAGCCCACACCTGTGCCGGTCTGTGCCAGAAATGCTGGAAGGCGGCCGGGCGCGGCGGCTCACACCTGTAATCCCAGCACTTTGGGAGGCCGGGCGCGGCGGCTCACACCTGTAATCCCAGCACTTTGGGAGGCCGGGCGCGGCGGCTCACACCTGTAATCCCAGCACTTTGGGAGGTTGGGCACGGTGGCTCACACCTGTAATCCCAGCACTTTGGGAGGCCGGGCGCAGTGGCTCACACCTGTAATCCCAGCGCTGTGGGAGGCCAAGACGGGCAGATCATTTGAGGTCAGGAGTTTGAGACTAGCCTGGCCAACATGGTGAAACCCCATCTCTACTAAAAATACAAAAATTAGCTGTGTGTGGTGGCATGCACCTGTAATCCCAGCTACTCGGGAGGCTGAGGCACAAGAATCACTTGAACCTGGGAGACGGAGGTTGCAGTGAGCTGAGATTGTGCCCCTGCACTCCATCCTGGGCGACAGAGCGAGACTCAGTCTCAAAAAATATAAAAAAATAAAAATAAAAAATCATCATTCTAAGTCAAGAAAAATTAAAATTTTAAATTATTAGCATGTATTTACCATTTATCTTCATATTGTGTAATACTTGGCTTAAATGCAAATAGAATAGGATTTAACTCATACAGAATCAACAAAATTGTACAATTCACATTTTTATTTTAATTAATTTATTAGTTTGTTTATCCATCTTGACAAGGTCTTGCTCTGTCACCCGGGCTGGAGTGCAGTGGTAGGATCACGGCTCACTGTAGCTTAAACCTCCTGGACTCAAGCCATCTTCCTGCCTCGGTCTGCTATGTAGCCAAGACCACAAGTGTGTGCCACCACGCTTGGCTAATTTTTATATTTTTTGTAGAGATGGGGGTCTCCCTATGTTTCCCAGGCTGGTCTCAAACTCCTGGCCTCAAGCGATCCTCCCGCCTTGGCCACCCAAAGTGCTGGGATCACAGGCATAAACCACCAGGTCTGGCCTACATTATTTATTTATGCATTTAGTTTTGAGACAGGGTCTCACTATGTTGCCCAGGTGGGAGTGCAGCCTCAAGCTCCGAGGCTCAACAACCTTCCCACCTCAGCTTCCCAAGTAACTGTGACTGCAGGCACACACCAGCCTGGCTAGTTTCTTTATGTCTGTAGAGACGAGGTCTCCTTGTGTTGCCCCGGCTGGTCTCAGACTCCTGAGCTTAAGTGATTGCTGCACTGTTCCCCGGGCAAAGTTGCACAATTCGCATTTTGTAACTTATAGATTAATATTTATTTTATTTTCACCAGAACGGTAGGAACCCTGCACAAAACTGGTTTTATTTTGCTCTTTACGTACGCACATCCCACCAGCACCCTCTACCTTTGGCTTCCGGAGGGTTGCCCTCCCTGCTCCCTCCCTGCAGCTCCCTGCCCCCCTGCTCCCCTCCCTGCAGCCCCCCTGCCCCCCCGCTCCCCTCCCTGCAGCCCCCTGCCCCCCCCGCTCCCCTCCCTGCAGCTCCCTGCCCCCCTGCTCCCCTCCCTGCAGCCCCCTGCCCCCCCTGCTCCCCTCCCTGCAGCTCCCTGCCCCCCTGCTCCCCTCCCTGCAGCTCCCTGCCCCCCCTGCTCCCCTCCCTGCAGCCCCCTGCCCCCCCGCTCCCCTCCCTGCAGCTCCCTGCCCCCCCGCTCCCCTCCCTGCAGCCCCCCTGCCCTCCCTGCTCCCTCCCTGCAGCCCCCTGCCCCCCCACTCCCCTCCCTGCAGCTCCCTGCCCCCCCGCTCCCCTCCCTGCAGCCCCCTGCCCCCCCGCTCCCCTCCCTGCAGCTCCCTGCCCCCCCGCTCCCCTCCCTGCAGCCCCCTGCCCCCCCTGCTCCCCTCCCTGCAGCCCCCTGCCCCCCCTGCTCCCCTCCCTGCAGCCCCCTGCCCCCCTGCTCCCCTCCCTGCAGCCCCCTGCCCCCCTGCTCCCCTCCCTGCAGCCCCCTGCCCCCCTGCTCCCCTCCCTGCAGCTCCCTGCCCCCCTGCTCCCCTCTCTGCAGCCCGCTTTCCCCCTGCTCCCCCCGCTCCCCTCCCTGCAGCCCCCTGGTCCCCCTGCTCCCCCCGCTCCCCTCCCTGCAGCCCCCTGCTCCCTCTGCTCCCCTCCCTGTAGCTCCCTGCAGCCCCCTGCTCCCCTCCCTGCACCCCTTTTGCCCCCTGCTCCCCTCCCTGCAGCCCCCTGCACTCCCTTCACCCCCTCCCTGCAGCCTGCTGTGCCCCCTGCTCCCCTCCCTGCAGCCCCCTGCACCCCCTCCCTGCAGCGCCCTGTGCCCCCCACTCCCCTCTCTGCAGCCCCCTGCGTCCCCTCCCCTCTCTGCAGCCCCCACTGTTCCTCCCACTGCTGCCCATCATTGGCTGCTTGAAAATGTCAGACTCCAAGGGCCCCTGTGACTAGCCCAGCAGCAGCCCTAGGTCTCCACCCTGCCTTGGGTGGGGTCCGGGATAGGCCTGGCCTCCCCCCGCCTGCTTGAACCCACTGAGTATGCCCCCCTCCCGCCGCAACCTCAGAATTCCAAAGCCAGCCTGGTCTCCAGCTCAGTGCGGTCCACACGCAGACCCTCCTTGGATTTCGAAAGCCCGTGTGGCTTTGCCAGAGGACATTCCAATCCTCGATTGTGGCTGGGGATGGAGGGAGATCAACCCATCGCACTTACAGATAAAGAAACTGAGGACGGAGTTTGTCCCAACTCCGGGGCCAGGGTCAGTGTCCTCCGAGGGAGTCAGGGAGGTGGCTGGGGTCTGCCAGTGGGGGGGACACACGACCTGGGACCCCCAGGCCACTTGAGACTCTCTGGGCTCGTTGGGCTGGGCCCAAGCTCCCAGGCCCCCTCCTCTCCATTTCTCAACCTGCTGCCACCTAAGGCAGATACCCTACACTACTGCCTGGGGGGCCTCAAAGGGTGATCACCCAGCACAAGCTCTCCTGCCTGGCCTGGGACCGAGAGTCCCAGAAGCCCCTGGGCTGGCCGGATGCTCAAGGCCTCACTGAGGGCATGCGTATCTTCGGAAACAAGAACCAGCTGACATGTGTGAGGCTTTAGCCCGGCTCTCCCTGGGGTACTGTGCGAGCCCTCAAGGAGGTGGCTGTTCTGTAGCTGGAGAGCTCCGTGGGTGGCAGGACTGAACTTGAACACCAGAAACAACCCCCAAGCCTTGTGACCTGGGAGGCAGGAGGCGGGTCTGTCTCCCTGGGACTTGGGTGGCTGAGCCGAGGTACTCGGGACCCTGTCCCGCGCATGGTGAGTCTCGGGGAGCGGGGAGCCGGGAGCCAGGGGTTGTGGTTTTGGGGAGCGTGCAGCCAGGTTGAGGCCCAGGGCTGTAATGAGGGCGGAAAGCCCCTCTCCTCTCTGACTGCCTGTGATCCACCGTCAGCGAGGGAGAACCTCAGAGAGTAGGCATCTACAGCATAGCATGGAGCACCATCACAGGCAGTGAAGGGCGAGAGTCTCAGAGGATGGAACCGGGTGGGGGGCCTCAGCTCGTGCCATCACGGGCAGTGAAGGGTGAGGCTCTCAGAGGATGGAACCGGCGGGGGCCTCAGCTCCAGGCAGGGGTGAGAGGGTGGCTTCTGGGGTGACTGTGTCTGGAGGATGGGGTAGCAAGGGTGGGGAGGCCAGGCTGAGGGGCCCTGACCTCATGGGAGCTGGGAGCCTGTTGGGAAGTCCCTGAGAAGTGCTTCACTGGGATTCACTGGGAGGAAGAGCTCGCGCCCTGGTGCAGATGTGGGCTGTGGGGGATCAGAGTGGTGGGGGCAACCGTGGGGGGCCTGGGCAGGGTGAGGAGGGATGTGGGGAAGCCACCAGCCTCAGGGTGGGCTGGACGCTGGGAGGGAGGCGTTGGGGGCAGAAGTGGGGTGCCGGCCTTACGGCTGGGCCTGCAGATTGAGGGGCCTGTGGACTCCCCCAGTGCAGACATCAGCCTGGTCAGGAGCCAGAAGAGAGAGTCCGGGGCTGCTGAGCCTGCTGTGAGCCACCGGGGCCTCCCACGGAGAGAGACAGGGCCGGGCTCCCCGTGGAGCTGCAGGCTCCCGATGTTCCCTTCTCAAGGCTTATTTGGGGGCCTCTGTGCCAGGCCCCATGGGTGGTCAGATGGGCCCCACGCTGAGTGTGGGCTCCCGTCCCTCGCACATGCAAGGAAGGGCTCAGGTGAGCAGGTGCGCGTGTGCGGCTCACCTGTGCATGCACGTGTGTCTGTGTGCACGTGGAGGTATCTGAGTGTGCGTTTACTCATCCCGTGGGAAAGTCTGCACATGTCTGTTCTAGGTACGCGGACGTATCTGACCGTGTGGGCTTGCGATGCGCCCAGGTGTTCTCGTCTGCGATGATCTGTGTGTGGGGGGCGTGGGTAGGTCCGCATTGCCTGTGGCTGCCTGTGCAGAAGTGGTATCATCCGAAATGGCCACGGTGGCGTCTGCATGTTGGCTGTGGATGGGGCTTCTGTGTGGTTCTGGGAGACAGAGCTGGGTGGAAACACAGACATCACTGTCGAGGCTGTCACCTGCGTCTCGACAGAGCCGAGTCAGCACCACCCTGTGAGGAGAGCGTGTGGGGTGGGGCCTCGGTGCACCCATCTCTGGAGATGGACCCAGGACTCTCATGCAGGAGCCCACACTCTTCACAGAGCACTGCTCCCACCCCGAGGGGTCTCCTAGCAACGCTTCTCTAAACATTAACTTTCGGGGCCAGGACTACTAACCCCAGCTCTCTCCCTAAGCCTCACTATGGCCAGGGGAGGGGAGAGGCAGGAGGGCCTGGGCAGGACAAAGGACCCTGGTCAGTCGGGGACATGAAAGACGCACAACCAGAACCGGTGGAAGAAACAGAATTAAACACACCCTGAACCTTTCCCACCGCAACTCTGCCGGCTGCACCCTCTGGGTCAAGATGTGAGGTAAGGCACAAGCATTTCCTCCTGCTCCTGTCCACGAAGGTGAGAGGAAAGGAATTAGAAAAGAATAACGCACTCGGGCCGGGCGCAGTGGCTCACGCCTGTAATCCCAGCACTTTGGGAGGCCGAGGCGGGTGGATCATGAGGTCAGGGGTTCAAGACCATCCTGGCCAACATGGTGAAACCCTGTCTCTACTAAAAATACAAAAATTAGTCGGGCGTGGTGGCGGGCACCTGTAGTCCCAGCTACTTGGGAGGCTGAGGCAGGAGAATCGCTTGAACCCAGGAGGCGGAGGTTGCAGTGAGCCGAGATCGCGCCATTGCACTCCAGCCTGGGTGACACAGTGAGACTCTGTCTCAAAAAAAAAAAAAACACACTCGTCAGACAATAGAAAGTCTCCGCTGCAGGCAAAGATTCCGACCCATTTCTGGGAAGGAGGAAGTGAATGGAAGAGTGTGTCTGTGAGGAGGACTAGGGGGCCTCACTGGGAACGTTCCAGGGTGTTCCAGCGAGAGACCAGGGAGCCAGAGAGGAGCTCAGCTCAGACGTTGCAGGCACGATGGGCCGGGAGTGAGGAAGACGCTGAGGTCGGGGTTTGTTCCCAATTGGAAGAACTGGCCCCAGGACCACCCAGACAGACACACCACCCTAACCCCCACACAGCCAGAGGAAGGTCAGGAGGCCCTTCCCTAAACATGTTTTTGAGAATCGAGGTAGCTATTTTTAAAAATGCTGCTGGGCGTGGTGGCAGTTGCTTTAAAAGGAGCTGCTGTGGACCCAGCTACTTGGGAGGCTGAGGTGGGAGGATCGCTTGAGCCTGGGAGTTGGAGTCCAGCCTGGGCAGCATAGCAAAACCCCATCTCGTAAAAAAAAAAAAATGCTCATGCCTTCCGGCTTCAAGGGCCCTGGTAACCGGGCATCTCCGGAGCTCGCCCCACACAAAGCCTGGGGTCGAGAGCCCGCTCACACATACGGCACGGCCCACCTTGCTGTTGCTTTATTTTTAAATATGAAATTTGTAGTGACAAAGATTGCCCGCTGCCAAGGGAAGTCTGCAAACCCAACAGAAGGTCCAGATGAACAATGGGAGACGCGTCTGCATTCCGTTTGGTAAACCTCAGAAGAGAACAGAGTGTAGCTGAGTCCAAGCAGATCTGCTTCCCTGACGGGAGCGGGGCGGAAAAGAACACAGCAAACCTTGGAAACCGCCCTCCGGAGACCAGACGCACAACCCCCAAGAAAACACGAAAGAACCGTGCTGGGAGACAAAACAGAGGAAATGGAGTGCACAGGATAAGCAGGAAGAAAGCCAGGACAGGAGGCAGAAAGGAAGCTCAGACAGTGCAACCCCTGCCTGAAACCCTGGCCAGACGGAGCTCAGAAAGGAGGGGAAGAAGAGGGATACGGGCGACTGGAAATTCCCTGGACCGGAGGCAGAGGAAACGCTCCAGGGAGTGAAAAAGCCTCACACTAAAGCACGTGGCTGAGAAGTCGTGGCGCTCCGAGGAAAGAGGCAGCTCCAGGCCTGGAGGGAACAGCGGTTGCCCACACACAGCCGGGCCCATCCACCACACATGCACAGACGGACTGTGGTGCGGTCACCTCCTGAGGGACAAAGGTTTCCCGCCCAAAGTGCACATCCAGAGAAACTACTGATGAGGGCAGAATAAAGACAGACAGGAGGACTGGGGAGTGAATTCCTGCCGACCCGCTGCTAGGGAATGGTTGCAGGGCCAACTCTAATGGAATAGGGTTTAGTCTGCTTTGCATTGCTCCAAAGAAATCCCCGAGGCTGGGTCATCTATAGAGAAAAGGGGTGGGTTTGGCTCATGGTTGTGGAGGCTGAATGGGAAGCGTGGCACCAGCGTCTGCCTTTGGTGAGGACCCCAGGGAACCTCTCATCACGGCAGAAGGGGAGGGAGCAGGTGTCACTGGAAGGATGGCCTGGACCGTAATAGTCCATGTCCTCGGCGTTTGAACAAAGAAGTGGACAAAACGTGCAAAGTAACGAACAAAACACGGAAAGAAAGCAGCGAAAGCAGGGATTTATTAAAGCGAGAAAGGTCGGGAGTGGGGTGAGAGGGGCGCTGTTACATAGTTTTCTGGGGTTTGTTTTTTTTTTGTTTTGAGAGGGAGTCTCACACCGTCGCCCGGGCTGGAGTGCAGTGGCGCCATCTCGGCTCACTGCAACCTCTGCCTCCCAGGTTCAAGCGATTCTCCAGCCTCAGCCTCCGGAGTAGCTGGGATGACAGGCGCCCGCAACCACGCCCGGCTAATTTTTGTGTTTTTAGTTGAGACGGGGTTTTTCTTTGTTGGCCAGGCTGGTCTTGAACTCCCGGCCTCAGGTGATACACCCGCCGCACTCTCCCAAAGTGCTGGGATGACAGGTGTGAGCCACCCCCTCGGCCAGTTTTCTGGGTCTTAAGGGCACCTTTCATGGTTCCTATACCTCTTATCTGGATGAAAGATTTGGTCCGTGGCTAATCAAAGGCTGAGGTAAACTGGTGTCTGCAGATGAAAGGGTGGCCCGCAGCCAGTCCACAGCACTTTCCTTTCCATCTGGGACATGGTGGTGGGGGCTGTACGAGAGCAGCCTTTGATCCTTTGCTACTGGGCGTGGGGCTCTTCCTCAGGGTGTAGTTTTTGGAAGTTGGTGTTAATTGGCCCTGGGTTCCCTGCCCCAGACCTTGAAGTTTTTCCTGGATTCAGCGTGCTTTGGCCTCGGACTCTCTCCCCCTGACCTTGGTGTTTTCTCTTTTAGGAAGTCAGCACAAATTAGCGTCCCATTCCCTGCCCCAGGCCTCGCTGTTTTTCCTTGATTCAGCACGAATTGGCCTAAGTTCCCTGCCCCCAGACCCTATTCTCCTGCTCCCAGGGCATCACGTGCAGAGAGGGAGGCAGAGAGTGAGGGGGGAGGTACCAGGCTCGTTTTAACCGTCAGTTCTCTTCCCAACGAACTCATTACCTCCAGAACTGCACCAAGCCATTGATGAGGGGCCCGTCCCCATGACACAAAACCTCCCAACTGGGATCCAGTTTCCACGTGAGATCTGGACAAACATTCAAACTCTATCAGGACTATAAACCAAACAAAGGTGGAAGACCTTCAGTGCAGGCATTAAGTGAGCACTGACATTCCAGGCTGGGAGTAGCAGGTTGGACGAGGGGAGGCTCTGGGGGCAGGGAGGGAGGTTGCAGAGTCCAGAGCTTGGAAGATGGAAGATAAGGGCACCCAGTGTAGGGCAGGAGAAGAAAGGCAACTGGAAACTCTGGGACAAACTATAAAACCCCACGGAAAAGACAGGTGTAAGGTGACTACCTTGATCCGAGGGTGATCTGAGTGGCTGGTACCTTTGTGCTCACAGCAGGACTGTCGTAAAGTAGGTACATCCATGACTTCTACTTGACAGACGAAGAGACTGAGGCCGAGAAATTGAACCAGCTCACCCACGCTGCCCTTGAACAGTGGTCGTGAGAGGGGAACCCACAGCCTACCAGGACACGGGGCCCTGCCCAACCCCCAGGACGCCCTCGTGTTGAATTAAGTCCGTGGCTTTGAGCCTCAGAAACGGTGCAAAATGCAGTCCACGCGTGGCTTTCGGCCCCGGTCTGGTGCTCGGAAGACATGTGCCTCCCTCTACCTGCCCCCCGTCCTCCCGCCACTGTGAGGCCCTGAGAGGCCCTGAGATTCTTGCGATGTGTGAATAAGGGTGCCGCATTTTCATGTTGCACTGGGCACTGAATGGTGGAGCTGAGTGATGCGGTTTGGTTCTGTGTCCCCACCCAAATCTCATCTCAGATTATAATCCCCACCTGTCAAGGGAGAGACCCGCTGGAGGTGAGTGCATCGTGGGGCCATTCACCCCATGTTCTCGTGGTAGCGAGAAAGTTCTCACAAGATCTGTTTGTTGTTGTTTTTGTTGGTGGTGGTGGTTTTTAAGACGGAGTTTCACTCTTGTTGCCCAAGCTGGCTGGAGTGCAGTGGCACAATCTTGGCTCCCCGCAACCTCCACCTCCCGGGTTCAAGCAATTCTCCTGCCTCAGCCTCCCGAGTAGCTGGGATTACAGGTATGAGCCACCGCGCCTGGCTAATTTTGTATTATTAGTAGAGATGGGGTTTCTCCATGTTGGTCAGGCTGGTCTCGAACTCCGGACCTCAGGTGATCCACCCGCCTCGGCCTCCCAAAGTGCTTGGATCACGCGGTGGCGTGCGCCACCGCACCCAGCCTAAGATCTGGTTTTTAAAAGTGTTTGGCAGTCCCCCCCTCAAACTCTCTCCCCCGCTGCCATTTAAGACATGCCTTGCCTCCCTTTGCCTTCGGCCATGATTGTAATTTTCCTGAGGCCTCCCCAGCCATGTGGAACTGTGAGTCAATGAAGGCTTTTTTCCTTTAAAAATTACCCAGTCTTGGCCAGGCGCGGTGGCTCATGCCTGTAATCCCAACAGCTTGGGAGGCCGAGGCGGGTGGATCACTTGGGGTCAGGAGTTTGAGACCACCCTGGCCAACATGGTGAAACTGTCTGTAGTAAAAATAAAAAATTAGTCAGACGTGGGGCCAGGTATGGTGGCTCACACCTGTAATCCCAACACTTTGGGAGGCCGAGGCGGGCGGATCACGAGGTCAGGAGATCGAGACCATCCTGGCTAAAACGGTGAAAACTTGTCTCTACTAAAAAAAAAGAAAAAAAAGAAAAAAATTAGCCGGGCGTGGTGGCGGGCGCCTGTAGTCCCAGCTTCTCTGGAGACTGAGGCAGGAGAATGGCATGAACCCGGGAGGCAGAGCTTGCAGTGAGCTGAGGTTGCGCCACTGCACTCCAGCCTGGGCAATAGAGTGAGACTCCGTCTCAAAAAAAAAAAAAAAAAGTCAGATGTGGGATCAGGCATGGTGGCTCACACCTGTAATCCCAGCACTGTGGGAGGCCGAGGAGGGCACATTATTTTAGGTCAGGAGTTCAAGACCAGCCTGACCAACATGATGAAACCCTGTCTCTACTAAAAATACAAAAAAAATTAGCTGGGTGTGGTGTGCGCCTGTAATCCCAGCTACTCCGGAGGCCGAGGCATGAGAATCAGTTGAGGCAGAGGTTGCCGTGAGCCGAGATTGTGCCACCGCACTCCAGCCTGGGTGACCTACTGAGACTCTGTCTCAGAGAGAGAGAGAGGAAGGAGGGGAGGGGAGAAGAGGGAAAGGAAGGGCAGGGGAACCCAGTCTTGGATATTTCTTCTTTTTTTTTTTTTTTTTTTTTTTTTTTGAAACGGAGTCTTGCTCTGCCACCCAGGCTGGAGTACAGTGTTGCAATCTCGGCTCACTGCAACCTCCGCCTCCCTGGTTCAAGTGATTCTCCTCCAAAAGCCTCCAAGTAGCTGGGATTACGGGCAAGGGCCACCATGCCCAGTAAATTTTTGTATTTTTAGTAGAGAAGGGGTTTCACCATGTTGGTCAGGCTGGTCTCAAACTCCTAACCTCGTGATCCTCCTGCCTTGGCCTCCCAAAGGGTATTTTTGTTTGTTTTTGAGACGGAGTCTCGCTCTTTCGCCCAGGCGGGAGTGCAGTGGTGCAATCTCGGCTCACTGCAAGCTCTGCCTCCCGGGTTCATGCCATTCTCCTGCCTCAGCCTCCCAAGTAGCTGGGACTCCAGGCACCCGCCACCATGCCCGGCTAATTTTTTTTATTTTTGGTAGAGACGGGGTTTCACCATGTTAGCCAGGATGGTCTCGATCTCCTGACCTGGTGATCCACCCGCCTCGGCCTCCCACAGTGCTGGGATTACAGGCGTGAGCCACCACACCCGGCCACAAAAGGTATTTCTTTCTTTCTTTCTTTTCTTTCTTTTTTTTTTTTTTTTGTGAGATAGAGATTTACTCTTGTCGCCCAGGCTGGAGTGCAATGGCGCGATCACAGCTCATGGCATCCTCCACCTCCCGGATTCAAGCGATTCTCCTGCCTCAGCCTCCCGAGTAGCTGGGATTACAGGCATGCACCACCATGCCTGGCTAATTTTTGTATTTTTAGTAGAGACGGGGTTTCACCATGTTGCCCAGGCTGATCTCGAACTCCTGACCTCAGGTGATCCGCCCGCCTCAGCCTCCCACAGTGCTGGGATTACAGGTGTGAGCCACCTTGCCCAGCCCCCAAAGGGTATTTCTTTATAGCAGTGTGAAAATGGACAAATACAGTGGCCTCAAGTTCTCTCCTTAGTGGCACCTGAGGGAGTGTGGTGCTCTTGGAAATGCTCTCCTGTCACTCAGTTTCTGCCTCTGAAGCGACAAGCAGAACATGGATGTTCTCAGAGTCCAGGGCTGTGTAGATAGTATTGGAGCTGAAGGCAAAAGGAAAAATCAGAATATTGGGCCTGTCTTTATTTTAAAGGTTTGTGGGGGAGGGGGGGCGGTTTGTGTTTTGTTTGTTTGTTTTTCTGAGATGGAGTCTTGATCTGTTGCCCAGGCTGAAGTGCAGTGGCATGATCTTGGCTCACAGCAACCTCCGCCTCCCGGGTTCAAGTGATTCTCCTGCCTCAGCCTCCTGAGTAGCTGGGACTACAGGTGCGCACCACCATGCCCAGCTAATTTTTGTCTTTTTAATACAGAGAGGGTTTCACCATATTGGCCAGGCTTGTCTTGAACTCCTGACCTCAAGTGATCCATCCGCTTCGGCCTCCCAAAGTGCTGGGATTATAGGCGTGAATGACTGTGCCCAGCTATTTTAAAGTTTTATACTTTGTTCATTATGGATTTTTTTTACATGAATTCTGATTTTTTTAAAATATTGAATGAAAATACGATTTATCATGACCTGGGCATGGTGGCTCATGCCTGTAATCCCCGCAGTTTGAGAGGCCAAAGCAGGCAGGTTTGCTTGAGGCCAGGAGTTCGAGACCAGCCTGGGAAACATGGGGAAGACCCCATCTCTACAAAAAATACAAAAATTAGCCAGACGTGGTGGTGCACGCCTGTGGTCCCAGCTACTCAGGAGGCTCAGGCAGGAGGGTTGCTTGGGCCCAGGAGGTGCAGGTTGCAGTGAGCCGAGAGGGAGCCACTGTCCTCCAGCTGGGGCGATCCTCCTTCCCTGCCGGGCTCCCCCCACCCCCCCCCGAAGCCTCTGACCAGTTTTCCCTCCTGCTCCTCCCAGCAGGCCTGGTTTAGCCCCAGTGCTCAGCCCACTGTCCCCCAGAACCCCAGACACCACCCAGCCCTGGGATTAAGATTCTTCCGTCAGGGCACCACCTGGGAACTGTGTGCCCAGGAGCCCTCGGGCGACTTGAATGTGCTCTGCTGAGTCCTAGAGAGGCCCCGGTTCTAAGGACGTGTCTAGCTGCTTGGCCTGAAGCTCTGTAGCTGGAGTGTGGGTCCCTGTGACGCTGGAGGGCTGCAGGCCGGGGGTGCGGACCCCTCAGCAACAGGGCAGGCGCCAGGGGCACACCTGGCTGTGCAGCAGCTTCCTGGAACGCCCTAATGTTTATCCCCCATGGCAAGTCACGTAAGATGATTTTTACGTGGAAAGGGGTGCTTTATGAGAATGCACTATTTGAATGACTGTTGTCTTGCTTGCAGATCTAGGCCCCCGGGTCCTGAGGGAGGTGGTAGTAATAACAGTAGCACAGCTAGAGCCAACAGCCACTCACCACTCATCTGGGCCTGCTCTCAGCCTGCTGTCCTTTCATCTGGGCTCTAGCTCCACCCCTGGGTCTGGGATCCCAGCTTCTTACTATGCCTCCGCCTAGCCCAGACAGCAACGCCCAGTCATTGAGTGTCCGGCCTTCCATCCTACCCACCCTGGTGGGGAATGTGCTGGTTACTTATTGAACATGGGAAGCTATAAACAGGAGAGCAGCCACCTGTCATCACTTCCACCCACACCTCTGGTGCCTCTCCTGGCAGGCAGAGTGGCTCCTCACAGCCTGAAGCTCATCCTTCTGCACGGGCCAGCCAGGCCAGCACAGAGGCACCAGGGCAGCAGTGCACACAGGTCCCCGGGGACCCCACCATGTGGAGCGGATGGTGGCTGTGGCCCCTTGTGGCCGTCTGCACTGCAGACTTCTTTCGGGACGAGGCAGAGAGGATCATGAGGGACTCCCCTGTCATTGATGGGTGAGTGCTCACCTGAGCCAGGTGCTTAGGGAACCAGGACTGGGAACTGGGGCTGGGAGAGCGGGGCTGGGGGAGCCGGGGCTGGGGGAGCGGGGCTGGGGGAGCCAGGGCTGGGGGTGCCGGGGCTGGGGGTGCCGGGGCTGGGGGAGCCGGGGTTGGGGGTGCCGGGGCTGGGGGTGCCGGGGCTGGGGGAGCCGGGGCTGGGGGTGCCGGGGCTGGGGGTGCCGGGGCTGGGGGAGTTTGGCCTGGGGAGTTGGGGCTGGGGGAGCTGGGGGTGAGACTCGTGTGTGCTTGGCTTGGGGCTCAGTTTCTCTGGGGGTGAGACTCGTGTGCCCTTGGGTTGGGGCTCAGTTTCAGCTTCTGCGACGGTGCCGGGCCCTTGCCCTTTCCTGGCCCCTGCTGCTTTGTGGGGTCTCTCAGGGCCCCCAAAGACTTCAGCGGATGAAGGTCTGCAGGGACTGGGCAGGAAGGAGGCAAGGCCACACTCCCTGGTCCCGAAGCTCAGAGTGAGGTCTGAGCCTGCGGACGTGGAGGCCCTGCGCCCCAATCTCACCCTGTGCCTCAGCTTCTCCCAAAAGCAGCAGGTGCGGGTGGCACCCTACAGGCCCTCTCAGCCGGCATCTTTTTGGCTCTCTTCCCACTCCCCCCGGCCTGCCTTCTCCCGGGGGGAGGCCCATGCCACTTGGGCCCTTGCCTGTGCTGCGCTGTGTGCCCACCCGGCCCCCACCCCCGACCTCGCTGGGGCACCTGGGTCACCTGCTTCTGTCCTGACCTCCTCAGGGCGGAGATCCCCACTGCCCGGGAATCCGACCCTCTTCCCCGCCCCTTCCTGGCCCAGTGCCCCGACACTGGGTCACCATGGAGGCCTCCTGCTTCCAGGCACCAGACTCAGATCAGGGTCCACACTGGCTCCGCGTTGGGGTGGGAGGGTCACTGAGAGTCCGCCCTGTGTCTGGCATGGTGTCTCCACCTGGAAAATGCCTCTGGGCTTTGTTGGGGAAAAACTGTGAAAAAAGCAGGGAAACCCGATGTCTTGTCGCATAAGAACTTCAGGGAACAGTCCAGGCTGGGCAGTTCACGCCTGTAATCCCAGCACTTTGGGAGGCCGAGGCGGGCGGATCACCTGAGGTCAGGAGCTCAAGACCAGCCTGGCCAACATGGCGAAACCCTGTCTCTACTAAAAATACAAAAAATTAGCCAGGCATGGTGGCGCATGCCTGTAGTCCCAGATACTCAGGAGGCTGAGGCAGGAGAATCACTTGAACTCGGGAGGCGGAGGCTAGAGTGACCCAATATCGGGCCACTGTACTTCAGCCTGGGCAACAGAGTGAGACTCCATCTCAAATTAAAAAAACTTAAGAGAGCAGAGGCAGCTGCAGAAAGGGAGCAGAGGGTGGTCCCTGCATCCTCATGGTTTAAAATGGCCATGCCAGCTTCAGCCCTCACATCTGTATGCTGGCCAGCAGGGAGGAGGGAGACATAAAGAAGGGAAAAAGGACAAGCAGCAGGTGACTGTCAGGGTCAGGTTTTTGTTTTGTTTTGTTTTGAGACAGAGTCTCACTCTGTCACCTGTCACCCAGGCTGGAGTGCAGTGGCGTGATCTCAGCTCGCTGCAACCTCTGCCTCCTGGATTTAAGCAATTCTCCTGCCTCAGCCTCCTGAGTAGCTGGGATTACAGGCGCCCGCCACCAAGCCCGGCTAATTTTTTTGGTATTTTTAGTAGAGACAGGGTTTCACCATGTTGGCCAGGCTGGTCTCGAACTCCTGACCTCAGGTGATCCGCCCGCCTCGGCCTCCCACAGTGCTGGGATTCCAGGCGTGAGCCACCGCGCCCGGCCGGGGGTCACAGTTGTTAGAAGCTGTTACGGGACCCACCTTCATCCCTTGGCCACCGCCAGCGACACAGGGGCAGGAAGTATCTTCAACCCAAATGGCTGTGTGCCCGCTAAAAACGGGGGGTTTTAAAGTCACAAAGGAAAAGGAGGAGAATGGATCCCGGGGGCAGCCAGCAGTCTCCCCACGAACAGCTGCCTGAGTGTGTGCTTGCCGCTTTTCCAGCACTTTCCAGCACTCCTTGGAGCAGGACGCCGGCTTCCATATCCCAGCTAAGGGCATTGCCCCAGCTGCACAGATAAGGAGGGTGGGTCTGATTAGCAGAACTGCCATTTGCCCTGGCCATGAGGCAGGCAGGGCCTCCCTCCCACTGAGAAACCAGAGGCCCCACCTTCCCATCGTTTTCTCCAGCAAGAGTGGAGAGGGCTGGCGGGGCACAGTGGCTCACAGGTGTGGTCCCAGCACTTTGGGAGACCGAGGTGGGAGGACTGCTTGAACCCAGAAGGTTGGGGGCTGCAGTGAGCTGTGATTGCACCCCTGCCCTCCAGCCTGGGCAACAGAGTGAGACCCTGTCTCAAAAAGAAAAAAGAAAGGAGGGGCTGCAGGAGGAGGAGGGAGGGGAGAGCAGAGAGCTGCCCCATTGCAGCCTGTCCCTCCAAGGGCGGCTCCTGGGGTCCTAGGAATCCCTACCCATCCCAGGCTAATGTCTGAGATGGGCCGCCTGCGTCCTCAGGCCAAGGAGTAAAGTCTCCTGGGAGCCCTGCCCAGCCCCACCCAGGACAGTGCCCAGTGTAGGGTTGCACCTAGCGATGAGGCTGCTGCCCGGGCAGGGTCCCTGGCTGGAGCTCATGGTTCCCTCAGCAAGTGCGTCCTGACCACCCACTCTGCTCCGAGGGCTGGGGAGAGGCCCGTGCCAGCCCAGGCTGTCATGTGGACTCGCTGTGGCCAGGGACAACCTCGCTGACGCAGGAGCTTTGGGAGAGACTCACACCAGCATCAGGCGTGCGCCCGCCCATCTGCCCAGGGGTGGGGCCGGAAAGCGTGCCAGGCTGGGCTTGGGGGCACTAGCCCAGGGGAGGTCAGGAACGACTGGGACCCAGGAAGGGCAGAGCCCTCCCCTTCTTTCCCCTGAGGAGCTCCATGGGTGCATTCGCCTTGGAAAAGCTCATTGCGGGCACATAGATTTGAGCTGGGTCACAGAAAGCAGAGCCCGCAGCTGGAAATGATTAACAGTTACTCATCTGCCTCTCCCAGCTGCCCTCCAAGGAAAGCACCAAGACACCCTCATGTTACAGATGGGGAAACTGAGACACAGAGGGAGCTGTCCTCAAGGAGAGCACCAAAACACCCTCATGTTACAGATGGGGAAACTGAGACACAGAGGGAGCTGTCCTCCAAGGAAGGCACCAAGACACCCTCATGTTACAGATGGGGAAACTGAGGCACAGGGATGGGTCTGGAAACTGCAAGTGGAGGGGCCCCTGTGGCCTCATCCCAGCGCACACCCTCACAAGGCAGTCCCCCCGAGACAGGGGCACAGCCCACATTACAGGAAGGAGACTGAGGCCCCAGACCCAGTGACGGGGAAGGGGAACCCTGGGCATTCCCCAGGGTCGGGGGTCAGGCCTCAGCCCCTTCCCATCCTCCTCACAGCCTGGTTGAAACACAGATGAGATCGTAGCCTAGAGCCTGCCCTGGGCCCCTTAGAGCTGCATTTCTATTTTTCTTTTCTCTTCTCTTCTTCTTTTTTTTTTTTTTTTGGAGGGAGTCTCGCTCTGTCGCCCAGGCTGGAGTGCAGTGGTGCGATCTCGGCTCACTGCAAGCTCTGCCTCCTGGGTTCCTGCCATTGTCCTGCCTCAGCCTCTTGAGTAGCTGGGACTACAGGCACCCGCCACCACTCCCGGCTAATTTTTGTATTTTTAGTAGAGACGGGGTTTCACCATGTTAGCCAGGATGATCTCGATCTCCTGACCTTGTGATCTGCCCACCTCGGCCTCCCAAAGTGCTGGGATTACAGGCATGAGCCACCCTGCCTGGCCTGAGAATTGCATTCCTAACGACAGTGGATTCCCTTTGCTCCTGGTCTCTGCCAGGCCCTGTTGGGCAGCTGGATTCGGACCCTCTGGGATCCTCACTCAGCCACCAGCTCTGACAGCCCCAGCTCCCCCTTCCTCTGCGTTCCCCTTCCTTCTCCTTTCCCCTTCCTTCTCCTTTCCCTTCCTTCTCCTTTCCCCTTCCTTCTCCTTTCCCTTCCTTCTCCTTTCCCCTTCCTTCTCCTTTCCCTTCCTTCCCTTTCCCTTCCTTCCCTTTCCCCTTCCTTCCCTTTCCCCTTCCTTCTCCTTTCCCTTCCTTCCCTTTCCCTTCCTTCCCTTTCCCTTCCTTCTCCTTTCCCCTTCCTTCTCCTTTCCCTTCCTTCTCCTTTCCCTTCCTTCTCCTTTCCCTTCCTTCTCCTTTCCCCTTCCTTCCCTTTCCCCTTCCTTCTCCTTTCCCTTCCTTCTCCTTTCCCTTCCTTCTCCTTTCCCTTCCTTCCCTTTCCCTTCCTTCTCCTTTCCCTTCCTTCCCTTTCCCCTTCCTTCCCTTTCCCTTCCTTCTCCTTTCCCTTCCTTCTCCTTTCCCTTCCTTCTCCTTTCCCTTCCTTCTCCTTTCCCTTCCTTCTCCTTTCCCTTCCTTCTCCTTTCCCCTTCCTTCCCTTTCCCTTCCTTCTCCTTTCCCTTCCTTCTCCTTTCCCTTCCTTCTCCTTTCCCTTCCTTCTCCTTTCCCTTCCTTCTCCTTTCCCTTCCTTCTCCTTTCCCTTCCTTCTCCTTTCCCCTTCCTTCCCTTTCCCTTCCTTCTCCTTTCCCCTTCCTTCTCCTTTCCCCTTCCTTCTCCTTTCCCCTTCCTTCTCATTTTTCCTCACGAGAGCTCCTACCCTCACCACCACCAGCTCCTGGGAAAACCTTGGAGAACTTCAGTCCTTTGGAAGTTTAGAAGGATCTGATTGGAGTTTGGGTGCAGGGCTCTTCCCTGGGGACAGAGGCAGCAGAGAGGCCTGGGTAGCCCCCAAAGCCTGTACTCGACACCCTGCTCCCCAGGAGGATGGGGGTCCCAGGCCCCCCAAGGTCAGGCCGTTCCAATTACCCAGCCACCCACCATATTCCCCAAGAGGCAATTTGATCTTTAAACTGAAAACTCTCAGAAACAGTATCACCCCCAGGCCCTTGCCCCTCACGTCTCCAATCCTGTCCACTGAGGTCATTTGGCTCCTTGTGTCCCACCCTCAGACAATGTGTCTGCCCCCCAGCCTCCTCCACAGAAAAAGGCCCTGGAAGGGATGGGCTACCCAGCTCCCTGAGCTCCTGGCTCGGGGTTCCCTGCCCTGGGGGTGGGCACAGTTGGGAAATGCAGCCTGCACAGGTGTGTTCAGGTGGCCGGTGATATGTCACCCCCGCGGCCTAGACTTCAGTCCTGCGTCTGTCGTGAGGAGTAGGAAGTGGGGAGAGCAGCCCAGAGGCCAGGAGCTCGGAAGCCCCCAGGTCCCAGTGGCCGCCCTGACTGCCTGGCCTCTCCCCGGCAAACTCCAGGCACAATGACCTCCCCTGGCAGCTGCTGGATATGTTCAACAACCGGCTGCAGGACGAGAGGGCCAACCTGACCACCTTGGCCGGCACACACACCAACATCCCCAAGCTGAGGGCCGGCTTTGTGGGAGGCCAGGTACCGCCTGCCCTGCCTTGTGCTTGCCCTGTGTGGGGTCATCCCGTCTCCTACCTCAGGCCTGGCTACAGTGGGACCATCCCTGTGGTGTTCCTCCAGGGTCCCTCGGTGCCCAGGCCGAGGGAGGGCTTCCCAGCGGGTGGGAAACCAGACTCCCACAGGCATGCGGGGGGTGGGCTGAGACCTGGCTGCATCAGCTCCTGGCACCCCCTGCGGCCCACAGTTCTGGTCCGTGTACACGCCCTGCGACACCCAGAACAAAGACGCCGTGCGGAGGACGCTGGAGCAGATGGACGTGGTCCACCGCATGTGCCGGATGTACCCGGAGACCTTCCTGTATGTCACCAGCAGTGCAGGTGGGGTCCTGACCTGGGTCCTCCAGGTCCTGCGTCTTCTCACCCAGCCCTCATCCTGAGCAGCAGGTGCCGGTCAGGACACCTCACCCTCCAGATACCAGGTGCCCACTCCCCTGCACCCTGACTCTCCCCGCAGGCATTCGGCAGGCCTTCCGGGAAGGGAAGGTGGCCAGCCTGATCGGCGTGGAGGGCGGCCACTCCATTGACAGCAGTTTGGGCGTCCTGCGGGCACTCTATCAGCTGGGCATGCGGTACCTGACCCTCACCCACAGCTGCAACACGCCCTGGTGCGTGACTCCCCATGGGAGGCCCCCGGGCTGTGGTCAGGAGGGAGGGGGCAGACACTCCCTGCCACCCTCCAGAGCCCATCCCCTCTGCCTGTGAGTCCCAGGCCGGGCCTCGCCTGCTGGGCTGATGGGAGGCCGAGACCACCGCTCACCTCTTGGGCACCTGCCTTTTGCTTCTCCAGGGCTGACAACTGGCTGGTGGACACGGGAGACAGCGAGCCCCAGAGCCAAGGCTTGTCACCCTTTGGGCAGGTGAGTGGGGTGGGAGCGGCCAGTCACCCCCGAGGAGAAGGCAGAGGCCCTGGAGGGTGACCAGAACAATGCATCTCCTCACGTGGGACCTCAGTGTCCTTGTCTGTAAAATGGAGCTGGCAGCCATCCCCCCAGGGTGGGTGCTGAGCCCTGAGTGGCCCCGGACTTCCAGCCACGAAGGATGATGACTCACATCTGGTCCAGCCCGTCCACCTCCGCAGCCCCGACCCTGGGGGCTGTGAGGGTGGACGGAGCCCTGTCTTCCCAGCGTGTGGTGAAGGAGCTGAACCGTCTGGGGGTCCTCATCGACTTGGCTCACGTGTCTGTGGCCACCATGAAGGCCACCCTGCAGCTGTCCAGAGCCCCGGTCATCTTCAGCCACTCCTCGGCCTACAGCGTGTGCGCAAGCCGGCGCAACGTGCCTGACGACGTCCTGAGGCTGGTGGTGAGGGCCGAGGGGGCGACCTCCACCCCGCCTCCCTGGGCAGGCCCTCCCAGCTCTCAGCTTCACCCTGTCTTCCTTCTTGTGCAGAAACAGACAGACAGCCTGGTGATGGTGAACTTCTACAACAATTACATTTCCTGCACCAACAAGGCCAACCTGTCCCAAGTGGCCGGTAGGTGGGGTGTGAGCGGCCAAGGGGGCCGAAGGGGGAGGGCCTCACTCGGGACCCATACCTGCTGCTCCCTGGACAGACCATCTGGATCACATCAAGGAGGTGGCAGGAGCCAGAGCCGTGGGTTTTGGTGGGGACTTTGATGGTGTTCCAAGGTAAGGGGCTGAGAGCTCTGTCCTGTGGATGAGCCGGGAGGTTCATGGCCTCGTCAGAGGGATGAGGTGGCTGGAGGAGGGACCTGTGTCCTAGTGTGGGGGCCCAGGTTCTCCTGGCCTCAACACAGGGTCCCTGAGGGGCTGGAGGACGTCTCCAAGTATCCAGACCTGATCGCTGAGCTGCTCAGGAGGAACTGGACGGAGGCGGAGGTCAAGGGCGCACTGGCTGACAACCTGCTGAGGGTCTTCGAGGCTGTGGAACAGGTGAGGATGGGGTGGCCACCTGAGTCTCCCCCACCACCACCAGCAGGCAGGCTGCCCCACCCGTGTCTGTCTGTCCCCAGGCCAGCAACCTCACACAGGCTCCCGAGGAGGAGCCCATCCCGCTGGACCAGCTGGGTGGCTCCTGCAGGACCCATTACGGCTACTCCTCTGGGGCTTCCAGCCTCCATCGCCACTGGGGGCTCCTGCTGGCCTCCCTCGCTCCCCTGGTCCTCTGTCTGTCTCTCCTGTGAAACCTGGGAGACCAGAGTCCCCTTTAGGGTTCCCGGAGCTCCGGGAAGACCCGCCCATCCCAGGACTCCAGATGCCAGGAGCCCTGCTGCCCACATGCAAGGACCAGCATCTCCTGAGAGGACGCCTGGGCTTACCTGGGGGGCAGGATGCCTGGGGACAGTTCAGGACACACACACAGTAGGCCCGCAATAAAAGCAACACCCCTTCACATCCTGGGGTACGTGTCATCGGCATCCGGCTCAGGAGGTGGGGTGTTTTGTGAAAATGGCTCCTGGTTGGACGTGGGGCACTCCTGTGATCCTGGATCGAGTCTTCGGTCCAGGCCAGAAGGGCTCAGGAGGTGTGAAAAGGGCTTTGTAGAGACACTGCTTGAGCGTCTTTAGGGACAGTCTAGGCTCCAGTAGTCACCTCCAGCCATGCACCGGTGCACACACCCCACCCCTGCACACACACACACACCCCACCCCTGCACACACACACACACACCGCACCCCTGCACACACACACACCGCACCCCTGCACACACACACACCCCATCCCTGCACGCACACACCCCACCCCTGCACGCACACCCCCCACCCCTGCACACACACACCCCACCCCTGCACACACACACATACCCCACCCCTGCACACACACACACACCCCACCCCTGCACACACACACACCCCACCCCTGCACACACACACACACCGCACCCCTGCACACACACACATACCCCACCCCTGCACACACACACACCGCACCCCTGCACACACACACCCCACCCCTGCACACACACACACACCGCACCCCTGCACGCACACACCCCCCACCCCTGCACGCACACACCCACCGCACCCCTGCACACACACACCCCATTCCTGCACACACACACCCCCACCCCTGCACATTCACATCCCACCCCTGCACACACCCTCATCCTTGCACACACACACCCCATCCCTGCACGCACACACACCCCACCCCTGCACACACCCCCACCCCTGCACGCACACACCGCACCCCTGCACGCACACACCGCACCCCTGCACACACACCCCCACCCCTGCACGCACACACCCCACCCCTGCACACCCCACCCCTGCACACACAACCCATCCCTGCTCACATACCCCACCCCTGCACACACCTCACCCCTGCACACACCCCACCCCTGCACACACCCCCACCCCTGCACACACCCCCACCCCTACACACCACCCCTGCACACACACAACCCTGTGCACACCCCACCCCTGCACACGCACACCCCTGCACATTCACATCCCACCCCTGCACACACCCTCATCCTTGCACACACACCCCCACCTCTGCACACACACACACCCCACACCCTGCACACACCCCACAACCCTGCACGAGCAACCCCACCCCTGCACGCACACCCCCTGCACCTGCTCATTCTGATTCTGTAAACATGGCTAAGGGCCCAGGAACCTGCACTGGCAGAACCACTCTCTTCATCCAGCATTTTTTTGAGATGGAATCTCGCTCCGTCACCCAGGCTGGAGTGCAGTGGCATGATTTCAGCTCACTGCAACCTCCGTCTCCCAGGTTCAAGTAATTCTCCTGTCTCGGCCTCCTGAGTAGCTGGGATTACAGATGTGCGCCACCACACCCAGCTAATTTTAGTAGAGACGAGGTTTCACCATGTTGGCCAGGCTGGTTTCCAACCCCGACCTCAGGTGATCCGCCCACTCAGCCTCCCAAAGTGCTGGGATTACAGGCGTGAGCTGCTGCGCCCAGCCCAGCCTCTTTTGGTAAATGGGGAGGCAGGGTCTGCATCGGCGTGGCCCCCAGGCTCCCTCCCACTGTGGGCAGCAGAACCAGGCCGACCACAGGGACAGACGTGGTCCAGGCGTGAGCTGCCCAGCACCAGGTCCTCCTAGGTGGAGCTTGGGGCTCAGTGCCTTCCCATATGGGCCTCCAAGGGTTCGTCTTGAGATGCACACAGGGCAGGACAGGACCCCCCACGCTGCTGCTGCCCCACCCTGGAGGGCCCTGGGGGTGAGGGGACTGCCCTCACAGCCCCCACAGGCTCTGTAGTTCTCCCTCAGCTTCCGTTAGGAAGTGGGAAGCCACTGGGCCCAGGTCACTTCCAGATCTGACTTGGCAGGGAGAAGGCTGGGTGGAGGTGGCCACAGCATCGGAGGTGCAGGCAGGGTCCCTGGGAGCTGCTGGGAGGCTTCACTACCCACTAGCCAAGCCTTGGCTGGAGGCCCTGAGTCGAGGAGCAGGGGGCTCCGGGGTCCATGCCCTTCCATGGAGCAGCAGCCCCTGCAGGCGGCTCTGAAGCCTCCAGAAGGGACGCGTCCTGATCTTCCAGGATGCACTTATCAATAATCGTTCTGTCTGTTCCCCTCCCAGCCTGGCTGCTGATCATCCAGGATCCACTTATCAATAATCATCCTGTCTGTTCCCCTCCCAGCCTGGCGTTTTCCGTCTGGGATTGGAGACTCGGGGGGTCCCTGGTGGGCTGCAAGGGTATTAGGCCTAATTTTATTAACAGTATTTGTAGGGTCCTACAGGGTCTGTAGGTTTTTCTCCTCGTGTACGGAGACGAGCGATCATAGAAATAAAGACACAAGACAAAGAGAAGAAAAGACAGCTGGGCCCAGGGGACCACTACCACCTGGACGCGGAGACCGGTAGTGGCCCCGAATGCCTGGCTGCACTGTTATTTATTGGATACGAGGCAAAAGGGGCAGGGTCAGGAGTGTGAGCCATCTCCAGTGATTGATAAGGTCACGCGAGTCACGTGTCCACTGGACAGGGGGCCCTTCCCTGTTTGGCAGCCGAGGCGGAGAGAGAGAGAGGACAGCTTACGCCATTATTTCTTCTATGCATTTCAAAGACTTTAGTACTTTCACTAATTCTGCTACTGCTGTCTAGAAGGCAGAGCCAGGCGTACTGGGTGGAACATGAAGGCGGACTGGGAGCGTGACCGCTGAAACACAGCATCACAGGGAGACGGTTAGGCCTCCGGAGGGCTGCGGGGGGGGGTTGACTGATGTCAGATCTTCCACAAGAGATGGTGGAGCAGAGTCTTTTCTAACGCGCCCCCGGGGAAAGGGAGATTCCCTTTCCGGCTCTGCTAAGTAACGGGTGCCTTCCCCAGGCACTGACGTGACCGCTAGACCAAGGAGCCCTCTAGTGGCCCTGTCCGGGCGTAACGGGGGCTCACGCTCATCTTGTGGTCGCTTCTCACGGTGCCCCTTCAGCTCCTGTCTCTGTATGGCCTGGTTTGTCCTAGGTTATAATTGTAGAGCAAGGATTATTATAATATTGGAATAAAGAGTAATGCCACAAACTGATGATTAGTAACATATATTATCTATAATCTATTTCTAGTATAACTATTCTTATATTTTTTTTTATTATACTGGAGCATCTCACGCCCTCGGTCTCTTGCCTTGGCACCTGGGTGGCTTGCCGCCCACAAGTATTTTCTCATGAGAAGAGCTTTAATCCTAGTCTGAAAATAATCCTAACTGCATTAAATTCACACCAAAGTGTCCAGAAAGACGGCACCTTAACTGGCATCCCAGGAATGCACCTGCTTCCCAGAGTCCTTCCCACGAGCCGGTCATTGTTCACGCATCCTGAGTTCCAGCCTCAGGCTGGAAACAGACCTTTCCAGAGGAGGTTGGGAAGGAGCGCACCCAACCCTAGAGAGCTGGGAATTCCGGCAAGAGGTGACATGGAGGTGGGTGAGGGGGCTGGGGCCTCCCCATGGTGCAGACCCCCATCCTGGGGTGCAGGCAGACCCCAAGCTCCACCCCTCTGGGCCCTCTCTCTCTGGGAAGCCCCCCGAGCTTTGTGGACCGTGAGGATGTGGGAGGCGTGCCAGGGAGCGACGGGGCTGGCTCTGTGGCTGGAGCTGAGGGGAGGGACGCAACCCCTCCCACTCTACATCCACATCCACAGTGACGCTTCACCCCCAAAAAATAATGAAGACCTATCAGGATGGCGGCACCTTAATTACTACTGGAATTAAAAACAGTGGCTCTACCATGTAATAGCCACTGTGAAAGGGTGGGGGCAGTGCTTAGAGCATTTTTTGTTTTTTGTTTTGAGACAGTTTCACTCTTGTTGCCCAGGCTGGAGTGGTGCTATCTCAGCTCACCGCAACCTCCGACTCTTGGGTTCAAACGATTCTCCTGCCTCAGCCTCCTGAGTAGTTGGTATTACAGGCATGCACCACCACGCCTGGCTAATTTTATATTTTTAGTAGAGACGGGGTTTCTCCGTGTTGGTCAGGCTGGTCTCGAACTCCCGACCTCAGGTGATCCACCCGCCTCGGCCTCCCAAAGTGCTGGGATTACAGGCGTGAGCCACTGCACTGGCCCGGAGCTGTTCTTTAGCTAGGGGCCCTCACAGGAGTGTGGGTGGCAATTCTGAAATTCATTTGTGCACAAATGAGCAGAAAGGCAGTGTGCCAAAGCCAAATTTTCAGAGAAGCTACAAACGAGGGGAGGCTGGACCGAATCGTACGGAACGGTGTGCACCTGTGGCTCCAGGGCACGCAGAGGGGTGTACCACTGTGCACCATGGCGGCTGCAGACGCCTCTTGGCCAGCGGCACACAGCACTGAGGCCCACGGTTTGTACCCAGGTCTTGGTTTTCTGGTTGGTTTTTTTGAGACAGGGTCTCACTTTCTCACCCAGGCTGGCGTGCGGTGGTGTCATCCTAACTCACTGTAGCCTCAACCTCCCAGCCTCCCAAGTGACTGGGACCACAGGGGCATGCCATCATGCCTGGCTGATTTTATTTTTTGTAGAGATGGGGGTCTCACTATGTTGCCTAAGCTGGTCTCCAACTCCTGAGCTCAAGGGACCCTCCTGCCTTACCTCCTGGAGTGCTGGGATTACAGGCGTGAGCCACCACGCCCAGCCTCCAGATCCTGGTTTTCTAAATACCATTCCCCACTCGAAGGAATTGGAGCTTCCTGGAGAAAGGGCTGCTTCCAGGGCTGGGGCAGGGAGAGACCAAGATAAGCCAGAGCCTCCTGCAGTGCTGGGAGTCAGGCCGTGCTCAAAGACTGCCAGGGTGGATGGAAAGCTGACCTAAATGCCCTCAAGACGACACCACCTGAGCCACAAAGTCAGCAACAGCAACCATTGTAGCCCACGCAATAAACAAACAGGTCCAGACTGATAGAAATAATGGAGTGGGGAGGGGTCCTCCCTAGAATCCCAATAGAACCAGTGATTTCATTTGTGTCGATGGACACTGACACTCAGGGCAAAGTGGGTCGAGGTTTGCACAGTCTTCAACAATCTTCCCACGAGGCACATGAATTAAAAAGGGAAAATACGGCCAGGCACAGGTGCTCACGCCTGTAATCCCAGCACTTTGGGAGGCTGAGGCAGAGGGATCACCAGAGGGCAGGAGATCAAGACCAGCCTGGCCAACATGGCAAAACCCCATCTCTACTAAAAATAGAAAAAATAGCCAGGTGTGGTGGTGGGCGCCCGTAGTCCCAGCTACTCAGGAGGCTGAGGCAGGAGAATCGCTTGAAACCGGGAGGCAGAGGTTGCAGTGAGCCAAGATGGTGCCACTGCACTCTAGCGTGGGCAACAGAGCAAGACTCTGTCTCAAAAATAATAAAAAGGGAAAATGCTAACTTCACAGTGGAGAAGCCTGGAGATGCCACTGCACCCAGTGGTGAAGGTCACAAAGTCACCAGCACCGAGACACAGGGACACCACGCCCCTGCCACCGAGCAGTCATGAAGACCCCAGTGCATCGTGGGAAAACCGCACCCCCCCAAGCTGAGGAGCATTCTGCAAAATAGCAGCCAGCAGGTTTCAAACCATTCAGGTCATGAAGAAAACCGGGGAACCCTCCCAGATTGGAGGCGGCAGCACAAGGACGTGCAGCAGGGACGTCAGACCAGAGACCGTCAGGAGCACCACAGTGCCCATCAGACCAGAGGCTCAGGGGGACCACGGTGCCCAGCAAGCATCCTGGTTTGGCCGAGGTGCACAGAGACCATGTACTGTGCAACTGTTAGGCAAGTTTTAAATTATTTCAAAGTAAGCAGAGAACTGAACATGGGAGATTGTCGGTTTGGATGGGGCCCGAGAATGAGCATAGCCATCTGCCCAGCCCCTAGCAGTGAACACTCCAGGAACCCCTCCTCAGCTTGGGGGAGATGGCCACATCCAGGGGCTCACCCAAGGCTCCAAAGCAAAGCTTGAGAAAGTTTCCAGGGATCCATTTGTTTATTTACAACAGCATTCTAGGAGAAAGGTGAATGGGCCCCTCTCCTCAGTGCCCAAGGGGACAGGACTGAGGCAGCCCCACCTGGCCCATGGCTCTGCAGAGCTCTGCACCCTCCCCAAGGCTGTTACCCACGATGGACAGAAGGACGTTCTCTCAACACCAGGGTTGATTTTGGGGAGGCTGGAGGGAACCACGTCTAGGACCTACCAACACTAGCCCCTCCCTGGGGGCTCCCAAGTTCTGAAAAGAAAACCAAACGCAGTGAGCCCACGTCAGGGTCTCCACGTTCCTGCACGTAACACCCACGACACCACTGCAGCCTCAGCATGGGCTGCACGGGGTGGGCAGGACTGAGGAGGGGAGGGCAGGACTGAAGAGGGGCGGGGACCCGCACTCCCTGCCAGCCGCCCACCACCTGCCTTTTCTACTTTGGCAAAAACAAAAACAAAACCTGGAAGCCTCAAGACAATGAAGTAAACTTTAGGAAATGGAAAAGACAGCAGGCTGTGCCCAAAGCCTCTCTCAGCCTCCCAGCAAGTCCTTCCCAAGAGCTGCTGGTGACTCTCCAGGGCCACAATGGCAGGTTTTCCTCACAGCAGCCCCAACCCCAGCCCAGCTGAAGACGGCTCTCCTGAGCTCCCTTCATCAGCTGCCTTGGCTTCCAAGCTGGGAAGGCATTGGGGTGTGGTCGGGGAAGGCACCCAGTTGTTTACAGATGGTAGAGGGTGACACAGGCAGCATCGTCATGAAGCAGGGCCCCAAGGAAAGGTCCTCCGGGAGAACCAGGCTGCCCAAGGGGAGGAGCTGCAGACGCACCCGCTGGGACCGCAGCCTGCTGGTGGACAGGCTCCCTGTCGAGGAGACAAACAGCACAGCACATGTGGCCAAAGGCACCTCCAGAGGCAGCAGCTGAGTGAGGATGAAGACTGCAGGGTGGGCACACTTGAATGTGGATCTGAGTGACGGTTCTGTCCCCATGGACTGGGCAGCTTTGGGAACTGAGGGAAGTGAGGGAGCGCAGGAGGCCAGGGGGCTCAGCCAGCTGGTAGGGGCGGCCGAGACACCACCCCTGGAGTGATGGAGGAGGAGGATGTCATTGTAAATACCACCAGGACAGCGTTGGGTGGCACCTGACATCCCCCAGCACACATAGACCTGTGGTGCCTCCTTGGGCTATGTCTGTCCACATGGTGGGACCTCCTGCCCGCTGAGGTGGTGCGGAGAGGCCTCAGGGAGTTGTTTGGCAACAGGGCAGCCCTGACCCCCTCTGGCTGATGGGAAGCAGCATGTCTGCTGCCCCAGAGTCTGAAGGCCCCCACAGTGCTGGGTGAAAGTCCACAGGGCCCCTCTTGGCCTCCCCGCTGTGGGCCCAGAGTCACAGAAATCACCCCCAGAAATTTGCAGAAACTCAACACCAGGACACAGACCCACCGCCCAACCTAAAAGAACAGGAACAACCCTAAGGCCACGCAGGCCTGGCAGGTGAGAGACGCAGAGTGGCTGCCGGCCGCAGCCCCGCGGGGTCAGCACAAAGGCAAGACGCGGTGGGGAGAGGACAGGAGCCTTCCAGCACATCACGGGGCAGAGGCGGTGCACACCGGCGGGGCACGGCTAGTTCCTCAAGGCGGCCAACCTGGAAACCAACAACAGGACTCGGGTCAGGGCAGGGGAAGGGGGCCTCTGACCACCACGTGCTCCCAGCACAGGTGACCCTTTTCCTCCTCAGTGTCCTGAGATAACATGAGTGACAGGCCTTGGAAACAGACATGCCCTGTCCCACTCTTACCTGATCTGTTAGGAAGGGTGCAGTATTCTAAAGTGTACTGCAGACGTGTGTAAACGCCATGCCTGACACACACTCAAGCCCCCACGCCAGCCGGAGCAGGACGGGGCAGCAGCAGGGCGGCTCGCTTGGGGGCGGCTGCAGCTGGGGCCTCTGAGTCGAGATCAGGGCTCCCTGGTCGGAGCCTCAGCCCAAGCTCTCCTCCAGCCTCTAACCCACAACCCTCTCTCCCTTCCCACAGCACCAGAGCGTGGGGTTGGTGACACAGCGTTTCGGGGACCGACCCTACCTCCGTGACAGCTGGTCCTCCTGGCTGCGCACAGAGCTCTCGCCCACGGCAGAGGCGCCCTCGGGCAGCTGGCTGAGCTGGTCCAGCACCTCCAGGCCATTCTCCTCGGCGATCTGCATGATGAGGCTGTCCACCTGCTCCTGCGGCGTGGTCAGGGTGGTGGCCGAGCTCATGGAGTCCTCCATCACCTGGGGGCAGGGGCATGCTCTGGACAACAGGTGGGGCCAGGCCCATGGGGCCCCACTCAGCTTCACAAGGGTACGACTGCACTTTTCGTTCCCTCACACAGCCAGCCACCTTCTTGCCCTGTTCTCTCAGTGACTCTCTCTGTCTCACCTTCCACCAGGAGCCTTTCCTGCCCCCCCACCCAGCCCCACCCTCTGACTGTGCCATGCCTGCTGCCGCGGGTGGACATCTTTCCACACCTCTGCATGCTTGTCTGCCATCCGAGCCTCCCCACAAGGAGCCAGGTGCCTGCAGGAGGCCCCCGCCGCCCTGCCCACCCTACCTGTCAGGGTCCTGGCAGGGACCCAGCACAGAGGATGCTTGGTGACGTCAGGGAGCAACCACAGGTATGCAGAGACAGCACGTCAGCCTGTGAGCCACCCCTCCCGATGAGCTGCCCACACACGCTCCTTGTCCCCAGGCCACAGCCCCAAGGGTAGGGGCCACATACCGATGTATGGACGTCCAGGTTCTGCACCTGCTGCTCGAACCTGTCCATCACTGAGGAGACCTTCTGCAGGTCCATGGTGCTCAGGGCCTTGTCCAGGGCTTTGGTCACCTGGGCCATATTCTTGGTCACCTGAGACAGGAGAGAGCGCAGGAGGGAACAGGATGAAAGGCAAGTGGAGCTCACGCACCAGGGACGGGTCCCCTGGACTCTGACAGGAGAGCTGGGGCACCCCAACCCTGACCCACAAAACCCCAACTCTGGGCTGAGCCATCATCTGGGTCCTATGGAAAGACCACCAACTCGACGGAAAAGGCCATGGAGACCCAGTGCGGGGTCAGTGGAGAAAAGGCCGCCGACGTGGAGACCCAGTGCGGGGTCAGTGGAGAAAAGGCCGCCGACGTGGAGACCCAGTGCGGGGTCGGTGGAGAAAAGGCCGCCGACGTGGGGACCCAGCGCGGGGTCGGTGGAGAAAAGGCCGCCGACGTGGGGACCCAGCGCGGGGTCGGTGGAGAAAAGGCCGCCGACGTGGGGACCCAGCGCGGGGTCGGTGGAGAAAAGGCCGCCGACGTGGAGACCCAGCGCGGGGTCGGTGGAGAAAAGGCCGCCGACGTGGGGACCCAGCGCGGGGTCGGTGGAGAAAAGGCCGCCGACGTGGAGACCCAGCGCGGGGTCCGTGGAGAAAAGGCCGCCGACGTGGACACCCAGCGCGGGGTCGGTGGAGAAAAGGCCGCCGACGTGGGGACCCAGCGCGGGGTCGGTGGAGAAAAGGCCGCCGACGTGGGGACCCAGCGCGGGGTCGGTGGAGAAAAGGCCGCCGACGTGGGGACCCAGCGCGGGGTCGGTGGAGAAAAGGCCGCCGACGTGGGGACCCAGCGCGGGGTCGGTGGAGAAAAGGCCGCCGACGTGGGGACCCAGCGCGGGGTCGGTGGAGAAAAGGCCGCCGACGTGGAGACCCAGCGCGGGGTCGGTGGAGAAAAGGCCGCCGACGTGGAGACCCAGCGCGGGGTCGGTGGAGAAAAGGCCGCCGACGTGGAGACCCAGCGCGGGGTCGGTGGAGAAAAGGCCGCCGACGTGGAGACCCAGCGCGGGGTCGGTGGAGAAAAGGCCGCCGACGTGGAGACCCAGCGCGGGGTCGGTGGAGAAAAGGCCGCCGACGTGGAGACCCAGCGCGGGGTCGGTGGAGAAAAGGCCGCCGACGTGGGGACCCAGCGCGGGGTCGGTGGAGAAAAGGCCGCCGACGTGGGGTCTCCAGGACTGCTGTGCCCTCCTGGCCCACCTGCACTGTGTGAAGGAAATGCCTGCAACAGCCAAGGCTCTGCTGTGACGTCCCTGACCCAGCAGATGAGCCTGGCCATGCAGGCTCTGCCTCTTGTGGGAGTTGCCAAGACCGAGGCCTGGCCAGGTACAGTGACAGTGAGTGGTTCACGCCTATAATTCCAGCACTTTGGGAGGCCGAGGTGGGAAGATTGCTTGAGGCCAGGAGTTTGAGACCAGAGCGGCCAACATAGACACCCTGTCTCTACATAAAAATGAAAAAAATCAGCTGGGCATGGTGGTGGATGCCTGTGGTCTCAGCTACTTGGGAGGCTGAGGCAGGAGGATCGCTTGAGCCCAGGAGGTTGAGACCAGAGTGGCCAACATAGACACCCTGTCTCTACTTAAAAATGAAAAGATCAGCCGGGCATGGTGGTGGATGCCTGTGGTCTCAGCTACTTGCGAGGCTGAGGCAGGAGGATTGCTTGAGCCCAGGAGGTTGAGGCTGCAGTGAGCTGTGACTGCACCACTGCACTCCAGCCTGGGTGACAGAGCAAGACAGTCTCTAAAAAATATATATTTAAAAAAAAAAAAGCCCAAGTCTTATCAAGAGGTCCTTCCTGGGGCATCAGTGCAAGCTCAGGGTGCAGCCTCACCTGTGTCCCTGCCAGCATTTCCCACCCCACGCTGATCCAGCTTAACTCAACCTCCCCACCCCACGCTGATCCAGCCCTCAACCTCCCCACCCCACGCTGATCCAGCTTCCCTCAACCTCCCCACCCCGCGCTGATCCACCTTCCGTCAACTCTGAGCTGCCCCAGATCCAGACCGCAGAGCCCATTCCTGCTTCAGCCAGCGAACGCCACCCATCCAGCACCAGGGCCCAGCACTCACCCCCTTCATAGTCACAGCTGTCTGCACCTTGGAGGCCACTGCGTCTACGCGGGACGCCATCCGAAGCCAGTTCACACCTTCGTTCTTCTTGCGGATGGCGTTCTCGGCATACACACGGGCACACTCTACATTTTTCTGCAGAAGGGCCTGAAACCCGCGGGGGAAAGCAGCTGGAAGAGCTTGGTGGTGTGTGTGCCCCCTGCTAGGAGCCCAGTTTTTGTTTTGTTTTGTTTTGTTTTGTTTGAGACGGAGTCTTGCTCTGTTGCCCAGGCTGGAGTGCAGTGGCACGATCTCGACTCAACGCAAGCTCCGCCCCCCAGGTTCATGCCATTCTCCTGCCTCAGCCTCCCGAGTAGTTGGGACTACAGGCGCCCGCCACCATGCCTGGCTAATTTTTTTGTATTTTTAGTAGAGATGGGGTTTCACCGTGTTAGCCAGGATGGCCTCGATCTCCTGACCTCGTGATCTGCCCGCCTCGGCCTCCCAAAGAGCTGGGATCACAGGCGTGAGCCACCGCGCCCGGCCCTAGGAGCCCAGTGTTGAGGCGGTGGGCGGGCCTCTCCCCAGAAATGTTTGAGCTAAAAATGCAAACACCCAGGCCCCAGCCCAGCCCCCCAAGCAGGCTTCTGCTTCCCCCCGCACCCCTCCAGCACTCCACTGGGCACGGGACACAGCGGGTGACACTCAGAGCCTGTGGCAGGCAGTTCTCCGAGCTCCATTCTCCCTGGGAGCCTGGCTGTGGGTGAAGAGTTACCAAAGTCCAATACGCTGGGACCTACTTCACCGATTACGCAGTTTTAAGAGCTGCACAAGATCCTACCTTCTTTTCTTTTTTTTCTTTTTTTGGAGATGGAATCTCGCTCTGTGGCCCAGGATGGAGTGCAGCAGTGTGATCTCGGCTCACTGCAACCTCCACCTCCTGGGCTCAAGCAATTCTCCCGCCTCAGCCTTCCGAGTAGCTGGGATTATAGGTGTGAATCACTGCGCCCGGCCTAGATCCCTCCTCTCCTTCTGCCCTGTCCATCATGGGGAGGGGACCCCTCCTGGAGAGGCACCCCTGTAAGCCTCCAGCCCCATCCCACCCCATGGGGCAGGGGCATCATGACTCTGCCCAGACCCTGATGCCCTAGACACCAGCTCTGTAGGGAGGAGAGAGCTAAAAATGATAGGATCCGCTGGGCCCAGTGGCTCATGCCTGTAATCCCAGCACTCTGGGAGGCTGAGGCAGGTGGATCACCTGAGGTCAGGAGTTTGACACCAGCCTGGCCAACACGGCGAAACCCCATCTCTACTAAAAATACAAAAATTAGCCAGGTGTGGTGGCGCATGCTTGTAATCCCAGCTACCCAGGAGGTTGAGGCAGGAGAATCACTCGAACCCAGGAGGCAGAGGTTGCAGTGAGCCGAGACCGCACCTCTGCACTCCAGCCTGGGCAACAGCGAGACTCCATCTCAAAAAAAAAAAAGATAGGATCGTGGCAGACAGCTAGCTAGCAGCCCTCCTCCTGCAGATGGCAAAATCAAGTTCAGAATGTTGGAAATGCAAAGAAGGAAAACAATGAAGGCAATGCACTCATCTCTGTGCTCTGGACGCCCTCAGTGGGCTGGGAAGGTCTGGCAGGGGCTGTAGGGCAGGGACAGAAACCATTCTGGGCTGCACCACACACAGCACCTCCCTTCCTGAGTGCCTGTTTGTCTTATGTGGGAAGCAAATACTTTGAGGCTCAGAAATCATAGTGAGGATTAGGCTGGGCACAGTGGCTCATGCCTGCAATACCAGCACTTTTGGAGGCCAAGGCAGGTGGGTCACTTGAGGATAAGAGTTCGAGACCGGCCTGGCCAACATGGCGAAACCCCATCTCTACAAAAAAATTAAAAAATTAGCTGGGTGCAAGCCTGTAATCGCAGCTACGTGTGAGGCGAAGGCCCTAGAATCACTTGAACCCGGGAGGCGGAGGTTGCAGTGAGACGAGATCGCACCTGTGCACTCCAGCCTGGGCGACAGAGCAAGACTCCGTCTCAAAAAACAAACAAACAAACAAACAAACAAACAAAATATATATATATATGTACCTCAAGGTGACGATTAAATCATGATGTAGAAAGTGCCCTGCCCCTCCCCAAAAGGCATCAAAACAAAACAGGACACAAAAATAAGGGCAGAAAAGGACAGAAGACAAACCAGGAGAGTCATGACCCCACAGCCCCCAGGGTCTCACCTTCTTCACTTTGGCCTGCTCCGCCTTGGAGTCCTTCTCCGCCTTCTTGGCCAGCTTCTCCAGCTGCTTCGCCGTGAACTGAGCGGAAGCCGGAATGTCCTGGGTCAGACATGCGGAGCCCATCCCCCAGGCCCGGCTCTCCACACCCCCACACCTGTGCCCACACCTGTGCCCACACAGGTTCCTAAGCCCCCATCAGCCAGCCTGGGCCCAGCACACCGCAGGGAAGGCGTGAAGCCTGTGGGCGTGCATCCTGGGCGGCGAGAGATGGCACCAGCTGGAGGAGGAAGCTGCCTGCTCTGCCTCAGGCTCTGTCTGGGTTTTCTCCAGTGTCTGTCTTCTCTGTGAACAGCCTCACCCAAGGCCTCCTCCAGAGCGGAAGGGTCAAAAACCTCTCACTCTGATCTCGGCTCCTGCTTATGGATGGCTTTTCAACGTCAAAGAAAGACTGAAGGAAACTCATTTCAGGCTACCCCCAAGTCATAACACAGAACTCCAGGTAAAAACACACCTGAAAGTGTTATCTCGAGAGAATGCTGTGGATGCAGGAGGTTGCTGGGCAGCACAAGCAGCTTCCGGGGATCTAACTGCTCTGCCAGCACCACACGGAAACAGGGCCTCTGGCAACACCACAAGGACACAGGACCTCTGGCAACCCACCCGGAACCACAGACGCCCTGGTACCAGGTAGCCCTGGCCACCAGCACCTCAAGGAAACAGGGCCTCTGGCAACCCATCTGGAATCACAGACACCCTGGTATCAGGTAGCCCTGGCCACCAGCACCTCAAGGAAACAGGGCCTCTGGCAACCCATCTGGAACCACAGACGCCCTGGTACCAGGTAGCCCTGGCCACCAGCACCTCGAGGAAACAGGGCCTCTGGCAACCCATCTGGAACCACAGACGCCCTGGTACCAGGTGGCCCTGGCCACCAGCACCTCGAGGAAACAGGGCCTCTGGCAACCCATCTGGAACCACAGACGCCCTGGTACCAGGTGGCCCTGGCCACCAGCACCTCGAGGAAACAGGGCCTCTGGCAACCCATCTGGAACCACAGACGCCCTGGTACCAGGTAGCCCTGGCCACCACAGCACCACAGGGTGCAGGACACAAGCAGGCCTCAGCCGGTCCCCTCTGTGCCCAACAGCAACTGACAGGCCCACCGTGATGGGAAAACATCCCAAAGCTGCATACGGTAGCTCCGGCACATCACTCCTGCCCAGTAGCTCAGAGCCAGCGACAAGGCAAGATAAAGCTGGCCACAGATGAGCAGCCAGGAGCACATCCCAGGGAAATGCACGGAAACCTGCCCTGGATTACCGGAAGCTGCAACCTCCACCCCACGTGGGAGGAATACTCAGAAAGCTCTCCTTCAAATGATCTCAAAGAATGAGTCCACACAGCGGAACACCAAGGCCTAATGCCCAAGTTGTCTTTTTTTTTTTTCTTTTCTTTTTTTTTTTTTTTTTTTGAGACGGAGTCTCTGTCACCCAGGCTGGAGTGCAGTGGCACAATCTTGGCTTACTGCAAGCTCTGCCTCCCAGGTTCACGCCATTCTCCGGCCTCAGCCTCCTGAGTAGCTGGGACTACAGGTGCCTGCCACCGCGCCCGGCTAATTTTTTTGTGTGTTTTTAGTAGAGATGGGGTTTCACTGTGGTCTCCATCTCCTGACCTTGTGATCCACCCCACCTCGGTCTCCCAAAGTGCTGGGATTACAGGCGTGAGCCACCGCGCCTGGCCCCAAGTTGTCTTTCTTAAGATAACACTCCGGGCCAGGCACAGTGGCTCACGCCTGTAATCCCAGCACTTTAGGAGGCCGAGGTAGGCGGATCACGAGGTGAAGAGATCGAGACCATCCTGGCCAACGTGGTGAAACCCCGTCTCTATTAAAAATGTAAAAAAAAATTAGCTGGGCATGGTGGTGGGCGCCTGTAGTCCCAGCTACTCAGGAGGCTAAGGCAGGAGAATCGCTTGAACCCGGGAGGCAGAGGTTGCAGTGAGCCGAGATCACGCCAATGCACTCCAGCCTGGGCGACGGAGTGAGACGCCGTCTCAAAAAAAAAAAAAAAAAAAAAAAAGATAACACTATTTCTTTCATGGCTTTCATGGATGACCCTAAGGATCTGCCTCCACTTAGCCTCAGATAAGAAAAGAGCTAATATGTCACCAAGGTGGCTCAATAATCCCCTCCTTGGTCAGCAGTCTGAGCCCTGTGTGGCGGTCACTCAACTGTTATATAATCTGCCCGACTGTTTCTGTGGCTCTGAGTGAGCGTGGCTTATACTATCTGTCCTCACCAGAACAGGGCTGGGGTGAACGGCCATTCGGTACATACCTTCAACTGGAACAGGGTATCTGCAAAGAAAGAGGGAATTAATGGTTTGAGGATTGGGAATGGGACGTTACACTTCTGGCAGGCAGGACTCACTAGGTTCCTTCTAGACACCAGGAGCTAGAACACACACACAGACCACACCTGCCTGGGGCCTTCGGGGAGCCCCCCCCAACAGGGGAGGCACGAGACAGATTCGTGTGCCAGCCCTGGCTCCTTGCTAGCCACAGGGCCCAGCAAATGCAGACCCTCCCTCCCTGTTTCCTTGTTGGGAACATGAGGGTGGTACCAGCCAATCTCAAAGGGTTAGTGTGAGGACAGAAGAGGTCATGGACGCAGCATCTTTTGGCCATGGTTAGAATCCAAAAGATGGTGGTTTATAATTAATGCAACTTTGCAAATGTCCCTTGGGATTCTTTCCCAATTTAAAAGTTCACCTGTAATCCCAGCACTCTGGGGGTGCCGAGGCCAGTGGATCACTTAAAGCCAGGGTTTGAGGCCAGCCTGGGCCAATTTAAAAGTTCAGTACTTGACAGTTTACTTTTTACAGACTCTTTCTCCTCAAAGGTAAATGGATAAAAATAGCAAGGTGGTAACTCTTAGACATCAAAGAGCTGATTTCCAGCGGTACAGTCGCTCACGCCTGTAATCACAGCACTCTGGGAGGCTGAGGCGGGCAGATCACTTGAGGTCAGGAGTTCCAGACCAGCCTAGGGAATATAGTCAGACCTCATCTCTATTAGAAAAATATATATTTTTTTGCCGGGTGCGGTGGCTCACGCCTGTAATCCCAGCACTTTGGGAGGCCGAGGCCGGCGGAACATGAGGTCAGGAGATCGAGACCATCCTGGCTAACACGGTAAAAGCCCGTCTCTACCAAAAAATACAAAAAATTAGCCAGGCGTGGTGGCGGGCGCCTGTAGTCCCAGCTACTCAGGAGGCTGAGGCAGGAGAATGGCGTGAACCCGGGAGGCAGAGCTTGCAGTGAGCCGAGATTGCGCCACTGCACTCCAGCCTGGGCAACAGTGCAAGACTCCGTCTCAAAAAAAAAAAGAAAAAATATTTTTTTTAAAAAGTAGGATTGATCTCAATTCATTCAACTGCTAAATTTGGAGAGCGACCCTGACCCCAGATTCCTGAAAGGGCTTTACCACACTAGCCACAACGAGGAAATGGAGCCTGTAAAAGAATGAGGTTACTGAGTGTTCACAAATGCACACCAAGGCTCCAAGATGAGATCTCCCGGGGTTCCAGAAAGCTCTGGGCATCGTTCAATCTATCGCCTGTCAGTGCAGGCGTGGTCAAGGCCAAGTTCAACCTGTCATCTATCAGTTCAGGTGTGGTCACGGCCAAGGTTATCTGTGACTGGAAAACAGCCAGCCTGACCCAGATGGCACAGTGCAGGCCAGGCGGGCCGTCCCACCCAACTCACTGTGGGATGCTGGCCAAACCGCCCTCCTCATCTCAGCTTTCCCTCACCTCAGCTTTCCCTCACCTCAGCTTTCCCTCACCTCAGCTTTCCCTCACCTCAGCTCTCCTCACCTCAGCTTTCCTCACCTCAGCTTTCCCTCACCTCAGCTTTCCTCACCTCAGCTTTCTCTTCCAGCCGTGTGTGGCAGCACAAAAACCCAGCTAAGGCAAAATCTGACTCTGAGGAAATCTGACATGGGCTTGAGAGAAGTCCCCTCAAAAGAGTTGAGTGAGCTGTGGAGTGAAAAGCCACAATTTTTCTTTTTTTTTTTTGAGACGGAGTCTCACTCTATCACCCAGGCTAGAGTGCAACGGCACCATCTTGGCTCACTGCAACCTCTGCCTCCCAGGTTTAAGCGATTCTCCTGTCTCAGCCTCCCAAGTAGTTAGAATTACACGTGCACGCCACCAGGCCCAGCTAATTTTTGTATTTTTAGAAGAGACGGGGTTTCACCATGTTGGCCAGGCTGGTCTCAAACTCCTGACCTCAGGTGATCAACCAACCTCGGCCTCCCAAAGTGTTGGGGTTACAGGCGTGAGCCACCACATCCGGCCTCCCAAAGTGCTGGAATTACAGCCGTGAGCCACCGCGCCCGGCCTCCCAGAGTGCTGGGGTTACAGGCCTGAGCCACCACACCCGGCCTGGCCAGCATATTTTTTGTGGCGGGAGGTAGATGTTATCTTTCATCTTCTCTCAGGGCAGAAAATCTCTACACATTTCCTTCATGATGATGACACGGTGGTACTATAGCTTTTCACACTTCTAACTAAAAGAATTTTTTTTGAGACGGAGTCTCGCTCTGTCGCCCAGGCTGGAGTGAAGTGGCGCGATCTCGGCTCACTGCAAGCTCCGCCTCCCGGGTTCACGCCATTCTCCTGCCTCAGCCTCCCGAGTAGCTGGGACTACAGGCACCCGCCACCACGCCTGGCTAATATTTTTGTATTTCTAGTAGAGATGGGGTTTCACTGTGTTAGCCAGGATGGTCTCGATCTCCTGACCTTGCGATCCGCCGGCCTCGGCCTCCCAAAGTGCTGGGATTACAGGCGTGAGCCACCGCGCCCAGCCCTTCAAAAAGTATTTTTAAAAGCCTGCCCATCACACCAGCCCAACGATGTTTCAGCAAACATAGGACTTCATTTTGCCAGATTCTTCCTGTTCTTTGGTATCCCTGAGCACACAGCCGGCTAGCCCCAGATGTAGAAGGTAAGAATTAGGGCGACCCATTGAGCACAGAAACGCTTGTGCTGGCTCCTGCTCAAACCTCTGCTTCCCCACATGGAGAATGGACGCAAAGAGCTGCTGTGACCAGGGCCTGGCACTCAGGGAGCGCTTTCTGTCTGAGTCCTTCTGATTTGCAGTGATGCTGTTTGGGGCAGGGGGTGCAACTGTCACTTTTTCTGGTGCCCTCTGACCCGACATTCCAAGTCCCGAAAGGCCGAACAGGCATCGCACAGTCCCCCCTACCGAGCTGGCGGGAAAGGGCGCCTGACGCTGAGGAGTGCCAGGGGCGGGGGAAAGGGTCCTGGGTCGGTGGTCGGGGGTCCAGGCCCTGGGCAAGGGGTCCTGGGTCGGGAGTCTAGGTCCCGGGTCCATGGTTGGGGGTCAGAGGTCGAGGCCCCGGGGAAGGCATACCGGGTTGAGATTTGGGGATGGAGGCCCCGGGGAAGGGGTCCCGAATCGGGGGTCGGGGATCGAGGCCTGGGGGGAGGGGTCCCGGGTCGAGGGTCGAGGCCCGGGGTAAAGGATCTCGGGTTGGGGGTCGGGGGCCTGGGAAGGGTCCCGGTCGGTGGTCGGGGGTCGAGGCCCGGGAGAAGGGGTCCCGGGTCGGTGGTAGAGGCCCTGGGGAAGGGGTTCCGGGTCGGGGATCGAGGGTCGAGGCCCGGGAAAAGGGGTCCCGGGTTGGTGGTCTAGGCCCTGGGGAAGGGGTTCCGGGTCGGGTATCGGGGGACGAGGCTCGGGAAAAGGGGTCCCAGGTCGGTGGTCGAGGCCCTGGGGATGGGGTCCGGGTCGGGGATCGGGGGACGACGACCGGGAAAAGGGGTCCCAGGTCGGTGGTCGAGGCCCTGGGGATGGGGTCCCGGGGGATCGACGGTCGAGGCCCGAGCTCTCCTGAGTCCTGCCCGCGGCCCCAGGTGGGCGGAGCCCACGCCAGTGGGAGAAGCGGCCCCGCCCCGCGCGCGAGTCCCCGGAGGACGGCCGCGACCTCTTACCGTCCATGGCCACAATGACAGGAGCAGCACTCGGAGAGGGAGAAGGGACGCCAACTCCGGGCGGTGTCAGGTCCCGGCGGCGATCGAACCGACCAAGCTGCACCCGGCGGGGACTTCCGGGGTCGCCGCCCCACTTCCGGTCGCACGGGATGCTCTCGCGAGAGGATGGTGGCCGGTCCCGCCAGAGGGGCGGGGCGCGGCTGCGCGGCGCGCGGTCGCCATGGTGACGCACGCCGCTGGCGCGAGGACCTTTTGTGAGTCGCTCCCGGCTCCGCGGCCGCGGAGGTGTGGGGACCCGGGCTTGCGTCGGAGGGGGCGGTGGGCTCACCCATGGGCCTTTCCAAAAGCAAAGAGAAACCCAGGAAAGGTAAAGGAGGCGCAGGCGCTGGGCTCCCCGCGTCTCCGCCCCTGGGCGCGGGCCCAGGGCGGGGCTGGGCTGGGCGGGGCGGTGTGAGCGCAGGCGCCAGGCTCGGCCCGGTGCGAACCGTTCCTGCCGCCGAGTCCGCCACGGACGGCGCGTTTCCCGCCTGAGGCGGTTACGGAAACGCGGAGACTCGAGACTTGAAGCCAGCTTATTCTGGACCCACGCAGGCGACTGAAGACGATGGGACCCACTGCCCTGCATTCGGTAAGTCCCGGGTCTAACGGATGATCCATATATTTCAGGTGAGGAGCAAAAGAAGGGATCCACCTATTCAGTTCCAAAATCTAAGGAGAAGTTGATGGAGAAGCATTCCCAGGAAGCCAGGCAGGCAGACAGGGAGTCGGAGAAGCCTGTGGACAGCCTCCACCCGGGGGCCGGGACAGCCAAGCACCCGCCGCCGGCAGCTTCGCTGGAAGGTAGGAGACGGCGGGAGGGAGCGAAGCGAGGTCAGTGGCTTGGAGGATCTGGGGCTGGGGTGAGGAGCCTACTGTAAGACCCTACCGGATGGACACTAGTAGCAGGCACGCGCCGTAAAGATGAAACTGGTTTGTTTTGGGAACTTTATGTAGGAGGTAAATATCCAGAAATCTTAGTTGAAAACATAAGTTTAATGAAAATGTAGGTCAGTTCCCGAGTGATAAGTGCGTACCAGGTGGTCGAGGGGCTGGGGCAGTGTGCGTGTGTCTCACCTGAGGTTCTCCTCGAGGGCTGGGTATCTTGGTGCCACTGAGAATCCCTGAGCCTCCGCACACTGGAACAGAGCATTGGGAGGCCGTCCCAGGCTGGACTGTAGCTCTCCGAGGGCTGTGGGGATAAGTACATTGCGGAGGGTGACCGAGGAGTAGAACCTGGGTGCGACAAAGGTGTCTTTTATAACAGCCTAGTGTGGCCAGACCTTTGGGTGTGTGTGGGGAAGATGAGGCCCCAAAAGTAGGAAGAAGCTAGAATACAAAGTTTTCCATCAGTTTTACCACGTGGAGCTGGAAGCGTTAAATATTTTAAACAACGGAGGTGCTGCCTGGGGCGGTAGTTCACACCTGTCCTCCCAGTTATTTGGCCGAGGCAGGAGGATCTTTTGAGCCCAGGAGTTCAAGACCAGCTTGGGCAACATAGTGAGACCCTGTCTCTACAAAAAATAAATATTTAAAAATAAAAAACAAGGGCGGCATGATGAGGTCTGTGCCTACCAACAGGGGAAGCCAGTTCGCAGGGGAGGTGGCCCGGTCAGAGACCCATTGCTGTGGCCCAGTGGGAGCCAGCAAGGCCTTGCAGTAGGAATTGCAGAAGGGTCAGGCAGGGAGAACCCGCAGAGCCTGCCGTCCGAGGAGATTGGGGGCCTGTGCCAGGAGGAGGTGTTTTAAGTTTCATCACAAGAATGAACCACTCGGCTGGGCGCAGTGGCTCACGCCTGTAATCCCAGCACTTTGGGAGGCCGAGGCGTGTGGATCACTTAAGGTCAGGAGTTCAAGACCAGCCTGGCCAACGTGGTGAAACCCTGTCTCTACTAAAAATACAAAAATTAGCTGGGCGTGGTGGCATGTGCCTGTAATCCCAGCTACTCAGGAGGCTGAGGCAGGAGAATTGCTCGAACCTTGAACCGGGACCCGGGAGGCAGAAGTAGTGGTGAGCGAGATCGCACCACTGCACTCCAGCCTGGGCTACAGAGTGAGACTCTGTCTCAGAAAAAAAAAAAAATAATAAGGAGAGAACCACTCGGGTCAGACAAGAAAGAATGTCAGGGGGATGACTGGCCTGCTAGGCAGAGGAGCTGGGCCTGGACTGCTTCACACTGACACGCTTGTAGGATCAAGGGCTGAAAGTAGGAGGCTCTGGGCCTTGGACTTGGAAGAAAGACTTGGATTTGAATTCCCAACTTTGGAACCTCCCACTGGAGGGTGGAACCCCTCACAGGAGGGCGCAACCCCCCACCGGAGGATGGAACCCTGCAGGAATAGCATCACCCTTGGGTGGCAGTTTGGAAAATGCTACCTGTCTGTCACGGTGCTTTTAGCTGAAAGTTACAGAAAAGCTCACTAAACGCAGCTTTAACACAGGGATTTAATGTCTCACGAATGAAGGGTCAGAGGTGGAGCTTCCAGGTTGGCTTGTTAGCACAACAGTGACATCAAAGACTTTGCGTGTCTCTTCTTGACCACTCTCAGTGTCCACAGCCCCCGATGAGTGTACAGCCCCCCACACGCAGGCAGGACTGCATCTACTGCAAAGGCATTGCTCCTTGCTTCATATTAGCAAGGAAACCTTTCCCAGGAAGGCTTCGCCTGCCCAGCCTCTGCAGGACTCATTCAATGGTGCAAATTCACCAGGGGCTGGAGGGAGCTGTGAAGCATGGGAGTGGGCAGGACCTCTGCCAGTAACGGAAGTGGGGGAAGGAGGACCGCCTGTTGGAAGGGCCCCAGCAGTGTCTGTCACACCAGAGGGTGGGGGAGGAAGGTGGACATGAAGGGAAAACAGCAGAGCAAGAGTGAGAACAGAGTTTCAGCAGATAAAATGAAGTGTGCACGCTCTCCATGCAGTGACGGGCTGAGCGACAGTGAGGAGCAGGCTGCTGACTCCCTTGCCACACCGTGAAGGAGTCCCAAAGGTGGGACACTGAGTGAGACAAGCCAGAGGAAAGACCACTCATGTTGCAGTTCCCTTTCCATGGAATGTCCAGAAAAGGCACATTTACAGAGAGAAGCAGATGAGTGGTTGCTGGGCAGAAATGGGAGCCGGCCACAGCTGAGCACAAGAGGACTTTGGAGGGTGATGGAAATGGTTTTCGACCTGAATCTGAACATGGGAAGCACTGCAGTTTAGTAGTCCTGGTCCCTAAGCCCTTCCAGCCCAGGAGCCAGACCTGTGAGCAAACAAGCCTTTAGTGATTCCAGGCTCTGGCTGGAACCTTGAGTCTTCTCAGCTTGGGGCATGCACCTCAGGGGGAGCCAGCATCAGTGTCCAGCCCCAAGAGCTTCCCTGTACGTCTCAGTGAGTCTTCACATGCCTCCAACTGCCTGGACAACCACACGTGATACCTGTCCTGCCAAACGTGTCCTGAACCCATAAAATCCAGAGAAAAGAAAATCGTTTTAAACTGCTGAGGTTTGGGGTAAGTTACTATGAAGCAGTAGTGAGAAGAACAGAAGGGCCATGATGGGGAGAAAGTTTGGCCATAAGTTAATCACTGTGGCAGCTGTTAGGATATTGATGTGGCTTGGCTGTGTCCTCACCCAAATCTCATTTTGAATTCCCACATGTGGGAGGAACTGGGTGGGAGGTGATTGAATTATGGGGGCAGGTCTTTCCTGTGCTGTTTTCGTGATAGTGAATGAGTGTCACGAGATCCGATGGTTTTAAAAACGGGAGTTTCCTGCATAAGCTCTCTCTCTGCCTGCTGCCATCCATGTAAGATGTGACTCGCTCCTCCCTACCTTCCGCCGTGATTGTGAGGCGTCCCCAGCCATGTGGAACTGTAAGTCCATTAAACCTTCTTCCTGTGTAAATTATTCAGTCTCTGGTATGTCTTTATTAGCAGCATGAAAACGGACTAATACAGATAGATGTATTATACTGTTACCCCTACTACTTCTGTATATGCTTAAATTTTTGCATTACAAAATTCACAAACATACAAACATTATAGAGAACTAACATCACAGATTTACAGTCACCTTATTCCACAATGTTGGAAATTCTACCACAAATAAAGAACTTGAAAAAAAAGGAGGGGATGTTAGAAGGAAATCTGAGCGACCTAGACCTGGGCTCAGTCACGCCTGAGACAGTCAGATGGGGTATCTGAGGATGAGTCAGTGTTAATTTTCTCAGACCTGGGCTCCGTCACTCCTGAGACAGTCAGATTGGGTATTTGAGGATGAGTCCGTGTTAATTTTCTTAGATGTGGGAATGCTATTATAGTTACGCTAAAACACAATCCCTATCTAATAAATACACTGCAACATTTATGGGTAAAATCATATGTCTGAAATTCCTTAAAGATACTCAGAATGCCAGGCATGGTGGCTCATGCTGTCATCCCAGCACTTTGGGAGGCCGAGACGGGTGGATCACTTGAGGTCAGGAGTTCGAGACCAGCATGGCCAACATGGTGAAACCCTGTCTCTACAAAAAATACAAAAAAATTAGCTGGGTGTGGTGGTGCACACCTGTAATTCCAACTACTTTGGAGGCTGAAGCAAGAGAATAGCTGGAACCCAGGAAGCAGAGGTTGCAGTGAGCCACGATCATCCCACTGCACTCCAGCCTGGGCAATGGAGTGAGACTCCATCTCAAAAAAAAAAAAGATACTCAGGAAAAAAACGAAGAAAGAACAAGATAACAAAATACTGATTGAAGCTGAGTGCTCTATAGGTGCAGGTGCTCATTCACTATTCTATTTTCTTGTGTGTTTGAACACTTTTTTTTTTTTTTGAAATGGAGTTTCCTTCTTGTTGCCCAGGCTGGAGTGCAATGGCATGATCTCGGGTCTCAACTCACTGTAGCCTCCGCCTCCCAAGTTCAAGTGATTCTCCTGCCTCAGCCTCCCAAGTAGCTGGGATTACAGGCGCCCGCCATGACGCCCAGCTAATTTTTTTTGTATTTTTAGTAGAGATGAGGTTTCGCCACGTTGGCTAGGCTGGCCTCAAACTCCTGGCTTCAGCTGATCCACCCGCCTCGGCCTCCCAAAGTGCTGAGATCACAGGCGTGAGCCACCGCACCTGGCCTCCCAGAGCGCTGGGATCACAGGCGTGAGCCACCACGCCCAGCCTGTTTGAACACTTTTGTGACGTTTTGTTGTTTGTTTGTTTTGAGATGGAGTCTTGCTCTGTTGCCCAGGCTGGAGTGCAGTGGCACAATCTTGGCTCATTGTGACTTCCGCCTCCCGGGTTCAAGCAATTCTTCTGCCTCAGCCTCCCGAGTAGCTGAGACTACAGGTGTGCGCCACCATGCCTGGGTAATTTTTGTATTTTTAGTAGAGACGGGGTTTCACCATGTTGGTCAGGCTGGTCTCAAACTCCTGACTTTGTGAACCACCCGCCTCAGCCTCCCAAAGTGCCAGTGTTACAGGTGTGAGCCACCACGCCCGGCCTGTAACATTTTCATGAAGGTAGAGTATACTTAATTGCAAGAAAATTTTGAAAAAGAAGAGAAATGGAACACTTCTATTGGCTATTAAAAAATACCATGCTGAGTGAAAAAAGCCAATCCCAGAAGGTCACATGCTGTATGATTCCATTTCTTTTTTTTTTTTTTTTAGGCTGGAGTGCAAATGGCACGATCTTGGCTCACTGCAACCTTGGTCTCCCGGGTTCAAGCAATTCTACCTCGGCCTCCGGAGTAGCTGGGACTACAGGCATGCGCCACCATGCCCAGCTAATCTTTGTATTTTTAGTAGCGATGGGGTTTCTCCATGTTGGTCAGGCTGGTCTCAAACTCCCGACCTCAGGTGATCCGCTTGCCTCAAACTCCCGATCTCAGGTGATCCGCTTGCCTCGGCCTCCTGAAATGCTAGGATTACAGGCGTGAGCCACCATACCCGGCCGTGATTCCATTTCTGTAACATTCTCTGAATGACAAAATTATAGACAGGGAGGACAGATTGTTGATTGCTAGGGCCTTGGCGTTGGGGTAGGGAGTGAGGGGGTCTGTGAAGGGCAGGGCTTTGGGGTTGGGGTAGGGAGTGGGTGTGTCTGAAGGGCAGCAGGAGGAAGATGGGATTGTTGGTTTTGGTGGTGATTGATTAAATGGCGTAGCTGTACATACACTCATAGTACCGGAGTCCATTTCCTCGTGTCGATAATGGTACTATAGTTATATAAAACGTTCGCTTTGGGAGCCAAGCACAGTGGCTCACGCCTGTAATTTCAGAACTTTGGGAAGCCTAGGCAGGCAGATCACTTGAGCCCAGAAGTTCAAGACCAGCCTGGGCAACATGGTGAAACCTGATTTTTACAAAAAAGACAAGAATTAGCTGGGTGTAGTGGAGTGTGCCTGTAGCCCCAACTAATCAGGGGCCTGAGATAGGAGGATCCCTTGACCCCATGAGGTTGGGGCTGCAGTGAGCCAAGATCGTGCCACTGCCCTCCAGCCCCGGCGACAGAGTAAGACCCTATTTATGCTTCCTAGCAAGGAAAGACAGTACACATATTGAAGAATTTGACTGCGTTAAAATGTTAAACCTCTCCCCAAACTCTTATAAACAATTGTAGAACAAATGATAAGCTCAAAAAAATATTTACATCTATGAGAGGCCAAAGAATATCAGTTGACTCTGGATCAGGGGCTCGGACACGTTGCTGTGGAGGCACACATCTTCCTGGAAGGCGGTTTGGTAACAAGGTGGCAGGACTCAAGACAGCCCACACGATCCCTGCCCCTGGGAAACAGCCATGTGTAACCCTCCCCTCGAGTGTGGGTGGAATGAGGAAGAGGGAGGTGTGTCTCTCCTGCGATTAGCTCACTCATCCATTGAGTTTGACGTCATCAAAATGCGAGATGATCCTGGATGGGCCCGACCTGATCAGGGAAGCCAGACAGTAAAAGTGTCAGAGGCTCTTTAGGGCCCGACCTGATCAGGGAAGCCAGACAGTAAAAGTGTCAGAGGCTCTTTAGGGCCCGACCTGATCAGGGAAGCCAGACAGTAAAAGTGTCAGAGGCTCTTTAGGGCCCGACCTGATCAGGGAAGCCAGACAGTAAAAGTGTCAGAGGCTTTTTAGGGCAGCGAGAAAACGGGAACTTCATTCCTTGAACCGGGAATAAATTCTGCCTCCAACCAGAATGGGCTTAGAAGAGGGTCCTCCAGCTCCTCATGAGAATGCAGTGCAGCCGGCCCCTGGAATTCAGCCTGCGTCCCAGCCACGCTGCACCTGCACCCCTGACGACGAATGCAGTAAGATGATAAGTGGATGTGCTGGTTTCAGCCCTGAAGTTGGTGGTGATTTGTTGTGCAGCAATAGAAGTACACACAATATGTACCAAGAACCTTGAGAAGAGTCACATTTATTCTTTCTGTTTTGTTTCTGAGATGGTCTCACCCAGGCTGGAGTGCAGTGGCACCATCTTGGCTCATTGCACTCTTGACGTTCTGGGCTCAAACGATTCTCCCACCTCAGCTCCCTGAGTAGCTGGGGCCACAGTGCACGCCACCACCCCCAGCTATTTTTTGTAGTTTTTGTAGAGATGCGGTTTTGTCATGTTGCCCAGGCTGGTCTCGAACTCCAGAGGCCAAGCAATCTGCCTGCTTCAGCCTCCCAAGGTGCTGGGATTACAGGCGTGAGCCACCGCACCTGGCCCAAGATTAATATTTCTTTTTTTTTTTGAGATGGAGTCTTGCTCTGTCGCCACCCAGGCTGGACTGCAATGGTGCATCTCTGCTCACTGCAAGCTCCGCCTCCCGGGTTCATGCCATTCTCCTGTCTCAGCCTCCCGCATAGCTGGGACTACAGGTGCCTGCCACCACGCCTGGCTAATTTTTTGTATTTTTTTTTTTTTTAAGTAGAGATGGGGTTTCACTATGTTAACCAGAATGGTCTTAATTTCCTGACCTCGTGATCCGCCCGCATCGGCCTCCCAAGGTGCTGGGATTACAGGCGTGAGCCACTGCGTCTGGCCTAATATTTCTAAATGAAGAAACTATACTTTGAGGAAGATGAAATAAGTCTTGTTTTAGACTAGAAAATTTCAATAGTGTAAATACGTTAACTTCTGTAAAATCAGTCAACACCAAGTCAAAACACAAAAGATCTTTTGGGAATATGAGCAGATTATTCAAAGGTTCATCTAAAGAATAAAAATGAGGCCAAGTGTAGTGATTCACGCCTGTAATCCCGGCACTTTGGAGGCCGAGGCAGGTGGATCACTTGAGGTCAGGAGTTCAAGACCAGCCTGGCCAACATGATGAAAGCCCATCTCTACTAAAAATACAAAAATTAGCTAGGCGTGGTGATGGGTGCCTGTAGTGCCAGCTACTTGGGGAGGCTGGGGCAGGAGAATCACTTGAACCTGGGAGGTAGAGGTTGTAGTGAGCCAAAATTGTGCCACTGCACTCCAGCCTGGGCGACAAGAGTGAGAATCCATCTCAAAATAAATAAATGAATAAAAATGAAAGCAGTAGGAAACATCTGGAAAACCAGAGGCATGAGGGGGTCGGGCCCTCTGATACTCAAGTAGGTTAGAGTAAAAAAAAGCCAGATATGGTGATGTGGGAATATATGGTCCCATAGGTGGGATCTGTGGTTCCAGCTACTCAGTGAGGTCCGAGGATCACTTGGGCCTGGGAGGTTAGGACTGTAGTTTGCTATGATCACATCCACGAATAGCCACTGCGCTCCTTCCTGGGCTACAGAGTGAGACCCTTCTCTAAAAATGGAAGAAAATGGCCGGCACAGTGGTTCATGGCTGCTGTAATCCCAGCGCTTTGGGAGGGTGAAGTGGGAGAATAACTTGAGCCTGAGAGTTCGAGACCAGCCTGGGCAACATGGCAAAACCGTGTCTCTACAAAAAATTTCAAAATTAGGTGGGTGTGGTGGTGTGTAGGGTCCAGCCCCACAGGGTCGGTGGGTTTTCTCCCCATGTGCGGAGATGAGAGAGCGTAGAAATAAAGACACAAGGCAAAGAGATAAAAGACAGCTGGGCCCGGGGGACCACTACCACCAAGCCGTGGAGACCGGTAGTGGCCCCAAATGCCAGGCTGCACTGATATTTATTGGATACAAGACAAAGGGGCAGGGTTAGGAGTGTGAGCCATCTCCAATGATAGGTGAGGTCATGTGGGTCATGTGTCCACTGGACAGGGGGCCCTTCCCTGCCTGGCAGCCAAGGCAGAGAGAGAGGAGACAGAGAGACAGCTTACGCCGTTATTTCAGCATATCAGAGACTTTTAGTACTTTCACTAATTTGCTACTGCTATCTAAAAGGCAGAGCCAGGTGTACAGGATGGAACATGAAGGTGGACTAGGAGCGTGACCACTGAAGCACAGCATCACAGGGAGACGATTAGGCCTCTGGATAACTGCGGGCAAGCCTGACTGATGTCAGGCCCTCCACAAGAGGTGGAGGAGCAGAGTTTTCTCTAAACTCCCCTGGGGAAAGGGAGACTCCCTTTCCTGGTCTGCTAAGTAGTGGGTGTTTTTCCTTGACACTGACGCTACTGCTAGACCATGGTCTGCTTGGCAACGGGCGTCCTACCAGACGCTGGCGTTACCACTAGACCAAGGAGCCCTCTGGTGGCCCTGTCTGGGCATAACAAAAGGCTCACACTCTTGTCTTCTGGTCACTTCTCACCATGTCCCCCCAGCTCCTGTCTCTGTATGACCTGGTTTTTCCTAGGTTATGATTGTAGAGCGAGGATTATTATAATATTGGAATAAAGAGTAATTGCTACAAATTAATTAATGATATTCATATATAATCATGTCTGTGATCTAGATCTAGTATAACTATTCTTATTTTATATATTTTATTACACTGGAACAGCTCGTGCCCTCGGTCTCTTGCCTCGGCACCTGGGTGACTTGCCGCCCACAGTGGTGCGTGCTGGTGGTCCCAGCTACTTGGAAGGCTGAAGTGGGAGGATCATTTGAGCCCAGGAAGTTGAGGCTTCAGTGAGCCATGATCATGCCACAGCATTTCAGCCTGGGCCACAGACCTTCAAGATCCTGTCTCAAAAAGAAAAAGGGATATCGCTCAGTGCTTAGTGCAGCTGTGGGTCATTCGGCAGCTGACACAGATGAGGCTATGTAACGCAGCACTGCAGGCAGAGGGGGAGGCCAAGGCCTGAATACCCCGTCTGACTAGCCTTAGGCAGGCGACTTGGCCTCTCTGCCTCCCCCATCTGGTTAGCCTTGGGCAGTCGAGTTGGCCTCTGTGTCTCCCCTGTTTGACTAGCCTTGGGCAGATGGCTTGGCTTGTCTGTACCTCAGTTTTGTCTGAAATATGGGTTGTCAGAGACCTATAGCAGAAGCTGCTGTGTGTCATTATTCACTGTTCTAGGGCTCAGAACAGGCACGCGATAAAAGCCAGCACCGTTGGCCGGGCGCATTGGCTCACGCCTGTAATCCCAGCACTTTGGGAGGCCAAGGCAGGTAGATCACCTGAGGTCGGGAGTTCAAGACCAGCCTGGCCAACATGGAGAAACCCTGTCTCTACTAATAATACAAAAATTCCCCAGGTGTGGTGGCAGGAGCCTGTAGTCCCAGTTGCTCAGGAGGCTGAGGCAGGAGAATCACTTGAACTCAGGAGGTGGAGGTTGCAGTGAGCCGAGATCACACCACTGCACTCCAGCCTGGGTGACAGAGCGAGACTCCGTCTCAAAAACTAAGAAGAAGATTAATAATAAACCAGCACTGCCATTGCCAGCAGTCCATCCTACCTCGCATCCAGGTTCGTGAGCTACCAAGTGTCCCCACAAAGCTGTAAAACAACATGACCACTGTAGTTACGTTTCTGTAAAAAGGTGACTGAGTCTTCTAACCCTGACCACACATATGTGTGCAGAGAGAGCCAGCTCCATCCTGCTCTCCCAGAAGCCTGAACAGCTGTGCCCTAGCTCGTAGCAGTGGCACTCCAGGAAGGGGGCGGGCGGCTGTGCCCGAGCTCGTAGCAGTGGCACTCCAGGAAGGGGGCGGGCGGCTGTGTCTGAGCTCGTAGCAGTGGCACTCCACGAAGGGGGTGGGCGGCTGTGCCCGAGCTTGTAGCAGTGGCACTCCAGGAAGGGGCGGCCGGCCAGCCAGGAGAGCAGCCGGTGAAGGAGCACTTTTGCTTTGTACGTGGCAACGCTCGGCAGGCTCAGCAGTTTCACAGGTCTCAGGCGTTCCTTGTAACCTTAACAGGTTTAAGAAAATGTGAGCAACATCAGACATGTCCATTTCTAGAACATTCTAATGGATGAAGTTCTGTACAGAGGGCTTTAGCAGAATTAGAGACCTTTGGAGTGGAAATGATGTCTCTGAACCTTGAGCTCTGAGGCGGTTCCTGCCTGGACGTGTGCCCTCCCTCCTTCCTTTGCTGGTCGCCCTGACACCATCCTGCCACGGATAGTGGAAGTGTTTCTCCTGTTTTCTTCCCTGAAAAAGGGTGTCCAGCATCAGCAACCTTCATGGCTGAGTTGCACATCCCTTAAGCCCTGTAATGTTCATGGACAGTTTTGATCACTTTTGGACTCACCCATTTTTTCTGCTAACCATACATCTTAATTCCTTTACTCTGACCAATGGCAGGAGGTGTGTGCATCGTGGAAGGAGCTTTCCACACATCTACTAAATGCCTGGATGTTTTTTCCTCTAGAGAAACCTGATGTAAAGCAAAAGTCCAGCAGGAAGAAAGTGGTCGTTCCACAGATCATCATCACGCGAGCGTCGAATGAGACGCTAGTCAGTTGCAGTTCCAGCGGGAGTGACCAGCAGAGAACCATTCGGGAGCCGGAGGACTGGGGCCCCTACCGGCGGCACAGGAACCCCAGTACAGCAGACGCCTATAATTCACATCTCAAAGAATAAACAAGCACCTTTGCATGGCACTCGCTACTCCCTGCGATAGGCGTCTCGGGAACAGCCGCCTCACCCTGTGAGAAGCCGAGGCCCCTTCTCCAGTGCTCTCGGGGAGGTTGCACCAGGCCCACCCCACCCTGTGAGAAACTGCAGCCCCCTTCTCCAGTGCTTTCGGGGAGGGTGCACCAGGCCCGCCCCACCTTGTGAGAAGCCGTGGCCCCCTTCTCCAGTGCTCTCAGGGAGGGTGCACCAGGCCTGCCCCCGCCGTGAGAAACTGCAGTCCCCTTCTCCAGTGCTCTCGGGGAGGGTGCACCAGGCCCACCCCACCCTGTGAGAACCTGCAGCCCCCTTCTCCAATGCTCTCGGGGAGGGTACACCAGGGTTGCCCCACCCTGTGAGAAGCCACCGCCCCCTTCTCCAGTGCTCTCGGGGAGGGTGCACCAGGGCTGCCCCACGCTGTAAGAAGCCGCCGCCCCCTTCTCCAGTGCTCTCCAGCCCGCCCCACCCTGTGAGAAGCCATGGCCCCTTCTCCAGTGCTTTTGGGGAGGGTGCACCAGGGCCACCCCACCCTGTGAGAAGCCGTGGCCCCCTTCTCCAGTGCTTTCGGGGAGGGTACACCAGGCCCGCCCCACCCTGTGAGAAGCCGTGGCCCCCTTCTCCCGTGCTCTCAGGGAGGGTGCACCAGGCCTGCCCCCGCCTTGAGAAACTGCAGCCCCCTTCTCCAGTGCTCTGGGGGAGGGTGCACCAGGCCTGCCCACCCTGTGAGAAACTGCACCCCCTTCTCCAGTGCTCTCGGGGAGGGTGCACCAGGCCCGCCCCACCCTGTGAGAAGCCGCAGCCCGTTCTCCATTGCCATTTGGTCCTGCCTTCCCCAGAGCTGCTAGCAGCTCGGTCGAGGCAAGAGTGACTGGCTCAGAGAGCGAGCTTTGTGGTATTGATAAATGAATAAATTAGTATGTTCATGTTGGAAGTGGCTGGCTCTGCAGAGTGATGGACAGCAGGTGGCATCTTACATTGTGATTTGTGGTGCACAGTTAAAACACTTCCCTTCGTTTCAGAAGGAGACAATGTGAATACTTGGAAATTATAGTGAATAAGATGCCTCCCAAACTTGAGGAAAAGGTCAGATTCTAAGAGCTAAACGTTAAGATGTAATGTTCCAGAACAAAGAGGCCCAGAGTCACTGAACGGGGCCCCAGGGCTCCTAGCTTGAGTGTAATCTGAGTCAGCTTATGAAAAGGCCCCAAAGAAGAAAGTGGAATGTGTGCTGGGCACATGGGACAGCCATGGCACTGAGACTTTGGAAGTGGCCTTGCCAGCGCTGTCCTGTCTTTCTGGCCCACAGATGAGGGCTCCTGATTGTGGAAGGCCACGGAAGGGACCTGAACACGATGGCACGAGACAAGTTATCTCCTGTGACTGCTCCTCTCCAGCAACCCTCAGCTCAGGCTAGACTTTCCCCCTGTGTTGAGAATGCCCTGCCCTGTGTGGAAGCCTGATGCATTTAGTGACAGTGTGTTAGCTTTGTTAGTTTCTAGTCTGGCCAGCAGGCTTTCCATGTGATCTGCCATTGGCTTGCTTCAGTGGCCAGTGGAGCCAGGGGTGTCCACCAGAGTCTTGGACACAGACTTCTGAGGTGGCAGCGGGAGGGAGCCTGCTCCCTGCCACACACGTACAATTTCTAATCCATACAGGCCTATGTAGTATATACACACATACGCAGAGCCTTAGGAATTGTGAAAGGCCAATCAAAACTTGGGGCCCTAATTTCACTCTGCCAAAAGAAAAAAAAAAAAAGCTGAAAGATGAGTCACCCAAGAAACTGCTTCCTTTTTGTTCCTAAGCAGAGAGCTACCAATAAAAAGTTAAAGTTTCTCCATAGGTAGCTACTCTGTTCACCTTCTGTGAAGTGCCAAATTTTTTTTTTATTATTATACTTTAAGTTTTAGGGTACATGTGCACAACGTGCAGGTTTGTTACATATGCATACATACGCCATGTTGGTGTGCTGCACCCATTAACTCGTCATTTACATTAGGTATTTCTCCTAATGCTTTCCCTCCCCCCTCCCCCCTACCCCACGACAGGCCCCAGTGTGTGATTTTCCCCTTCCTGTGTCCAAGTGTTCTCATTGTTCAGTTCCCACCTATGAGTGAGAACATGCGGTGTTTGGTTTATTTTACTTGCGATAGTTTGCTGAGAATGATGGTTTCCAGCTTCACCCATGTCCCTGCAAAGGACATGAACTCATCCTTTTTTATGGCTGCATAGTATTCCATGGTGTATATGTGCCACATTTGCTTAATCCAGTCTATCACTGATGGGCATTTGGGTTGGTTCTAAGTCTTTGCTATTGTGAATAGTGCCGCATTAAACATAGGTGTGCATGTGTCTTTATAGCAGCATGATTTATAATCCTTTGGGTATATACCCAGTAATGGGATGGCTGAGTCAAATGGTATTTCTAGTTCTAGATCCCTGAGGAATCGCCACACTGTCTTCCACAGTGGTTGAACTAGTTTACAGTCCCACCAACAGTGTAAAAGTGTTCCTATTTCTCCCCATCCTCTCCAGCACCTGTTTCCTGACTTTTTAATGATCGCCATTCTAACTGGTGTGAGATGGTATCTCATTGTGGTTTTGATTTGCATTTCTCTGATGGCCAGTGATGATGAGCATTTTTTCATGTGTCTGTAGGCTGCATAAATGTCTTCCTTTGAGAAGTGTCTGTTCATATCCTTCACCCACTCCATCAAAAAGTGGGTGAAGTGCCAATTTACTGAGCACGAGACAAATACATCATTGACTTCTTTTGTCTTGTGGATTCAAGGATGTGTCCACGCCCGCCCTCCTTCCCCTCCAGCTCCTCCCCTTGAAATACTGAAGCCCTCAACATCATCTTTGGAGGAAGGTACAGAGTTGGCTCTCACGCGCACATCCTTAACCTTGGCCTAATAAACCTCTAAGGTGGCTGAGACCTGTCTCAGATACTTGTTGGCTTACAAATTGACCACCATGCAGGGACTCAGAGTGGAGGTGGCCCTGCCCTTTGGCAGGTTTCCTCCTGGTGCTTAGGACCAGTTTGGGCCTTCTTTATTGCTCAGGACAGTAGGACAATTTGCTGAGATCCGGGAGCCCTACCACCCTCCAGAGAATCTCTGATCTCCCGAAACTTGGTTGAGGTCGAAAGTTTATTTTGCGCACAATGCCTTTTCCTTTTCCGGTGTTTTACTTGCTTCCAACAAAGAAGGCGAGTTTTCCTGCTTCCGTGATGATGGGGAGCAGGAGACTTCCCTGGAGTTTCAGCTCGGAAACAACTCGAGTTTTTCCTGATTCCACGATGGGGGAGAGCAGTCTAAAGCCTGGGCCCCATTCCTAGGTAAGTGGCTGAATTGGGGTTCTGTCTTGGAAGTTCTCCTTAATGACTAAAGCTAACATTAACGACTGGCTGGTCTTAACTTCTTACTATTAGCATGCTCAGTAAGTGTATAAATTGTGGGATTGTTTGTTTTGCTTAACTGCTTTTTGTTTGTTTCTGTGTTTGCTATTTTTGCTGTTTCAGTCTTTTTCCCGTTGGATTTGACGAATTCTGTTAGACTTGGTCAAATCTGAAGCAAACTTCCAAGTTGTGGGAAACAAGCCTCTGAATTAGCTGAATTCCCACAGCTGGGAAAAAGGAAAAAAAGCCAGAAAAAGGGAAAAAAGATTTTGACCACGTGATGGGCTTTATTTGCATAACGAGGCCACGTTTTTCCAGCCAAGCCACACTCGAAGAGTAAGTGCCGTCACCTCACGCTGCAGTTCGGTAGGTAGAGTCCGCCATTTTTCCACCAGGACAGCCCGGGTTTGGTTCCTACATCCTTTCTGGTTTGAAATTTGTGTTACTTTTGAAATATCAGCAGTTTGTCCCGGCTGAAATAAGGTAGTGAGATTTAAAGATTTAAAAGGATTTTCTTTTTTTTTGAGACGGAGTCTCGCTCTGTCGCCCAGGCTGGAGTGCAGTGGCGCGATCCCAGCTCACTGCAACCTCTGCCGCCCAGGTTCAGCCATTCTCCTGCCTCAGCCTCCCAAGTAGCTGGGATTACAGGCACTTGCCACCGCACCTGGCTAATTTTTGCATTTTTAGTAGAGACGGGGTTTCACCACCTTGACCAGGCTGGTCATGAACTCCTGATCTTGTGATCCACCCTCCTTGGCCTCCCAAACTGCTGGGATTACAGGCGTGAGCCACTACGCCCAGCCAAGAGGATTTTTAAAAGGGCTTAATGGTCAAAAGTAAACTTAACTAAAAGCTAATATCGGATATATTCCAACATAGTAGCTTAATTAAGTCCGTATGCCACATACACATATACAGACCCCTGTGTAGAAAAGAAGGCACCAGACTCCTTTTTGGGGAGAAACTTCTGTTTTTCTTATGGAACTCCAAGAGTGGAAACAGACACGTTCCTCTCAGATCTTAAATTGCTTGCTATTGTATTGTGTTACCTGATTTTTTTTTACTAAAATAGTTGACACAGGACTTTTTGGGGTGCTGCTTCTCTAGCTGGAGGCCTCTGTGGCCGGTGGTGCCCCTACCCGGGTCTCCTGGGCTCCAGGGTTGGCCCTGGAGTACCCCGCCCACCTAGCCCGGCCGTGGGATCCGCCCTCAGCCCATGGCTGGACTGCGCATGCGCACGCCGCAACCCGCTTCAGCCTTGAGCACTGGAGTCTGGACAAGAGGAGTGTGGTGGCGCACAAAACGCCCAAAGATGCCAGGAACGGCAGAGCCCCAAGGGTGTCACAGCTCGATTGTTCCCCCCGCCTGCGGTCTGGTGAGTGGGGGTGTGTTACAGTGTCACCCCCCCTTTTTTTTTTTTTGAGACAGAGTCTCACTCTGTCACTAGGCCAGAGTGCAGTGGCACAGTCTCGGCTCACTGCAACCTCCGCCTCCTGGGTTCAAGCGATTCTCCTACCTCAGCCTCCCAAGTAGCTGGGAGTACAGGTGCCTGCCACCACACCTGGCTAATTTTTTTTTTTTTTTTTTTTTTTTTTTTTGAGACAGAGTTTCTCTCTTGTTGCCCAGGCTGGAGTACAATGGCACGATCGCAGCTCACTGCAACCTCCACCTCCCAGGTTCAAGCGATTCTCCTGCCTTAGCCTCCTGAGTAGCTGGAATTACAGGCATGCACCACCATGCCCGGCTAATTTTTTGTATTTTTAGTAGAGACAGGGTTTCTCCATGTTGGTCAGGCTAATCTTGAACTCCCGACCTTAGGTGATCCACCCGCCTCAGCCTCCCAAAGTGCTAGGATTACAGGCATGAGCCACCACACCCAGCCAGTTTTTGTGTTTTCAGTAGAGATGGGGTTTTACCATGTTGGCCAGGATGGTCTTGATCTCTTGACCTTGTGATCCGCTCACGTCAGCCTCCCAAAGTGCTGGGATTACAGGTGTGAGCCACCAGGCCTGGCCGTCACCCCCTTTTTGAATCTGTGATTCAGCAAGTCCCAAATGCTTCTCCCATGTCCAAGAAAAATGAAGGTATGCAGACAACCGGAGGGTGAGCAGGACAACGTTTTGTTGAGCAACAGAACAGTTCTCAGTGAAGAGGGGAGCCAAAGTGGGCAGCCCCTACTCAAAGTTGGGTACGCCCCCACTGAAGTCCCCCACCATGCACAGCCTATAATTTTATCTTTGACTTGGCATTCTTTTTTTTTTTTTTGAGACAGAGTCTTGCTCTGTTGCCCAGGCCGGAGTGCAGTGGTGCGATCTCGGCTCGCTGCAACCTCCGCCTCCAGGGATCAAGTGTTCTCCTGCCTCAGCCTCCTGAGTAGCTGGGATTACAGGTGCCCGCCACTACACCTGGCTAATTTTTTGTTTGTTTGTTTGTTTGTTTTTTGAGACAGAGTCTTGCTCTGTTGCCCAGGCTGGAGTGCAGCAGCGCAATCTCTGCTCACTGCAAGCTCCACCTCCCGGGTTCACGCCATTCTCCGGCCTCAGCCTCCCCAGTAGATGGGACTACAGGCGCCCACCACCACGCCCAGCTAATTTTTTGTATTTTTATTAGAGATGGGGTTTCACCGTGTTAGCCAGGATGGTCTCAATCTCCTGACCACATGATCCGCCCACCTCGGCCTCCCAAAGTGCTGGGATTACAGGCGTGAGCCACTGCGCCCAGCCTAATTTTTGTATTTTTAATAGAGACAGGGTTTCACTATGTTGGTCAGGCTGGTCTTGAACTCCTGACCTCATGATCTGCCTGCCTCGGCCTCCCAAAGTTCTGGGATTACAGGTAACATTCATTTTTAATGTCCCTCTAACACACCCAGACTCTCCCTCTGTATTTTGAGATGTAAATTTTGCTATCTGATTTTTCACCTAAGAGTTCTTCCTTTGGTATGTCAATTTAGGGCTATCAAGCTGAAAATTGCCTAAGACAATGAAACAGGTTATCAAGAAATTGGAAGTTTAGGCCGGGCGCAATGGTTCACGCCTGTAATCCCAACAAATTGGGAGGCCAAGGCGGGCAGATCACTTGAGGTCAGGAGTTCGAGACCAGCCTGGCCAAGATGGTGAAACCCCATCTTTACTAAAAATACAAAAATTAGCTGGGTGTGGTGGCACGTACCTGTAATCCCAGCTACTTGGGAGGCTGAGGCAGGAGAATCGCTTGAACCTGGGAGGCGGAGGTTGCAGTGAGCTGAGATTGCGCCATTGTACTCCAGCCTGGGCAACAAGAGCAAAACTCCATCTTAAAAAAAAAAAAATACAAAAATTAGCCGGGCGTGGTGGCAGGTGCCTGTAATCCCAGCTACCCAGGAGGCTGAGGCAGGAGAATCTCTTGAACCCAAGAGGTGGAGGTTGCAGTGAGTTGAGACTGTGCCACTGTACTCCAGCCTGGGTGACAAAGTGAGACTCCAACTCAAAAAAAAAAAGAAAAAGATCGAAAGAAAGAAATTGTAAGTTTAAAATAGTAGAAAAAAAAGAAGGGGTCTTATGCATCTTCTGTGTGTCGAATGCATCTATGTATCTATGAGTCATGTATACAATGTTTCACTACCAAAAATATATAAAAGAGTTTTAATTAATTGGGTTAAAGGAAAAAAAAGCACTTAAATACTGTATCAGAAAAATATAAACTTTTTTTTTTTTTTTTTTTTTTGGAGACAGAATGTTGCTCTATCACCCAGGCTGGAGTGCAGGGGCACGATCTCGGCTCACTGCAAGCTCCGCCTCCAGTGTTCTCACGCCATTCTCCTGCCTCAGCCTCCCGAGTAGCTGGGACTACAGGAGCCCGCCACCACGCCCGGCTAATTTTTTGTATTTTTAGTAGAGACGGCGTTTCACCGTGTTAGCCAGGATGGTCTCGATCTCCTGACCTTGTGATCCCCCCGCCTCAGCCTCCCAAAGTGCTGGGATTACAGGTGTGAGCCACCATGCCTGGCCAGAAAAATAGAAACTTTAAGCCCAAATGCTTTTTCAGGTTCATGTGACTTAAGTAAATCCTTAAAAAATAAGCTAGTTTTAAAATTATTGGTAAAATAAAATAGAAATGCCTTCAGAATTGTCAACATACATTATTGTTTAGATTTATTGGTAAAGGAGTTCAATATTTATCATTACGAGATACTGTAAGTTGTCAAAATTTGGCATGAGGGTTATAAGGCTTGCAACACAAAAGGGAATTATGTTTGACTAATTTCTTGATAAATAAGGCATTTAATATTGTTTAATGGAAAGAGATAAATCCTGAGTTGCTGGCAAAAAAAAAAAGAGGAACATTTATTTAACCATAAGGTTCTTACTTAGGTAAACACCTAAAATTCACAGGCTATAAAAATGGTTAGGCCAGGTATGGTGGCTCACGTCTGTAATCCCAGCAATTTGGGAGTCTGAGGTGGGCAGATCACCTCAGATCAGGAATTCAAGACCAGCCTGGCCAACATGGTAAAACCCCGTCTCTACTAAAAATACAAAAATTAGCTGGGCATGGTGGCAGGTGCCTGTAATCCCAGCTACTTGGGAGGCTGAGGCAGCAGAATCACTTGAACCCAGGAGGCGGAGGTTGCAGTGAGCCAAGATCACACCATTGTACTCCAACCTGGGCAAAAAGATCAAAAGAAAACTCCATCTCAGAAAAAAAAAAAAAAAGAAAATGGTTAACAGAGAAATAACTTTAAATGAAGACTATCACAGTTTTCTTTCCTTTTTCTTTTTTTTTTTTGAGAAGAGTTCACTCTGTCACCCAAGCTCGAACGCAATGGCGTGATCTTGGCTCACCGCAGTCTCCGCCTCCCAGGTTCAAGCTATTCTCCCACCTCAGCCTCCCAAGTAGCTGGGATTATAGGTGCCCACAACCACGCCTGGCTAATTTTTTTTTTTTTTTTTTTTGAGACAGAGTCTCGCTCTGTCTCCCAGGCTGGAGTGCAGTGGTGCTATCTCGGCTCACTGCAAGCTCCGCCTCCCGGGTTCATGCCATTCTCCTGCCTCAGCCTCCTGAGTAGCTGGGACTACAGGCACCTGCCACCACGCCTGGCTAATTTTTTGTATTTTTAATAGAGATGGGGTTTCACCGTGTTAGCCAGGATGGTCTTGATCTCCTGACCTTGTGATCCGCCCAGTCTGGCTAATTTAAAAAAAATATTTTTATAGTAGGCTGAGGCGTGAGAATGGCATGAATCTGGGAGGCGGAGCTTGCAGTGAGCCGAGACTATGCCACTGCACTCCAGCCTGGGCAACAGAGTGAGACACCATCTCAAAAAAAAATTTATTTTAAATAAACAAATAAATAATTACAGATGTAAAGATAGTTATAAGGAGATATTTTTAGTATGAAAAGTTAAAAGGAAAATAATTTCATATGAGAAAGAATCTTGTGTGGTAAATTTTTGTTCTAAAATGGCTAGTTATTTTGGAAAGAGGGATGTTCAGAATAAAACAGGAAGTCCAAGTATATCATAAATGGTTTGTGTAAGTTTTGATAAAGTTTGTAAAAAGCTTTTTTTTTTTTTTTTTAAGATGGAGTCTCGCTTTGTTGTCTGGGCTGGAGTACAGTGGTGCAATTTTGGCCTATGTCAGATTAACAAGGCTTTCTTGGAGCATTAACCCACTCTTTAATTAAAAAAAAAAAGTTATAAAAATGTTTATGGAAATTATCTTTTTTGTTTTTGAGGCAGAGTTTCGCTCTTGTTGCCTAAGTTGGAGTACAGTGGTGTGATCTCAGCTCACTGCAACCTCTGCCTCCTAGGTTCAAGCAATTCTTCTGGCTCAGGCTCCCAAGTAGCTGAGATTACAGGCGCCCACAACCATGCCTGGCTAATTTTTGTATTTTTGGTAGATACGTGGTTTCTCCATGTTGGCCAGGCTGGTCTCGAACTCCTGACCTCAGGTGATCGACCTGCCTCGGCCTCCCAAAGTGCTGAGATTACAGGTGTGAGCCACCGCACCCAGCCTTATGGCCTTATTTTTTTTGTTTTTTTTTAGATGGAGTCTTGTTCTGTCACCCAGGCTGAAGTGCAGTGGTGTGATCTCGGCTCACTGCAACCTCCACCTCCCAGGTTCAAGCAGTTCTCCTGGCTCAGCCTCCCAAGTAGCTGGGATCACAGACGCACACTACCATGCCTGGCTACTTTTTGTATTTTTAGGAAAGATGAGGTTTGCCATGTTGGTCAGGCTGGTCTTGAACTCCTGACCTCAAGTGATCCGCCTGCCTTGGCCTCCCAAAGTACTAGGATTACAGGCGTGAGCCACCACACCCAGCCTGAAAATTATATCTTGTGCTCAAGATGATTACAATTTAATAGATTTGTTTATAAAATTTTAGAGAGATTTAATTGGCCTTATGCTGTCTTTATCTTTTGAGAAGAAATTCCCTCAAAGAATAAAGGTTTCTACATTTTTTTTTGAAATCTTTGAGTTATCTCAGCACCATAGGAAAGGTAAAAACAGAAAAAAAAAAAGAAAATAAAAAAAGAAATCTGTGAGTTATCACTGTGGCTAAGTGAATGACTTATTTTACAATGACCTGTGATCCTATTTAGTGATAGCAACTGTTTTAAAACTTTTTCTAGGCCAGGCACGGTGGCTCACACCTGTAATCCCAGCACTTTGGGAGGCTGAGATGGGCAAATCAAGAGGTCAGGAAATCAAGACCATCCTAACTAACATGGTGAAACCCTGTCTCTACTGAAAATACAAAAAATTAGCTGGGCGTGGTTGCAGGCGCCTGTAGTCTCAGCTGCTTGGGAGACTGAGGCAGGAGAATGGCGTGAACCCGGGAGGCAGAGCTTGCAGTGAGCCAAGATTGCAGCACTGCACTCCAGCCTGGGTAACAGAGCGAGACTCTGTCTCAAATAAAAACAAAAACAAAACAAAACACTTTTTATATTTGACAAACTTTCCAAAATCAAATTCTTTCTTCAGTCCTCATTAATTTTTGTGTGTGTGTGTCTGATGGAGTCTCACTCTGTTGCCCCAGCTGGAGTGCAGTGGCACAATCTCGGCTCACTTCAACCTCCACCTCCCAGGTTCAAGCGATTCTCCTGCTTCAGCCTCCCAAGTAGCTGGAACTACAGGTGCCCGCCACCACACCTGGCTAATTTTTATATATTTTTTTCTTTTTGAGATAGAGTCTTGCTCTGTCACCAAGGCTGGAGTGCAGTGGCACGATCTCAGCTCACTGCAAGCTCCGCCTCCCGGGTTCATACCATTCTCCTGTCTCAGTCTCTTGAGTAGCTGGGACTACAGGCGCCTGCCACCACGCCCAGCTAATTTTTTTTTTTTGTATTTTTTAGTTGAGACAGGGTTTCACTGTGTTAGCCAGGATAGTCTCCATCTCCTGACCTCATGATCCACCTGCCTCAGCTTCCCAAAGTGCTGGGATTACAGGCGTGAGTCACCTGCCTCAGCCTCCCACAGTGCTGGGATTACAGGTGTGAGCCACTGCGCCAGGCCTCCCAAGGTGTTGGGATTACAGGCGTGAGCCACCGCTCCGGGCCTCCCACAGTGCTAGGATTACAGGTGTGAGCTGCTGCACCTGGCAATTTTTTGATATTAGGTCCCCTGAAGTCCAAAAAGAGATATATGGCTTATTTGGTATAATGAAATCATACAGGAAGCATTGTTAAAGGTGAAATGGTGTTTTTCTTGGGATTATATTTATATAAATGTGTTGTTAGTGTGTGTTCCAAAATTGTATGAGATGCCTGTGATTCTGATACATCTTAGTATATGGTATTAGTAGTAATTATGATTATTATGTAAAATTGTTGTATGCCACATAAGTAACCAAATTTGCTTGTCAATTATGTCTTTTTTTTTTCTTTTTTCTGAGACAGAGTCTTGCTCTGTGGCCCAGGCTGGAGTGCAGTGGTACAGTCTTGGCTCACTGCAACCTCTGCCTCCCAGGTTCAAGCGATTCTCATACCTCAGCCTCCAGAGTAGCTGGACTGCAGGCGCATGCTACCACGGCCAGATAATTTTTGTATTTTTAATAGAGACGGGGTTTCTTTTTTTTTTTTTTCCCTGACAGAGTTTTGCTTTTGTTGCCCAGGCTTGGAGTGCAATGGCGCGATCTTGGCTCACTGCAACCTCCACTTCCTGGGTTCAAGCAATTCTTCTGCCTCAGCCTCCCAAGTAGCTGGGATTACAGGTGTACACCACCATGCCTGGCTAATTTTGCATTTTTTTAGTAGAGACATGGTTTCACCATGTTGATCAGGGTCGTCTCAAACTCCTGACCTCAAGTGATCCACCCGCCTCAGTCTCCCAAAGTTTTGGGATTATAAATGTGCGCCACTGCACCCGGTCAAGACAGGGTTTTGCCATGTTAGCCAGGGAGGTCTCAAACTCCTGACCTCAAGTTATCCGCCCTGCTTGGTCTCCCAAAGTGCTGGGATTGCACACATGAGCCACTGTGCCTGGCCTCAATTATGTCTTTAACTGTGGCTGTTCTAAGACTTTTGTCATCCACAATTGTTGTTTTACTTTTATCCTTTCACAGAGCAGTTTATAATCAGCTATAGAACTCTGAGGTACTCTTCAATCTAAGTTTCTGATCACTTTTGAGATTGTGCCATTGGAATAGAGCAAAAAACTTCCAAGACTCTCATTGAGAGCTGCTATATTCATGAGGATTGTTCATCCAATATTGGGCAAAATGAGAGTTAATTTTATGGACTAAACTAATATAAGACTGAAATAATCTTTTTATGTTTTTGCTTAAAACATTACTGATTCTTTCTGTTCTTTCAGAACCAAGAAAACTTTTTTTTTTTTTTTTTTGAGACAGAATCTCACTCTGTCGCCCAGGCTGGAGTGCAGTGGCGCCATCTCGGCTCACTGCAAGCTCCGCCTCCCAGGTTCACACCATTCTCCTGCTTCAGCCTCCCAAGTAGCTGGGACTACAGGCGCCCACCACCGCGCCCGGCTAATTTTTTGTATTTTTAGTAGAGACAGGGTTTCACCGTGTTAGCCAGGATGGTCTCAATCTCCTGACCTTGTGATCCGCCCACCTCGGCCTCCCAGAGTGCTGGGATTACAGGCGTGAGCCACGGTGCCCGGCTGGTAACTTTTTTAACTTTGAGCTATTTGCAGCTTTTAGCAATTGAGTAAAGTACACTCCTGTGAGGAAGATTTGGAACATATTTCTGTTTTCTTTTTTGTTTTTTATATTTTGCTTGGGTAGCATATTTCTTTCTGATTTCTCCAAAAATTGGGAACTATCTGTGAGCACTATTTAAAAAAAAAAAAAAAACTTTTCCCTCTCCCTTCCCCTATTTGTATTCTAATGTCAATATAATGATGTGTGCACGTGCAGTAACAATCTGTTTTCTCTTGTAATAGGACATAGAGACACTGCATATTTTACCAAGGCTTTGACTGGAATGGCATGCTTTCAAATATAAACAGACGGCTTTAAGGAATCAGAGTTGACCTATAGTGCCCATCAAAGCCCTTGGGAAAACTGGCTTCATACTGTATCCACCCAGTGGATTCTTCTTGCCCAGATGGAGCCCATGTATCAAGGTAGGGAAACTGCAATAGAGAAAGGGTTTAATTCACACAGAGACAAGTGAATGGGAGACCAGAATTTGATGATTACTGAAATCAGTCTCCCCAAGAATTTGGGGACTAGGGTGTTCCAAAGGTAGTTTGGGGGAAGGGGTGGGGTAGCTTGGCAGTGGGTGCTTGCTGCTGATGGGTTGTGGGGGCGGGGGGCCATCGTAGGGTGTGAGACAGGATCCTCCCGTGTGCTGAACCGCTTCTGGGTGGGGCTGCAGGAGTAGTTGGCAGGTCCAGGTGGAGCCATCATCAGTCAGTGGGTCCTGTTGGAGCCGTAGGTATCAGACATGCAAAAAACCCTTGCGAGGTACTGCAAAAGGCCAATCTTAGGTTACAATAGCATTGTTATCTGCAGGACCTCTGGAATAATGGCTGATAATTGTTTATGTCTACATCTTAGCCAAATTCAGGCTCCTCTCCTCTCCCTAGCCTGGTGGCCCCTCATTAGTTTTACAAATACAGTTGAGTTTTGGGGAGGGGCTATTATCATGTAAACTATAAACATCTCCCAAAGCTAGCCCAAGAATAACTGAAGGCAGCTTGAAGGCTAAAGGTCAAAGGGGGTTTGGCTACATCAGATCTTCCCCAATTGGCATAATTTTCTCAATGATACAATTTTTGTGGCCGGGCTCGGTGGCTCACGCCTGTAATCCCAGCACTTTGGGAGGCCAAGGCGGGCAGATCACGAAGTCAGGAGATTGCAACCATCCTTGTCAACACAGTGAAACCCCGTCTCTACTAAAAATACACAAAAAATTAGCCGGGCGTGGTGGCGGGCGTCTGTAGTCCCAGCTACTTGGGAGGTTAAGGCAGGAGAATGGCGTGAACCTGGGAGGCGGAGCTTGCAGTGAGCCGAGGTCGCACCACTGCACTCCAGCCTGGGCGACAGAGCAAGACTCCGTCTCAAAAAAAAAAAAAAAAAAAAAAGCCTACATGGTAAATATTTATTCTTGCTACAGTTTATACAAATAACCAGGCCAAGTACAATAAGACTAAAACTTATTTTGAAAACAAATCAGTACTACCTGATTTCACTTTGGTAAAAATAGGAGACTAGAGAGAGAAAAATTATGTTTCAAAATAAACTATAGTATACCTGTTATTAGATTCTAGCCTTGCCTAAGGTTTTTCAACTTTTATTATTTTCTCTTTTTTTGTTTGTTTATTTGTTTTTTCAGACAGGGTCTCACTCTGTCACCCGGGCAGTGGTGTGGTATCAGTTCACTGCAACCTCTGCCTCCTGGGTTCAAGTGATTCTCGTGCCTCAGCCTCCCGAGTAGCTGGGATTATTGGTGTGCACCACTATGGCCAGCTCATTTTTTTGTATTTTTAGTAGAGATGCGTTTCACCATGTTGGCCAGGCTAGTCTCGAACTCCTGACCTCATGATCCACCGGCCTCGGCCTCCCAAAGTGCTGGGATTATAGGCATGAGCCACTGCGCCGGGCCAAAGCCGTGCTTTTCTTAAAGCTCTGCGAACGAAAGCTAGACAACTTAAACCTCAGAAGAGAATAATGGTACCTATTTATATACATAAACCACTTTCACGCCTGCCTGCTGTGTATGGACTTCAGAGGAACACAGCCTACGTCAGTTTTCTAGGATTGTTCTCTCCACGTGCTCTTTGTTTTCTTTCTTTCTTCTTCCCTCTATTTTCCTCCCTCCCTCCCTTCCTTCCTTCCTTTCACAAAGTCTCACTCTGTTACCCAGGCTGGAGTGCAGTGGCACGATTTTGGCTCACTGCAACCTCCGCCTTCCGGGTTCAAGCGATTCTCCTGCCTCAGCCTCCCGAGTACCTGGGACTACAGGCAACCACCACCACACCCAGCTAATTTTGTTAGTTTTAGTAGAGACGGGGTTTCACCATGTTGGCCAGGCTGGTCTCGAACTCCTGACCTCAAGTGATCTGCCTACCTCGGCCTCCCAAAGTGTTGGGATTATAGGCATGAGCCACTGTGCCTGGTCACAACACCTGCATTTTCTTTTTTTTTTGTTTTTTTTTTTGAGACAGAGTCTCACTCTGTCACCCAGGCTGGAGTGTAGTGGTGTGATCTTGGCTCACTGCAAGCTCCGCCCCGTGGGTTCACACCATTCTCCTGCCTCAGCCTCCCGAGTAGCTGCAACTACAGGCACCCGCCACCATGCCTGCCTAATTTTTTGTATTTTTTAGTGGAGATGGGGTTTCACTGTGTTAGCCAGGATGGTCTCTATCTCCTGACCTCGTGATCGACCCGCCTCAGACTCCCAAAGTGCTGGGATTACAGGCATGAGCCACCACGCCTGGCCAACACCCCCATTTTGTATACCACACTCAACTCCCCCATTTTCTACATGCTGATCAAAACCAATCTGAATGGAGTCTAGGTCTGGCTGTGGGCTGTTGGGAAGAGGCCCCCAAATCTGGCCATCAACTGGCCGCAAAACTGGCCATAAACAAAATCTCTGCTGCACTGTGACATGCTCATGATGGCCATGACTCCCACACTGGAATGAGGGCAAGGAACACCTGGCCCACCCAGGGCGGAAAACCGCTTAAAGGAGTTCCTGAACCACAAACAATAGCATGAGCGATCTGTGCCTTAAGGACGTGCTCCTGCTGCAGATAACTAGCCAGACCCATCCCTTTATTTCCCGTAAGAAGTGCTTTTAATCTATAATCTATAGAAACAATGCTTATCACTGGCTTGCTGTCAATAAATATGTGGGTAAATCTCTGTTCGAGGCTTTCAGCTTCGAAGGCTGTGAGACCCCTGATTTCCCACTCCACACCCTATATTTCTGTGTGTGTTTCTTTAATTCCTCTAGCGCCGCTGGGTTAGGGTCTCCACGACCGAGCTGGTCCCGCAGTGGGCAGTGGTTTGGGCCCGACCGAGCTGGTCCCGCAGTGGGCGGTGGTTTGGGCCCGACCGAGCTGGTCCCGCAGTGGGCGGTGGTTTGGGCCCGACCGAGCTGGTCTCGCAGTGGGCGGTGGTTTGGGCCCGACCGAGCTGGTCTCGCAGTGGTTTGGGCCCTGCTTGCTCGACTGGATTTCAACAGTGAAGCCAGATTAGAGGACATGCTGGCTGCCCCGATCCTGGACCTGGACCAATGGTGCTTCCTAAACATTCCATGTCAACTTTTCTTTTTCCACCTTCCAGGGCTGGGCTGTGAAAGAGATTGGAGAGGCAGGTGCCTGTGAGAGAAGCTTCTACCAGCCTGGGAAGTCAGGTCTTCCATGAGTGAGGGGAGGTATCTACTTTGCCAAACCTTGTTAGGGAATGCTGACATAGCTGCCTCTTCCTGCCCAGAAGCTAAGCTTGAATGCCACCCCTCACAGAGCTTCTCTCCTGTCTTTCACTCACTCCTGCTTATTTCTGTGACAGAACTTGACAGCATGGACATTGCCACTTGCTTCCTTCAGTCTCCTGGAGTCCCCATGTCCTGAACACAGAGGAGGCACCCAAATGCTTGCTGAAGCCACATCCCTGGACCAAGTGACCTGACCCTCACCTGGAGGACCTTCACCTTCACCTCTCACCTGGAGGACCCTCTCACCTGGAAGACTCTCTCACCTGGAGGACCACCCCACCTGAAGGACTCCCAACTGGAGGACCCTCTTACCTGGGGGACCCCCTCCGCTGGAGGACCCTCTCACCTGGAGGACCCTCTTACCTGGAGGGCCCTTCACCTGGGGGACTCCCCCACCTAGAGGATCCTCTTACCTGGAGGTCCCCTCACCTGGGGAACCCCCCCCCCACCTAGAGGATCCTCTTACCTGGAGGGCCCTTCACCTGGGGAACCCCCCCCCCCCACCTAGAGGATCCTCTTACCTGGAGGACCCCCCACCGAGAGGACCCTCCCCCCCCACCTGGAGGACCTCCCCACATGAAGGACTCCCACCTGGAGGACCTTCTTACCTGGGGGAACCCGTCTCACCTGGAAGACCTTCACCTGGGTAATCGCCGTGGCCTCCCACTACGGCGCAGCCGGGTCGGCTGCCCGGGCTTCACCCTAAAATAAGGCCCGAACTGCAGCAGTCGGAGCCGATCCCTGGAGCCCAGCGCCTAGGGCGGACCCGCGGGAGCGTCTCTTGGTAACCGTTGCTAAGGAGAGGAAGCCCGGGAAGGAGCTTTCGCGCCTGCGCCGCGGGGCCGTCCGCGTCTGCGCCTGCGCGCAAGAGAGGCGGGGCCAGCGCTCGGCATGGCGGAGCCAGATCTGGAGTGCGAGCAGATCCGTCTGAAGTGTATTCGTAAGGAGGGCTTCTTCACGGTGCCTCCGGAACACAGGGTGCGCGGGGTGCCACCCGGGCAGCTCTGCCCGCCTCGCTAGCGGCACTGCCCGGCTGGGTCTGGGGAGCCTCGTGTCGCGCTGCCGCGCCGAGGCTTCCGGCACGGGCGGGAACGACAGTCCCAGAGTTCCCCGCGGCGGGGGCGGAAGCCGGGGCGGGGCGGGCTCAGGACCCCCGACAGCCGGTCCCTGGAGATCTGAGGGGCCGGGGCGGGCTCAGGGATGCCTCGCGCCCGCGGAGAGACGGGCCCGGGACTTGGGAAGAGCAAGCTCCGGGATCCAGCTCGGGCGCTGCTGGGTTCAGCGCCCGAGCTGGGCTTTGCAGGCTGAGCCGCGAGCCACTTGTTTGTGGGGAGAATTTACACCCGCGACGAGTTCGAGCTTGAAGGCTCCCGCTGGGCTTGGGCTGCATGGAGCGGGGTCCAGCGCTGCCTGGCGGCTTCACGCGAACCCTGGGCGCGTCCCTTGCGGAGGTGCCGGTGCCTCCCTCTGCAGAGACCAGGAGAGAGCCTCTGGGCGTTGGGCGGTGTTGCCCAGGTGCACGGCTGGTGGGGGTGGAGAGCCCTGAACTTTGGCCGCTGGTTTGTGTTTTTAACTGCTGGCTGGTGCTCTGAGAGGCCAAGCCACGTGTTCAGTAAGAATCATTAACAGATCGTGGCTGGATGACAACAGGAGCCACACTTTACTCATCCAGACGTGCAGCAGGCGCTCACCGCGTTGAGAGCCGTGTGCTGGACTCTGGGGTGAAGTAGTGAGTTGGCCTTTTCTTTTTTGTTGTTTTTTTGAGACAGGGTCTAGCGCTCTCGCCCAGGCTGGAATGCAGTGGCGTGATCACGGCTCAGTGCATCGTCAGCCTCCTGGGCTCAAGTGATCTTCCTGCCTCGGCCTCCCAAGTGCTGGAATTACAGGCGTGAGCCACCGCCCCCAGCCTGGCCTGGCATTTCTTTGAGTTCAGGAAGTGTGACAAGGATTTGGACACCCAGAAATAAGCGTGTCGAGAAGAGCACAAGCAGAGGATGTGAGAAGGGGAATTAAGGCGGGAAAGGGAGTTTGAGACTAGGCCATCAGTGAGTGACAGGCCAGATGCTTCTGACTCGGTCCCCAGGTGTCAGGAAGGAATCAGACTGAGGACAAATGCGGCCAGTGGCTCACACCTGTAATCTCAGCAATCTGGGAGGCTGAGGTGGGAGGATTGCTTGAGCCCAGGTTTGATACTGAGGGTTAAGAGAAGGGAAGCCGGGAAATGGGGGCTGTGAGGTTTCAAACCTTGCTACGTGTGCTTTTTTTTTTTTTTTTTTTTTTGAGACGGAGTCTCATTCTGTCACCCAGGCTGGAGTGCAGTGGCGCAGTCTCGGCTCACTGCAAGCTCCACCTCCTGGGTTCACGCCATCCTCCTGCCTCAGCCTCCCAAGCAGCTGGGACTACAGGCGCCCGCCACCACGCCCAGCTAATTTTTTCATATTTTTAGTAGAGACGGAGTTTCACCGTGTTAGTCAGGGTGCTCTAGATCTCCTGACTTCGTGATCCACCCACCTCAGCCTCCTAAAGTGCTGGGATTACAGGCGTGAGCCACTGCGCCCGGCTTACATGTGCTTCTTAGATCCATGGAGAAGGATACAGACTCTACTAGTTCAGAGACCCCAAAATACAGGGCCTCAAGATGATGCCTTTTTTCACTCTCCCCTAACATTCTGGAGAGAAGCAGTTGTTTTGCACAGGTGGGTCAGGCATTCTGGTTCCATTTTTTCTTCCCGTCACTGAGGTGAGAAGAGGTGAAAGCTTCCTTTCACCTGGAAGTCACACGGTCCCTTCAGCTCACATTCCAAGGCCAGATGCCACTGGGTAGCGTTTCATAACTTCCAGGAGGTAGTGATACAGGGATGCTGGGACAGCAGCCTCTGCCACAGATGTATTTTTGTATGTGGGATTGAAAGGGAGTATCTGAGTGGCCGCCTCTGATATTTCTTTCAAAGCATTGGCCCAGTATCGTCACCACCTTTTCTCATCAGAAAAGCCCAAGAGGCCGGGTACGGTGGCTCACGCTTGTAATCCCAGCACTTTGGGAGGCCAAGGCGGGCAGATCACTTGAGGTCAGGAGCTCAAGACCAGCCTGGCCAACATGGTGAAACCCAGTCTCTACTAAAAATAGAAAATTAGGCGGTTGTGGTGGCACCTGCCTGTAATCCCAGCTACTCAGGAGGCTGAGGCCGGAGAATCACTTGAACCCAGGAGGCGGAGGTTGCAGTGAACCATGTTCTTGCCACTGCACTCCAGCCTGGGCAACAGAGCGAGACTCAGTCTCAAAAAAAGAAAAAAAAAGCCCAAACGTGTGGTTGCCTTTCTGTTTGGTGAGCAAGACGTGAGTGGGCTCCCTGGTACAAATTCCATTTGAAATTTCCTCAGTTGTTCCATCAGCTGCCAAATTTCCACACTGGCAACACCCTTCTGTTTCAGCTGGGACGATGCCGGAGTGTGAAGGAGTTTGAGAAGCTGAACCGCATTGGAGAGGGTACCTACGGCATTGTGTGTGAGTGGCCAAGGCTAGGACATGTGGCCGCAGCTCGTGGCTGTGACAGTGTGGGACGAGACTGTCGAAGCAGCAGCCGCGTTGGGGCTGGAAGGGACTCAGACCCTGTGCTCTGAAACAGGGCAGAAACCTGTTCAGGAACTTCAATTCCTGATGTAGTTATCACAAACATTGTACCATTTCTGGGTAAACGTAAGCATCCGGTTGCTAATGCCCATAATCCAAACGTGTCACTGCAGAGTACACAGAACTGTTAGAGAAATAAAATACAGAACTTTCCAGAAGCAGCAGGAGCTGGACATGGTGCTCATGTCTATCACCTCAGCAACTCTGGAGGAGTCACCTGAGCCCAGGTGTTTTTTCTTTTTGTTTGTTTTTGAGATGGGTCTTGCTCTATTGCCCAGACTGGAGTGCAGTGGCATGATCATAGCTCACTGCGGCCTCGACCTCCTAGGCTCAAGTGATCCTCCCACCTCAGCCTCCTGAGTATCTGGGACCACAAGAGTACATAAGCACACCCAGCTAATTTTTAAATTTTTGGTAGAGATGGGATCTCCCTATGTTGCCCAGGCTGGTCTTGAACTTCTGGGCTCAAATGATCCTCCTGCCTCGGCCTCCCAAAGCACTGGGATTACAGGTGTGAGCCACTGCACCCGGCCAAGCCTAGGAGTTTGAGGCTGCAGTGAGCTGTGATCACGCCACTGCACCCCAGCCTTGGCAACAGAGTGAGACCCTGTCTCAAAAAAACCAAAAACACCACACACAACTAAAGGTTATAACAGATGTGAAATTGGCGTAGGTCATTCTGGAAGCTGCACACATTAGCAGGATGTTTTGTAGAGCCATCTTCACACAAAATAAGGTTTGCTTTTTTCTGCATAGAGTACCTTATTTGCTTTTAGGACATTACAAGAGAGCACAAAGCAGTGATCTGCATGCTAAGGAGGACATGGAGAGCCTGGAGCCACAGAACTGAGTGGCTGGAGGCCAGGGTCCAGCACAGAGCAAAGTTGGGCACCCCCTGCCCAGTTCAAATGAGGAAACCCTCCGGGGGAACGCGTCTCGGGCTAGGGGCGTTGCACAGAGTGGGGACTGAGTGTCACTGGGCATGAGGTTGTCAGAGGAAAGAACGGGGACCCCTGTGGCTCAGGGAGAGCCTCCCGTTCAGCGCTAGGGAGCCCACGAGGGGCATCGAGATGATGTCATCACCAATGTGTTTCCATTCCAGATCGGGCCCGGGACACCCAGACAGATGAGATTGTCGCACTGAAGAAGGTGCGGATGGACAAGGAGAAGGATGGTGAGCAGGAAATTGGGGTGTTGGGACCTCGCACTGGGAGGAGGCAGAAGGATGTGAGTTACCTGAAGTTTCCTCAGAGCGACTGCACGGTGCTTGTAGCGGGGGCCGGCCTCTGGGAGGGTTCTGGTGTGGCCCAGCACATCACCCCCAGGTCCACACGCAGCCTCAGCTGTCTGCCAGGAGGGCTCTGCAGTCTCCATCCCCTCCTCCCCCTCCTGTCTGGTGAGGCCACCTCACTGCAGGCTCAGCTCTGCTGTCCCCTCCACCCCCAGCACCTGCCTGTGCAGGCAGGGCCCTGCCATGCCCCACATAGATGTCCACGGTGTTTAGAGAGGTGCCGATTCGTATTTGGTCAAGGAAGAGTTAAAAGTGCTTATTGGGCCGGGCATGGTGGCTCATGCCTGTAATCCCAGCACTTTGGGAGGCCGAGGCAGGCGGATCACCTGAGGTCGGCAGTTCAAGACCAGCCTGACCAACATGGAGAAACCCCATCTCTACTAAAAATACAAAATTAGCCAGGCGTGGTGGCACATGCCTGTAATCCCAGCTACTAGGGAGGCTGAGGCAGGAGAATTGCTTGAACCCGGGAGGCAGAGGTTGCGGTGAGCCGAGATGGTGCCATTGCACTCCAGCCTGGGCAACGAGCGAAACTCCGTCTCAAAAAAAAAAAAATGCTTATTGGGGTCGCCCCAATTCTCCCTGAGGTGGGGACACTGCAGCACCTGCTATCAGGTGTTCGTGAAGCCCAAGAGTGGCTGGGGTTGGGGCTTCCCCGCCATCACTGGGGTGGGGCTCGCTGAGGCCACCTCCCTCCCCAGGCATCCCCATCAGCAGCTTGCGGGAGATCACGCTGCTGCTCCGCCTGCGTCATCCGAACATCGTGGAGCTGAAGGAGGTGGTTGTGGGGAACCACCTGGAGAGGTACGTGGTCTCCTGGTCTGCACATTGGGCCCTAGGGAGCATGTGTCTTGGGCTAGAGGTGTTGCACAGAGCGAGGACTGAGTGTCACTGGGCATGAGGTTGTCAGAGAAGAGATGACCCCACCTCACCGCCTGGCTCAGCCCATTGTCTGAGGGGGACACAGGTTGTCCTGCCCATGTCCCCTCCTGCAGCAGGGGAGGCTCCACTTCCACCCCTTAGGAGAAGGCCGGAGAGTGGCATGCATCTTCTGTTTCTTCCAGCATCTTCCTGGTGATGGGTTACTGTGAGCAGGACCTGGCCAGCCTCCTGGAGAATATGCCAACACCCTTCTCGGAGGCTCAGGTGCGTGGCAGAGGGGCCTGGGGTGGGGGAATGGGCTTCATGGGCCCTTGTGGTGCACATTTATAACGAAACAGGGCACTTGGGGACTTGAAGAGCTGCTGCTGCCTCTGCCTCCACCTCCCAGTGTTTCAGCGAGCTTCAGTGAGGTGGAATTCCTGTGGTGGGGGCATCTGCTGGGAGCGGGCAGCCCCAGGGCCGAGAGCCTTATGAGGGCACTGGTTTCCTGGGCTGTTGGGAGCAGGCAGCCCCGGGGCTGAGAGCCTTCTGAGGGCACTGGTTTCCTGGGCTGCTGGGAGCGGGGAGCCCTGGGCGGAGAGCCTTCTGAGGGCACTGGTTTTCTGGGCTGCTGGGAGAGTGCAGCCCCGGGGCCAAGAGCCTTGTGAGGGCACTGGTTTCCTGGGCTGCTGGGAGCGTGCAGCCCCGGGGCCGAGAGCCTTCTGAGGGCACTGGTTTCCTGGGCTATTGGGACTGCTAGTCCTGCTGGCCAGTGTGGGTGTGGCAGGGCCCAGCTGGGCTTCCCTGCAGGCTCACCCTGACTGGTACCTCTGACCCTCTGCACAGGTCAAGTGCATCGTGCTGCAGGTGCTCCGGGGCCTCCAGTATCTGCACAGGAACTTCATTATCCACAGGTGGGTGACAGCTAGGCAGAGTTGGAAGCACAAATTCGGCTGAGGCCTAACTCTGCTGCCCCTGTGGAGTTACTAAAAGCTCAGGGGTTCCCAGCTGCAGCAGCCTGCCCGCTGCTCGCACTCCATTTGTGTTTTTTTCTAAAATAGAGAAGGGGTCTCTCTGTGTTGCCCAGGCTGGTCTCACACACTTGGGCTCAAGTGATCCACCCACCTTGGCCTCCCAAAGTGCTGGGATTACAGGTGGGAGCCACCACACCCAGGCATGCACTCCGATTTTTAAAAGGTCCAAACATCAACAGCATGTAAGAGTTAATGAAAAAAAAAATAATAAAGATACTACGCCGGGCACAGTGGCTCACGCCTGTGATCCCAGCACTTTGGGAGGCCGAGGCAGGCGGATCACGAGGTCAGGAGATCGAGACCATCCTTGTTAACACAGTGAAACCCCATCTCTACTAAAAATACAAAAAAATTAGCCGGGCGTGGTGGCGGGCGCCTGTAGTCCCAGCTACTTGGGAGGCCGAGGCAGGAGAATGGCGTGAACCCGGGAGGCGGAGCTTGCAGTGAGCCGGGATTGCTCCACTGCACTCCAGCCTGGGCGACAGAGTGAGACTCTGTCTCAAAAAAAAAAAAAAAAGATACTAAAAAGCCCAAAGCTGAGGAAACGTGCAGGAAGTCTACGGGCATTGGTGCCGTGGGGGAGCTCTCAGCCCCTGTGGCCCTCTGGGAGCCACCTGCCACTGTTTTTCCATCACAGGGACCTGAAGGTTTCCAACTTGCTCATGACCGACAAGGGTTGTGTGAAGACAGGTGGGTGCAACTTGGGCCAGGCCCTGTCCCTAGATGGCACTTGGTGACACACACTCCCCTCTCTGCTGCAGCGGATTTCGGCCTGGCCCGGGCCTATGGTGTCCCAGTAAAGCCAATGACCCCCAAGGTGGTCACTCTCTGGTAAGTCCTTCTGAAGCATGGTGGCCCCTGGGGACCAGGCCTGTCTGGTGGAGGTCTCCTTGGGGATGTCAGGCCGAAGCTGCAACTGGCCTTGGGAATGTTAAGCTACAGGGTCTGTGCACACTCAGAAACGTTGGGTCTAGGACAGCCTCCAGGACACAGCAGGGCTGTGCCACAAAATGGTGAGAGACGGGCTCAGTGGCGTCAAGGGCCTGCCTAGATCAGACACACCTCGCCTTGAGAGCTGGAAACACCGTGGCCGTGAAACCATCTCTGGAGGGAAGGCTGCTTCACGGACTGAAGGACAGGCAGCTTGCATGCTTTCCCTGGTTCTTCCTCCTGGATACTTTTAACCAAACAGGGTCATGCTTAGCCAGGGCTGAATATCAGAGTTGGTCAGAATCAGGTCAGGACCCCAGTGTCGTGTACTCCCCATCTGAGAACGGGTTGGTAGTGGCTGGTGTGGCTGTGTGCCGAGGGTCCGTGGTCCCTGCGACTCTCAGGACACCGCTGCACGTGACAGCTCTCGCCCCCGGCAACCATTGCTGTGTGTGCCACCTGGATCTGCAGGGCCTGGGGCAGAGGGTGGTCCGAGTTGGGACAGGTTTCCAGGCCACCACAGGCTCTCGGGGAGGCTGTGTCCTGTGGAGGCCTGGGCTGGGGGAGAGGAGCCGGCTGTATTGAGGTGGGTGCTTCTGTGTGTAGGTACCGAGCCCCTGAACTGCTGTTGGGAACCACCACGCAGACCACCAGCATCGACATGTGGTGAGGAGATACGGTTACCGCTCCTGGGGCCTCAGGAAGGGCTGGGACAGGAGCCGGGTCACCTGGTTCCTGAGCTCAGCCTCAGGGGAGGGGCAGGAGTGCAGTGGGGTCTTTGCCAGCCTCCCACTCCCAGGGAGGTGGGCCTGAGCCTGGAAACCCAGGAGGAGGTGTGAGAACTTAGCTTGCTGTTCTCAGGCTGGGAGCACAGAGGTCTGGAGGAGGCACGCCTGCCCCTGCACTTGTCACCCCGGGAGGCCTGCGGGGCCCAGGAGGGGAGCCAGTGGTCCCTGCCTGTCCTTCACAGTGTCCCTGACCCAGCGTGCCTCACACTGGCAGGGTCAGCAAAGGTCTGGCTGCAGTCAGGTCCTCTGTTCCTCGCGCTGGCGGGGTCAGCAGACGTCTGGCCGCAGTGAGGTCCACTGTTCTCTGCAGGGCTGTGGGCTGCATACTGGCCGAGCTGCTGGCGCACAGGCCTCTTCTCCCCGGCACTTCCGAGATCCACCAGATCGACTTGATCGTGCAGCTGCTGGGCACGCCCAGTGAGAACATCTGGCCGGTGGGCGTCCTGGGCAGACCCGCAGCCCCCGCCCGTGCCCACGCCCTCTGCGCCCGCAGCCCCCGCCCGTGCCCACGCCCTCTGCGCCCGCAGCCCCCGCCCGTGCCCACGCCCTCTGCGCCTCAGCTCCTGCCTCCCATAGGGCTTTTCCAAGCTGCCACTGGTCGGCCAGTACAGCCTCCGGAAGCAGCCCTACAACAACCTGAAGCACAAGTTCCCATGGCTGTCGGAGGCCGGGCTGCGCCTGCTGCACTTCCTGTTCATGTACGACCCTAAGAAAAGGTGCTGATCTCTGCACGGGGGGCAGGGACCCTCACCACCCACACTGTCCAGACCGTTTCCCAGAGCCCAGCCTCACTGCGGTGGAGAGGCCCCTCCCCAGGCACAGCCGCTCGGAGTGGCCACCTGGCTTCCTTTGAGCATTTGAATCACAGGCTGCTCAGCTGGGTGGGAGGTGAGGAAGCCGCACTCACAAGTCGCACTAACGCAGGCTGCCTCCTCCAGGGCGACGGCCGGGGACTGCCTGGAGAGCTCCTATTTCAAGGAGAAGCCCCTACGTGAGTGTGCAGGGTTCCTGACTCGCTCTGTGGGGTATGGCTGGGAGCCCGTTTTGCCCGGGGTGGGTGGTGGAGAAGTGGCCTGCTGCCCTCACTGACGGCACACCCTTTCTGGGGTAAGAGGACAGGGGCATGTGGAGGCACAGACAGCCCAGGGCCAGGTCCAGAGGCAGAGCTGGACTCAGACCTGGGCCTGCTCCTCCTATCTGGGGCCCTGCCCCGCCCAGCACTGAACCCTTCTCCCTGCAGCCTGTGAGCCGGAGCTCATGCCGACCTTTCCCCACCACCGCAACAAGCGGGCCGCCCCAGCCACCTCCGAGGGCCAGAGCAAGCGCTGTAAACCCTGACGGTGGGCCTGGCACACGCCTGTATTCCCACACCAGGTCTTCCGATCAGTGGTGTCTGTGAAGGGTGCCGCGAGCCAGGCTGACCAGGCGCCCGGGATCCAGCTCATCCCCTTGGCTGGGAACATCCTCCACTGACTTCCTCCCACTGTCTGCCCTGAACCCACTGCTGCCCCCAGAAAAAGGCCGGGTGACACCGGGGGGCTCCCAGCCCGTGCACCCTGGAAGGGCAGGTCTGGCGGCTCCATCCGTGGCTGCAGGGGTCTCATGTGGTCCTCCTCGCTATGTTGGAAATGTGCAACCACTGCTTCTTGGGAGGAGTGGTGGGTGCAGTCCCCCCGCTGTCTTTGAGTTGTGGTGGACGCTGGCCTGGGATGAGAGGGCCCAGAAGACCTTCGTATCCCCTCTCAGTCGCCCGGGGCTGTCCCGTGCATGGGTTGGCTGTGGGGACCCCAGGTGGGCCTGGCAGGACTCCAGATGAGGACAAGAGGGACAAGGTATGGGGTGGGAGCCACAATTGAGGATACCCCGAGACTACCAGGAGAGCCCTGGGCTGGAGGCTGAGCTGCATCCCTGCTCCCCACATGGAGGACCCAACAGGAGGCCGTGGCTCTGATGCTGAGCGAAGCTATAGGCTCTTGTTGGATAAAAGCTTTTTTAACAGACATGGTTTCACCAGCGTTTAATGTGCTCTGATGTTGACCGTCCCTCTGAGTGTTCTGGGGAGGAGGGGGTGGGGCGGAGGGTCAGGAAAGCAGGCTCAGCTTCCAGGGTCAGGGAGTTGTGGGCCCAGAGGGGCTGTCACAGTGGATGCACCCTGCCCTCTCCCTCGCCAGACCCGAGGGTAGGGCAGAGGCACCTCCTCGCCAGCCTGTGGGCTGCACCCACAGGGAATGGAGGGGAGGGGCACCATTACCACTGGACCCACCAAGACCCCGCCGCCTGGGCGGGCTGTCCACAGGCCCTTCCGCCCAGCAGCAGTGACGCTCAGGGCCTTCCCAGCTGTCAGCCACTGCCCGTTCCTGCGCCTCTCGTGCACCTCCACATCTGGTTTGAGGTCAGGTCATTTCCTGTCTGTGGGCCCAGCTGCTGTGACACCCAAGGGGAGGGCCGGCGTCCCCGAAGCCAGGTCAGCCGTGCACCCGGCAGAGCCCCGCAGATTGGCTCCAGCAGAGCTTGGGGTGGGGGGAGCTCGGTGTCACCAACAGGCCCTTGAGGACACTCGTGTGGAGAATCCCTGGGACACGTGGAGGACCCCCAAGTCCTGAGCCCCGTACTCCGTACTGCAGGGAGCAGGCCAGGAGCCACGGGCCTTGGGGCACAGGGTCCTTCTCAGGGACAGGTTCAGGCACTGGCTGGAACAGGCTGGACCCCTCTACCCAGCACATGTGGGCATGCGTCTGGGTTCCGAGGGTGGGGAAATGTGGAAAGGCTCCTGCTGGCCGGCTTAGGCCTGCTGCCCTTGGAGCCTTCCATATACAGAGAGTCCCACCTCCAGCAAGGGTTGGCCTGGACTCTCCAACCCCCTGCTGTGCCCAGGACTCCCCCAGGGACAAGGCAACCAGAGGCCCAGACCCCTCCCCAGCAAAGAGAAGCACCACGGGAGCTGTCTCCCAAGAGCCCTTGACCTGGGGCCCAGCTGGCCTAGGGCCGGGCCCCGGGGCTGTTGTAGAGCAGAGTGTCCATCTGTGCACGCTGTAGCCACAAGCGCCGCTGGGCGTCGCCAAGCAGCACACGCAGCGAGTGGCCTGGACGGCAGGCGGGCAGGGCTGCACAGTGGGCAGCATGCAGCTGGCGACAGGTGTCGCAGCAGAGGGTGGGCAGGGCGCCAGGGGACAGGCAGCTGTGTGCCTGGTAGCCTGGGGGCTCCGAGACAGACCTATAGGCTGAGGCTGGTACCCCCTCTGCCCGAATACGCCTCGGGCTGGCCGCTGCAGAGCTTTCAGGGGTGGCCAGGTCCCCAGGCCTACTCAGCTCACGGCGCAGAGAGAGGAAGGAGAAGGCGGAAGGTTCAGGTTCCAGCCCCTCCTCCAAGGCCCCATATGGTGGGCTGCTGGCCTGCGGCAGCTCCTCAGCTGGGGGCTCCCAGGCCCGGCCCCCAGTGCCCCACAGTTTGGCACTCTGCTCCCAGAGTGGTGGCCTGTAGGCCAGCTCCGCCGGGGGCGAGTCAGGGCCTGGTGACGGCTCCCCATACAGGCTGGCGTCCTCCGACCCCTCGTCTTCCTGCAAGTCCCGGTATAAGTCCAGTGGGGCCCTGTAAGCAGCAGGGGAGCCTCGGGGGGGCAGGGGTGGCGGCTCCTCATCCTGGGCCAGCCGCTGCTGCAGCCAGGCCACACAGGAGGCCACGTCCCCGCTGGCACGCCGTGCCTGCAGCAGCTCCTCAGCTGGCAGCACACTGGTGCCCAGCTGGGCCAGCACCTCACCCAGGATCTCACACTCCAGCCGGAGGGCGAAGCAGCCCAGGGCCACCTGCACCAGCTGGCAGGCGGGGGGCAGGGCGGTCACCATGAGCCGATGGCTGTCTCTGCGTACGTAGCCCATCTTCTGGAAGCTCTTCAGGAGGAGGTCGTCTGAGAGCACACCCTTCAGCACGTGCACGTAGCCCCCAGAGAAGGTCTGCAAGGGAGCGGCCAGGTCAGTGACTGCCCACCCTCCCATAGGCCAGACCCTAGGGTACAGTGGGTCCGGGATCTGTTGGCTCAGGCCTTGGCAGCTTCTGATGCTCAGACCCAACCCCAGAGACTAGGCTTAGCCAGCTTGGGCCAGGCCCAAACATGATGATTTCTTTTTTTTTTTTTTTTTTTTTTTTTTTTTGAGACAGAGTCTTGCTCTGTCATCCAGGCTGGAGTGCAGTGGCTCCATCTCAGCTCACTGCAGCCTCTGCGTCCCAGGTTCAAGCAAGTTCCCCTGCCTCAGCCTCCCGGGTAGCTGGGACTACAGGCGCCCACCACCACACCCGGCTAATTTTCATATTTTTAGTAGAGACAGGGTTTCACCATGTTGGCCATGCTGGTCTCAAACTCCTGACCTCAAGTGATCCGCCTGCCTTGAGCTCCCAAAGTGCTGGGATTACAAGCGTGAGCCACTGTGCCCGGCCTAGAATTTTTTTTTTTTTTTCTTTTTTGAGACAGAGTCTCGCTCTGTCTGGAGTACAGTGGCACGATCTCGGCTCACTACAACCTCCTCCTCCCGGGTTCAAGCGATCTTCCTGCCTCAGCCTCCTGAGTAGCTGGGATTACAGGTGCGCACCACCACGCCCCACTAATTTTTGTATATTTAGTAGAGACGGGGTTTCACCATGTTGACCAGGAAGGTCTTGATCCCTTGACCTCATGATCCACCCACCTTGGCCTCCCGAAGTGCTGGGATTACAGGTGTGAGCCACCGCACCTGGCCGAATTTCTTAAATTTAATGGAAAAAACAATGAATACATTAACCTAGCTCACAAATCAGAACAAAATGAAGAGCCCCTGTACTGAGAAATTCCACTGTCTTCTGTCCCACCGCTCCCTTCACCCCTGGAGATGGCCTCATCTAATTAGTTTTGAATGTACTTGCCCAGGTGTTTGTTTTGCAAACCCAAATACAGATTTCGTTTGCTCCTCGTATGAGGTAGTCCCCCCTTTTTTTTCACCTCTTTGTAAGGTCTCTAACCAAAGCTAGACAGGTAGCCTCTTAAACGTGTTGTTCTGAACTTTGTTTTTTTCCACTACAGTCTTGCAGACAAGGACAGAAGCTGTAACGTTCATTCCCCCTGCTGTGTAGTATTCCACCATGGGGGTGACACGTCTGTTTTCAGCGCTCTCCAGAGGCTGTCCATGCACTGGGCTGACAGCCGTGGGACGGTAGAAGGGTGAGTGCTCTTTTTTTTTTTTTTTTGAGACGGAGTCTCACTCTGTCACCAGGATGGAGTGCAGTGGCTCGATCTCTGCTCACTACAACCTCCACCTCCCAGGTTCAAGTGATTCTCCTCCCTCAGCCTCCTGAGTAGCTGGGATTACAGGCGCGTGCCACCACACCCAGCTCATTTTTGTATTTTTTAATAGAGACGGGGTTTCACCATGTTGGTTAGGCTGGTGTCAATCTCCTGACCTCGTGATCTGCCCACCTCGGCCTCCCAAAGAGCTGGGATTACAGGCGTGAGCCACCGCGCCCGGCCTGGCTGAGTGCTTTCTAGCCTACACTTAGGTGAAGAACTAAAGGAGCTCAGGACAATCACTGCGAGCGTCTCCTGACTCTCAAATTCCCTAACTCCGGGACTCCTAGCATCTAATGCCTGGACACGGCCCACGTGTGGAGCGCCCAGTGCCTGCAGCACTGAGCTCGGGGCTTTGATTCATTCCTCTGGCCCCATGAACTGGACTGTTCCCGTGTCGCTGTCTCAGGAGGAAAGGGGCTGACAGAGATTAGCTAATTTGGCCAAGTCCTCGCGGCCAGGAAGCAGCAGAACTAAGTCCAAACCAGGGCTGTCCGGCACTGAAGCCGGTTATTCCCCCGCCCCGCCCCCTGGGAGGCCTCAAGGGCGGGCCTGTCCGTCCTCTCTCATGAATGAAAGTCCTGGCGCCTCCGACCAGCAGGTGTCCCCGGGGAGCCGCGGAGAGACTGCCGCTGCCATGGCAACCGGCGGAGGCGTAGCTCGCCCACGTGCCCAGTGACGTCATCGGCTTCCTACTCTTCCGAATTAGCTCAGAGCTCCCGGCGGCCCTGCCCCCTCCTGCCGCCAGGAGCTCACCTGGAGAGGCCAGGCCAGCCCTGGGCACAGCCTCCCGCCCCAGGCCGTGGAGTTCACTAGGTCTGAGCCCAGCCCTGAGACTTCACAGGGATGCACCCATCTGCAGTCCTCCCAGCCTCGGCGGCCTCCTCTGCAAATGGGATTGGCCCATAACCTGGAGGAATTAGGATGACCATGGGAACTCAAGTCCCTTCTGTGCCCCCGTCCTAAGATTTCCATGGCAACTGGGGCCGCGAGGCCTCTTAGGGAAGACACTGACGCAAGCTCTCAGGGCAGGACCCCGTAGGCAGCACCCAAGCCTGCCCTCGCCCACCCCATGTTCTCAGCCCTAGGAGTGGGTGCCCCCACACGCCCACGACCCCTCAGCGCTCGGAGCCTTGAGGAGCCCACCAGGCACTGAGGACACTTGAAGCCCCTCTCTCTCGAAAGGCGTGGTCCCCCATGGTCGGCGGCCCCGCGACCCGCAGGCCAGGACGAGGGGCGCGCTCCTCCTGGCCTGGCGCCTACCTTGATGGTGGTGAACTCCTTCCTCCAGGGCAGCAGGTACAGGTGCACCGCGGCGAGCTCCAGAAGCTCGAAGGCGCGAGCCAGGCCGCGTAGCGCGGGCGCCAGGTCGGCGCGGCCCCACAGCCCGTCGGTGAGCAGAGCCAGCGCGTCGTCCTGCAGCGCCCCGTGCAGGTCGAAGTCCTCCACCAGGATCTGCCAGAGCACCGCGCGCAGCGAGGGGTCCCCGCACACGCCCGCGCGGCCCCGTCGCAGCTCGCGCTCCAGGCACTGGCGGTAGTCCTCGGACAGCGAGCTGCTGCCCATCCTGCGGCGGACGGGGGTCGGGGGGGTCAGGGACCTAAGGCCGCGCCCAGCCCGCCGCGCTCTCCCCGAACCCTCACCCAGCGTCCCCAGGACCCCTCGAGCCTGGAGACCCCGCCCCCAGCGGCTGGGCGCCCCCGGTATCTTCGGCACCCCCTACGCTGGAGACCTCGGCCCCATCAGCTGCCCGCCCACCCAGCGATCCAGGCCCCTCCAGTTGAGCGCCCCCGCACCTCCAGCCCCTCCCTCCAGCCTGGGTACCTCGGCCTTCCAGGGGCGCCCCCGGTTATCGACCGCACCCTTCTCTAGAGACGCGCTTCCGCCCGCTGAGCCCTCTCCCGACCAGAGCCCCTTCGCCCGGCAGATGGAGCTGCGGATCCCGCGGGTGACGGCGCTACCTGTCTGTCCCCAGCGGTCTCCGGCCGCCGCGGATCAGTTCGGGCCTCCCCGCGCGCCGCGCGCTTCCGCCGGGAGTCGGCTCCGCCCGGGGTCCGCGGCCGTGACGCTGGGGGCGGGGCGGGGCTTGGCGCAGGCCCCGCCTCCGAATAATTTAGGAGGGGCGGGGCCTGGTGAAAGGGGAGGAGGAGGTGTCAGCCCGGCCGAGCCCCTGCGCGAGGCACCCCGAGAGCCTCCTGTCACCGCGTCGCCCGTCTCCTCGCGGGACCGGTATCGTTCACGACGCCGCTGGGCCGAGGGCTGCGGGCTCATGGCAGGCGCTCAGGGAACGTTGTGCCTGGGCCGCTCCTCCCCACGAGACAGGGACCCAGCCCCAGGCGACCCGGCCGCGGGGAAGCAGGTGCGCGGGCTCGTCCCCTGGGGGGTGGGGCCACCGGCATTACCTGGCGGGGATTGGCTGGATCCTGGGAAGAGCCTTTCCTGCGGGGCGGGGCCACCTGCATTACCTGGCGGGGATTGGCCGGATCCGGGGGCGGGCCTCCCCTGTGGGGCGGGGCCATCCCCTTGAGGGAGGGGCCCGCGGCACGGAAGGTGGGCGGAAGGACAAGCCTTTCAGCCTCGTCTGAAACAGCAGCCTCAGGTGGATGCGGGGACCTCAGATTCTGTTTATGCTGGCTCCGCTTCCCGGCCTCCTGCACTTGCCATCTGCAGCCCTTGAGAGCATCGTCTGGGCGGGTCTCTGAGGCAGGGCGAAGCCGCCCCCCTCTCTAGGCTAAAAGCTGACCTGGGCTGCGGATCCACCCAGGCTAAATCTGGGCCACGACTTCCCGGGGACGTTTTCTTCGCTCGGGTTCCTCTGTTCTGTGCTACAGCCACTTTCTCGCATTGCCCAGAAGTAGAGGAGGATGAGGGAGACCCTTGGAGGTCCCAGCCGAAACCCACCCCTACCCCACACCCCCGCTTTGGGCAGGCTTTGCTACTTCACGTCTGTGTCCCTCATCTCTCCAGGCCACCAAAACCAAGGCCCAAGTTTGTTGAAACTTTCCCTGGGCCTGGGCGGCGAGGTCCCCCCTTTTTCTTAGATTTTTTACCTGGAAGTTCCCTGCTGGCATCTTAGAAATAGTGATCATGACCGGGTGCGGTGGCTCACGCCTGTAATCCCAGCACTTTGAGAGGCCGAGGCGGGCGGATCACCTGAAGTCAGGAGTTCAAGACCAGCCTGGCCAACATGGTGAAACCCCGTCTCTATTAAAAATACGAAAGTTAGCCGGGCGTGGTGGCACATGTCTGTAAGCCCAGCTACTTGGGAGGCTGAGGCAGGAGAATTACTTGAACCTGGGAGGCAGAGGTTGCGGTTGCAGTGAGCTAAGATCGTGCCACTGCACTCCAGCCTGGGTGACAGAGCGAGAATGTCTGGAAAAAAAAATCGTGATGCAGTCGGTGGATCTCCCTGAGTTATCTAGGTGGCCACCTCTGGACAGGGAGCTCTTTTACTTACTGTTTACTGAACTCACTCTTGGTGCCCAGTGCCACCATGGGTCCACACCAGTCCTCAGGACAGCTAACTTCGTAAGTCTCATCTTTATTCTTCTTCTGATGCGGAGGAGGGTGGAGGTAACTGTTCTGCCTTTGTCCTCACTGAATTTGGCAACACCAGTCCATCCATCCAGCAGTGGGCCTAGCTCTCCTCCCATAGGCCTGGGTGGGTTTTTGCACCTGCCTCAACCCATGGAATAGAACTGATGTGGAATGAATTCCAAGGCTAAATCATAAACATGCCATACCCTGGCCTTGTCTTGAGATCCTTGGCCTCTGACATGGTTTGGTTCTGTATCCACACCCAAAATCTCATCTTGAATTGTAATCCCACAGGTCTGGAGCAGGACCAGGTGGAGATAATTAAATCTTGGGGGCAGCTTCCTCCATGCTGTTCTCGTGATAGTGAATTCCACGAGATCCGATGGTTTTATAAGGGGTTCTCCCCTTTGTTCAGTGCTCATTCTCGCTCCTGTCGCCCTGTGAGGAGACGCCTTCTGCCATGATTGTGAGTTTGCTGAGGCCTTCCCCAGCCATGCGGAACTGTGAGTCAATTAAACGTCTTTTCTTTATAAATTATCCAGCCTCAGGCAGCTATTTACAGCAGCATGGGGACGGACTAACACACCCTCAGAACCCAGCCACTAGAGTGAGAAGGCCACGGCCGTGTGCAGAGCTTTTGGCCTGCAACTTCGACCTGCGACTCACATTCACCTGCAGCCTATTCTTGGGACTTTTTTGGAAATAGTTTTTCCAGACAAAAATCAAGATGAGTTTGTTCTGGGCCGAGCGCAGTGGCTCACGCCTGTAATCCCAGCACTCTGGAAGACCGAGGCAGGTGGATCACGAACTCAGGAGATCGAGACCATCCTGGCTAACACACTGAAACCCCATCTCTACTAAAAAATACAAAAAATTAGCTGGGCGTGGTGGCGGGCATCTGTAGTCCCAGCTACTCGGGAGACTGAGGCAGGAGAATGGCGTCAACCCAGGAGGCGGAGCTTGCAGTGAGCCGGGATCGCGCCACTGCACTCCAGCCTGGGCCACAGAGCAAGACTCTATCTCAAAAAAAAAAAAAAAAAAAGGATGAGGTTGTTCTGGGTTGGCATGGGCCCTCAATCCAGTATGACTGCTGTCCTTATGAGGAGAGAGAAACTTAGATATGAACGCACAGGAGAGAAGACCGCTTAAAGACGGAGGCAGAGTGGAACGAGGGTGCCGTGAGCGAAGGTAACACAGCTGTGTTAGAGCCACCAGAAACTGGAGGCAAACAGAATTCTACCCTAAAGCCTCCAGAGGGAGTCAGCCCTGCTGACAGCTTGATTTTGACTTCAGGCCTGCAAGATGGTGAGAGAGAACATTTCTGTTGCTGTAAGCCACCCATTTTGTGGTCGTTTTGGCAGCCCCTGGCAACACATCCAGTCCTCACGTCGTCGTTCCGACAGCCCTGAATGAGGTCCCAGCCGACAGCTGGCACCAACCATAGACAGCAGACAGCTCTTCGGATGAATCCAACCCCTGGTCATTGGGTTACCACCTAGAAACAGCCTCCCATGATGCTGAGGAGCCATCTGGCTGATTTTTGTACTTTTTGTATTTTCAGCAGAGACAGGGCTTCACTATGTTGGCCAGGCTGGTCTCAAACTCCTGACCTCAGGTGATCCACCTACCTCGGCCTCCCACAGTGCTGGGATTGCAGGCGTGAGCCACGGTGCCCAGCCTAATTTTTAACTTTTTAGTAGAGAGGGGGGCCTTACTATGTTGCCCAGGCTGGTCTCAAACTCCTGGGCTCAAGTGATCCCCCCGCCTCAGCCTTCCGAAGTGCTGGGATTCCAGGTGTGAACCACCATGCCTGGCGTCTTGAGTATTTAAGCCCCTGAGTTGGGGTAGTTTGTTAGGCAGCGGTGGCTACGTGGGCTGTACACATTCACGGCTCCCTCCCTTCCTGCCCGGGGATGGACACTCCATGAGCTGCCGTGTGGATTCTCCGTCCTTCCCTGCCCTCCCGGGACAGACACTCCATTGCCTCCACTGCATATACATCCTCTAAAACCGGCAGCAGCCTTGCCAGGTCGGAGGTTCCGTCCACACTTACCTGGACTCCAGGACTGCACCTGGTCCCCTGGGGCCACTGCCGTGTCCACCCCACAGTGTGCGTGAGCTCCCTCCCCCTCCTGTACTCAGCATCGTCCAGCTTCCTCATCTTCTCCGGTCCAATGGATATAAGGTTACATCTTGTTTACTTTTCATTTGATTTTTGTTATGATTTGGACACTGCTTATGCAGAATAGTTTTATTTTTATTTTTTTTTAGATGGAGTCTCGCTCTGTGCTCAGGCTGGAGTACAATGGCGTGATCTCGGCTCACTGCAGCCTCTGCCTCTCAGGTTCAAACAATTCTCCGGCCTCAGCCTCCTGAGTAACTGGGACTACCGCCACCACGCTCAGCTAATTTATGTATTTTTAGTAGAGACGGGGTTTCGCCATGTTGGCCGGGCTGGTCTCGAACTCCTGACCTCAAAAGAGCCGTCCGCCTCGGCTTCCCAAACCGCTGGGGTTACAGGCATGAGCCACTGCGCCCAGCCATTACTTTTTATTTTATTTTTATTTTTTGAGACGGAGTTTCTCTCTGTCGTCCAGGCTGGAGTGCAGTGGCACGATCTCAGCTCACTGCAACCTCTGCCTCTCAGGTTCACGCCATTCTCCCGCCTCAGCCTCCCGAGTAGCTGGGACTACAGGTGCGGGCCACCACGCCCGGCTGATTTTTTGTATTTTTAGTAGAGACGGGGTTTCACCGTGTTAGCCAGGATGGTCTTGATCTCCTGACCTCGTGATCCGCCCACCTCGGCCTCCCAAAGTGCTGGGATTACAGGCGTGAGCCACCGCGCCCGGCCATTTGTAGGATTTCTAAAAGGAAGCTGCTATTATTCATTCCTGTCTTATGGGGGAGCTGCAGGCTCAGCGAGGGCAAAGCTGCACAGCAAACAGCAGCACTTGAACATGTCTGCCGGGTCTCAGCGCCAGGGATACAGCTGAGCCAGGACGTTCCCGGCCCCCACAGTGTGCAGGCTGCAGGTGTGGCCCCGATGCCAAGCCAGCAGGGGCTCCCACGCCAGGATTTGTTCAAGACACAGCTCATCTCCACCATTCTATGAAGCGGACTTTAAAATCCCATCTTCTAGACACCAACGCTGAGGCCGGAGCAGCCCAAGCTCCAAGGCACCGTGGCCAGCTGGGGTTCGTATCGAGGGCTGGGGCAGATGCTCCAGCTCTGCCCCACCCAGAGAGACACTTCTGTCTCCCTATGGGGTCCTTGGCGGGTAAACCAGCCCCTGCTCAGGGTGCAAGCACAGAGCATCCCACCGAGGTCCACAGCTACTGCTTTTAAGACTGTTTCCCTGAGAACAGCAACACTGCCCCCCAGCCAGCTCCTGGTAGCATCTAGGGTTGGGACCTCCCACCCCACCAGCCCTGCCACCTGCCTCCTCATGGCATCTCAAGGTGCCAGGGGTGCCTTTCTTGCAGAAGAGCCCTCCATCCTGATCTGCCCACACCGCCCTGGCAGATGCTGTCCACGCCCGGCAGCCTTCTGTGCACCTCAGAGCATGTGTGTGTCGCCATGCACAGAACGATGATTCCTGAGACCCTCGGGTGACTGCTCTGGGCTCAGGTCCCCAGTGATGACCTGGACCCCAGCCTCACCCCACCCTTCCCACCCACTGATGCCCTGCAGAGCTCTCCTGTCCAAGAGGGTGAAGCCCACACCTGCCTGGCCAGGCACAGCCCCAAGAGGACCCTGCTTCTATGCAGAGGGTCTCGGAGGCTGGCAGATGTTCAAGAGGTTGGGCCAGGCTTGGTTTGGGGCTGGGCTGTGGCTCGTCCCCCACATCCTCAGCGGCCTCTGCCATGGGCAGCAGGGGTGGTTGTGCTGCCTGGCCAGTGGGGTGGGGATTGAGGGAGCCACACGGCGAAGCACAGCAGTGAGCTCTTTATTTTAGGCTGGGTGGGGGCAGCATGTGACAGTCAAGAGGGCTGACCCTTGGGCTGCACGGACCTAGATAAGATGCCCAGGGTCCCGGAATGTTCACAGCCCACAGCCAAGGTGAGTAAGGGGCAGGGAATGTCCTGGGCTCAGAGCCCGAGACCCTGCAGGGGTGTCCCTGCCCATCAGCAAACAGCATACCCTGACACCAGCTGCACCCCAGGCCCCAGCCGGCCCTTGTTCCTGACCCAGACAAGAAACTAGTTCATGGGGCTACAACTCCCCTTCTAGGGGTCAGAGGGGAGAGAAACTGGACTGCCGTCTCCACTGCTGGCCGGCTCATGGCCCCCTCTTCCCTGATGCTCCCCAGGAGCTGCCCCAGCCAGATGTTCATCGCTGAGCCTGCACCCACCGAAGCCCAAAGCTTCCCTTCTTGGCCTCTCTGAGGCCTACACAGGAGAGCAGGGCCTGGTTCCTCCTGGAGCTGATTCAGCCCCATTCTGTCGGGGCAGAGGTGCCAACCCCAAGCTCCAGGGTCAGATGTGAGGTGAGGAAGGTGAAGAGCTGGAGAGCACACCACAGTGGACAAGCCCCCACCATGTGCAGAGCAGCGTGAGGCTCCAGGATGGTCCTCAGTAGATCCCATGGCTCCAGGTGTAGGAGAGACAGCCCTGGGAGGCGAGGCCAGGCCCTGCAGGGACCCTGGGCTCTAGCTGTACTACTTGGCCAGGCCTCCCCGGGGCAGCAGCTCCACGTAGCTCAGGGCACTCTGCAGTGATGTGAGGCAGTAGCCCTCCTCTCCGATCAGGTACCTGCATGGATGGCAGGGGCAGCCGGTGTCATCTGAACGAACAGAAGGATACCCCCGGCCCTCCAGAAGGTAGTGTCTGCCCTCCCAGTTCAGGACCTGGGTGCTGAGGGTGGGCAGGTGGGGCTGTCAGGGCGGCTGGGCTAGAGGAGGCCTTTCCCACCCACTATGTGCTCGTCCTTGGACGGTAGAGCCAGGGATGGCACTGGATCCTTATCCCCTCCCCAGGCAGATGCTGCTCAGGGGACAGCCCCCAGCTCCTGCTGTCTGGGAGAGGCTGAGCTAAGCGAAGGGCCACGGGACATGTGGCAGCAGGCACTCTGCACAGGTGGACCCACAGGGGCTGCCCGAAGGCATGGCTGTGACGGAGCCACACGCTACCCTCCCCAGCTGCTACTGACAACCACCGTTTAGGTTGAGGGATGAGGTCCCTGCTCTTCGCACAGAGACCCCCACCCTGACCCGCCAGGGTCTACCCCTCGTGGATGAACTCCTCCAGGGCCGCGCACTCCGACACCAGCTGAGGGAGGCCGCTCCTCAGCACCACGAAGGACAGGATGGGCAGCAGGTCATCGGCACCACTGTCGGGAGGGCATAGCGGCCTTGGGTTGGGGCCAGGAGCCTCTCACTCCGCAAACCCAGCAGCTGTGGAGCCATCCTGGCCGTGCTGGCCGCCATCTCTGTGCCCTTCTGCGCAGAGGCACCGGAAGGCAGCTGGGCATGGTGAGGCTGTCCCTAAAGGGAGCTCCCGTACTGCGGAGCCAGGGCTGGGCCCACACGGCCCTCCTGCTTCTACAGTGCAGCCAGCTGGCACAAGGCTAAGGGGCAGGAAGATAGTCCCTCCCGTGACCATTGCCTTTCTAGGGCCCTTCCTCCCTGGCCACACCTCGCCCTCCTGGGACTCACATGGCAGCTGCAGCGATGGGCGGGGGCCCGGCCTGGGGTGTGGCCTCTGGGGTGGGGCAGTAGTCTTCCGCACAGACACAGATGATCCGCAGGGTCCGCACTGCGCCCCAGACAGGGTTTCAGGGGCAGTTAACCCCGTCCAGCAGCCTGAGCCACCCCTTATACCCCGCCCACCCACCCACCTCCTGATGTGCACGGCTGGGAAGAGCCACGGTGACCCTGGCGATGTTGCTCAGACACCACTTTTGTTCTGGTCCCCCAACCTCCCCACCGGCACGTGACAAGAGAAGCTCAGTGGTGAAGACACAGGCTCCAGGTCACCTACTGGGATGGGAGCCTGTCCCTCCCCCTGACTCTCGAACCTGCTGACCTATGCACTCCAGCTTCTTCTGGGGGCAGCTCTCCAGGACCAGCAGTCCGAGCTCCTGGGCCGCCGCGCAGTAGGGGTAGCCAGTGGCCCCCTTGGCCTCAGGGTTCTGGGGGAGGAGCTTGGTGGGGATGCCAATGGCGGTGGGGGGTGCATTCCTGTAGAGCTCCATGCTCCTGCTCAGGGCAGCCTCCCGGGCTCGGTGCACGCTCCTGGGGCAGAGAGAGGCCAGGCTAAGCTGCCCCAGGGACCTTGCCCTGGGGACAGAAGCAGGGCTGTGGCTGGAGCTCAGTCCTGGAGAAAACTGGCTATGTATCTCAAGCAAAAAGCCCCAGCGTTGCCAAGACCCCAGGCACGGGAGAGTGGCAATAATCCTACCTGCAAACTGGAAGCCCCTGAGGATGGCCTCAGGGTAAAGCACAGGCTAGGGGGAGCAAACACGAGTCTTGGGGATGGAGGGGAGCAGACAGTGCCAGGGAGCAGGGCAGGCCTCCTGGGGGACTGGGCTGGAAGACACTAGGCCACGCAGGTGGTTGTACAGCTGGGTCCATACCTGTACAGGGCCAGCAGCAGAGGCCACAGCGGGGAGAAAAAGGGTTCCTCAATGCAGGCCAGGCAGCGGTCCTTGGAGGCAGCTGTGTTTAGGCCTTCGAAGGCCAGAAGGGTCAGCGAGAGCAGCCTGTCTGCTAGGAACAGAGCCGGGGACGTCCACAGAGGCTCCTCCCCTGCTGGGTCAAGTGGCTCTAAGCCACGGGGCCTTTCTCCGCCCAAGAAACCTCTTTCCACCGCCTTCAAGCCTCCTGCACCCACCCCTGACCCTCCTCGGCCCAGGGCAGGGAGTCCGGGACTGGAAACGGTCACCTACAGCTGCTGCCCTGTTGGGCCAGCAGCCTGAGAAGAAACCGGAGAATGATCCTTTTCTCAAAAGGGGCTTTACCCAAAACTGCAGGAACCAGGGAAGACTTTAGATCCAACCCCCTGTGGGTGGGGACCCTGACCAAGTTCCTTAGTGTGTGGGCAGCACAGTGAGAATGACGCCTGGACTGTTGGGCCTCCCTCAGTGGTTCTTAGAAAACTCTGGGCTGGGCGCGGTGGCTCATGCTTGTAATCCCAGCACTTTGGGAGGCCGGGGTGGGCAGATCAACTGAGGTCAGGAGTTTGAGAACAGCTTGACCAACATGGTGAAACTCCGTTTCTACCACACTGTTTCCAAAATGAGAAGGGCTGAGGCGTGAGCTGGGTGGATGTAAGTCTGATCAGAGTCTCTGATCAACAGACCCTTCCCCAAACAGAAGCTTGAAACGGACCAATAAGCAGGGGTGAAGAGCTGCGGCGGCTCTCCCAGGGAGGGCCTGGCCTCACCTACGGCATTGTGGATCTCCTCCACCGCGGTCTTCAGCTGCTGCAGCTGGGGCTCCGGCTGTACCCCACGGCCCCGGCCCTGCCGCTCAGACGTCCCCAGGAACTGCTCCAGGTCCTCGAACGAGCTGTCCTTGTCTGGCAATCCAGATGCGGTGTCCCCCAGGGGTGAGGGAGACCCCACGGGGCCGGGTTGGAGTGGGGGCGTGGGGGGACTGTCCTGGGGCCGCGGGGCTGCGCTGGGCTCGGGCGGGGACAGCATGCAATGGAGGCTCTGCGAGGGCCGCAGCCGTCGGCTTCCGGGGTTGGGGGTCGGGGGGCAGCAGCCTGGGGCTGGCGCGGCTGCTCTGCTCACGGCGGGATACAGGGCGCTGTACACGGAGCACTGCAGCCGCCTCAGGAGCTGCGCGATCGGGTGGTCGGGGAGGCTGCGGGAGAAGAGGACGTGAGAACGCGGCCAGCCTCGGCCTCTCCGTGGCATCCACAGGTGCCGCGCTATGCCCGGTTTCAGAGAAGCGACTTGCATTACCTCCTGACAGTGAATGTTGGAAAGTCTGCCCCCCGCCCCCGCTGGGGAGGTTGGAGAAGCCGAGGAAACGCCCTCAGCGCAAAGGGAGCTGCAGTGTCCACGTGGCCGGGCACAGGCTCCCTGTGTCAGTCCAGCCCCTCTCCGGCACCTGGCACCAGGCAGAGGTGCCCAAGGCCGGTGCGCAGGGGCTCTGTGGGGCCTGAAGGCCCAGCTACCTGAGCAGGTGTGAGACCAGGCTGGTCACGAGTGACAGGTCCCCCGGATTCCTCTTGAGCTTGGCCTTCCAGTGCTTCGGCCAGTCCTACGGGACAGGGGGCCTTGAAGGAAAGCACGGTGGGTCCGCCACGACCGGACGCGCCTCATCTCCCACCAGTGCCGACCCCTAGAGACTGTGGGAGCCCGTCCTGGGGTGCAGGAGACCCAGCGCCAGCAGGCCCCGCGACCCGCCCCCGCCCCCACCCACACCCGAGGGAAACCTTAGGCGAACCCTGGGCCTGCACCCTCGCTGGGACCCTCCCTCCTCGCAGGGACCCTCCCTCCTCGCTGGGACCCTCCCACGCGACCCCTGACCTCGCCTCCTCGCTCTGCCCCGCCCCACGCAGCCCTGGCCCCGCCCCCTCACCGGGCCCTCCCACGGGCCTCTGGCCCCGCCCCCTCACTGCCCCCCACAGCCTCTGGCTCCGCCCCCCACGGGGGCCCACCCAGGCGGCTCTGACCCCGCCCCCCTCGCTGGGCTCCTCCTACAAAGCCTGGGCCCGTGGGGGACGCACATGGTCCTGTTCGTACTCCAGGATGGCGGCGTAAAGGGCCCGCTGCTCCCGTTCCTCCGGGGTCAGGGCGACTTGGCTGCAAAACCTCCTGGGGAGAAAGGCACGCGGTGGGTGCCGGGGCCAGGCCCTCCCCGCAGCGGCCCCAGGGGCGGGCAGGAGTCCCACCTGTTGGCGGCCTCCTGGAGCCGCAGCCGGCGCTCCTCCATCTTTCTCTGGAGCTGGGTGCAGAGTCAAGGGGCCGAGCGTGGGATCTGAGCGGGCCCTCGGTTCCCAACCCCGTCCCACACCCGGAGAGGCCGGGACGTCCCAGGGACCTCCTCTCGGTGAGGGGCTGTCCCCAGGTAAGGCTTCTGGGGCAGAAGGCAGCCTGCGCTCAAGCCAGGAGGGCCGGGCCAGAGAACATGGGGGACGGCGGCCGGGCCTTCCCCTGAGACCCTGCCTCTGCAAAGCGGGGAGCCCCTCGGCCCTGTACCCCGACCCCGGAACCTCCGCTCCCCTCGCTGCCCCCTTCTCTGCCCTTGGCTCAAGGCCACACTGAGTTTCCCCTCGGGGACCACCAGGGCGGTCAGAAAGGCTGCTGTCTCCTCCCGGGCTTTGGCAATCACTAGGTTCTCCATCATCTGCCGCTGTAGAGAGAGGGTCTGGGGGGGGAGGAGGGAGTAAGGCCGACTCCCCTCTGCCCCGCGCCCACGCACCCCCAGGCCCTCCCTAGCCCCCACTCACCAGGGATGTCTTCTGCATGGCCTGGCTGGGGTCTAGCCGCGCCATTCGGGCCTCATACGCAGCCTTCAGCTTCTGATTCTGCAGGGAGGCCTCCTCCAGTGGCGTCAGCTCTCTGGAAATGTGACAAGCTGCTGTCTAGACCCCAGGAAGCCCAGTGGTGTCTGGACACCAGAGGAGTCTCTCTCATCCTCCCGGATTGCTCTGAGGCCAGGAGGTGAGGAGAAAGAGGAGGGGAGCCATCTGGGGTGGGCTGCAACATCTGCCCCTTCTTGCCTGCCCTTCCAAAACACAGGTTTTGGCCAGGTGCAGTGGCTCCCGCCTCTAATGCCAGCACTTTAGGAGGCTAAGGCCGGGCGGATCACCTGAGGTCAGGAGTTCGAGACCAGCCTGGCCAACATGGTGAAACTCTGTCTCTACTAAAAATACAAAAATTAGCTGGGCATGGTGCACACTTGTAATCCCAGCTACTCGGGAGGCTGAGGCAGAATAGCTTGATCCCGGGAGGTGATGCAGTGAGCCGAGATCTGGCCACTGCACTCCAGCTGGGGTGATAGAGTGAGACTCTGTCTCAAAAAAACAAAACCAAAACAAAAAATAACAAAAAGAAAGAAAACACAGGTTTTGGTATTGCCAGGACTTTTGGTTTTTCTTTTTTTCTTTTTTTTTTTGAGACGGAGTCTCGCTCTGTCGCCCAGGCTGGAGCGCAGTGGCGCAATCTCGGCTCACTGCAAACTCCGCCTCCCGGGTTCATGCCATTCTCCTGCCTCAGCCTCCTGAGTAGCTGGGACTACAGGTGCCCGCCACTATGCCCGGCTAATTTTTTGTATTTTTAGTAGAGACGGGGTTTCACCGCATTAACCAGGATGGTCTTGATCTCCTGACCTCGTGATCCACCCGCCTCGGCCTCCCAAAGTACTGGGATTACAGGCGTGAGCTACCGCGCCCGGCCGGACTTTTGGTTTTTCAAGAGAAGCTGGACCACTGGACTTCTATGGAGATCCGTTATATGTGTTTGGCAACAGTATGAATCTTGTTAAAGCAAGCTTGTGCAACAATCCGAGGCTGTATGACTTCGAATGTGGCCCAACACAAATTCCTAAACTTTCTTAAAACATCACTGAGGGCTGGGCACGGTGGCTCACGCCTGTAATCCCAGCACTTTGGGAGGATGAGGCAGGCGGATAATGAGGTCAGGAGATTGAGACCATCCTGGCTAACATGGTGAAACCCCGTCTCTATTAAAAATACAAAAAATTAGCCGGGTGTGGTGGCATGTGCCTGTGCTCCAGCCTGGGTGATAGAGACTCTGTCTCAAAAAATCACTGAGGTTTTTTTGCAAAATTTTTTTTTTTGAGTCAGTCTCATTCTGTCGCCCAGGCTGGAGTGCAGTGACACAATCTCAACTCACTGCAACCTCCGCCTCCTGGGTTCAAGTGATTCTCCTGCCTCAGCCTCCCGAGTAGCTGGGATTACAGGCATGTGACACCACGCCCAGCTAATTTTTGTATTTTTTAGTAGAGATGGGGTTTCATCATGTTGGCCAGGCTGATCTCGAACTCCTGACCTCAGGTAATCTGCCCGCCTTGGCCTTCCAAAGTGCTGGGATTACAGGCGGGAGCCACTGCGCCCAGCCTTGCAATTTTTTTTTTTAAGCTCATCGGCTGTTGTTAGTGTTAGCGTATTTTATGTGTGGCCCAAGACAATTCTTCCAGTGTGGCCCAGGGAAGGCAAAAGATTGGACACCCCTGCTTTAAAGGCACTATGTGGGTCAAACAGCCAGATTAGTCTGTGACCCATGAAAGGAAGAAGTGTCCTGTCTCCTTTATACAGTTCCCAACAGCCACTCCACCTTGAAAGCTTTGTTCCCTCGTACCTTCCCACTGTCAGGGACAATGGAGGACAAGGAGGAAAGTCAGAGCCTGACGCCTGGCCACCCTGCCCTGAAGCCACATTGCAGAAACAAGGGGACTGGGAAGCCAGGCCCCGCCAGAGCAGGGGCAGGAGGAGTGGACCCTTCTCGTCTCTCCCACTTGGGAGTCACTGGGCTTTTTGCATTTGTGTCTTTGTATCTTTCATCAGTTCTAGACAACTGTCTGCCATTCTAACTTCTAATAATGCCTCTCTCCCATTTTCTTTCTTCTTTTTTTTTGAGCCGGAGTCTCGCTCTGTTGCTAGGCTGGAGTGCAGTGGCACGATCTTGGCTCACTGCAACCTCCACCTCCTGGGTTCAAGCGATTCTCCTGCCTCAGCCTCCCAAGTAGCTGGGGTTACAGGCACGCGCCACCATGCCCAGCTAAGTTTTGTATTTTTAGTAGAGATGGGGTTTCACCATGTTAGCCAGGCTGGTCTTGAACTCCTGACCTTGTGATCTGCCTGCCTTGGCCTCCCTCCCATTTTCTTTCTGGAACTCCAACGAACACGTTAGGCTTTCCATCTCTTGTTTTCTGTCTTTATTTTTTGTTTCTGTAATTCATTCTAGCTATCTTTTGACCTTTTTTCCAATACATGAATTTGCTCTTCAGCTATATCTGCTCTGCTGTTATAAACTTGTCTGCTCAGTTTTGTATGTATGGATTTCTACATATATATAGATATATAACTCATCCTTGTTCCCAGCTAAATTTTTTTTTTTTTTTTTTTGAGATGGAGTCTTGCTCTGTCGCCCAGGCTGGAATGCAGTGGCGCAATCTCAACTCACTGCAACCTCTGCCTCCTGGGTTCAAGGGATTCTCCTGCCTCAGCCTCCTGAGTAGCTGGGACTATAGGTGCCCGCCACCACGCCCAGCTAATTTTTTGTATTTTTAGTAGAGATGGGGTTTCACCTTGTTGGCCAGGATGGTCTCGATCTCCTGACCTCATGATCCACCCACCTCGGCCTCCCAAAGTGCTGGGATTACAGGCGTGAGCCACCGCGCCCGGTCATTTTTTTTTTTTTTAGACAGAGTCTCATTTTGTTGCCCAAGCTGGAGTGCACTGGCACAATCACGGCTCACTGCACCCTCAACCTGTCAGGCTCAAGTGAGCCTCCCACCTCAGCCTCCCTAGTAGTTGGGACTACAGGGGCACACCACTATGCCTAATTTTTTTTGAGACGGAGTTTCACTCTTGTTGCCCAGGCTGGAGTGCAGTGGCACAATCTTCGCTCACTGCAACCTCCACCTTCCAGGATCAAGCGATTCTCCTGGACTCAGCCTCCTGAGTAGCTGGGATTACAGGTGCACACCACCACGGCCAGCTAATTTTTGTATTTTTAGTAAAGACGGGGTTTTACCATGTTGGCCAGGCTGGTCAGGAACTCCTGACCTCAGGTGATCTGCTCGCCTCGGCCTCCTACAGTGCTGGGATTACAGGCGTGAGCCACCAGGCCGCCTGCATTTGCTTGTGTCCGGCCAGGGGATATTCCCATTCTGGGACTCATTTTAAAAACATTCGCTGTCAGGCCAGGCGCAGTGGCTCATGCCTGTAATCCCAGCACTGTGGGGGCCGGGCGCGGTGACTCACGCTGTAATCCCAGCACTGTGGGAGGCCGAGGCAGGCGCATCACGAGGTCAGGAGATCGAAACCATCCTGGCTAACATGGCAAAACCCCGTCTCTACTAAAAATACAAAAAATTAGCTGGGTGTGGTGGTGGGCGCCTGTAGTCTCAGCTACTTGGGAGGCTGAGGCAGAAGAATGGTGTGAACCCGGGAGGTGGAGGTTGCCGTGAGCCAAGATTGAGCCGCTGCACTCCAGCCTGGGTGACAGAGTGAGACTCTGTCTCAAAAAACAAAAAAAAAATCGCTGTCATCAGCTCATCTTTCTCAGCCTCAAAAACCCAATCCCAGGCTCATCCCACCTCCCATCTTGTCCATCTTACTTCTTACAGCTTTGTGACTCTGCCCCCTGAAGCTTCTGGAAGATCTCGGGTGGCAGAAAAGGAGAGAGCTTTCCTCCTTCATCGGAGTATACACGGCGGTGTCGGCCGGCAGGCTGGGGAATGGGAGCAGCTGCAGGCATGGTTGGCTTCAGGCGTGTTTTCCCTGCAAGCCATGGGTAACCAGGGGTCAAGCGGTGGGCCACATCCCACAGAGGAGATGCGGGCTTGGGGGATGCCCCAGGAGAGCCGCCTACTGCAGGAGACCCACCAAGCTTGGCGGCCGTCGACTGGGCCCTCTCCAGACACTGCTGTGCTAGCTTCAGCATCTTGGAGGTGTCGGGGGGCACAGTTTCCCCAGCTTCTGGGGGAGGGACAAGAAGGCTGGTCACAGTCGGCTCTACCACTGTTACTTACTGCTGAGATAAAATGAGGCAACGGAAAAGGCAGGCAAGCCCACTGCCCCCCTCAGCACCCCCACTGACCCCGGGCAAGCCCACTGCCCCCCCATCCCCTCACTGACCCTGGGCAAGCCCACTGCCCCCCCATCCCCTCACCCCGGGTAAGCCCACTGCCCCTCCCGTCCCCCAACTGACTGACCCTAGGCAAGCCCACTGCCCCCCCATCCCCTCACCCCGGGTAAGCCCACTGCCCCTTCCACCCCCCACTGACCCCGGGCAAGCCGACTATTCCTCATGGACCCCAGGCAAGGCCCCTGCCCCCACCATGGACCCCAGGCAAGTCCCCCCACCCACGCATTTCTAATCATCTGCCCTGGTTTTGCCTCCTGAGTCTGCTAAGGCTGTGGGCCCCTCATCGAGGCCCGTCACAGCCTCGACCCTAAACAGGCCTTTAGTGCTCACTCAGCTTCACTTGCAACTGCAGGCCTCTGGGAAGTGGCCGTTTTACAGAGACAAGGACGTGCTGAGGGGATCGCCTCACCCATCTCCCACCGGCTGTGTCCCCAAAGTCCTGCCTTCCCGTAGCTTGGCATGGAGCACCTCTGCGCGACCATGGACCTGCTCACACAGCCCTTCTGCGCGCCGTGGGAGCTGCCTCTCTGTGACTCGCCCCTGGACCCACCGCCCCAGCGCCTGACCCACCTCCCTGCTGCCCTTCACAGAAAACTTCTCATAGACTCCCATTTTCTCATCCCGCCCCGATTTAGCCCCCGACTCCCCCCGGAAACTGCCCTTACCCGTCCCCACCTTGCCAGACACGGTGGGCCACTGGAGTTCCTCTGTCTTCTGGGACTTTGCTCTCCCCAGGGGATCCTCTGCCACTCCTCCACCCAACTCCTCAATCTTGGAGCGCCAGAGCTCAGCCGAGCTCACCGGCTCCCTAGGGAGCTGGGGCAACTGTTAGCTCCCCCTGACCTGTGTGATCCTACGTCCAGTGGCTGCCCCGACCTCTGTGATCCCACGTCCAGGGGCTCCCCCGACCTCTGTGATCCCACGTCCAGTGGCTCCCCCGACCTCTGTGCTCCCACGTCCAGTGGCTCCCCCGACCTCTGTGCTCCCACGTCCAGTGGCTCCCCCGACCTCTGTGCTCCCACGTCCAGTGGGTCCCCCTGACCTCTGTGATCCCACGTCCAGTGGCTCCCCCTGACCTCTGTGCTCTATGTCCAGTGGCTCCCCCTGACCTCTGTGATCCTTTGTGCAGCGGCTGCTGGCCTCTCAAACTTAATGTGTTCATTGCGGAACTTGCTATTCCTCTCCTTGCCAGTTTGCTCCTGCCCCATCTGCCTCCTGCAAGTCTGCTCTGTTCCACCTTCAGGACGCACCCCGAGGCCGTTTACTGCTCCCATCCTGGGTGGTCTGGCCACTGCCATCCTCAGTCCTCACCTGAGGCTCCACTCCCAGGCTGTCCTCTCCCTCAAAGCTCAAAGTCTCTTCAAGTTTCCCTGCACACCAGAACGGCCCCAGTTCCACCCAAGGCATGCACACAGCCCCACCCCGCCCACTCCTATTTCAGGGCCTTTGCACACCCCACAGCTGGAATGCTGCCCCACGTCTGTGCCGCTCACTGGAGCCAGTGTCTTGCCACACCCCAGTCTCCATCTTCTTATCCACAACGCTGGTCCCTTCCTGCCACTATATCACACTGAGTGTGGGCTGGTCCACCTACTACAAATGGTCAGGCTAGAAGGATACAAGAGACCCCCGCCGAAGCCTGGCACCCATCAAGGGCTAGGATGCCCACAATTTGTCCAGCATGGAGGAAGCAGCAGGGCTCAGCCATGCCTTTTTCTTTTTCTTTTCTTTTTTTTTTTTTTGAGACGGAGTTTCGCTCTTGTTCCAGGCTGGAGTACAATGGGGTGATCTCGGCTCACTGCAACCTCTGCTCCCGGGTTCAAGCAATTCTCCTGCCTCAGCCTCCCGAGTAGCTGGGACTACAGACACCCGCCACCAGGCCCAGCTGATTTTTTAGATTTTTAGTAGAGACGGGGTTTCACCATGTTAGCCAGGATGGTTTCGATCTCCTGACCTCAGGTGATAGCCCGCCTCTGCCTCCCACAGTGCTGGGATTACAGGCGTGAGCCACCGCGCCCGGCTGGCTGAGCCGTACCTTTAGTGGTTTCCACTTCTTCTAGTAACACCTGGGAGATATAGTGGATGCTCCTCAGGTATTCCGTGTATGCCTCCTGTGTCCAGGAAAGAGAAAGAGTGGGGTCAGGCCAGTGGAGGGAAGTGACTCCATTATTCCGGCCAGGTGCCCTTGTGGGATAAGCAAGGAACACCACCACCTGCTTATCTCTGAGATACACCCAGAGACATTGAGCCTGCGGTGGTTAGCTGCAGCCGGAACACGGTTTTCTGCGCAGGGCACAGGCAGCATCGCTGCTCTCCAGACTTGGAAAAGACATCAGGACCTGAGAGAGAGAGAGAGCCAGGGACGAGCTGGACCTCATTTTCTCCTCTGACTGCCTTTCTCTCCAGCACAGGAACTGATATTCTCATTCAGTGGGCCTGGGGAAGTGACCTCAGCAGTTTGCTGTCATTTTTCATTCTATGCAATGTTTCCTTCTTGTGCAACTCAAGGGTGATTCATTCAGTGGCTTAAAAAAATACTTTTCTGAGAGGATAAAGGGAGTGATACTGGAAGTTTTCAAATCACTTCCCGGTTTAAGTTCCGAGAAATCCCTTTCCCAGAACCTGCGAGTTACGTATTTCCAGTGCACACAGGAGCCTAGAACTGTTACCTTTCAAGGCTGTGTGACCCCTCTGACAAGGCACAGGTCATTGGAACCACAGAATGGTGGTTTGTTTTGTTTTGTTGAGACAGAGTCTCACTCTGTCGCCCAGGCTGGAGTGCAGTGGCAGGATCTCGAGTCACTGCAACCTCCGCCTCCTGGGTTCAAGTGATTCTCATCCCTCAGCCTCCCAAGGAGCTAGGATTACAGGTGTGCACCGCCACACCCAGCTAATTTTTGTATTTTTAGTAGAGACGGGGTTTCACCACGTTGGCCAGGCTGGTCTCAAACTCCTCACCTCAGGTGATCCACCGCCTGGGCCTCCCAAAGTGTCAGGATTACAGGCGTGAACCACAGCGCCCAGCAATATGCTATGTTTTTTTGTTTTATCCCTAGCTGTTAAGTTTCCTATCTTTAAGTCTATGCCTCAGAGAGAAAGACGAAATATAATCCAGGCAGGATTTCTGACTTGCGGGGGCACCTGCTGCCCTAAAAACCAACTTGGGGAAAGCAGCAGATTCAGGAACGAGGCTTCTCCTAGGCACAGGCAGGCTCCTTCCCTCCTTGGGCAGCCGGGTGTGGCTGGGCCAGCTTCTCTACCTGGTCGCCAACCTTAGATTCGGCCCCATCTCAGGAACGGGCCACACCCCTCCGGCCTGCTTTTCCTTCCTAAGACGACTGCAAACAGCATCACAAATGAGCAGGTATGTGGCCTTCTCTGCATGCCGTCCCCTGTGGCAACCGGATTAAATCTACCATCTCTGCCCAGAAAAATGCACGAACGCACGGACCTGCCCGTCACTCGGATTTTGGAAGGTGGCCTGGCGGACCCTCCTGCTACATCTCCTCTACAGGTGGAGCCCAGGCTGTGATGCACCGGCTCAGCGAGCGGAGTGGAAAGCCAAGGTCCGCAGGATCTGAGCTGTCCAAGGTCACTGCACGCCCGGCTGCGCCCCGCCCCCGTCCTCGCCCGGGAACCGCGGCCCGGGATCCCGGCTGGCGCCCGCTCCCAAGTCTCCAGCCCGAGCCGGCCCCGTCCTCGCCCTCCCCGGGCGGGGGTCCCTCCAGGGGCCACCCTCAGCGGCCAAGCCCCGCCCCCGCCCCGCCTCACCCGGGGCCGGTTGCCGGTGTCCAGCTCGATGGCCCCGTTGGCAAGCTTCATGGCGCTCTGCAGCGGCTTCACCGTGCCGTCCCCGGCCGCAGCGGCCATGGCGCCGAGCGGGGGAGGCGGCGGCGGTAGCCGAGGGGCTGGACGGGCGACCGGAGGCCCGGAACGCAGCCGGCGCTGGTGCTGGAGCCGCCCGAGCAGCGGACCGCAGGAAGGGACGCGGCCGCACTTCCGGCGACGGGCCCCCTCCGCGCGTACTGCGGGCCCCACGGGTGTTAGTGGCGGGGGCGGCAGAGTCCGGGTGGGTTGTCGCGACGGAGCCGGGCCTCTTCGCCGTCTTGAGACGGGGCTGGCGAGAAGGGCCCCTCACGGAGTTGCCATGGGCGTCTAACCGCGGCAGCCAGGCCCCTCTCTACGTGAGACCCCGGCCCCCCTCCCCTTTCTGCAGCCCGCCCGCCACCTGCGCGCCGCGTGGCCTCCGCCGGCGCCTGCCCGCCCCGCGCCTCCGTCTCCCACGGTAAGAGGCGGTGAGGGCCGCGTCGCCTCTCCCTGGAGGACTCGTCGTGAGGTGTCGGCGAGCCCCTCCGCCCACCGCCCCGCCCCAGGCCAGCGCTCCATTGGCGACAGAGGCGGGCACGGCCGCCCTCGGGCCCGAGAGGGGAGCGGTACGAGCGGGGGCGCTGGCACCGCGGGTGGAACCTCGGCCGGCGGGGTCCCGCCCCTGGCCCCTGGCCCGCCCCGCCCGCCTCGCTTTGCTTCTCGCTCCGCCCCTCCCCCGCCCCGCCTCGCTTCCAGCGCGCCGAGCGGAGCCTAACGCCGGGTCCTCTAGGAACCTCGGGCCGGGCAGCACCCGCGGGATTCTGCTGGCGTCCTCCGCTGCCATGAAGCGGGACCGGCTGGGCCGCTTCCTGTCTCCTGGGTCGTCCCGACAGTGCGGGGCCTCGGACGGCGGCGGCGGCGTCAGCCGGACTCGGGGCCGCCCTTCCCTTAGCGGTGGGCCGAGGGTGGACGGGGCGACGGCGCGGCGCGCCTGGGGCCCGGTGGGGTCCTGCGGGGACGCGGGCGAGGACGGCGCGGACGAGGCAGGTGGGTCCGCGGCCCGGGCGTGGCGGGTTGGGGTCGCGGCAGGGGTTGCTCGTGGGAGGAGCCGCACTGACGCCCGGAAGCCGGCGCGGCCTCTCCTCCACCCGGCCAAGGGCGTAGCGGACTCGGGGCTGCGTCGGGATAGGCGCTGGGCGGCCGGCTCGGTTTTCCTCGCGCTCCGTGACGCCGGCGTCGCCGGCCCGGCCTCCCCGGCCGCGGGCTCGGCCAGAAGGGACCCGGCGTGAGGAGCGCTGTCACCGCGGGCAGGTCGCCCTGGGGTGCCCGCGCGTGGGAATCGCCCTCCCCTGCTTCGTGCCCTCGCGGAGCCGGAAAGGAGGCGGCACCTGCAATTGGCAGACAGGAAACCGCGGCGTTTCCTGGAGGGCGCAGCGCCTGCCCCGGGTCTCGCGGTCGCTGGGAGGAGGGTGCAGTTCCAGGTTTCACTCTTGAAGTTGCTTCGCTGGAGAGGCCTTAGAGGCCTTTGAAATTTGAAAGATTTCTTGGACCAGCGGCCACATCCCCCACAGGGCGGCTTGTCCCGCCGAGAGCCGCGCGCCCGAGCCGCTTGCTGTGTCCGGGAGCCGCGCGAAGGGCGCTGCAGGCGCTGCCCTCGGACCTGGAGTCCGGGACGCCCTGTGCTCAGGAGCCTCCTTTGCCAGCTGCTAACACTTCCTGCCGCTCTGTGCAGGAGCAGGCCGGGCTCTCGCCATGGGTCACTGTCGCCTCTGCCACGGGAAGTTTTCCTCGAGAAGCCTGCGCAGCATCTCCGAGAGGGCGCCTGGAGCGAGCATGGAGAGGCCATCCGCAGAGGAGCGCGTGCTCGTACGGGACTTCCAGCGCCTGCTTGGTGTGGCTGTCCGCCAGGACCCCACCTTGTCTCCGTTTGTCTGCAAGAGCTGCCACGCCCAGTTCTACCAGTGCCACAGCCTTCTCAAGTCCTTCCTGCAGAGGGTCAACGCCTCCCCGGCTGGTCGCCGGAAGCCTTGTGCAAAGTACGCCCTAGTCTGTTCAGAGCACGTTCAGGCTGTCAGTACTGCAGTGTGACGGGTGTTGAGAGAGGGACAGGGCGTGCCTCCGCGGGAGCCTCTGGGTGGGGGGAATGGGCCATGCCCGGGTTCAGTGCCAACAGCCCTGGGACTGTTGTGGAGAGATGAACTGGGAGGAGCTGGGGTGAGGGAAGAGAAAGTTGCCTATGGGGACCGCTGAGGTTTGAGATCTCGAGAGGGTCCCGTACGACGAGCGCTGTGAACCTCCGCCTGCTTGTCCTGCTCATGGCCACACTGATCCTTTGCAGGGTCGGTGCCCAGCCCCCAACAGGGGCAGAGGAGGGAGCGTGTCTGGGTGAGTCCTCCCCCGGTGGAGGGTGGGCTGGGTGCCGACCAGCCGTGGATCTGACATCTCTGTTGACTCTCTGCAGTGGATCTGATCACATCCAGCCCCCAGTGCCTGCACGGCTTGGTGGGGTGGGTGCATGGACATGCGGCCAGCTGCGGGGCCCTGCCCCACCTTCAGAGGACACTGTCCTCCGAGTACTGCGGCGTCATCCAGGTCGTGTGGGGCTGCGACCAGGGCCACGACTACACCATGGATACCAGCTCCAGCTGCAAGGCCTTCTTGCTGGACAGTGCGCTGGCAGTCAAGTGGCCATGGGACAAAGAGACGGCGCCACGGCTGCCCCAGCACCGAGGGTGGAACCCTGGGGATGCCCCTCAGACCTCCCAGGGTAGAGGGACAGGGACCCCAGTTGGGGCTGAGACCAAGACCCTGCCCAGCACGGATGTGGCCCAGCCTCCTTCGGACAGCGACGCGGTGGGGCCCAGGTCGGGCTTCCCACCTCAGCCAAGCCTGCCCCTTTGCAGGGCCCCAGGTAGGAGGCACCTCTTGCTGGTGCTAGACCAGGATGTGTGCTCCTCAGTGGGGCAGGGTTTTCAGCAGAAAGTGAATGTCTCCACTGCTCTAGGTGGTGGCTGGGGTGTGGTGTGAGAAGGAGCAGAGCTTGGGGCTTCTGCCTGCGGCTGCTCACCACATCCAGAGAGCAGGGAGGGGCGGCCAGCCTGTCTCCGCCTCTTGCTCCTCTGTGAGCAGGGCTCTGTTCCAGCAGTTTCTGTGGAGACACGCTCATCAGCCGTCGAGTCTTTTTCTAAGCCTGTGCTTGGGGCTGAGGGGACTGAGGAAGAGGGAAGAATAGGGCCTTGTCTGTGGATGTGGGAGAAAAGAATGGCCGTTGCCTCTGCGGCTGCTGCCCTGGGCCAGCTGCAGGTCATTTCCTGGCACTCAGCCAGCCGCCTGGTGACACCCTGGTGTGGGCCAGTGTGGCGCAGCTTTCTCTGCTGACAGGCTGAGGGGAAACACAAGGCCCTTGTTTGGGCCCCAGAACCCATAGCACTGTGGGCTGGTGCAGCTGCTCCTGGATGTTGTTTTAGGAGGGCCAGGGCCAGTTTCCCTCCGGCCTCTTGTCCTGTGTGTGCTCTGTGCACCTGTCCCCACCTGAGCACTCAGTTCCCACTTTGAGTCTTGAGGGGAGCTTCCGAAAAGCGTAGCTACCTGTAATCCCAGCACTTTGGGAGGCTGAGGTGGGTGGATCACTTGAGGTCACGAGATCAAGACCAACCTGGCCAACATAGCGAAACCCCATCGCTAATAAAAATACAAAAACTAGCCAGGTATGGTGGTGGGCATCTGTAATCCCAGCTACTCTGGAGGCTGAGGCACGAGAATCACTTCAGCCTGGGAGGCGGAAGTTGCAGTGAGCCGACATCGCACAACCGTACTCCAGCCTGGGTGACAGAGCAAGACTCTGTCCCAAACAGAAACACAGCTACCCAGATAGTTTAGCTAGATACGGGTGCACAGATGAGACAGTGCGGCTCGGGGGCCTCAGGTAGGAACGGGATTGTGAGTGTCACATCTTAGAGCTGCTTGGCTCTGTAAACTTGTATGCAGTGTGTTGAGAACAATTCTATCTATCTGTGTATCTATCTACCTACCTACCTATCTATCTTCCTACTTCTTTGTCTCTCTCTATCTACCTACCTATCTGTATATCTATGTATCTACTTATCTACCTATTTATCTATTTATTTACCTACTTATCTATCTATCTATGTGTTTATTTATTTTTGAGACAGAGTCTCGTTTTGTAGCCCAGGCTGGAGTGCGGTGGTGCCATCTTGGCTCACCGCTACCTCAGCCTCCCGAGTAGCTGGGATGACAGGCACATGCCACCACGCCCACCTAATTTTTGTATTTTTAGTAGAGATGGGGTTTCACCATGTGGGCCAGGCTTGGTCTCGAACTCCTGACCTCGTGATCCACCTGCCTCAGCCTCCCGAGTAGCTGGGATGACGGGCACGTGCCACCACGCCCACCTAATTTTTGTATTTTTAGTAGAGATGGGGTTTCACCATGTTGGCCAGGCTTGGTCTCGAACTCCTGACCTCGTGATCCACCTGCCTCAGCCTCCCGAGTAGCTGGGATGATGGGCACGCGCCACTACGCCCACCTAATTTTTGTATTTTTAGTAGAGATGGGGTTTCACCATGTTGGCCAGGCTTGGTCTTGAACTCCTGACCTCGTGATCCACCTGCATCAGCCTCCCAGAATGCTGGGATTACAGGTGTGAACCACCGCGCCCAGCCAAGAACAATACTTTTTAAAACTTATTTTAGGCCAAGTGCAGTGGTTCACGCCTGTAATCCCAGCACTCTGGGATGCTGAGGTAGGCGGATCACGGGGTCAGGAGATCGAGACCATCCTGACTAACACGGTGAAACCCCATCTCTACTAAAAATACAAAAAATTAGCTGGATGTGGCTGTGGTTGCCTGTAGGCCCAGCTACTTGGGAGGCTGAGGCAGGAGAATCGCTTGACCCTGGGAGGCGGAGATTGCAGTGAGCTGAGATTCTACCACTACGCTCTGGCCTGACCGACAGAGCAAGATTCTGTCTAAAAAAGAAAAAAACAAAACAAAGAAAACTTATTTTAAGTAGAGACAGGGTCTCACTCTTTTGCCCAGGCTGGTCTTGAATTTCTGTCTTCAAGTGATCCTTCTGCCTTGGCCTCCCAAAAGGCTGAGATTATAAGCATGAACCTTCAGGCCTGGCCGAGAGAACAGTAATATTTATTTATTTATTTATGGAGTCTCGCTCTGTCGCCACCAGGCCTGGCCGAGAGAACAGTATTATTTATTTATTGATGGAGTCTCACTCTGTCGCCCAGGCTCGAGTGCAGTGGCACAATCTCGGCTCACTGCAGCCTCTGCCTCCTGGGTTCAAGTGATTCTCCTGTCTCAGCCTCCCGAGTAGCTGGGATTACAGGCTTGTGCCACCACACCCTGCTAATTTTTTTGTATTTGTATTTGTATTTGTTTTGAGAAGGAGTTTCACTCTTTGTTACCCAGGCTGGAGTGCAGTGGCACGATATCAGCTCACCACAACCTCTGCCTCCCAGGTTCAAGCGATTCTCCTGCCTCAGCCTCCCGAGTAGCTGGGATTACAGGCATGCACCACTATGCCTGGCTATTTTTGTATTTTTTAGTAGAAATGGGGTTTCTCCATGTTGGTAAGGCTGGTCTCGACCTCCCGACTTCAGGTGATCCGCCCACCCCGGCCTCCAAAGTGCTGGAATTGCAGGCATGAGTTACCACGCCCAGCTCAATTTTTTGTATTTTTTGTAGAGACGGGGTTTAACCATGTTAGCCAGGTTGGTCTTGATCTCCTGACCTTGTGATCCACCCGCGTCAGCCTCCCAAAGTGCTGGGATTACAGGCGTGAGCCACTGCACCCGGACTGAGAATAGTAATTTTTAATTATTTTATTTTTTTGAGTCGGAGTCTTGCTCTTTTGCCCAGGCTGGAGTGCAGTGCGCGATCTCGGCTCACTGCAATGTCTGCCTCCCGGGTTCAAGCGATTCTTCTGCCTCAGCCTCCCAGGTAGCTGGGATTACAGGTGTGTGCCACCATGCCCGGCTAATTTTTGTATTTTTAATAGAGATGGGGTTTCACCACGTTGGCCAGGCTGGTCTCGATCTCCTGACCTCGTGATCCACCTGCATCGGCCTCCCAAAGTGCTGGGATTACAGACATGAGCCACCGTGCCTGGCCTAGTAATTTTTTAAATGTCTCAGAACATCCACCAAGTCCAGGCTGTCCTAGAAGGACTGGATCGGAGTCAGTGGAAGGACTGGGCTTTCTGGTTCTGCTGTTCCTGAGGGTTCTGATGCTTGTTGCTGCCTGTGTGCTTCTGGACGTTGGGCTGGCAGGGCAGGATCAGAGGCTGCATAGCACCCTTGGTGGGGATGGGGCCATGGTGGGGAGAACTTGAGGGTCAGGGACCCCAGTCTCCCTTCTAGTCATCAATAGTAGAATCATGCCTCCTTGCAGGTGAGACCTTTCTGTGCTCCGTGTTGGTAACAGGAGCCTTGTTCTTTGTTTCTCAGGGCAGTTGGGTGAGAAGCAGCTTCCATCTTCAACCTCGGATGATCGGGTAAAAGACGAGTTCAGTGACCTTTCTGAGGGGTGAGAGAAGAGTGGGTTTAAACAGCCTAAAATTTCTCCTTCAAAAACCATCAGTGACCTTTCTGAGGGGTGAGAGAAGAGTGGGTTTAAACAGCCTAAAATTTCTCCTTCAAAAACCAAACAGCCATCGTAGGGTCGGCTGCCCATGCGCTGGTACCAAACTAAGCCATCACAGGGGCCGGCTGTCCGTGCCCTGGTTGGGACACGCCTCCTCTCGAGGTGGCGGGAGAGGAGGGGCTGGGGAGCTTCCGAGGCTTCTTGTCTCTGATTGATGGTTTCCTGGGTGCCAGAGAGCACTCCCAGACCTGAGGCAGCTCCAGAGGGAGCCTGATAGGGTTTCTGACCCAGAGCAGCCTAGAAATGAGTTTGTTGAAACCACTCTGGCTGGGTCCTTTGCTTCTGCTACTGTTTTAGGGCCATAGTTTTGTGTTCGCTCCAGATGTTTCTGGAGTAGAGAAACCCCGACTTTAGCCCTTGACTATGACACTGTTGTGGCTTGAAGCCGAGGCTCTGCGAGGAGGTGTTGCAGGAGGACGGGCCTCAGAAGGGACCTCATCAGTGTCTGCAAACTCCCTGGGCCACCCCTGCCTCTGAGCCAAGCGCCATTCAGGGCAGCTGTGCCAGGCTGGGGTTTGCACCGTTTCCACCCTCTCCTGTAAACCTTGGCTGCAACACAGATGCACCTCATCCAAATGAGGACACCCCAGTTTGGGGGCCAATCCCAGTGGGATGTGCAGTGATGAAATCGGGCAGGTGCCAGGAGGCACCTGGGGTGGCTAAGACTGTCCTCAGGACCACCAGGACACAAAACCGCAGCTGAGGTTATAGCATAAAGGCCACAAATCTTTTTTTTTTTTTTTTTTTCCTTTTGTGAACTTTTTTTTTTAGACCGAGCCTTACTCTGTTGCCCAGGCTGGAGTGCAGTGGTGTGACCTCAGCTCACTGCAAACTCCACCTCCCGCGTTCAAGTGATTCTCCCGCCTCAGCCTCCCGAGTAGCTGGGATTACAGGCGCCCGCCACCACACCCAGCTAAGTTTTGTATTTATTTATTTTTTTTTTATTTGAGACGGAGTCTCGCTGTGTTGCCCAGGCTGGAGTGCAGTGGCACAATCTCGGCTCACTGCAAGCTCTGCCTCCCGGGTTCACGCCATTCTCCGGCCTCAGCCTCTGAGTCGCTGGGACTACAGGCACCCGCCACCACGCCCGGCTAATTTTTTGTATTTTTAGCAGAGACGGGGTTTCACTTTGTTAGCCGGGATGGTCTTGATCTCCTGACCTCGTGATCCGCCCGCCTCTGCCTCCCAAAGTGCTGGGATTACAGGTGTTAGCCACCGCACCCGGCCAATTTTTGTATTTTTAGTAGAGACGGGGTTTCACGGTATTGGCCAGGCTGGTCTTGAACTCCTGACCTCATGCGATCCACCTACGTCACCCTCCCAAAGTGCTGGGATTACAGGAGTTAGCCTCTGCACCCAGCCACTTTTGTGAACTTAGAAGTGACTCATGGCAAACCCATCAGTTGCATAGGGTTCGCAGTTATGGGGTGAGGTGGTCGATTTCTCAAAGTCTGCTTAGCAGGAAGCTACCTTTGAGCGCCTCCACCCCTTCTGGGCCGCTGTGGAAAGGGCTGTTTCCAAGTCCAGTGTCCTGGTGCCCAGAGCACATGGCTTGTGGGGATTGCTGGCTTGTGAGCCTGGCTGGCCCTTTGTGTTCGGAAACGGGATTGGAAATTTGGGGATTTTAGATTTAAGACATTTTCAGAAGAACTCAAATGTGGGACATGGGGGTCCATTTGGTATCTTTAGGCAGGAGGTCGTGTTGGGTCTGTCACTGCCCAGGCCCAGGGCTTTGCTGAAGATTCTCTCTTAATTCCTAGAGACGTCTTGAGTGAAGATGAAAATGACAAGAAGCAAAATGCCCAGTCTTCGGACGAGTCCTTTGAGCCTTACCCAGAAAGGAAGTAAGTGGGCAGCCCGGGGTCTGCTGGAGGCATCCGTTGGGCGACCTAGACACCCGCCTGTGCTCCAGGGCCTCTCCCCGGTGCCCACTCAGTTCACTCTCTCGTGTGCGGATCTCCCGAGCCCAGTGAAACGTGGCTTCCCTCAGTGAGCGGGAGGCGGGGGAGGGGCAGGCGGGCAGGTGAGAAGGTGGGTCCTCCTGGTGCTTTGGAGCTGGGACCTGGTCTCGGCACTGTGAGGCTGCCTCAGAGTCCCAGCAGTGGATGGCAGGTGTCTCTGTCGACAGAACCCCGCCTTGCTTGAGAAGGAGGCTCTTACGTCCCTTCTGCCGGTCCTGCCCTGGGTTCACACCCCAGTGTACCCCCGAAGCCCCCAACCCGTCGCTTCTGCTTTGTGTGCGTCCCCAGAGGCCCGAGGACCCAGCTCTGTCATCCTCCCAGTTCTGACCCCATCACTGATGTCCATGGCCAGGCAGCCACGGTCCACTTCCCTGTTGAATGACTTCTGTGAGCTTGTTTTGACTTTGTTTTTAGGGATTTTTATTTTCTCTCTTCAGTTAGAACACAGGCCCTGGTAGTGAGGGCTGGTTTTCACTTGTGCTGTTTTCTTTGCAGCCCTATACCCAGCAGTACCCAGAACACTCCCAGGTAGTTGGTGACTGACCCAGTCCCTGTCCTTGAGCATTTCACAGCCCAGAACAAAGGTCCAGAGGGCAGGTGGCTCTGAGCACCACCGTCAGCCACTAGAACCCTGCTGTGCAGACTGAGAGGTCAACGGCCTTTTTTCATGGAAGTTCTGATGCTGTTAAGTTCTGAAAAGAGAAACGGGAGCAGTGGAGGAGGCCCGGAGAGAGATGCGAAGCAGAGGGCAGGACTGAGCCAGAGGGGCTGCAGCAGCTTCAGCATGAACAGAAAACTGGTCAGGCCCAGAAAAGGTGCCCGGGGGTCCCTACCCCCAGGCTTGTTCCCAGGAGTCATGGCTGGGAGTGCCGCCTGAGGCTGCTGTACGGAAGCCCCCACTCCGTGACCCTCCGGGTTGAGTCTGAATCCCAGGACACCTGAGAATGTGTCTCTGGCTTGCTGCCCAGAAGGTCTGGGGCTGCTGGTGTGAGGAGGGCTGGGAGCTGGGATGGGAGGAGCCAGGCGAGCCTTTTCCGGATCGAGGCAGATTCAGGAGGGGAGGGTCCTCTCTGCTGAGCCCCTGCTGCTGTGACAGGGACAGCACACTCAGACTGTGTCACTAGTCCCTCTGGGACCCCAGGAGTGCAGACAAAGACGTGCTTTGGAACAGAGACACGGGAGATACGTTTTCAGAGGTCTCTAATAAAAGGGGTGACTTCAGTGGAAACCGCTGCGCAGGAGGCAGGACTGGGTGGTAGCAAGCATGGCCTCCTGACTGCGGCGAGTACCAGGGGCACTTGGTTCCCCAGCTGCCACCGTGAGACCCCCCTGGGAACCCAGAAGGGCCTCTGCACAGCCCCCGGCCCGTGTGCTGCCTCCCAGTCTTGTCAACCCTGACCTTGGAGTTCTAGCGGGCGTGCCCGCCTGTGTCCTCAGCTGGGGGCGCATGAGAAGAGACTTCTGTGATGTGTTAATGAGGGGTCAGTGGTTCCCGCCAGAGGGGAAGGCCAGGGCCTGCACCCCCATGGGGAAAGAACTGACAGGCAGCAGTGAGGCCTGAGCCCAGCCCACCCGGTCCGCAAAGATTCCCGTCCCAAACACGAGGGCACAGAGACTGCGGGTGCTCTGAAGCCTCCTGTGCTGAGGAGGTGAGTGGTCATTGTGGGAACGGCATGGCCAGCCACTCACAAACAAGGGGCCACCCAATCCAGGCAGGCAGGGCAGGTGAGGGGGACATGTGGCTAGGTCATGAAAACCAGTTATTAGGGACAGGGAGAGAAGGCGCAGCCTGTGCGAAGTCAACAGTTCTTCTCAGTGCGTTTTTGTCTTGTTTCTGAGATGGAGTCTTGCTCTGTTGCCCAGACTGGAGTGCAGTGGCACGATCTTGGCTCACTGCAACCTCCGCCTCCCGAGTTCAAGTGATTCTCCTGCCTCAGCCTCCTGAGTAGCTGGGATTACAGGCATGTGCCACCATACCTGGCTAATTTTTGTATTTTTAGTAGAGATGGGATTTCTCCCACGTTGGCCACACTGGTCTCGAACTCCTGACCTCATGATCCGCCCGCCTCAGCCTGCCAAAGTGCTGGGATTACAGGCGTGAGCCACCGCGCCGGCCTCAATGCACTCTTTAAAGAGAAGGGCAGTTAGCGACAGGGTCTCATGTTGTTGCCTAGGCTGGGGTGCCCTGGCACGATCATGGCTGACTGCAGCCCTGTGCGCTCAAGTGAGCCTCTCACCTCAGCCTCCCAGGGTGCTGGGACTGCCAACATGAGCCACTGGACTCGGCAGTGTAAACTACTTTTTTCATGCTATTGCATATGTATTGTTCATTGATAATATATAGAAACATAACTGGGTTTTGTGTATGGATTTTGTGCCCTGCAACTTTGCTGAAATAATTAATTAGGGTTTTTTGTATGTGGATCTTTAGGGTTTTCTACGTAGAAGGTCGTGTCATTTGTGAATAGGGAGAATTTGTCTTTGTTTTCTTTTTCTTGCCCAGTTACTCTGGCTAGGGCCTCCAGTGCTGCCCTGAGAGCAGTGGTGAGAGAATCCGTATCTTGTTCCTGACCTTGGAGGAAGAGCTTTCAGTCCTTCACAGTTGAGCGTGGTGTCTGCTGTGGGTTTCATGTAGAGGTTTTATCGTGGTGAAGAAGTTCCTTTCTGTTCTTGAGATATTTCCTTAACTATTCTTACCTGGATCCAGAAAGGAACCACAAGTGCGTCTCTCTCTTTAAGTCTCCGATAGACGCACACTGGAAGCTGCTGCATTTGCTGGTCCCTCAGGGACTTGCCAGACCAACTAAAATGCACGACCCCAGACTTTTGGAGGACAAGGTCTCCTGCCCACCATGGTCCCAGCCAGCAGCTCCAGGAACACAGGCTGGGCTCCCTGCAGTGGAGGCGGGGTTGAGGAATGCTGGGGTGGCAGCTACTCACCGTGTGCTTCCCAGGGAGCATCACCTGTTCCTCTGAAGCCCTGCCTGGGTGGCTTGAGCTTGGAATCAAGCTGACCCATTTTGAGAGAGTGGATTCTGAGCTTTTTCCTAGCGTAAGGTCGTTTTGATAAAGGAGTGGTCCTTTGGACATCCCTGTTCTGCCGTCCTGATACCTCTAGTTGTGGGTTTTATGTGTAGCACAGGGTGAAGCTTTAGTTCTCAGAACCCACCCCTGCTGTACCCTGTGCCCTCGCCCTCCGCTGTGTTTGCCCTGACCCTCCTGTACCCTGCGTCCTCGCCCTCTGCTGTGCTCACCCGACCCTGCTGTACCCTGCGCCCTCGTCCTCTGCCGTTTGCCCCTGACCCTGCTGTACCATGCCCTCGCCCTCTGCTGTGTTCACCCTGACCCTGCTGTACCCTGCGCCCTCACCCTCTGCTGTGTTCACCTGACCCTGCTGTGTCCTGCGCCCTTGCCCTCTGCTGTGCTCGCCCTGACCCTGCTGTACCCCGCTGTACCCTGCGCCCTCGCCCTCTGCTGTGTTCACCCCGACCCTGCTGTACCCTGCGCCCTCATCCTCTGCTGTGCCCTCCCCCTCTGCTGTGTTCGCCCTGACCCTGCTGTACCCTGCGCCCTCGCCCTCTGCTGTGTTTGCCCTGACCCTGCTGTACCCTGCGCCCTCGCCCTCTGCTGTGTTCACCCCTGACCCTGCTGTGTCCTGCGCCCTTGCCCTCTGCTGTGCTCGCCCCTGAGGCCTCCTGTCCAGAGTTGCTCTGGCTTTGGTGGCTTCAGGTAGATTCTGAGGGTCAGTCAGCACAGAAGCAACTCAGGGAAGCTTCAGAAAAGACCATTTCTCAGGTTGGAGAGACAAAAAACATTTTGCAAATGGAGATCAGAAACCATTGAATTTGGGAACCTCTTTTTTTCAGAGTCTCTGGTAAGAAGAGTGAAAGCAAAGAAGCCAAGAAGTCTGAAGAACCAAGAATTCGGAAGAAGCCGGGACCCAAGCCCGGATGGAAGAAGAAGCTTCGTTGTGAGAGGTGATGCCTGCAACGCGAGGCTCGCCCTGCCTGTCGGGGCCGGGGCTCCATGCATGCTCTTCATTGCAGGGAGGAGCTTCCCACCATCTACAAGTGTCCTTACCAGGGCTGCACGGCCGTGTACCGAGGCGCTGACGGCATGAAGGTGAGCACTGGCTGTGCCTGACCCAGGCCCGGCAGCTGTCAGTGTGAACCTGGGGGAGGTAGCAGGTGTTTCTGCAGCCTAACTCAGACTTGCGCCCAAGGACACTTTGACCTAGGTTAACCGAGACCTGAAGCAGTCCTAGCCAGTGCCATCCTTGGGGGTAGATGTGAGGCCAGACTTTCACTTGAGACACCCCCCGGGGGGTCTAGAAGTTTCTTGGAGTGAAGCTGTGAAGGAGCCAGTGGTGTCGCTGGAGGAGGAGTTGGATCTGCCTTCCAGGGGCCTCAGCTGTCACCTACTGAGGGCTCGTGCCATGTGGCCCGGGTGCGGCTCTGAGGGTCTCTCACCGAGTCTCTCCTTCAGAAGCACATCAAGGAGCACCACGAGGAGGTCCGGGAGCGGCCCTGCCCCCACCCTGGCTGCAACAAGGTTTTCATGATCGACCGCTACCTGCAGCGCCACGTGAAGCTCATCCACACAGGTACGCCTATCGCCAGTGTCGCCCACGCGGGTGACAGCCAGGGGCACGTGACCTGCTTTCCAGTCTTCCTCATACCCATCCCCGCCCCAAGAGTTGGGGGTGCGTGAAGGTGGCTCATGGGGTCTTTGGTACTCAGTCACGTTGGTAGATGAAGGCTAGAGTAGGGCGTCAGTGTGAATCTGCCCTTCCCTGTGATGGAAGGAATTCCTGACTTCCCCAGGATCTAGGCAGTTTGTCAAAACTAATAGCCAAGCAATCTTGGTGTCCTTTTGCAAATTGGTCATTTTATTTTTTAATTTTTTTTTGAGACGGAGTCCTGCTCTGTTGCCCAGGCTGGAGTGCAGTGGCACCATCTTGGCTCACCACAACCTCTGCCTCCCAGGTTCAATCAATTCTCCCGCCTCAGCCTCCCAAGTAGCTGGGATTACAGGCACCCGCAACCATGCCTGGCTAATTTTTGTAATTTTTGGTAGAGACGGGGTTTCACCATGTTGGCCAGGGTGATCTCTAACTCCTGACCTCAAGTGATCTCAGCCTTCCAAAGTGCAGAGATTACAGGTGTGAGCACTGCACCTGGCCCAAACAAGTGTATCTTAAAAGGCAAGGCAGAAGGCATGAAGGCACACCAGCTCTGGGGAGCTGCCCACGTGGACAGGCGGGAGGCACGTGTGGTTCTGCCTTTTCACATGTGTGTAGGTCGTGTCATTAAGACCGGAGGCGGATGGGGGAATTATGACTGAGGGTGCTGTCTCTGTGCCCGTCTTATTTTTCACAATTTCTATAATGCACAAGTTACTTTTATAATCCAACAAGGATATGTTTTCAAAATGACAAACTTGGCCGGGCGTGGTGGCTCACACCTGTAATCCCAGCACTTTGGGAGGCTGAGGTGGGTGGATCACCTGAGGTCAGCAGTTCAAGACCAGCCTGGCCAACATGGTAAAACCTGGTCTCTACTAAAAATACAAAAATTATCTGGGTGTGGTGGCACACGCCTGTAGGCACAGCTACTTGGGAGGCGGAGGTGGAGGTTGCAGTGAGCCGAGATCACACCACTGCACTCCAGCCTGGGCAACAGTGAGACACTGTCTCAAAAAAAAAACTTGTTTGAACCACGTGGACCCACATATCCATGGTCAGGGACTCGAATCCCTGGTATTCAGAGGGCTGCCTTTTCCTAAGTGCAGGTTCTGTAGGGTCTTTGCAGGGCTAACTTCGGGACTTCAGTATGAGCAGATTTTGGTAAGGGGTGGGGGGGGGCCTGGAACCAGCTGAGGACAACTGTATATTGATCCTTACACACACAGTTTTCCTTGGTTTTGAACTTATTACAGAATAAGAATTATTTATTCTTACTTGAATTTACTGAAGTATTTTTTCATTAGGATTGCTTTTCACTGCTGGGTCATCTCCCGACATGCGGGTTGTTATTTTTTGGGTTCTCCGACATCTCTCCTGATGGCAGCACTTCCTTGGGTTTGGTCCTTCAGACTCTGCATCTGTCCGGTCACTGATGGTCACAACCAGCAGTTCCTTAAAAACCTGAAATTGGGCCGGGTGCAGTGGCTCATGCCTGTAATCGCAGCACTTTGGAGGCTAAGGCAGTAGGATTGCTTGAGGCCAGGATTTTGACACCAGCCTGGGCAACATAGTGAGGCCGTCTTTACCAAAAACTTTTTTTTTAATTTATTGATGGAAACAGTCTCACTCTTATCACCATGGCTGGAGTGCAGTGGCGCGATCTTGGCTCACTGTAACCTCCACCTCCCTAGTTCAAGCAATTCTCCTGTCTCAGCCTCCTGAGTAGCTGGGATTACAGGCATCTGCCACCACGCCGGGGGTGTTTTTTTTTGTTTGTTTGTTTGTTTTTTTGACTGAGTCTTGCTCTTGTCGCCCAGGCTGGGGTGCAGTGGCACAATCTCAGCTCACTGCAAGCTCCTCTTCCTGGGGTAAAGCCATTCTCCTGCCTCAGCCTCCCAAATAGCTGGGACTACAGGTGCTGGCCACCACACCCAACTAATTTTTCGTATTTTCAGTACAGACGGGGTTTCACCACGTTAGTGAGGCTGGTCTCAATCTCCTGACCTTGTGATCCACCTGCCTCGGCCTCCCGAAGTGCTGGGATTATAAGCGTGAGCCATGACGCCTGGGTAATTTTTCTATTTTTAGTAGAGAGGCAGGTTTTGCTATGTTGGCCAGGCTGGTCTCGAGTTCCTGACCTCAGGTGATTTGCCTGCCTTGGCCTCCCAAAGTGCTGGGATTACAGGCATGAGCCACCGTGCCCAGCCCCCAATTTTTTTTTTTTTTTCCGGGACAGTCTGTGTCGCCCAGCCTGGAGTGCAGCTGTGCAATCTCAGCTCACTGCAACCTCCACCTCCTGGGTTCATGCAATTCTGCTGCCTCAGCCTCCCGAGTAGCTGGGACTACAGGTGTGTGCCACCACACCTGGCTAATTTTTGTATTTTTAGTAGAGACAGGGTTTTACCATATTGATTGGGCTGGGGCTGGTCTTGAACTGACTTCATGATCCGCCTGCCTTGGCCTTCCAAAGTGCTGGGATTGAGCACTTTGTGTAAGCCACTGCACCGGCCCCCCAAATTTTTTAAATTACCTGGGTGTGGTGGTGCACACCTGTGGTCCCAGCTACTTGAGAGGTTGAGGCAGGAGGATCACTTAAGCCTGGGAGTTCCAGGCTATAGTGAGCCATGATTGTACCATTGCACTTCAACCTGGGCAACAGAGCAAGACCCTGTCTCCAAAAAAAAAAAAAAAAAAAGAATCCCTTGAACCTGGGAGGTGGAGTTTCCAGTGAGCTGAGATTGGGCTGTTGCACTCCAGCCTGGGCAACAGAGCAAGACTCAAGTCTCAAAAAAAAAGAACAGCGTAGAGTAAAATGCCAAGATAGGGTTTCCCTTCGAAGAGAAAAGTCTGTCTTGTGAAGCGTTTCAGGGCTTGACAGATGTGGAGGCAGCACAGGGTGAGTGGGTCTGCATGTCCACATGTGGCATTTGTGGACTAGCAAGTGAGATCTCTTTGTTCAAGGGTGTGAGAAAGATTTCCAGAGCCAGTACAGCAATGCATACCCCCAGACCCTGGGTATGGACCCCTCTCATATGGAGATGAATTCTAGAGAACAGCCATAGCTGTGACAATCAGTATTCTATACAACCTTAGTGATACGGCTTCCTTTAAGAATTTGTAGGCCAGGCACGGTGGCTCACACATGTAATCCCAGCACTTTGGGAGACCGAGGCAGGCAGATCACAAGGTCAGGAATTCAAGACCAGCCTGGCCAATATGGTGTAAACCCTGTCTCTACTAAAAATACAAAAATCAGCTGGGCGTGGTGGGGGGCGCCTGTAATCCCAGCTACTTGGCAGGCTGAGGCACAAGAATCGCTTGAGCCTGGGAGGCGCAGGTTGCAGTGAGCTGAGATCACGCCACCGCACTGCAGCCTGGGTAACAGAGCGAAACTCCATCTCAAAAAAAAAAAAAGACAAGAATCTGTGGTTAAGGAAATAGCTTTCTGAGGTTTCTTTAAAAACCATCCTGAAATGCACACAGCTGATGAAGCCACGTGACAGTGTATAAAGCAGTTTAAAGATCTTAATAAACGAGGCCCTCATAGGCCCCTTGCTTGGGCCCACTGCATGGTGAACCATGTGCAGAAATGTCTTCCCAGCTGTGATGGTTTCACATTGTCATCGTCGTCCCCCCGGGAGGTTGGAGCATCAGGGGCCTGGACTCACTGGACTCTCCCCTCTCAGAGGTGCGGAACTATATCTGTGACGAATGTGGACAAACCTTCAAGCAGCGGAAGCACCTTCTCGTCCACCAAATGCGACATTCGGGAGCCAAGCCTTTGCAGTAAGTGTGAGTCAGGACCCCCTCCCAGGGCTGTGGCCCTCGCACCTTCTTATCTGCCTCTGTCCCCCAGGTGTGAGGTCTGTGGGTTCCAGTGCAGGCAGCGGGCATCCCTCAAGTACCACATGACCAAACACAAGGCTGAGACTGAGCTGGACTTTGCCTGTGACCAGTGTGGCCGGCGGTTTGAGAAGGCCCACAACCTCAATGTACACATGTCCATGGTGCACCCGCTGACACAGACCCAGGACAAGGCCCTGCCCCTGGAGGCGGAACCACCACCTGGGCCACCGAGCCCCTCTGTGACCACAGAGGGCCAGGCGGTGAAGCCCGAACCCACCTGAGGACGGCAGTGAGGATGAGCACCTCTAGCAGCCTGGACTCCGCAGTGGCTGTGTCAGCCTCACCCTTCGTGTGCACCCGCATGGGAGGGTCGGAGGGTGCTGCCCGCCCTTGGTGCTGGAGGCGGGCTTGGTGTCCGGCTCAAGTAGCCTTCCTCTGCTCTGGGACCAGTGGTTTATTTTCCCGCAAACGCTGAGTGACTCGGGGCCGGACAGTTCATAAATAATTGATTCCTTTCCCCACTAAAGCAGTCGAGGAGATTTGTAATCCACTTTTTAGTGCAACAAGAGCTCCATGTTATGCTTGTAATAAATTATTTACACGGGAGCTGGGCTGGTGTGCAGTGGCAGGTCCCGTCAGAAGAGATGAGGCTCCTGGGACAGGTCAGCGTCAGGGGCAGCCTGCTGTCTGCTCTGGAGGGCGGCGCTCACCTCTGGGTCGCAGTCCCCACGATCAGCCAGCAGCTGTGAGAGAGGAGCAGGTCCTCAGCCCATGCCGCCCACTAGGCCTCAGACCACAGGGGAGGGGCTCTGGCAGAAATAGTCGAGTTGTATTGCCAGCCAGGCAGGCACATGGCCCAGGCAGCTGTCAATTCTCATGTCCCCCACATGGCCCAAGGTGGGCATCTTGACGTTACCTCTGCCACGTGTGAGAAGCTCTTTTTCGGGCACCGAGGTATTAACTGCAGCAGAAAAAGACGAGCTTTTGTTATCAGTTCCACGGGGTTGCCCTAGAGAGAAAACAGGCAAACTCACAGGTTAGAAGACATACAGAAACAGGGCTGGTGTGTCCCCCATAGTCTGCATGCTGTGCCGGAACATTCTTTGGCAGAAGGAGCCTCCGGCTGGGGGGAGCTCCCCTGGAGGTGGGACTGGCCCTTGCACCTGCCTGACCCTTGAGCTCCAGGCTCCTGCCAGCTGGAGGTGAAACTGTGCTTGTATCCCCAGCCACGAAGAGCTGGACCAGCTTCAAGTACATGTCCACAGCAACATGCAGGAAGGCCTCTTCCCTGATGGCCGCGTCTTCATGGAAGTAGGAGAGAAGACTAGAGGTAAAGACATAGTGACAAATGGCTACAGACTGCTGGAAAGGTAGCAGGTGATGCCAAGGGATACTGCTCATCTGTGGAGCAGAGGCACAGACAACCCTTCCCATCTGGCGGGACCCAGAGGTGCTGAGATGGGGGTCTGGGAAACACTGCCCAGCCCTGACCAGCCCTGTGGGTGGAGGTACCTGTAAAAAGCGAAAGGCAGCAGCCTGGTGTGCTGATCCGGGGCCACACGGAGGAGGAGCCGCCCCAGCCTGAGGTCTGCAACACCAAGAAGTGGCTCAGGCAACTCTGGACATCTCTGCCTATTATCAGTGCTGGGGACACCCCTGGGGGTCGGGACGTGTACCCTGGGAGGCCTGGCTGTGGGGATAGTGTGGGGCGAACAGCCTGAGCTGAGGATACCCAGGTACCTGTCAGCAGCTGGGAGAGGATGGGGGGGTCGACCTCTTGCAGGAGGGTGGGTGTGGTGCAGAGAGAGGCAGTCCCCATGATAGGCCCATTGGTCCTGGGGTTGACCAGTGAGCCAGTAAATTATCTTATTGCTTTAAACAAGTTTGTGCTTAATCTGTCCCAACTAAAATGGAGCTTATAAACTTACTTAGCAAGGAACCTCAAGGAGGGCTCGTTCTTAACCATTTGCAAGATGCCTCTGAAAAGAGCGGCCCTCCGCATTTGTGCCTCAGCAGCGTGTTTCTTACCACTCTCTGTCAACTGAAAGAGTGCCAGCCAGGATATCTTCCTCTTCTCTAAACACTCGAGGATTGCTGCACAAACGTGGAAAGCCTTTGGCAGGTCTGTGGTGCTCTGTAAACCGCAGGAGACCAACCCTGAGAATGGCCGACCTGGTGCTCCCATGGGTAGGAGGGTACAGCCCTCAGCACAGAAGAGGGCATTTCCTCTTTGCTTATTGTAAGTCTTAAAACTGGTGACAGTTTTACCTATAGAAGGTAATACTGGGCCTCTGGACAGAAGAGGCTCAGGTAGGAGGCCAGGGACTTCGAGCACCCACACCAAGGCTGCTGCACCACGTCCTCAAATAAGACATTAAAAGAAAGGCCCACAGGCCGGATGCAGTGGCTCATGCCTGTAATCCCAACACTTTGGGAGGCCGAGGTCGGCGGATCACTGAGGCCAGTTCAAGACCAGCCTGGCAATATGGTGAAACCCCGTCTCTACTAAAAATACAAAAATTAGCCGGGTGTGACAGACTCACGCCTGTAATCCCAGCTACTCGGGAGGCTGATGCAGGAGAATTGCTTGAACCCAGGAGGCTGAGGTTGCAGTGAGCTGAGATCACACCACTGCACTCCAGCCTGGGTGACAGAGTGAGACCCCCATCTCAAAAAAAAAAAAAAAAAACCCACGGCCTGGGAGTTCTCACTCACACTTCCGCAAACACAAGGAGCTCCTGAGCTAGTCTGGAAACCCTGACTTGGAAGCTGGCTGCCTGGTGCCCCTGCCTGGCCCACAGTGGGAGAGGACACCTTGGCTGGTAAGGTCTGACTTACATTTGAGGTCAGATGTGACGACAGCAGGCCCATCAAGGAGAAGAAGAAAAGGAAAACCAATAGCTGTAAATAAAAACGTGCACTTATTATTACATTAAAATTACCTGTGCTGTCATTCTAAATAAGGCTGACACATTCCTCTTTAATTGAAATTTTTTACATCTAGGCCATAAATCCTTTAAGTGGATCTTAGAAAACTTTCCAATCACTTCTAGAGAGACAGCTTAATTGAGAATTAATTACTACTGGCTGGGTCATTTCACACTTGCCTTTAAACAAAGCTAGAAACAGTTTGAAAAAGTGACAAGAGCCAGAAAGAGAAGACTGCTGCGGTCTCCTTGGCTGTGCGCAGTCCCAACTCAGCATCATCTCCCTGCAAGGCCTCCTGTCAGAAGTGTTTGTAAAATCCTTGAAGATAAGCCCACAGGCTCCAGCCTAAAGTAGGGCCTGACTGGGCAGGGTCTCTGTGGACACTCCTCGCTGCACACTAGGGTCCTAAGGCCCTGGAGCCACTAAAATCCCTTCTAACAAAACTACACAAGAAACCTGAAGACGTACTCAGAAGAACCCCTGCAGGGTGGTTATAATCACCAAAACCCTGGGCGCTGCTGTCGATCCAGCTTTGAGCTGGTGTAAGTTGTGTGCTGACATGGCACCTATGCGTTGCGGATCTCGGGCTGGGCACAGAGGGCTGCTGCCTCCAGCTCTCTTGTGGGATGCTTGTTTCTGTTCCTGTTCTGCACACACCACCCTTGGCTCCCTGCACAGAGAGCTGTGTGGGTGTCACTGGTCTTGTGGGGGCAGTCAGGCTTTCCAGGGTGCAGCAACCAGGTGGGCAGTGGGTCTGAGTCGAACATGGTCCCTGGCCTGGAATTCAAGAGCAGCCTCTCCCACTCCTTTCCCTATGCCTATGGCTGCAGACGGTCCCATCCTTGCTGCCTCTTGTCCCCAGCACCCCAGGTCTGAGCTGTCTCACTGCAAGCTTATCTGGGGCTGTCCCTCAGCACATGAATCAAGGCTACTGCAGCATGAACACAGAAGGCACCACTTGAAGGCTGACAGCATTTACGCTGGGCTGTGATGAGGATAAAAATAAGCTGAAGAAACGCACTTCAAGCCTGGGCAACACAGTGAGACCCCCATCTCTTTTAATTTTTACTTTAAACAAATTTTTTTTTTTTGAGACAAGTCTCGCTCTGTCACCCAGACTGCAGGGCAGTGGCGTGATCTTGGCTCACTGCAGCCTCTGCCCCCTGGGTTCAAGTGATCCTCCTGCCTCAGCCTCCTGAGTAGCTTTACAGGCTATGGGATTGTAGGTGCGCACCACCACACCCGACTAATTTTTGTGTTTTTAGTAGAGACAGGGTTTCACCATGTTGCCCAAGCTGGTCTCAAACTCCTGACACCAAGTGATCCGCCTGCCTCGGCCTCCCTAAGTGTTGGGATTACAGGCATGAGCCACCATGCCTGGACTACAGACCCCCATCTCAGAAAAAATTACAAAATTAGCCGGGCATGGTGGCACACACCTGTAGTCTGAGCTACTCCAGAGGCTGAGGTAAGAGGATGGCTTGAGCCCAGAAGAGGCTGCAGTGAGCTGACTGCACCACTGCACTCCAGCCTGGGCGACAGTGAGACCCTGTCTCAACTACATACAACCATTTAAAAAACTGAAATTATTATTTTTACTAGTAAACTTGATAGTCAAAGTCTTACTCCAAGCCAGCTGGGCGTGGTGGCTCACGCCTGTAATCCCAGCACTTTGGGAGGCCAAGGCGGGAGGATCACGGGGTCAGGAGATCGAGACCATCCTGGCTAACACAGTGAAACCCCGTCTCTACTAAAAATACAAAAAAAAAAAAAAAAAAAAAAAGTCTTGCTCCAAGCCACATATTTGTCTTTAGAAAAACAGTTCATCAGACAAGCCCAGAGAAATAGCACTGATTGAAACCAAGCTTGCGAGAAAATAAATCAGTAAAAGAATTTCCTATCTTGCCTCCTCTCTCTCGCAGTCCAGCTTCTTTAGCTGCTTCCTGATGTTTTCTTCCCTGACTTGTTGAATCGCAAAGTGCAGTGCAGCAGCTGAGAGCCAGTCCGGGTTGGGTGCTGGGGAGGCAGCCTCAGGGGAGAGGAAACTGGGACAGAGAGAACGGGGTCATTGCAGGGCCTTACAACCATACAACCACGCCATAGAAACCAAGTCCTTATTCCCACCTGTCACCTTTGGGGCCTGCCTTTCCATCAGAGGACAGAGAAGGGTTTCAGGACCATCAGAAACTAGGTCTGCATCCCCCAGGTCCACGTGAGAGTGTGGGCAGGTGCTGGTGCTGCCCCCACAGCATCCTGGCGTTCTGAGAGCTGCTGACTGAGCAGGCAGCTGGCCTGGTCCTGTCTACCTTGCCCTGTGCTCTTGGGCCCCAGCTGCCTACATTTTGGAAGAAGAGGCCTCATTTTCCTCAGTTGCCCATGCCTGGCCCTGTGGATCAGGCATTCCCTCCTACAACAGAGAACAAAGGACTGCCTGGCTCTGGCCCCAGTGTGGTGTCTGAGTTTTCTGGCTGGTTAAAAAATTGGTAGGAAATTAATGAAACAATGCTGTGGTTTAAGAGACTTTAAATAAGCTGGGCATGACGGTTCACATCTGCAATCATAGCACTTCAGGAGGATCGCTTAAGCCCAGCAGTTTGAGATCTGCCTGGGCAACACAGTGAGACTCAATCTCAAATAAACAAAAACGAGGCAGGGCGTGGTGGTTCACGCCTGTAATCCCAGCACTTTGGGAGGCTGAGGCAGGCAGATCACCTGAGGTCGGGAGTTCGAGACCAGCCTGACCAACGTGGAGAAACCCTGTCTCTACTAAAAATACAAAATTAGCCAGGCATGGTGGCTCACGCCTGTAATCCCAGCTACTCAGGAGACTGAGGCAGGAGGATCGCTTGAACCTGGGAGGCGGAGGTCATGGTGAGCCGAGATCGTGCCATCTCACTCTAGGGTGGGTGACAAGAGTGAAACTCTGTCTCAAACAAAACAAAACAAAAAACAAAACTTCAGACAATCTGATCTGTGTTTGTAGAATTAGAACTGGAGGTGTGACCTGCTTTCTCCTTTTTTGAGATGGAGTTTCTCTCTCATTGCCCATGCTGGACTACAATGGCATGATCTCGGCTCACTGCAACCTCCACCTCCTGGGTTCAAGCAATTCTCCTGCCTCAGCCTCCTGAGTAGCTGGGACTACAGGCGCACACTATCACACCCAGCTCATTTCTGTATTTTCAGTAGAGATTGTTTCACATGTTGGCCAGGCTGGTCTCAAACTCCTGACCTCAGGTGATCCACCTGCCTTGGCCTCCCAAAGTGCTGGGATTACAGGTGTGCGCCACCGCGCCGGGGCCCTCTTCTCTTCTTTCAGCAGACGGCGAGCAGCCAAACCCTGAGGGGACCCGGTGTGGCATCAGTGATTCAAAACTAGTCACAAAGTAAGGTGTTCTCCAAGGAGGCAGGATGGGTACTAGCAGTGCCCTCTGACGACCCCTTAAGAACACGGCACCCACATTCAGCAGGTGGAGTGGCTGTCAGCTCTGTGGTCCTCAGAAGGGTGTGTGAGCCTGGATTGCGCCAGGAGCTTGATGGTTTGCAAGGACCCGTGAATATCTGACTGGGGTCGACAGGTCAGGGTAGGCTGAGAATCTGCATCCCTGAGGTCCCCATGACACTGACCCTACCAGCACGCGGTGCACTCTAGGAGCCCACATTAGATTTAAGAGGAAGGGGAGCAGGTGCAAAGGAATCACTCGAGCTCCTCACTCAGACGGGAGCCTGGGAGAGGCCGTTCCTCACTCAGACGAGACACTGGCAGAGGCTGTTTTTTTTTTTGTTTTTTTTCTGGACAGAGTCTTGCTCTATTGGCCGTTGGAGTGATCTCGGCTCACTGGAAACTCCACCTCCTGGGTTCAACTGATTCTCCTGCCTCGGCCTCCCCAGTAGTTGGGATTACAGGCGCCCACCACCACGAGAACTCGGTTCTTTTCTCCCTGCTCACACGAGAGGCTGCCCACACCGCTTCTCTCAAGCAAGCCAGGGTGTTTAGGAGATGACCTTGAGCAGGTCCCGAAGTGCATCTGGGCGGGCACACCCCATCTCACCACCCACACGTACTCGCTGGCAAACTGCCGGCCTTCTTGTAGCTTCTGCAGTTCCCGGGGCAGCGGGCTCTGGCAGTGTCTCCTCCACCGGCAGAGCAGCACAGGCTCCAGGCTCGGCCACCACACCTATGGAGAGAGCACCAGCACACAGATGAGGGTGGCTGAGATGGACACACCTCCGCTGCCCCAGCCATGACAAGCCCCCAGTGCTCCTACAGGCCACTACAGGCCCACACTCGCCCTGCGCTCTGGAACTCCAAAGCCAGTATTTTTTACGTCAATTAAGGCTCAAAGCAGTTCCATGAGGCATTTATTACCCACACTCATGGAAGACGTGGAATTTGGAGAAGGAAGAGCCTGGCCTAACGCAACAGTGAAGGGACCACACTCCCCTGAGCTGGGAACGAAACAGTGAAGGGACCACAGTCCCCTGAGCTGGGAATGAAACAGTGAAGGGACCACACTCCTCTGAGCTGGGAACAAAACAGTGAAGGGACCACACTCCTCTGAGCTGGGAACAAAACAGTGAAGGGACCACACTCCTCTGAGCTGGGAACGAAACAGTGAAGGGACCACACTGCCCTGAGCTGGGAACGAAACAGTGAAGGGACCACACTCCTCTGAGCTGGGAACAAAACAGTGAAGGGACCACACTGCCCTGAGCTGGGAACGAAACAGTGAAGGGACCACACTCCTCTGAGCTGGGAACAAAACAGTGAAGGGACCACACTGCCCTGAGCTGGGAACAAAACAGTGAAGGGACCACACTCCTCTGAGCTGGGAACAAAACAGTGAAGGGACCACACTGCCCTGAGCTGGGAACGAAACAGTGAAGGGACCACACTCCTCTGAGCTGGGAACGAAACAGTGAAGAGACCACACTGCCCTGAGCTGGGAATGCCTGGTCCTTGGATGCCCTCAGCTGAGAGGTGGCGTTCTAAACACCGAAGAGTTCATTTCTCACGAATTCCACCAACTGAGCTACAACTCGGTGCAAATGCAGCCTGCTTGGGGAGCTCCCTGGGGAACATGCCGTGCTGCGGAGAAAAAGGCCCTCCTGTCCCTGATGACCGAGAAGGAAGGGCGACAGCTGTGGTCTTCAGGACTAAGTGAGCCGCCAGGGAAGTGAGGGAAATGCTGCCCTCCTCCCACTCTCGGGACCCTGGGCTGCTAGGGGAGCCTGCTGAGCTCTGGCGGGAGCTGAGGTGAAGTCTCTGCTCCGAAGTCCCAAGAAAGCATAGTCAGGCGCAAGTGGGCCACAGTCATGCTCTCGTGACGGGGCACAGGCAGCCACCGTACAGCCTCCAGCCAGTGCACAACCCAAGACCGTGAACAAACAAGCCCTGCACCCCTGTGGACATGAAGGTGCCCGTGGGGTCTGAGTGGGGTCCACAGGGGAGAAGTCCTGCGGGTGCCATGGTGACGGCGGTGGGGGCAGGGACGGTTCTGGGAACTCAGGATGTGCGGCCCTCATCTGCTATGAGCTGGCATCTTTAACTGTGGCTTCCATGTCTCCTGATGCATTTTCCCTGAGATGGTAACACCCGTGATGGAGACGTGCTGCAGAGATGCCAGAGGCAGCTGTGGAGTCTCCCACTCATCCCCAAAACAAAACACCAAACAAGACAGCTGACCCACCAGAGCAGAGGTCAAAATTAAGGGGCATTTCGTCTGGCACTTGGCCAGTATGAAGTCGACCATCAGGGAGGGGTCTCTGCTCCGCAGACAGGCGTTCAGGAGGCCCTGCAGGAGAGAACGCAGCAGGAGGTCAGCGGTTTGTGAGGACCCACAACTAGTAGAGTGAAGGAACTCACAGGAAGCTGACAGGAGGATCCACCCACGGCGTTCTGAGAAGGCCACGAGAGGGGCTGAGGGAGCATCTCACCCTGAAGAAGTGGGCAGTGATGTCCTGTGTCAGGGCACCTCCGTGGGAGCAGAAGTTTCTCTGCAAAAGAGTTCAAGGCAGGTAAGAAAAGCCCACAGGAAGAGAGGCGAGACCAACATGCAGAGTGGCTGCTGTGGATTCAGTTTTGAGAAAAACACTCGCTAAGGCTTGGCGTGGCCACCATGGATGGTGCTCCTGGGCTGACCGGGCCTGGCGCCCTGGCTGTGCTGTCCTGAAACTTAACGGCTTCCCTGGGCGGCCAGATCCTGCAGCCCACCAGCTCTGGCCCAAACAGTCTTGTAGGCTCCAGGAAGAAGCCAGGGAGGCACAAGCAGCCGCAGGGAAGGGGACGCACCCGGAGCGTAGAACTGTGGTGAGGACGACACTAATACCAAGGGCCAACCATCCTCTGGTCCCTTCACTAACCAAGTGCTGTCTATGGTGTTTTCCTGTCTGTCGGCTGTCACGTGCCAACTGAGAGCTTTCTGAAAAACAGCCATTCATAAGAATTCAAAGGAGACCATAGTGATTTTCTGAAAGCTTTTGCTAGTCTCACGTCCTCTGCTTTCCTTGTCACATTTTGAAGTGCTGCACAAGGCCGGGCTCACACCTGTAATCCCAGCACTTTGGGAGGCCAAGGCGGGTGGATCACGAGGTCAGGAGTTCAAGACCAGACTGACCAACATGGTAAAACGTCATCTCTACTAAAAATACAAAACTTAGCCGGTCATGGCGGCAGGCACCTGTAGTCCCAGCTACTCAGGAGGCTGAGGCAGGAGAATCGCTTGAACCTGGGAGGCGGAGGTTGCAGGGTGAGCCAAGATTTCACTGCTGCACTCCAGCCTGGGCGACAGAGCAAGACTCTGTCTCAAAAAATAAATAAATAAATAAATAAATAAAAATATAAAATGCTGCACAGCTGGCATGGAACCTGAATTCCATCTCTCACATTTGTGCATCTTCAAAAACAAGAAAAAGGCCTTCGGGAGCAGAAGCTGCTCTCTGTAGAGTGGGAGGGGCTGGTATCCGTCTCCCCAGCTCTGACCAACTGGGTCCCTACGCTGCCCGTCCCCACAGCGAGTGTCACTTCTTTTTATTTGAGACAAGAGTTTCGCTCTGTCACCCAGGCTGGAGTGTAGTGGTGGGATCTTGGCTCAGTGCAACTCTGCCTCCTGGGCTCAATTACTCCTCCTGACCCAGCCTCTCAAGTAGGTGGGAGTACAGGCGTGCACCACCATACCCAGCTAATTTTTCTATTTTTTGTAGAAACAGGGTTTTGTCATGTTGCCCAGGCTGGTCTCGAACTCCTGGGCTCAAGTGATCCCCCACCTTTCCAGAGTGCTGGGATTACGGGCGTGAGCCACCGCACCCAGCCTGCTGGTTAAGATCACCCTGCAACTCACGCTGGGCAGTGTCTAAAATGGAAGATAACTGGGCTGCCTGGCAGGCAACAGCGGTAGTCAGATCACCACAAGGCTTTTTTTACACATGAAGCATGTTGAGATTAGAAATAAATGAACCGAGGTGCGTGGCACACAAAATGGTCTGTACGATTCCATGTGTCAAAATCATTAAAACTTGAGGGAAACTAAAGGAACTCAAACTTGGGAGAAGGCAACCTACAGCTGGTTTGGTGATGTGCTGGTCGCCGTCCTGGCTGTGGGTGGGGTCCTCCCTCACATGGCATTCCAGACACTGTTCCCTATTTGACTTTGAACCCTTTCCTCAGTAATTCACACGGTCAGTACACGCATGGAGGCTGCAAGAGCTGCTGTTAGCGCCACAGGCACTGACAGATCGGACGGACACGTGCACACGGGGCACCTACCATCTCAGAGTTGACCAAGTGGAAGAACTGCTCGCATCTGGCAGTGATGGGCTGTTCTGCCTGGAAGCTGCTGCCGCAGAGGACAGACGAAGGCAGGCGGAGGAGGATCCTGGAAAGAAGGGGCTGTATTGGTGGCGACAGCACAGCGTACACTCTGCTCCTTCCCAAGGGCTCAGACTCTCAGAGCAGCAACCACCACCCTGAAACCCAGGGCCACTGTTGGAACCAGAGCCTTGGCCTGTGTCCCTCTGTCCCATCCAAAGCCTGCACTCTGAGCCCACCTCCCCTATACTGTGTTTGGCCCACTGCATTCAAAATGTGTTACCAAACAAACAACTTTTAACAGTTACATAATAACCAACAACTTCTGACAGTTACACGATAACCAAGTGGATGACGCACCAGTCTGTCTAGTGAAGCAATTCCCTATGACTGTAAAATTAAATGACTCCACGCTGCTTCTTATAAATGCAGCCGCCGTGGGCATTTCTGAACACTTTTCCCTACTTTCACAAGAGCTCCTTCTGCGACGTCCCTCCACGTCTGAGCAGGAAGGTTTTGTTGTTGTTGTTGAGACAGAGTCTCGCTCTGTTGCCCAGGCTGGTGTGCAATGGCGTGATCTCGGCTCACTGAAACCTCTGCCTCCCAGGTTCACACCACTCTCCTGCCTCAGTCTCCCGAGTAGCTGGGATTACAGGTGCCCGCCACCACACCTAGCTAAATTTTTTTGTATTTTTTTTGTATTTTTAGTAGACATGGCGTTTCGCCATGTTGGTCAGGCTGGTCTCAAACTCCTGACCTCAGGTGATCCACTCACCTCAGCCTCCCAAAATGCTAGGATTACAGGCATGAACCACCTCGCTTGGCTGGAAGGTTTTAATCAAAAGTACTTTCAACCCTCCAGATCCTCTTCTCCGTGGCATGTGCCACAGAAATGGACAGGCTTGGGGTGGGGACACACAGACAAGTAAGTAACGGGAAACAAACTCACTACAAAGAACCTCTAGGACCGTCATGAGATGCTGCCCTGCCCAGGTGGTGCTGCCCTGCCCAGGTGGTAGTAGGTGTTACCGTTTGTACATTAGCAGCTCCCTCTGTCTCTGAAGGCTGGCAGCCACGCTCCACCCGCTTGTCAGAGCCTGGAGCCGTCTGCGGAAAATCTCAAAGAGGAAGTGCTCCTGGGAAGGGGTGTGGCCGAGAGGCACTATGAGGTCTTGCTGCAGCTCCAGGTCAGCTACCATCTCCTGAAAAAGAGCAGTATGCTGGCACAGGAAGGCCTCGGGGCTCACTGCCCAGCCAGTCGGGGACCCAGACGTCAGGGGTCAGGGAGAGGTCTCCACAGTGGACAGGGCAAGAAGGAACAAGTGGGGCAAGCTATTTCAATTGGAAATCACTTTGAAATTGCAAATATAGAACAGTGCAGGCCGGGTGCTGTGGCTCACGTCTGTAATGCCAGCACTTTGGGAGGCCGAGGCAGGCAGATTCCTTGAGCCCAGGAGTTACAGTACTACTTATCAACTACTTATCAATTAAGAAAAAACAGCTGGGCGTGGTGGCTCATGCCTGTAATCCCAGCACTTTGGGAGGCCAAGGCAGGAGGATCACGAGGTCAGGAGATGGAGACCATCCTGGCTAACATGGTGAAACCCTGTCGCTACTAAAAAATACAAAAAAATTAGCTGGGCATGGTGGCGGGTGCCTGTAGTCCCAGCGACTCAGGCGGCTGAGGCAGGAGAATGGCGTGAACCCGGGAGGTGGAGCTTGCAGTGAGCCCAGATCGCACCACTGCACTTCAGACTGGGCAACAGAGTGAGACTCCGTCTCAAAAAAAAACAAACAAAAAAAAACAGCCAGGTATGGTGGCTCACGCCTGTAATCCCAGAACTTTGGGAGGCCAAGACAGATGGATTACCTGAGGTCAGGAGTCCAAGACCAGCCTGGCCAACAAAATTAGCCATACAAAAATTAGCTGGGTGTGGTGGCAGGCGCCTGTAATCCCAGCTAATCAGGAGGCAGAGGCAGGAGAATAGTTTGAACCCGGGAGGTAGAGGCTGCAGTGAGCCAAGATCCCGCCACTGCACTCCAGAGCAAGACTCTGTCTCAAAAACAAACAGACAAAACAAAACAAAACAACAACAAAAAAAAACAGCAGGAGGACACTCATGTGCCCTTCACCCAGATTAACCTCTGGCTAACATTTTACCCCACACATCATTTTTGCCTCACAAGTCTTTTGTTGTTGTTGTTGTTGTTAGGACAGTCTCAGTCCGGTTGCCCAGGCTGGAGTGCGGCAGTGCAGTCTTGGCTTATGGCAGCCTTGACTCTCGAGCTCAGCTGATTCTCCTAAGTCAGCTTCCTGAGTAGCTGGGACTATAGGTACACACCACCATGCTTGACTAGTGTTTTGTATTTTTAGTAGAGATGGGGTTTCACCATGTTGGCCAAACTGGTCTTGAGCCCCTGACCTCAAGTGATCTAGCCACCTCAGCCTCCCAAAGTGCTGGGATTACAGGCATAAGCCACCGTGCCTGGCCGGCTGTATTTTTTAAAGAAGAATAAAGATCAGGTGCAGTGGCTCACGCCTGTAATCCAACAATTTTGGAGACCGAGATGGGTGGTTCACTTGGGCCCAGGAGTTCGAGACAAGCCTGGGCAACATGGCAAAACTCCGTCTCTACAAAAAATCAGCTGGGTGTGGTGGCGCACACAGGTGCACGCTGTCAGGATTGCTTGAGCCCAGGAAGTCAAGGCTGCAGAGAGATATGATCGCACCACTGTACTCTAGCCTGGGTGACAGAGCAAGACCCTGTCCCAATAATAATAATAATTATGATTACAATTAAGAGGAAAAAGCAGATGGTCTCACTGAGAAGGAGCCAGGTGGGTCTAGGGAAAGCATCTGGCTAAGGAGTTGGGAGGCCCCAGAGCTGGCGGAGGGAGAGACAGGGGCCTGGCACAGAAGACGCACGGGTGGCCAGCACCAGTAAATGCCTGTTGACTGACAGTGAACCCACACAGGTACATGCTGCCTACCTGTATAGACTTCAGGTGATCCACCAGCCTCGGACTCCCAAAGTACTGGGATTACAAGCCTGAGCCAACAATAAATATCTTTTTTTTTTTTTTGAGACGGAGTCTCACTCTGTCGCCCGCCCAGGCTGGAGTGCAGTGGCACAATCTCGGCTCACTGCAAGCTCCGCCTCCTGGGTTCATGCCATTCTCCTGCCTCAGCCTCCCGAGTAGGTGGGGCTACAGGTGCCCGCCACCACGCCCGGCTAAATTTTTGTATTTTTAGTAGAGACGGGGTCTCATCGTGTTAGCCAGCATGGTCTCGATCTCCTGACTGTGTGATCCGCCTGCCTCGGCCTCCCAAAGTTCTGGGATTACAGGCGTGAGCCACCGCGCCTGGCAATAAATATCTTAATAGCACGCGGCTTAAATGAAGTGAATGCACTGAGTTGTGGCACCCTCAAACTCACCTGCAATCTGGAAATAATATCCTCATTTCCTGTGCGGCCACCAAAGACCAAATCAGAATTTTCTGAGTGGTCATAACTCCTTGAGCTGAAATGAAAATACAATAAAATCCTCCTCAGTATCGCCTAATAGTGCTGAAGTTCCCAGTTCTCCTCCTGCCTCCGGAGCTGAGTGATGGCTGTGCTTCTCTGACAGTGTGACCCTCACATTAGTCAACAATAAACAACAAAAACTGCCACAAAATACTACCAACCCCAACCTAGGAAATACAAAAATTATGTACCATGACCAAGGAGGCTTATCCCAAGAATGCAAGGATGTGGGTGGCAAGCCACCCAGGCACCAAGGCAAGAGACAGAGGACACGAGCTGTTCCAGTATAATAAAATATAAAACAAGAATAGTTATACCAGATATAGATCTTAGATATGATTACATATGAATATCATTAATCATTAGTTGGTAGCAATTACTTTTTATTCCAATATTATGATAATCCTCACTCAATAATCATAGCCTAGGAAAAACCAGGCCATACAGAGATAGGAGCTGAGGGGATATACTGAGGTGTGACCAGAAGACAAGAGTGCGAGCCTTCTGTTGTGCCCGGACAGGGCCACCAGAGGGCTCCTTGGTCTAGCGGTGATGCCAGCGTCTGGGAAGACGCCCGTCACCAAGCGGATCGTGGTCCAGCGGTAGCAAAAGGTGTCAAGGAACAACACCCACTACTTAGCAGACCGGGAAAGGGAGTCTCCCTTTCCCCCGGGGAGTTTAGAGAAGACTCTGCTCCTCCACCTCTTGTGGAGGGCCTGACATCAGTCAGACTCGCCCGCAGTTATCCGGAGGCCTCACCGTCTCCCTGTGATGCTGTGCTTCAGTGGTCATGCTCCTAGTCCACCTTCATGTTCCATCCTGTACACCTGGCTCTGCCTTCCAGATAGCAGTAGCAAATTAGTGAAAATACTAATAGTCCCTGATATGCAGAAATAATGGCGTAAGCTGTCTTTCTCTCTGTCTCCTCTCCCTCTCTGCCTCAGCTGCCAGGCAGGGACGGGCCCCCTGTCCAGTGGACATGTGACCCACGTGACCTTACCTATCATTGGAGGTGACTCACATTGTTTACCCTGCCCCTTCTGCCTTGTATCCAATAAGTAACAGCGCAGCCCGACACTCGGGGCCACTACCGGTCTCCGCGCATTGGTGGTAGTGGTCCCCCGGGCCCAGCTGCCTTTTCTCTTATCTCTGTCTTGTGTCTTTATTTCTACACTCTCTCATCGCCGCACACAGGGAGAGACCCACCGACCCTCCGGGGCTGGTCCCTACACAAGGATAGCTTAAGATCCCCAAACCAATATAACGCAGTTATCAATAAAATAAAAAGCAAAAACCGTAAGATTATCTCAATAGATGTAGAAAAAGCACTTGACGAAATGTGACATCCTTTTGTGATAAAAACACTCAATCAACCAGGAACAAAGGAAATCTTCTCAATCTAGTGCCTGGCATGGATGAAAACCCACAGCAAACGTCAGATTTAATGAGGAAAGACTGAAAGCTGTTCTCCTAAGATCAGGGGCAACAAGGATGTCCTCTCTACACTCAGAACAGTGTCGCTGCCTCTACTCAACACTGCACTGGGGACAGACACGGTGGCTCACGCCTGTAATCCCAGCACTTTGGGAGGCCGAGGCAGGCAGATCATCTGAGGTCAGGAGATCGAGACCATCCTGGCCAATGTGGCGAAACCCTATCTCTACTAAAAATACAAAAATTAGACGGGCGTGTTAGCGGACGCCAGTAATCCCACCTATTGGGAGGCTGAGGCAGCAGAATTGCCTGAACCTGGAAGGCGGAGGTTGCAGACAGCTGAGATAGTGCCACTGTACTCCAGCCTGGGACACACAGCGACACTCTGTCTCAAAAACAAACAAACAAAAATTAGCTGGGCATGGTGGCGGGTGCCTGTAATCCCAGCTACTCGGGAGGCTGAGGCAGGAGAATCGCTTGAACCTGAGAGGCGAAGGTTTCGGTAAGCCGAGATTGCACCACTGCACTCCAGCCTGGGTGACAGAGCGAGACTCCGTCTCAGAAAAAAAAAAACAAAACAAAACAACAACAAAAAAAACAACACTGCCCGGGGAGTTCAAGCCGGGGCAATTCAACAAGAAAAAGAAAAAGCATCCAGATAGGAAAGGAAAAAGTGAAACTATCTCTCTTCACATATTATATGATCTTTCTTTTGTTTTTTTGTTTTGAGACTGAGTTTCACTCTTGTCGCCCAGGCTGGAGTTGCAGTGGCATGATCTCAACTCACTGCAACCTCTGCCTCCTGAGTTCAAGTGATTCTTCTGCCTCAGCCTCCCAAGTAACGGATTACAGGAGCCCACCACGATGCCCGGCTAATTTTTGTATTTTTAGTAGAGATGGGGTTTCACCATGTTGGCCAGGCTGGTCTCCAACTCCTGACCTCATGATCCGCCCACTTCACCCTCCCAAAGTGCTGGGATTACAGGCATGAGCCACCATGCCTGGCCAGACACGATCTTATATATACAAAGCCCTAAGGAATCGATACAAAAACACTCTTAGAACTAATAAATGACTAGAGCCAATGAATATACAAGAATCACTGGTGTTTCTATACGTTAGCAACAAATGATTCAAAAGGAAAGAAGACTCGCTATCACTGAGATGGCAATACTGCCCCACATGCAGTCCGTATCAGGGTCCCAGCTACTTTTGTCGAAACTGACAAGCTCATCCCAAAATTAAGACACAACTACAAAGCACCTAGAAAAGCCAAACCATCCTGAAAAAGAAGAACCAAGTTGGAGGCCTCACACTTCCCAATTTTAAAACCTACTACAAAGCTTCATCCCAATGACGCAGTGCATATGGACATACAGACCAAGGGAACACAATGAGAGCCAGAAACAAACCCTCACACGAGCAGCCATCTAACTTTTGACAAGGGTGCCAAGACCATTCAGTGGGGAAAGAAGTGTTTTCAACAAATGGTGCTGGGACAACTGCATGGCCACAAGCAACAGAATAAAGCTGGATGACCTCACACAACAATTTTTTTTTTTTTTTTGAGACAGTCTCTCACTCTGTCGCCCAGGCTGGAGTGCAGTGGCACAATCTGGGCTCATTGCAACCTCCGCCTCCCAGGTTCAAGCAAGTCTCCTGCCGCCTCAGCCTCCCGAGTAGCTGGGATTACAGGCGCCTGCCACCATGCCTGGCTAGTTTTTGTATTTTTTTAGTTTCGCCATGTTGGCCAGGCTGGTCTCGAACTCCTGACATCAAGTGATCTGCCCGCCTCAGCCTCCCAAAGTGCTGGGATTACAGGCGTGAGCCACCGTGGCTGGCCCAAAATGTTTTCTGATCCATCAAAATGAATCAAAATCCTAAAGAGCTAAACTAAAAATAAATGATCTGGACTTTATAAAAATTTAAAACCTTTGTGCATTAAACGATACTATCAAGAGAGTGAAAAAAGAATTAACAGAATGGGAAAAAATATTTACAAATCATATATTTGATAAGAACTTTATCTAAAATATATAAAGAACTCATACAACTCAGTAAGACAAATACAGTCATGAACTGCTCAATGACAAGGATCCATTCTGAGAAACACATCTTTAGGTGGTTTCATCACGTGAACATCCAAGAGCACAGACACAGACCAGAGCCCCCCGCACACCTAGGCCACACGGCACGGCCCACCGCACAGACACAGACCGGAGCCGCCCGCACACCTAGGCCACACGGCACGGCCCACCGCGCAGAAACAGACCAGAGCCCCCGCACACCTAGGCCACATGGCACGGCCCACCGCTCCCAGGCTATAAACCGGCATAGCATGTAACTGTATTGCATGCCGCAACTGTAACACAACAGTATTTGTGTATCTAAACATAGAAAAGGTACGGTAAAAACACAGTTTAAAAAAAAGGTACAAAAAATTATGGCTATGTGGGATTACTGTCATATATGTGGCTCGTTGTTAACCAGAACATTCTTATGCAGTACATGAATGTGACCCAGTTTTCAAATGGGCTAAGGATGTGAACAGATTTCTCCAAAAAAAATCTAAAATGGCCAATAAGAAAATGGAAAGATGTTCAAAATCACTACCCATTAGGGAAGTGCAAATCGAAACCACTATCAAATAGCACTTAATACCCACTAGGATGGCTACCATCAAGTCAGGCCTGGCAGAGGTTCACGCCTGTAATCCCAGCACTTTGGGAGGCCGAGGCGGGCAGATCACCTGAGGTCAGAAGTTCAAGACCAGTCTGGCCAACATGGTGAAACCCCATCTCTACTACAACTACAAAAATTTGCCAGGTATGGTGGTGCCTGTGGTCCCAGCTACTTGAGGGGCTGAAGCAGGAGGATCACTTGAGCCCAGGAGGTCGAGGCTGCAGTGGGCTGCAGTCACTGTACCCCAGCCTGGGTGACAAAGAAAGACCCAGTTTCAAAATAAATATAAATAAGACAAAGTAAGACTATCTCAAAAAACAAACAAACAAAGTGAATGGATAAACAAAATATGGCTGATCTTTCTGTTCCGCAGTGAGCAGCTCTGTGCAAACCTACCCATAAAGGCTGGGGAAGCTGGAAGGCTGAAGAGAGGCTGAATAATCCAGTTTCTCAGACAGAAACGTTTAAGGACTTACAGACAGAAACCATGTCTCAGGCAGCCTAGAGAGACGATGCATCCCTGCACTGTTACCCCCAGGCAGGGCTTCTATACCACAGGGAAGGACTATTGAAGTCAACCCCTCAGGGAAAGGCAAGAATGCTCTGTGAATCTAACCGCTGGATTTATGGTGGAAGATTTGCTTTTTTGTTTTGAGATGGAGTCTCACTCTGTCACACAGGCTGGAATGTAGTGGTGTTTTCACAGCTCATTGCAACCTCTGCCTCCCCGGCTCATGCAATCCCACCTCAGCCTCACGAGTAGCTGGGACCATAGGCACACACTACCATGCCTGGCTAATTTTTTTTTTTGTCTAGACGGTTTCACCAGGCTGGTCTCGAGCTCCTGAGCTCAGATGATCCGCCTGCCTTGGCCTCCCAGTGCTGAGATTCCAGGCATGAGCCACTGCGCCCAGCCTCAAGGTTGTTTTGACCTAAGAGTGGGATTTAAGGTAACAGCAGATAAATGGGAAATCTCAGGAGGCATTCTTGGAGTAGGGTTAACAAGAAGTCACCCACGATGGAGGTGCGTCAGCCTCCATACCTTCTGTGAGCATCAGTCAGCCATAAGAAGGAAGGGTATGCTGATATGTGCTACAACACAGATGAGCCTCAGAAACATTCTGCTCAGCCAAAGAAGCCAGACACAAAGGGCCACATACTACATGATTCTGTTGATATTAAACATCCCAAACAGGCAAATCCATGAACATAAAATGGATTCGTGGTTGCCGCAGGCAGGAGACATGGGGGGAAGCTGCATACACACTTGCCATCTGTACTGAATGCTGCAGCTGTAACACAACAGTGTGAAGCTGCAAACAAGAGCCCCTGGGGACAAAGCCTGGACAGCCCCAGGTACACTCCGTCCATCCTTCTGGCCCACATGCAACACCTCAGGAACTGCTCTGTCCTGAGAATCCCTCTCAGATGGAGAGAGGCTGTGATGCCCAGGATCTACTAGGCCATTTGTGCCGTGCTTCACACATGCTCACCTTGAATACCAGGTGACAGAACAGAAAAACAACGTTGTTGCTATTTTTATCTTTTTTTTGAGACAGAGTCTTGCTCTGTCGCCCAGTCGGCTCACTGCAACCTCTGCCTCCCAGGTTCAAGCAATCCTCCTGCCTCAGCCTCCCAAGTAGCTGGGATTACAGGCACCCGCCACCACACTCAGCTAATTTTTGTATTTTTAGTAGAGAGGGAGGTTTCACCATGTAGGCCAGGCTGGTCTCTAACTCCTGACCTGAGGTAATCCACCCACCTCAGCCTCCCGAAGTGCTGGGATTACAGGTGTGAGCCACCACGCCCAGCCCGAAGTTGTCGCTTCTGACAAGTCTATACACATAAAGAAACAACCGATGCAGGAAGCTTGGCTTTATTTTGTATTGACATAGATTTGCTATGTGATAGGCTCAAGTGTACTTTGCATACCAAAATTGGACTGAGAGAAAAATGCATTCTTAGAACTACCATGATTAAAAGTAAGGCCTCATCGGTGTGTGATGGTTAATACTGAGTGTCAACGTGACTGGACTGAAGGATGCAAAGCATTGATCCTGAGTGTGTCTGTGAGGGTGTTGCCAAAGGAGACTGACATTTGGGTATAGGCTGGGAAAGGCAGACCCACCCTAAGCTAATTAGATGGGCACCAGCATGGCCAGAAACTCCCCTTTATATATATCCTATTAGTCCTGTCCCTCCAGAGAACCCTAATACAGTGTGTGCTGCTAACCTTTGGTGGAAATCCATCAGTGCGTTGACAAGAATGGTACACGCAGCCTGCAGGTCTCCGTCACAGCCCCCTGAAGCCGAGGACTCAGGGAGAAAGTGCTCATGGATCGCCCACTGGTGGAAGTCCTGCCTAGAACAGCAAACACTGCTATCAATTCTGAGAAATGCTTCGTGGCCAGCGGTTCCCCATAACCAGGGAATAGGCCCATAGTAAGGGACACACAGCACTAGTGAGAGCTGGGTTGAGACTGGCGGCTCGGGACCTTGGAGTAGGGATGAGACCTCACTGTCTGCAGGGTGGGATGCCTGGGGATGTGGGAAAGGCCTGGTCTCAGGAGTGACCTTTGTGACCCCACCTTCCACGGATCAAAGGCCACTCAGGATGACATCCCACGGGGTAACTGCTGGCCACACAGCACATGAGCTTGGTGAACAGAATAGGCAAGCACAAAAATGTAGGCTGGGGCAGGTGCAGTGGCTCATGCCTGTAATCCCAGCACTTTGGGAGGCTCAGGCGGGCGGATCACGAGGTTAGGAGATCGAGACCATCCTGGGTAACACGGTGAAACCTCGTCTCTACTCAAAATACAAAAAATTAGCCGGGCGTGGTGGTGGGCGCCTGTAGTCCCAGCTACTCAGGAGGCTGAGGCAGGAGAATGGTATGAACCTGGGAGGTGGAGCTTGCAGTGAGCTGAGATCATGCCACTGCACTCCTGCTTGGGCAACAGAGCGAGACTCCGTCTAAAAAAAAAAAAAAAAAAAAAAAAAAAAAAAGTAGCCTGGAAAGTCACCTGAGGGCACCTGAGCTACTCACAGGCCCACCAGAAGGGGATGGTGAAGCAACCTGCATCCAGACTGTGGACTCTGTGGATACGGATGGGAAGGGGCTCAAGGAGACACTGACTCAAAACTGCAGTGGCTACACCTGTAATCCCAGCACTGTGGGAGGCCAAGGTGGGAGGATCACTTGAGCCCAGGAGTCTGACATCAGCCTGAGCAACAAAGGGAGACCCCATTCCTACAAAAAATAAAAAAATTAGCTGGGCATAGTAGTGCCCACCTGTGGTCCCAGCTACTCAGGAGGCTGAGGCAGGAGGATCACTCGAGCTCTGGAGAGGGAAGCTGCCGTGAGCCGTGAGTGCATCACTGTACTCCATCCTGGCCAACAGAGTGAGACCCTGTCTCAAACAAACAAACAAATCCGCAGTGCACAGAACCATCAATACCGCAATCCATTTATGCAGAAAGAGCCACAACCAGGAAAACGCTCCACACGACCCTGCAAATGTGAGTGCTAGGGAGTGTGTGCTCTCCTCACACTGTCCGGGACTGGGGTGCTCCACCCACGCTGTGCGGGACCTGGGTGCTCCACCCACGCTGTGCGGGACCGGGGTGCTCCACCCACGCTGTCCGGGACCGGGGTGCTCCACCCACGCTGTCCGGAACTGGGGTGCTCCACCCACACTGTCTGGAACTGGCACAGAATGTATCTAAGTATCACTTAAGTAATTCAGAAAAGAAAGAAAATCCCGCAACACATCTCAACACAACTTCCACGCAGCGGTGACCTGATGCAGCATGACCTCATGCAGCAGACAAGCCCCTCCCTCTGACCTCCTCCTTAGACTCCACCCCAGAGAGCAGCCGGGAGGAGAAACGGGGGTGAGTGAAGGAAGCGCCTGCAGAGCGGGCTTGGCACGACCTGAACCATCAGCACGTGTTTTGCCGCAGGCAGCAGCGAGTTTTCTTTTTGTGGCCCCTATGTTTTCCTTTTCCTATTACTTCCATTGGTTTCATCCAGAATCTGATACCAGGATCCAGGTGCAGGCGACAGTGCTGCATGTGCCTGGAAGGCCCCTGATGGCCGGAAGGACGAGGAGCACAGGGTGGCTGTTGCCAACCCTCTCCTGAGTCTAGGTGTGGCAGGCACCCTGAGGCCCATATACCCACCAGGATACTCCATATCTGCAGTGACCACATTCCCCTCTCCCTGACCTCCACCCTAAACTCCACACCCTTAAACCCAACGGTCCTCTGGGCTCCCTACTCCTATGCCCAGAACAGCACATCTGGCCTCTCAAATAGTCTCAAATGGTCTCAGTCATCAGCCCTGGGACTCATGGGGGTTCACTGCTTCATTTACCCACTTCTTGGTGCCCCCAAGTCAAGGCTGGCATCACTCCTCAAAGTCTGCACCACCTGCTCCACACCAGCCTCTGCTCCTGCCTGGTCATTTCCTCTCACACGGCCCTGTCTGTTATCTCCAGGGCTCATTCCTACCTTTAATCCACTTCTGTATCTACCTGTGTGTTGCCAGGGCCTGGACACAGGTGTACAGCTCCCGGACAGCAGCCATAGCCCAGCCAGGGTAGGGTGAAGTCTAAGTGGGTGCCTTATACGTGCCACATCTGCCCTCATTGATACAAAGGTGCCATATGGGCAGGCTTGTTTATTCCCCTCTATACTCCCTGCTTCTAGAACACTCTAGAATTGTCTGCCACATGGTAGGAGCTCAGTAAATGTTTCTTAAATAAAGGAATAACAACCGAAATTGGGCAACCTGGCCAGGCGCGGTGGCTCACGCCTGTAATGCCAGCACTTTGGGAGGCCAAGGCAAGTGGATCACGAGGTCAGGAGATTGAGACCACCCTGGTTAACACGGTGAAACCCCGTCTCTACCAAAAATACAAAAAATTAGCTGGGTATGGTGGCGGGCGCCTGTAGTCCCAGCTACTCGGGAGGCTGAGCCAGGAGAATGGCGTGAACCCGGGAGGTGGAGGTTGCAGTGAGCCGAGATCGCGCCACTGCATTCCAGCCTGGGTGACAGAGCAAGACTCTGTCTCAGAAAAAAAAAAAAAAAAAGAAAAACAGAAATTGCCACCGCGTGGAAGCTTTACTTTCGCTTTTGCTTTAATAAATCTTGCCACCGAAAAAAAAAAAATTGAAATTGTGCTCAAAGATTAACAGGTAAACCAAACATTAAATTGAGGATAAAATGACGAAACATAGGCTTTAAGGCAATGTGGAAAACCGTGTAACATTTTAAAGGGAAGCTCCTTTTTCTTTTGAGATAGGGTCTCACTCCGTTGCACAGGCTAAAGTGCAGTGGTGTGATCTCAGCTCGCTGCAGCCTCTACCTCCCAGGCTCAAGCAATGCTCCTGCTCAGCTTCCCAAGTGGCTGTGATGACTGGAACGTGCCGCATGTCCGGCTAATTTCTTTTCTATTTTTTGTAGAAATGGAGTTTCCCCATGTTGCCCAGGCTGACCTCAAACTCCTGGATTCAAGAGATCTCCTGCCTCAGCCTCCCAAAGTGCTGGGATTATAGGTGTGAGCCATCATGCCTGGCCAGGGTAGCTCTTTTCAACACTTACCGTTCAGTATCTGAAAGAGCATCAGCTTCAGGTTGAATTTCCAGCTCCAGGTGTAACCAGTCTTGGTAAGTTAACTGAGAAAGAGAGCAAGCAATTCAATACAATGAGGACAGAACACACAATCCACCGACAGGTTTATAAACCAGTTTGTCATTTCATCTCATACGCAGTCCTCCATGTCCCTGTGTTATAATGAAATTGCAGCTGAGAGTTCCACAGGAAAGAAACCTTAGTTTTATCAAGAATGATTTCTTACAGGATTTCCCTAGCACAAAGATGTTAGTACTGTAATCCTTCTTTCTAAGTATAAAACGGCTATTTTAGTCTGGGCAACATAGTAAGACCTCATCTCATTTAAAAATTACCTGGGCACGGTGGCTCATGCCTGTAATCCCAGCACTTTGGGAGGCTGAGGCCAGCAGATTGCTTGAGCCTAGGAGTTTGACACCAGCCTAGGCAACATGGTGACACCCCGTCTCTACAAAAGATTTAAAAATCAGCCAGGTGTGGTGGCACATGTGTGTGGTCCCAGCCTCTTGGGAGGCTGAGGCAGGAGGATCTCTTGAGCCCAGGAGGTCAAGGCTGCAGTGAGTAACAGAGTGAGAACTATCTATAAAAAGGAAAAAAAAAAAAAAGAAAAAAGAAACTAACAAAACAACAACATTCTACAGCTATTCACAGTAGCATACCTTCATTTATTTTTGGAAACAGGTTCTGTTGCCCAGGCTGGAGTGTGTGCAGTGGTGCAATCGTAGCTCGCTGCAGACTCTGCCTCCTGAACTCCAGAATTCTCCCCCTCAGCCTCTCAGATGGCTGGGACTGCAGGTGCACATCACCATGACCAGCTAAGTTTTTTAAAAACATTTTTAGGAGGCCGAGCACGGTGGCTCATGCCTGTAATCCCAGCACTTTGGGAGGCCGAGGCAGGCAGATCACGAGGTCAGCAGATTGAGACCATCCTAGCTAACACGGTGAAACCCTGTTTCTACTAAAAATACGAAAAAAAAAAAAAAAAAGGGTTGGGCGTGGTGGCTCACACCTGTAATCCCAGCACTTTGGGAGGCCGAGGCGGGAGGATGATGAGGTCAGGAGATTGAGACCATCCTGGCTAACACAGTGAAACCCCATCTCTACTAAAAATACAAAAAGTTAGCTGGGCGCGGTGGCGTGCACCTGTGGTCCCAGCTACTTGGGAGGCCGAGTCAGGAGAATCCCTTGAACCCAGAAGGCTGAGGTTGCAGTGACCCAAGATTGTGCCACTGCACTCCAGCCTGGGCAACAGAGGAAGATTCCATCTCCAAAAAAAAAAATAATAATTTAAAAATAATAAAATAATTTCACAAAAGGCTTGGCACAGTGGCTCACACTTGCAATCTCAACATATTGGCAGGCCAAAGCAGAAGGATCACTTTTTCCTATTTTTAGTAGAGATGGGGCTTCATCGTGTTACCCAGGATGGTCTCAATCTCCTGACATCTCAGCCTCCCAAAGTGCTGGGATTATAGGCATGAGCCACTGTGCCCAGCCACCTTGAAATTCTTTTCTAAAGACCAAAACAACCAGGCAAACATCCTCAGAAATAAATCAGTACCAAGGCACACTGGTGAGAGCAATGCCAGCTCCAGTAACCAGGCACACATGGGTGAGCCCAGAGACCCTGAGTGACCACCACACAGCCTGGCAGACATGTTTAAAACAAGTTCCCAGGGGCCGAGCGCAGTGGCTCACACCTGTAATCCCAGCACTTTGGGAGGCCAAGGCGGGCAGATCACGAGGTCAGGAGGTCGAGACCAGCCTAACATGGTGAAACCCCATCTCTACTAAAAATACAAAACTTAGCCAGGCGTGGTGGTGCGCGCCTGTAGTCCCAGCTACTTGGGAGGCTGAGGCAGGAGAATCACTTGAACCAGAGAGGCAGAGGCTGCAGTGAGCCAAGATTGCGCCACTGTGCCCCAGAGTAAGACTCCACCAGAAAAAAAAAACAAAACAACAACAACAACAAAAAACAAGTTCTCGGGCGCAATGGCTCACGCCTGTAATTCCAGCATTTTGGGAGGCCAAGGCGTGTGGGTAATTTGAGGCCAGGAGTTTAAGACCAGCCTGGACAACATGGTGAAACCCCGTCTGTACTAAAGATACCAAAATTAGTCGGGCGTGGTGGCAGGCGCCTGTAGTCCCAGCTACTGGAGAGGCTGAGGCATGAGAATTGCTTGAACCCAGGAGGCAGAGGCTGCAGTGAGCCAAGACTGCACCACTGAGCACAGCGAGACGTTGTCTCAAAAAATATATCAGTAAAAATAAAAAAAGAAGTTCGTGTTGGGAGAAACTGAGAAAGTATAGCAGGGTTTCTCTGTATTTATTAATATATTTTTTTGAGACAGGGTCTTGCTGTGTCATCCTGGCTGGAATAGAGTGGCGTGATCTTGGCTCACTGCAACCTCCACCTCCTGGGCTCAAGTGATTTCTCTTGCCTCAGCCTCCCAAGTAGCTGGAACCAAAGGTGCACACAACTGTGCCCAGCTAATTTTTGCATTCTTTGTAGAGATGGGGTTTCACTATGTTGCCCGGGCTGGTCTTGAACTCCTGAGTTCAGGTGATCAACCCGCCTTGGCCTCCCACAGTGCTGGGATCACAGGTGTGAGCACCGTGCCCAGTATCTGTATAATTTCTTAAGAGCTGCACATGAGGCCACAACGATTTTAGTCAAGATTCCAATCAAACCATCTAAGTGCTGCTGTTCTTGCCTCTGAGGAGACAGTCGGCACACGCACCCTAGACTCGAGACGAGGAGACAGTCGGCACACACACACCCTAGACTCGGGACGTGGCATGATGCAGGGGAAGGAACGGTCACCTACGTGCTGCTGTTCTTGCCCGAGGAGCACACACAAACCCTAGACTCAGGACGTGGCATGATGCAGGAGAAGGAACGGTCACCTACGTGAACATCTTCCTCTTTCAACACCTCTCGGAAGGTTCTGTGTGTCCAGAGAGAGAGGGCAGCTCTCTGCCAGTCTGCAGAAGGAAGGTGCAAGGGTCTCCAGGAAAGGCTGGCTACGTCCTCCTCAGAAAGAGGCTGTCGGGCCTCTGAGAACAATCTGAACATGAGGAACTGAAACTGAAACAGAGAGTGACCCGGCCGTTTCTTCATTGCGCAAGTTTCACTGTGAGTGGCTGAGCAAATGCTCAGGTGGAAACAGACCATCAACAGCCCACACACACAACCCCACATTCAGAGGACCTCAGTCCAGCCCCTGGGAGGGCGCAATACACGACCCCACGTTCAGGGGACCTCAGTCCAGCCCCTGGGAGGGCACAACACACAACCCCACGTTTAGGGGACCTCAGTCCAGCCCTTGGGAGGGCACAACACACAACCCCACGTTCAGGGGACCTCAGTCCAGCCCCTGGGAGGGCACAACACACAACCCCACGTTCAGGGGACCTCAGTCCAGCCCCTGGAAGGGTGCAGAGCCCCTCAGCGATCATGGCTGTGCACAGTGCTCCAGGGAAGAGCCTATGTGCAGACCTTCCTGCCATCTGACTGCTTCCTTGAGCTAAATGTCTGGAAGCAGAATTGCAGGAACAAAACTGCCTCCCAGGGGTAGGGCTGGTTTGGTCCCGGGCAGTGAAACAGCCCATCTCTAGGCCTCTGCCAGGAATGGCGTTCCCACCAAAAATGCACACCAACTGGACAAGCCAGACACACTATTGGTGCTGCGTGACCGTGTCCATCTCTGCCCCCGAGGAGATGAGAGCCTCCCATGTTTATAACCAGCCTGCTCCAAGGACTGTCGTCCCTGCTCAGCATGCTGGGTGGGAACCACGCTGCCCTCTCCTAAGCTCAAACTCCATGTTTTCTTTAAAAACTTGGCACCAGGGACAAAGTTCCTCAGAGGAAATAACTGGAAATACGTGCACCCTGGATCCTCAGGGGCTGCTCCCAGATTCTGACTTAATTTATCTGGAAAGGGGCCAGGAATCTATAGTTTCAAAAGCTTCTCAGTTGATTCTAATGTGAAGCCTGAAGTTGAAAACCATTATTTATTTATTTTTTTTTTTTTTTGAGGTGGAGTCTCGCTCTGTTGCCCAGGCTGGAGTGCAGTGGTGCAGTCTCGGCTCACTGCAACCTTTGCCTCCCTGGTTCAAGCGATTCTCCTGCCTCAGCCTCCCAAGTAGCTGGGATTACAGGCGTGCGCCACCACGCCTGGCTAATTTTTGTATTTTTAGTAGAGACCAGGTTTCACCATGTTGGCCAGGCTGGTCTCGATCTCTTGACCTCATGATCTGCCCGCCTCGGCCTCCCAAAGTGTTGGGATTACAGGCATGAGCCACCACGCCCAGCCTGAAAACCACTATTTTATACACGAGACGTTCATTAAAATCCTATAAAAGGACAACACTGGTTTGCAGTGCCATTTCACCTTTACTTTTGACATTCAGGGTTTCCAATGCTCATCTTTAAATTCCTTTGTCTGGGCCGGGCACCAGCGGCTCACGCCTGTAATCCCAGCACTTTGGGAGGCCAAGGCGGGTGGATCACTTGAGGTCAGGAGTTCGAAAACAGCCTGGCCAACATGGTGAAACCCTATCTCTACTAAAAAACATACAAAACAATTAGCCGGGTATGGTGGCACGTGCCTGTAATCCCAGCAACTTGGGAAGCTAAGGCAGGAGAACTGCCTGAACCCGGGAGGTGGAGGTTGCAGTGGGCCGAGATCGCACCACTGCACTCCAGCCTGGGCGACAGAGCAAGACTCCATCTCAAAAAAAAAAAAAAATTCCTTTGTCTGAACAATGTAAGGAACATTTACTAGATGAGAGGAATAAGAATTCTTCTTTCCAGGGAAAGATACTTATTATGAATACTGATCTTTTAATTCATCTATCCTATAAATGCCAACATCTATTTCATTACAATTACAGACTTGTAGTTGTCTTCATACAACTTCACTTTACACTCAGAGAACACAAGGAAAGGCAGCACTCAGCAGTCAGGCTGCCTAAGCAGACAGCAGAGGTGGCCATGACAGCCAGCCTGACTCAGGAGCTGCCCCATGACAGCCAGCCTGACCCAGGAGCTGCCCCTGAGATGGGCACAAAGCGGCAGCAGACCTCGGCCTTCCGGTCCGAAAGCTGCGTAAACCTGAAACGTATGGCAGAATGGAAAAATAGGAAAAGAGTGAACCTACCTTTTTAATAAGGCCTGGAGATAAGCAGCTGCACAAAGTATCTCGTGACTGGGAAGAAAACTTGCAGAGAGAGTAAGAAATTGCTGCTGTACAAAATCTGAAAACAGAAATTATAACATATAAATGTAATCCATACAAAATAAGGGATGAAGGAAAAAGTTACTTTGAATTTCATAAAACTGAATTTAGTGCATTCCGAACTGGATGGCCTGAGCATTGGTCCTTCGTTTTTTGGTTCGTTTGTTGTGAGACAGTCTTGCTCTGCCGCCCAGGCTGGAGTGCAGTGGCACCACCTGGGCTCACTGCAATCTCTGCCTCCCGGGTTCAAGCGAGTCTCCTGCCTCAGCCTCCCAGGTAGCTGGGATTACAGGCATCTCCCACCATGCCCAGCTGATTCTGTTGTAGTTGTTGTTAGTGCTTTTTTTTTGAGAGGGAGTCTTGCTCTGTTGCCAAGCCGGAGTAGAGTGGTGCGATTTCGGCTCACTGCACCCTCCACCTCCCAGGTTCAAGCAATTCTCCTGCCTCAGTCTCCCGAGTAGCTGGGACTACAGGTGCCAGCCTCCATGCCCAGCTAATTTTTTGTATTTTTAGTAGAGATGGGGTTTCACCGTGTTAGCGAGGATGGTCTCGATCTCCTGACTTCGTGCTCCGCCCACCTCAGCCTCCCAAAATGCTGGGCTTACAGGCATGAGTCACTGCAACCAGTCGAGTTTTTAATTTTTTTTAGTAGAGACGGGGTTTCCCCATGTTGGACAGGCTGGTCTCGAACTGCTGACCTCAAGTGATCTGCCCACCTCAGCCACTCAAAGTGCTGGGATTACAGCGTTAGCCACCGTGCCTGGCCCAGCCCTCGGTTTATTTTTTGTTTTATACAGGGCCTTACTCTGATGCCCAGGCTGGAGTGCAGTCGCACAATCACAGCTCAGGGGATCACTTAAACCCAGAAGTTCAAGACCAGCTTGGGCAACACAGTGAGACCCCATCTCTCACTAGCTGGGTGTGTGGGTGTGCACCTGTGGTCTCAGCTACTGGGAGGCTGAGGTGGGAAGATCACTTCAGCCTGGGGGACACAGTGAGACCTGTGTCATTTACTCAACATACATACCTACAGCAATACCCATGTGAAAAATTCTCACTTGTAACCAAGGAAGCTCAGAATGAGATTCCATGAGGCAATGGAGATGTCAAAGCACTGTCATGGTGTTCTTACAGTTCTAATACTTCTGTTTTACTAATACATATTTGAGCTGGGCGTGGAGGCTCACACCTGTAATCCTAACTGAAGTGGGCAGATCACTTGAGGTCAGGAGTTCAAGACCAGCCTGGCCAACATGGCAAAACCCCATCTCTACTAAAAATACATAAATTAGCTGGGCATGGTGGTGCACACCTGTAGTCTCAGCTACTCAGGAAGCTGAGGCACAAGAACTGCTTGAACCCGGGAGGCGGAGGTTACAGTGAGCCAAGATCACGCTACTGCACTCCAGCCTGGACGATAGAGTGAGACTCTGTCTCAAAACAAAAACCAAAAACCAAAAAACAAAAAAAAAAACAAAACACACACCAAATATATATTTCATTCTCCCTTTCTTATGCAAAAAGTAGCATCTGAGACCGAGTTCAGTATTTTGCTTTCTTCACCTGGATATATATCCTGAGGCATCTCTGTGTTTCTAAGAGAGGATGGCCCTGTCTCCCCCAAGCCACCTGGATGCCTCCCTCCTCACCAGCTCCCAACTTCTCCATTGGCTGTGTGCCTCTCATGCCAACACCCAGTACTCAGTGTTTGGGGCCTGGGGTGAGTGGGGACTGTCTGGTGTGGCCAAGCGCCTAGGAGGGACTCTGTATCCCCGGAGTACCGAGTGCCTGCTCCCCGAGGCCCATGTCTGAGGTGTGGGATCCGCACAGCTGCCATCTGACTCCCTCTCCTTGCTCCACGTACATTTCTTGCGCCTCTTCTAAGTTCTCTGTTATTCAGACCCTGTCATAATGTCAGATCTCCCCTTTCCCGCACAGGGTCTCCGGCACCGCAACAGGGCTCTGTCCCGACCTGGGCTACCTCTGCCCAAGAGACCAGAAGCTACAAGCCAAGCCCCAGCCAGCAACTCCCACCAGAGTCTCCCAGCCCTCTGTCCTGGCTTCCGCCTCTGAGTGGCAGCTGAAGGGATTCTGTCCTGGCTTCTGCCTGTGCGTGGCAGCTGCAGGGAGCCCTTGAGGCACTGAGCAGACCATTCTTAACCACAGGGTCCTTCCTCACCTCAGCACATGGCCCCATCTGCTGAGCCCTAGAGAAACAGCCCGAGGTGTACACACTGGGAAGCTACTCACCATGGGGTGCCGAAGAACCTGACCAGAGGGAGCTGGTCCAACCAAGGGCCAGACAAGGGACCAAGACAAAACAAAGCAGCTCTCACCAGGACATCAAAGAATGCTTAACGATATAGACAGTTACTATCTACTATTAATTTCAGCAGTTTAGTATAATATGATCTCATTTTTATGAACAAAGAAACAAACGCACGCATATTATAAACAAATGACAGATAAAATTCTGGAAGGATATATACCAAAATGCTAAAAAGTGGTTATCTTTGGGTGGTATGTCTGCATGTCTGTCTCTTCTAATTTTATCAAACGAGCATGTGTCACTTTTCGAGAGAGAGGAGAGAAGACGCGACTGTGGAAGAAGAGCTCACTTCAGGCAGAAGAACAAGGAATCCCTCGTCCTACAGGTCAGGAGGCTGTCAAAGAGCGCAGGGACAGGAAGGCCAGCACCAGGTGCAGGAGGACCCACATCCACCTCTGGGAGCGCAGACCTGGACTCACCCAGGTGCACGGCCAGGGCAGCCAACCCCAGCACATGTGGGGCACTCAGGCTCGGGCCCTGCAACGAGAATGAGGGTGGCAGAGCAGACTGCCCTCTTCCAAGCTGGAATTTTCCAGGGCACTGAAGACGAATTGAGAAGTAGCAGCCTGGCCCTCAGAGTGGGCCCCCAAGGGTGGCCCCCATGAAGGAGAGCCTCACCTGGTGACGGAGCAGCTGGCAGAGCCGGGTGAGCACTGCAGGGAGCACACGTCCACACATGGTCCTCACGAAGAGGGCAGCCCAGGGACCCTGCCTGCAGAGACAGCCGTGAAACCATCAGTACTAGCCATTCAGTCCTGCACATCCCTCCAACAGCTAATCCAACCACCAGCGGCCGAAGAAAGAGCCAAGCTGTTCCCCAAAACAGTGGTCTTTCTGGAAGACAACCCATCTTCTGCAGTGCTTCCCAACTTCTGCTGCGTCCTATTTGATGAAACTCAGCATCGCCGCATGCTCCTGCGGAGACGAGCTCATGAGTCCCTGGTCTGCAGACTTGGCCCAGCAAGAGGTGGCACCCAGAGGAGCCCCACCACTCAGGGAGCTGCCCGCGCCTTCACCTCTCCGGGGGAGCGACACTGGAGGCAGCCATCAGGTTCTGACAGAAAGACGTCAGCAGGAGGTCCACAGCCTGCAGAGACACAGTTCTCATGAGCGTGGTGTCCTGGGGACGGGAGCAGCAGGAAGGAAGCCGGCCAGCGCTCCCGCCACAGACATCGCAATTCTGCTTTGCAAAAAGACCTCCAAAACAGGCTTGTTTGGAGGGCATGTTACAATGCAAACTGGTGCCCAGGGCCCCCATTCCCCAATCTTGGGAATAGCAGCCCTCAAGTAATCGCCAATCACAAAATTCTACAGCAGCAGGCGGGACTGGCAAACCTTGTGTGTAAGGGGCCAGAAAAATATTTTAGGTTTTGGGGCCAGAAACAGCCTCTGTCGCATATTCTAAAGAGGCAGTCGAGCCCAACCTGGTCAACATGATGAAACCCTGTCTTTACTAAAAATACAAAAATTAGCTGGGCGTAGTGGTGTGCACCTGTAATCCCAGCTACCCAGGAAGCTGAGGCAAGAGAACTGCTTGAACCCAGGAGGTGGAGGCTGCAGTGAGCCAAGATCGTCCACTCCAGCCTGGGCAACAGAGAAGACTCAGTCAAAAAAAAAAAAAAAAAAAGAGGCCAAGTGCCGTGGCTTATGCCTATAATCCCAACACTTTGGGAGGCTGAGGCAGACAGATCACTTGACCTCAGGACTTCTAGACCAGTCGAGGCAACACAGAGAAACCCCAACTGTACAAAAAATGCAGAAATTAGCCGGGTGTGGTGATGCACGCCTGTAGTCCCAGCTACTCGGGAGGCTGAGACAAGAGGATCACTTGAGCCCAGGATGTCAAAGCTGTAGTGAGCCATGATTGCACCACTGCACTCCAGCCTGGGCAACAAAGCAAGACCCTGTCTCCAAAATTAAATAAATAAATAAAATGTAAAAGGAGCTCTTCATACACAAACAGACTGTGGCAGCTGACCCTGGTACACCGCTGCCTGGCCCTGGAACATCTGATACGACACTAACTGAGCAAGTCAAACAGAAATTGAGAGAAGGCTCCATGCGTCTAATGCCTCTGCCTAATGGAAAATGGTGAAGACCCCCTGCTTTGTTCTGAGCCCCTACACCTACCATGTGTTCCCGTGGCTCCAGTCTCGGCGTGTTGATGCTGAGCTGAATCTTTGATATCTCAACGCTGCTGTCATCCTCATTGTGGCCCAGGACAGCCCTCAGTCTTTCAGAAATCACTGCCACCTGTGCCGATATAACTGCGAAGGAAGAAACTAGTTAGGGATGACAAGAACCCCGAAAGGAGGGATACAGCTGCGGCCTAGAGAGCTCCGCCTCCCGTCAAGTACGATTCCACGGATCCTGCTGACTGCACACATCCCCCAGCCAGGTGCTGAACACCAGTGTTTGTTCGCCCCGCAGGATTTGCAGCCTTGTGGTGCAGCATGTGTCATGGCAAATGGGGCCAGACGCCATCCACTACCTTTTCCTGATTGGCTGAGAGGGGGACATGTTCATTCACCAACATGAACCTCCCCATCTGAAATCCCATGCCAGCCCTCCAGACACCACATCTGCCTAAGCGCATGCCAGAGGTTCCATGTTGGCCCAGGGAAATGGGCCACACATAGCCCAACTACATCATTTAAAGGTGAAAACCGCTTTGCTTTTAGAAACAGGACTCACCTGACATGTATCAACCTCTTGCTTAAGCACTGGAACTTTTCCTCCATGTCCCCCATGTACCACATTCTGCACAAGCCATCATTGAATCACCGGAAGGCTGCACTCAGGAACTGGCGCACTTGGTCTGAGTGAAGACCGCCAAGGCGCTGCAGCCCCAGCTAGCGCTAACCAAGCTGTGTTAACATTGCCTCCATGCGGAGCTTGCAGTGAGCTGAGATCACGCCACTGCACTCCAGCCTGGGTGACAGAGCAAGACTCCGTCTCAAAAAAATATATATATATCACCTCCATGTAGGCCAGGCACGGTGGCTCACACTGAAATCCCAGCACTTTGGGAGGCCAACACAGGTGGATCACCTGAGGTCAGGATTTCAAAACCAGCCTGGCCAACATGGTGAAACCCCATCTCTACTAAAAAATACAAAAAATTAGCCAGACATGGAGGCAGTCACCTGTAATCCTAGCAACTTGGGAGGCTGAGGCGGGAGAATTGCTTGAACCCAGGAGGCGGAGGTTGCAGTGAGCCGAGATGGCGCCACTGCACTCCAGCCTGGGGGACAGAGTGAGACTCTGTCTCAAAAAAAAAAAAGAAAAAAGAAACTGCATGTTCTCAATCCACAGATGAACATTTCTTACTCTGGATTTTACAGAAAACCATCACATGGAAGCAGGATCACAGGGCAGAGACCCTGTGTGTCTGATGTGACATCGACTCCGGCAGGCAGGATGAGCGGGAAAACAGGCATCCTAGTCACGCGTTTTCTTCTCTATCATCATTCGTCCTACTCAGATGCAACTAGCCGAATATTCACCTTCTGCCAAGGGTCTGTGACAGCTTCAGTAGGACTAGCCTTCCACCTTGTCTCAAAAAAGGTTCCACACCCGCCAGCCCGGGGTCAATCTTTAAACTACTGGACTACTAGGAAGACACACCAGCCTGATGTCACTATGGGGAAAATGGCCCAGCCACAGAGCTCCAACCACAGGCTGCACACATGAGACACAGCATGAGCTCCCATCCATCCTCACCATCACGCTGGCTGGGGTCTGTCATGGAGGCTCTCAGCTCTCCCAGTGCAGCTGTGAGCTGTCCCAGGGGCTCCTCAGCAGAGTTGGGTTCTGCCCTCACTCCCAGGGCTGCATCTGTGAGAAGAAGGAAGAAACCAGATGGAAAGACACTCAACAGGACTCTTCACTGCAAAAATAGAAACTTCACACAGTCAAATACAGAGCTGTGAACTTCCAAGCTGCTGTGTGTGGCAGACGGAGGGACTGGGAGTCTCTGAGGAGGTAAATGAGGTGTCTTCCCTGATGCTGGATGCCACATCGAAAATTACAATTATAAACGAGTTTCATAAAAAATTACATTTATAAACAAGTTTAAGAAAAAAAGCGGTTCTGTGTGCACCATCAATACCACTCCACCACCGTGAGAAGCATACACACGGAAGAAAACAAGGAGGATCGAGGGCTGGCGAGGGTGGGGACAGGATCACGGATAGGTGACCATTTAGTCCCCTGGTTCCTCAAACTTTTTTTTTTTTTTTTTTGAGATGGACTCTTGCTCTGTCACCACGCTGGAGTGCAGTGGTGCGATCTCGGCTCACTGTAACCTCCGCCTCCCGGGTTCAAATCATCCTGCCTCAGCCTCCCGAGTAGCTGGGACTACAGGCACGCACCACCACATCCAGCTAATTTTTTGTATTTTTAGTAGAGACGGGATTTCACCACGTTGGCCAAGATGGTCTCGATCTCCTGACCTCATGATTTGCCCGCCTTGGCCTCTCAAAGTGCTGGGATTACGGGCATGAGCCACTGCGCCCAGCCACCACTTTCAATATAAAAAGGAAGATACGCTGCATATGTTTTTAAAGTAAAAAACCTTCAAGTTCTGGGGTTGCTGGAGAAGACACAAGCATGAAAATGCACTGCTATGCACAGCCACAGCCAAAATGAAACCAGAAATCACAGGCTCTAGAAATCATAGGCTCTAGGAGTCTGTGCATAAGCCTCATCAGACAAATGATTAGAAACCATTCTGGAAGCCACCAAAAGCTACGAACAAGTGGACCCCAGGGGAAGGAGGATCCTGGGGGAAGGAGGACACCTCTCAAGAGAAGCAAACGCCTCACACCGCAGGGTACACAGCCCTGAGGCCCCTGTGGCATCCCCAGCACAACTGAGAGGTCATGCTCTCAGGGTGGGTCGGCCGGGCATGGGGGCTCCCACCTGTAATCCCAGCACTGTGGGAGGCCGAGGCGGGTGGATCACGAGGTCAGGAGATTGAGACCATTCTGGCTAACACGGTGAAACCCTGTCTCTACTAAAAACACAAAAAATTAGCCGGGTGTGGTGGCGGGCGCCTGTAGTCCCAGCCACTCGGGAGGCTGAGGCAGGAGAATGGCATGAACCTGGGAGGCGGAGCTTACAGCGAGCTGAGATTGCGCCACTGCACTCCAGCCTGGGCAACAGAGCGAGACTCTGTCTCAAAAAAAAAAAAAAAAAAAAAAAAATCTCAACGAGCCTCCCTGGCCCTGCAGGTGGAAGGGGATCTAGAAGAGCACACAAGGGGCTGGGTACGGTTGCTCATGCCTGTAATCCCAGCACTTTGAAAGGCCGAGGCAGGCGGATCAGTTGAGGTCAGGAGTTCGAGACCAGCTTGTCCAACATGGCGAAACCCCATCTCTACTAAAAATACAAAAACTAGCAAGGCGTAGTAGTGCGTGCCTATAATCCCAGCTATTACAGAGGCTGAGGCAGGAGAACTGCTTGAACCCAGGGGGCAGAGGTTTCAGCGAGCCAAAATCGCGCCACTGCAGTCCACAGCCACAGAGCGAGACTCTGTCTCAAAAAAAAAAAGCCCACAGGGAAGCAGCAGCCTCAGATCTATGTCTTCAGCTCATAGCGGCTCCCACAGGGAGATGCTGGCTTCTACTGGAGATAAAGCCACACACTTCAAGAAAAACCAGCCTCATGATGGCATCTCCCACTGCTGCCTGAGTGCAGCCTTTCACGGATTCCCAATGAGGGCGTAGGTCTGACCGACAGCTGCACCACTGCTCCCCACAGGCCAAAAGAGCCTGACTTCTACTCCTACCTGCACTGTGCAACAGAAAAGTGCTGCATGACACTCCCTACGACAGGCTCGAGCCAGCGCTGTGGGCCCCAAGGTGGCCGCTGAGAGAGCACCCGAGTCTGAAGCCTGTACAAACACCTCAGTGCGGCCCACAGGAAGATGACGAGTGACAAAGTGGGGCTGTGCACTGCACACACTCCTTTCCGGAAGGTGCTAAGTGATTCTTCAGGACCCCCAGGTAAGAGTCTGTGCCACAGCTGGCACTGGGCGTCAGCATGGTGGGCGGACCCTGTACCCAAAGCACCGGCTTGAGCTGGCACAGCCACCCCCGAGCTCACTCGGGTGGTGTAGCACAACAGACACTCAAGGTTAGGAAAATGGAAAAGCACAAGTCCCAGAGTGGACAAGCGGCCCAGGAACTTACCTTCTGGCTTCTCTTCAGCAGCAGAGCAGGCCTGGCAGTAGGTGGAGTACAGAGATGGGGGGATTTTATCTGCTCTGGATCACAGGAAAACAATACAATTAAGTCAGCTATGGCTTAAATTAATTCAAGATTACAATCCCCAAATCTATTATAAAATAAAAACATATTAAATTTAAATAAATTATAAATACTGTGTACAGTATGAGCCTGTTTTTACAAAAAAATATTAAAAAATATATATAGATTTAAAAAGCACTGTTTCAAAATATATCATATTAATCATATATTAATATCTAAGGAGCTAGACCACAAAATACCACCAGTGATTATCCCTGGGCAGTGAAATTATAAATTATTTCTATTTCTCTCATACAATTTTTGGTAATTTCCAAATTCAAAACACGAATCTTTGTTTTTCTTTTTTTTTTTTTTTTTTTTTTTTTTGAGACAGAGTCTCCCACTATCACCCACACTGGAGTGCAGTGGTGCGATCTCGGCTCACTGCAACCTCCGCCTCCCAGGTTCAAGCAATTCTCCTGCCTCACCCTCCCGAGTAGGTGGGATTACAGGCGCCTGCCACCAGGCCCAGCTAATTTTTTGTATTTTTAGTAGAGACGGAGTTTCACCATGTTCACCAGGCTGGCCTCGAACTCGTGACCTTGTGATTCACCTGCCTCAGCCTCCCAAAGTGCTGGGATTACAGGCGTGAGCCACCACGCCCAGCAAAACATGAATCTTTGTTAATTTTAATGATTAATACTAAGAAAAACGTTTAGTTCGTGTCATTAAAAATATGCAAAATTGGGCCAGGCGCGGTGGATCCCGCCTGTAATCCCAGCACTTTGGGAGGCCGAGGCAGGCAGATCAGGAGGTCAGGAGATTGAGACCATCCTGGCTAACACAGTGAAACCCTGTGTCTACTAAAAATACAAAAACAAAATTAGCCGGGCGTGGTGGCGGGCGCCTGCAGTCTCAGCTACTTGGTAGGCTGAGGTGGGAGAATGGCATGAACCCAGAAGGTGGAGCTTGCAGTGAGCCGAGATTGCGCCACTGCACTGCAGACTGGCTGACAAACCGAGACTCCGACTCAAAAAATAAATTAAAGAAAAAAAAATAAAACGCATTAGTTCATGCTAAAAATCCTTAGCAAATTAGTAAGAGGGAACTTTCTTAACATGATAAAGGGTAAGCCAGGTACAGTGGCTCATATTTGTAATCCCAGCACTTTGGGAAGTTGAAGCAGGAGGATTATTTGAGGCCAAGAGAGAGAGAAGCCTGGGCAACACAGCGAAAATCCGTGTCCTCAAAGCATTTACAAAATGGCTGGGTGTGGTGGAGCGCGCCTCTAGACCCAGCTACTTGGGAGGCAGAGGGGGAAGGATTGTTGAAACCCAGGAGGTCAAGGCTGGCCAGGTGTGGTGGATCGCGCCTCTAGACCCTGCTACTTGGGAGGCGGAGGGGGAAGGATTGTTGAAGCCCAGGAGATCAAGGCTGGCTGGGTGTGGTGGAGCACGCCTCTAGACCCAGCTACTTGGGAGGCGGAGAGGGAAGGACTGTTGAAGCCCAGGAGGTCAAGGCTGTAGTAAGCCATGACTGCACCGCTGCATTCCAGCCTGGGTGACAGAGTGGGACCCTGTCTCAAAACAAATGAAAGTAAGGATCCCAGAGAATAAACTTATTTTAAGATTTAAAAAATTATTTTTGCAGAGCATGGTGGCTCACGCTTGTAATCCCAGCACTTTGGGAGGCCGAGGTGGGTGGATCACAAGATCAGGAGTTTGAGACCAGTCTGGCCAACATAGTGAAACCCTGTCTCTACTAAAAATACAAAAAAAGAAAAAAAAAAGGCTCTTTGTGTTTATCTTCTTACAGGTCCCAGAACTTTATAAATTTTGCTGGAATATAGGACTTATACTTTCCTATTTCTTCCAAAGTTGGTTGATACCAACCAACTTTCTTACTAGAAACCTGCAATGTAAGTGATCCAAGGATACCTTATTATTCTAAACAATAACTTCCAGGTCTACTCTCAAGTTCTGCAGCATGAGGCTTTCCCAGAGCTCTTTCATTTTCCTTCAGTTCTCCTCTCTGCACAATCATTATGTACTGAAACATTTTCTTTCACTGAAGAATGATGCAGCCGGGTGCGGTAGCTCACGCCTATAATCCCAGCACTTTGGGAGGCCGAGGTGGGCAGATCGCTTGAGCCCAGGAGTTCAAGACCAGCCTGACTAACATGGTGAAACCCCGTCTCTACTAAAAATACAAAAATTAGCCGGGCGTGGTGGTGCGCGCCTGTAATCCCAGCTACTCAGGAGGCTGAGGCAGGAGAATTCCTTGAACCCAGGAGGTGGAGGGTGCAGTGAGCCAAGATCGCACCACTGCACTCCAGCCTGGGCAACAGAGTGAGACTTCATCTCAAAAAAAAAAAAAAAAAAAGGCCAGGAGCGGTGGCTCACATCTGTAATCCCAGCACTCTGTGAGGATGAGGTGGGTAGATCATCTTCTGAGCTCAGGAGTTTGAGAACCGCCTGGCCAATATGGCAAAACCCTGTCTGTACTAAAAATACAAAAATTAGCAGGGCGTGGTGGTGCATACCTATAATCCCAGCTACTCAGGAGGCTGAGGCAGGACAATTGCTCCAACCCAGGAGGCAGAGCTTGCAGTGAGCCAAGATTGTGCAATTGCACTCCAGCCTGGGCAACAGAGCGAGACTCCATCTAAAAAAAAAAAAAAAAAAAAACTTAGCCAGGCACAGGCTTGTAATCCCAGCTACTCAGGAGGCTGAAGCAAGAGAATCGCTTGAACCTAAGATGTGGAGGTTGCAGTGAGCCAAGATCTCGCCTCTGCACTCCAAGCCTGGGTGACAGAGTGAGACTCCAACTAAAAAAAAAAAAAAAAAAAAAAAAAAAAAAGTAACCAACCAATTTTGGAGCCAATATTTTACCAATAAAACACAATAGTGGTCTAACAAATTTCTCTACAGAAGATCCACAATTCTTCGCATTGTCAGAAGAAACCTGGAAGTAGTCATCCCCTTCTAACCGTTGCTGCATACCTCTTCAGAGACTCTATAAACGCCACACGGGAGTCAGGGACTTTGGGGAGCTGTGGGAAGAGAAGAGACCTGTGAGAGACTGACAAGGAAAGTCCTTGCTTTCTACACAACTGGTCACAAACTCATGGAGACGCATACTGACCACTCGAGGTGTGAGCAGGGCGGGGAGGAAGTGGGACACGTAGTAAGGCCTCCTGAATATGCTGCAACACAGAGAAGCAGACAGTGCATCAGTCAGAGCAGCGAGAAGGCAATTCCCACAGACGGTGACCGGTGTTTCAGAGAGTGGACTGCGAGGGCTCACTCCAAAGCCACGATGCATTATGAAGTCTTCTTGTGCACAGTTCCGGGACAAGGCATGTGTAGGGCAGGCCGTGCTAGCCCAGCCCTGAGTCCGTGGGAATCAGGACCACATTCGGCCTGCTCCCTGGGCTTGAACGTGGAGCCTGGATCAATCTGAGGCCACGAGGACCATGTAAGGTCCATTTGGGGCAATTTCCTTGGAGCTAAATTTCAAAACCCTGGGAGCTGCAATCAGCTCATCCACATGTGTAACCACCAGAATTCAAGATGTTTTGAGATCATACCAAATTCAATAAAGCTGTGCTATTCAGCTCTCTGTTACTGACTCCATATTGGTCACAAAGAAGGCATTGATAAAAAAAAAAACATCATGGCCCCACTGCCTTCCCTCCCAGTGCAAGCTCCCCAATCAGCAGTTCCTGTTGGCTGCTTCAGCACGGGAGGGGCATCACCTGCTTTTACAGAGGAAAAAATGTTTCACAGCAAATGCACAGCTCTTGACCTCACCCCGTATCCCTTAACGGCAGGATCCTCGATTCACAGCCCTGACTCCTGTCTCTCTCTGAATAGACAGTGGCCAACCTGCCCCATGTGGCTCTGGGCAGAAATGGGACACACTCCAAAGAGCCCCAGACGCTGGCAGGCATCAGAGCGGAGTCTGCACACCCTGCAGGCATCAGAGCAGAGTCTGCACATACTGCAGGCATCAGAGCGCGGTCTGCACACACTGCAGCTGCTAGAGGCCTTTTCGGCAGCCCAGCCTACCTGGCCTCCATGACGGTGACTGGGATGTTCCCCGTATGCTCAAACACCATGATGGCCTTTTCAACATCCTGAAGAGCTTGGCTGTGGGGCTGGTTCCCATACAGGGAGGAAAGGAAAAAGAACAGAGGACTTTAAAGAAAAGACTGAGCAGTGAAGGCCACACTCAACCTGTGCTTCCTTGTTGAAAGGCTCTGTACACATTAAAGGTAAAGGCCCACATGCTGTGCGCACAGCAGGGGCCCTGGAGCACTCCAAAATGTCCCAAAATACCAGCACGACAGGGGAGGATGACACTGCCACCTCCACACACACAAGGTTCAGACCCCGTGATGTGCGGCCCTCCTCGAGAGCTCAGCTCTGCTGAGAGCCTGCCGTGAGCCTCTTTCCTGCCTCCAGGAAAGAGTTGAAAGTAAAGATTTCTAGGTGGGAAGGAGTAGAGACTTAATTTTTGAGATTAAAAGAAATTACGAGGGCTGGGTGCCATGACTCATGTCTATAAACGCAGTGCTTTGAGAGGCTAAGCGGGGCAGACTGCTTAAGCCCAAGGAGTTCAAGCCCGGCCTGGGCAACATGATGACATCTCATCTCTAAAAAAATACAAAAACATTAGCCAGGTGTAGAGGCATGAGCCAGTGGTCCCAGCTACTCAGGACGTGGAGGTGGAAGGATTGCCTGTGCCCAGGAAATCATGGCTCCAGTAAGCCATCATCATGCTACCCTACTGCAGCCTGGGCAACAGGGGAAGTCCCTGCATCAAAAAAAAAAAAAAACATTCTGAGGCCAGGCGCGGCAGCTCACATCTGTAATCCCAGCATTTTGGGGGGCCAAGGCGGAAGGATCACTTGAGCCCAGGAGTTTAAGACCAGTCTCGGCCACACAGGGAGACCCTATGTCTGCAAAAAATTTTAGAAACCAGCCAGGCATGGTGGCGCACACTTGTACTCCCAGTTACTCAGGAGGTCAAGGTGAGAAGATCGTTTCAACCTAGGAGTTTGAGGCTGCACTGAACTGTGATCACGGTACTATACTTCAGCCTGGTCAACAGAACAACATCCCACCTCAAAAAAAAAAAAAAAGTAATTTATAAACAGCAATAAATTATAAATGGAAAATTATATTAAATATTTTCACCTAACACTTTAATGTCACCTATAAGTGTTCTTCAGTAACTCGTAACTTTAAAATAAAAAGGTCTTAAAAAGTAAAGAATGGAGGGCCAGGCGCAGTGGCTCACGCCTGTAATCCCAGCACTTTGAGAGACCGAGGCAGACGGATCACGAGGTCAGGAGACCGAGACCATCCTGGCTAACACGGTGAAACCCCATCTCTACTAAAAACACACAAAATTAGCCTGACGTGGTGGCGGGTGCCTGTAGTCCCAGCTACTCGGGAGGCTGAGGCAGGAGAATGGCATGAACCCGGAAGGCGGAGCTTGCAGTGAGCTGAGACTGCGCCACTGCACTCCAGCCTGGGCAATAGAACGAGACTCCATTCCAAAAAAAAAAAAAAAAAAAAAAACAATACGCTGGGCACAGTGGCTCATGCCTGTAATCCCAGGACTTTGGGAGGCCAAGGCGGGCAGATCACGAGGTCAGGAGATTGAGACCATCCTGGATAACATGGTGAAACCCCATCTCTACTAAAAAAATACAAAAAAATTAGCTGGGTGTGGTGGCAGGTGCCTGTAGTCTGAGCTACTGGAGAGGCTGAGGCAGGAGAATGGTGTGAACCCGGGAGGCGGAGCTTGCAGTAAGCTGAGATCGCACCACTGCACTCCAGCCAGGGCGACAGAGCGAGACTCCGTCTCAAAAAAAAAAAAAAAAGTAAAAAGTAAAGAATGTTTTCATTAGGCCGGCCATGGTGGCTCACGCCTGTAATCCCAGCACTTTGAGAGGCCGAGACGGGCGGATCACGAGGTCAGGAGATCGAGACCATACTGGCTAACGTGGTGAAACCTCATCTCTACTAAAAATATACAAAAAATTAGCCAGGCGTGGTGGCAGGCATCTGTAGGCCCACTATAGGCTACTCGGGAGGCTGAGGCAGGAGAATGGCGTGAACCCAGGAGGCAGAGCTTGCAGTGAGCCGAGACTGCGCCACTGCACTCCAGCCTGGGCGACAGAGCGAGACTCCATCTCAAAAAAAAAAAAGAATGTTTTCATTAGTGACCCACACATATCACATGACCATCTGACATTTGGCTGCTATAAAAACAGTTAACACTTGGCCAGGAGCAGTGGCTCACACCTATAATCCCAGCACTTTGGGAGGCCAAGGCGGGCAGATCACGAGGTCAAGAGATCGAGATCATCCTGGCTAACACGGTGAAACCTCGTCTCTACTAAAAAAAATTAAAAAATTAGCCAGGCGTGGTGGCGGGCGCCTGTAATCCCAGCACTTTGAGAGGCCAAGGCGGGCGGATCACAAGGTCAGGAGATTGAGACCATTCTGGCTAACATGGCGAAACCCTGACTCTATTAAAAATACAAAAAAATTAGCCAGGCGTGGTGGCGGCTCCTGTAGTCCCAGCTACTCTGGAGGCTGAGGCAGGAGAATGGCGTGAACCCAGGAGGCAGAGGTTGCAGTGAGCCGAGATTGCGCCACTGCACTCAAGCCTGGTGACAGACCAAGACTGCATCTCCAAAAAAAAAAAAAAAGTTAACACTTTTCTGTGATTCAGAGAAAAACATGACGAACCACCTCTCCATTCAACCCCACAGGAACCAAGATCTCCCAAAAGGACAAATGTCCTGCAGCCTGAGGCACTTCACTCTGCCACACAGTAACCCTTTCCCTGCCAATGCTGGGGACACACAAGGTGGGACACAGCAACACAGAGGCCCGCAGAGCCTCGCCCCCAGCTGCGCCCGAGGCAAGACCAGACATGAGACTGGGAAGGCTGAAAAACTCAACTCAAGAGTCAAAAGAAACTGGACCTTTGCATGGTGGGCGTGACTGGCTGAGACCCTGCAGGGCTCAAGCAACATTACCTCAGTAATGTCCCCAGCTGATGACAAATCCTCGTAGAGTCCCATGTTTTCTATAGAAACCTTCAGGGAAGACACAGAATGAGAACAAGAAAACAAAGCAGTTTCTGCTGGGACAGGTGTGAGGAGTGGGCATGGAGGGACAGCTTGCCTTGAGGTCGGCCAGCCGTGTCTTGGCCAATGAGATGTAGTCTGTGAGGAGGGAGCGGTACTTGCCGGGAACCAGGGGTGGGTGGAGAATGTGCACCTGAGGATAGATAGCAGAGCGCAGCACCGTTAGTCTGGGAACTGCCTGGGACTCCAGGGAGGCCACAATTCACTTCCAACATCCACAGTGCTGAGTAGAGAAACACAGCCCTTTACAGTCAGACTTATGAGTATGCAAAGCAAACCATTAGTAAAATTAAAACACAAGCCGGGCGCAGCGGCTTACACCTGTAATCCCAGCACTTTGGGAGGCTGAGGCGGGCAGATCACGAGGTCAGGAGATGGAGACCATCCTGGCTAACATGGTGAAACCCTGTCTCTACTAAAAATACAAAAAAATTAGCCGGGCGCGGTGGTGGGCACCAGTAGTCCCAGCTACTCGGGAGACTGAGGCAGGAGAATGGCGGGAACCCAGGAGGCGGACCTTGCAGTGAGCCGAGATCGCGCCACTGCACTCCAGCCTGGGTGACACAGTGAGACTTCATTTCCAAAAAAAAAAACAACAAAAAAAAAACACAATAGAAGGCTGCTTCCCCAGGTGAAAAATCAAGAAACCCTAATGTAGCTGGTCCTGCAAGTCCAGGGCGGCTCACTGGGGGAACCAGGGATGTGCAATCCTAGCAGCGGCAGCAGGAACCGGCCCCGGCCGCCTGCAGCTCCATGCCTTTGACTTCCTGGTCAAAGGGGACAGAGGGGACACAGCGTGTTTTTTTCTTTTGAGAGGGAGTTTTGCTCTTATTGCCCAGGCTGGAGTGCAATGGTGCAGTCTCGGCTCACTGCAACCTCCGCCTCCCGGGTTCAAGCAACTCTCCTGCCTCAGCCTCCTGAGTAGCTAGGACTACGCGCGCGCTACCACGCCCGGCTAATTTTGTATTTTCAGTAGACAGGGGGTTTCTCCACATTGGTCAGGCTGGTCTCGAACTCCTGACCTCAAGTGATCTGCCCTCCTCAGCCTCCAAAAGTGCTGGGTTACAGGTGTGAGCCACCACGCCCGGCCAATTTTCTTAAAAGATGAGGGTCAGGCTGGGCACAGTGGCTCACACCTGTAATCCCAGAACTTTGGGAGGCCAAGGCGGAAGGATCACTTGAGCTCAGTTCAAGGCCAGCCTGGGCAACACAGCAAGACCCCATCTGTACTAAAAAAAAGAAAAAAAGAAAAAACAGCCAGGTTTGCTGGCATGCGCCTGTAGTCCCAACTACTCAGGACGCTGAGGTGGGAGAACTGCTTGACCTGGGAGGTCTAGGCTACAGTGAGCTATGATGGCAACACTGCACTCTAGCCTAGGCAACAGAGTGAGACTGTCTCAAAAAAAAAAACCCAAAAAAACAAAAAAACAAAAAAAAAACCCACATGAAATTAAAAAAAAAAAAAAAAAAGCAAACATGAGATCCTAAAACCCTCACTGCAGTACAACTCGCTCTTCCTGCGTAACTGGGTGCTGAGAACGTCTCTCCACGTCACCACTCAGACCTGCTCACTGTTTTGAGGGAGACTGAACAGTGACATAATATATCTACCCACCTCCTTGGCCTAGGTGAGAAAAGGGTTTCTTAGCAGTTGCCTTGACTGGCACACACGCACTCACTGTGTGTCCACGTGGACACCTCCAGTTGCAATGTTTGTGTTGTTTCACCATAAACGGCTTGGGGAAGGGGAAGGGGAAGGGGAAGGGCCTGGCTGAGAGGCTCAGAGCAGATCTGCAGGAGGCTCTTGGGGAGGCCAAGGCAGTCCTCAGATGCAGCAGGTGAGCGAAGCACCAGAAATCATGGATGTGGCAGCCAGCTTCTCACCTGCAGGTACCGGGGAGACTCAAAAGGCACGAGTTCTGACAAGAACGTAAACAGGAAGACCAGGGCCTTCTTGCTGCAGCCATGGTAGCCTCGTGTGCTCCCAAAGGAGGCCTGTGTGGAGAGAAGAGCGTGAAGCCCAGGACAGCCAGGCGCGGCTGCACCACCTAGGCAGTGTCCTGTGTGGAGAGAAGAGCGTGAAGCCCAGGACAGCCAGGCGCAGCTGCACCACCTAGGCAGTGTCCTGTGTGGAGAGAAGAGTGTGAAGCCCACCTAGGCAGTGTCCGGGCGGCTGCTGTAGTCGGCCTCCTAAACAAAAAGGAAAAAAGAGAAACACCAAAAAGTCATGTGGTTCATACATTTACAGATGTCACGACTGCGCTTTGACTGAAGAGATATCTAAAAGTTATTCGAAGAAAAACAGTTAAAAATCATTAGCTATAACAAACACTAACTATGGGATCCTTTTGGGATCCTTAGGGGTACAATTTGCTAAATGCCCTAAGAAGTGTTTGTGCACAGCAAACAAATTGATTTTGTGGGATGAAGCCACTTCTGAACACACTTTAACTTCTAACCTCATCCACCAGTGGACAGATCACTGCAAGAGAGGTGGGTAAGGAACACAGGCCAAGGAGGGCCACCCCTCAGACAATGAAGCTGCAAGACCCTAGCAGAGCAAGCGAGGAACATGAGCAAACCCTCCCAGGAACGAAGGGGGCTGCAGCAAAGTCCTGGGGGCTGCAGTGAGTCAGGGAAGGAAGGAGATTTTAAATGGGCATGGCCCTGAACGCATCATAGTGAACCTGCAGACAGAATGTGGGCCTCTGTGAACACTGAACCGCTTACCTGCAAAACCAGACGAGCTCCTGCCACCCTAGCCCCACTTGAGACCACAGGACATCCTGGTGAAACCTCAGCAAGTTACCATCTATCAGGAAACCTGAACTCCAACGTGAACTGAAGGCTCACCTTGGTCTTTCTGAAAGCGTGCAAAATTGTGTTTTGTTTTTTTTTTTTTGGAGACAGAGTCTTGCTCTGTCACCCAGGCTGGAGTGCAGTGGTGCCATCTTGGCTCACTGCAACGTCCGCCCACCCAGGTTTGAACAATTCTCCTGCCTCCCTAGTAGCTGAGATTACAGGCATTTGCTACCACTCCCAGCTATTTTTTTTTTTTTTTTTTTGAGAGAGAGAGTCTCACTCTGTCATCCAGGCTGGAGTGCAACGGTGCAATCAGGGCTCACTGCAACCTCTGCCTCCCGGGTTCAAGTGATTCTCCCACCTCTGCCTCCCAAGTAGCTGGGACTACAAGCACGTGCCACCAAGCCCGGTTTTTTTTTTCCTTTTTTCTGAGACAAAGCCTCACTCTGTCACCCAGGCTGGAGCGCAGTGGCGTAATCTCGGCTTACCGTAACCTCCGCCTCCCAGGTTCAAACGATTCTCCTGCCTCAGCCTCCTGAGTAGCTGGGATTACAGGTGTGCACCACCATGCCTGGCTAATTTTGTGTTTTTAGTAGAGACAGGGTTTCATCGTGTTGGCCAGGCTACTCTTGAACTCCTGACCTCAGGTGATACCTTGGCCTCCCAAAGTGCTGGGATTACAGACATGAGCCACCACGTCTGACCTAGCTAATTTTTGTCTTTTTAGTAGAGATGAGGTTTTGCCATGTTGGCCAGGCTGGTCTCAAACTCCTGACCTCAAGTGATCCACCTGCCTCGGCCTTCCAAAGTGCTGGGATTACAGGCATGAACTATCACACCTGACCATGTGTAGATTCTTTTGAATGTTATCATCATGCAGACAGACCCAAAAAGCCATTAGATAAAAAGCGGAAAATGCTGATAACGCTTGTCAAATGTCTCTGAGAGGGACAGAGTCACGGAAAAACAAAGCTCAGAGACATGAACTGTCTGTGCCAAATACCAGGAAAGCAGCTCAATACTTGTCAGTTAAAAATTTAAATAAAACCTGAGACCACTCAAGGGTTCCCTTCTCAAAACATCAGCACCCAGTTTCAACCTGAAATTCTCCCGCCAAGCACACCATGTCTTATCACCCTCCATTCAGCCATCCACAACACAACTGCTCCTGTCTCTTGGCAACGTTCACTCAATTAACAGTGAGCCAGATGATCACTGGCCGCAGCAGGAACAGTCCAGACCCGTCGCCAAAGGCATTTCTGTAAAGCATCTAAGTGACACGCGCAAGCCAGACCTGGGGTCACAGCAGCCATTGTTAGAGTTGCTGAGATAAAAGGCAGTTCTGTTTGCTATTTTTGAAAAAATTACACTTAATGGCTGGGTGCAGTGGCTCAATCCGGTAATTCCAACACTTTGGGAGGTTGAGGCAGGAAGATCACTTCAGCCCAGGAGGTCAAGACCAGCCAGGACGGCCGGGCGCGGTGGCTAGCGCCTGTGATCCCAACACTTTGGGAGGCTGAGGCGGGCAGATCACGAGTTCAGGAGATCGAGACCATCCTGGCTAACCCGGTGAAACCCTGTCTCTACTAAAAATACAAAAAATTAGCCGTGTGTGGTGGCAGGCGCCTGTAGTCCCAGCTACTCAGGAGGCTGTGGCAGGAGAATGGCGTGAACCCGGGAGGTGGTTACCGTGAGCCAAGGTCGCACCACTGCACTCCAGCCTGGGCAACAAGAGCGAACTCCATCTTAAAAAAACAAAAAGACCAGCCAGGGCAACATAGTGAGACACTATGTCCACAAAAAATTTTTTAATAATTAGCCAGGTGTGGTGACATACACCTGCGGACTCAGCTGCTCGGGAAGTTGAGGTGGGAGGATCATTTGAGCCTGGAAGGTTGAGACTGCAGTGAGCCATGATCACACCACCACATCCCAGCCTGGGAGACAGAACAGAGACCTTGCCTCAAAAAAACAAACAAAAAAACCCCACAAATTACATTTAACTACATAATGTGATATGCTGAGAATTATATTAATTACCCCAAAGGGCTCAAATTCACGATCATTTGGTCTACTTATATTAACATTTCCTAAAAGTAAAAAAAAAAAATTTTTTTTTTGAGACGGGGTCTTGCTCCATTGCCCAGGCTGGAGTGCAGTGGTCTGATCTTGGCTCACTGCAACCTGCGCGTTCCGGGTTCAAGGAATTCTCCTGCCTCGGCCTTCTGAGTAGCTGGGATTACAGGCACCTGCCACCATACCAGCTAAATTTTGTATTTTTGGTAGAGATAGGGTTTTGCCACGTTGCCCAGGGTGGTCTTGAACTACTGGGCTCAAGCAATCGGCCCACCTCGTCCTCCCACAGTGCTGGTATTTGCCCTCAAAAGTAAAAATTAAAACAGATGTTCAGGCCAAGTGCGTTGGCTCATGCCTGTAATCCCAGCACTTTGGGAGGCTAAGTGGGGCGGATGACAAACTCAAGAGATCGAGACCATCCTGGCCAACATGGTGAGACCCCATCTCTACCAAAATTACAAAAATTAGCCAGGTGTGGTGGCAGGCACCTGTAGTCCCAGCTACTCAGGAGGCTGAAACAGGAGAATCGCTTGAACCCAGGAGGTGGGAGTTGCACTCCAGCCTGGTGACAGACGGGGACTCCATCTCAAAAACAAAACAAAACATAACAAAAACAGATGTTCAAACACTGAATATGCATATATACATTTATCAAAACTCATCTAACTATCTGGACATGGTGGCTCATGCCTGTAATTCCAGTACTTCGGGGGTTAAGGTGCGGGGATCGCATGAGGCCAGGAATCTGAGACCAGCCTGAGCAACACGGTATGACATTGTATTTACAAAAAAATTTTTTTTAATTAGCTGGGTGTGGTGGCACACACCTATAGTCCCAGTTACTCTGGAAGCGGAGGCAGGAGGACTGCTTGACCCCAGGAGGTAAAGGCTGCAGTGAGCTATGATCATGCCACTGCACTCCAGCCTGGGCAACACTCAGTCTCTTAAAAGAAAACACAAACAGAAAAAAACAAAAAACCTCATTTAATGGTACACTTAAATTGGATACCTTTCATTATTTCATTTAAACTATATTTTGATAAAGTTGATTTGAAAAGGTAAAAGAAAAGCAAACAAAACCAAAACACCACCACCAACACAGCACTTCAGAGTATTCCTCTCCCAACTGTCGCCTCTGGAACCGAAGAAAAAGCAGCCCAGGGAGACACCTGAGCCGCGGCTCGGGGAGACCCATCAACTCCTGACCCAAGAGCACCAGGTGGATTCTGGCACAAATCTCTCAGCGCCTCACTAAAAGGACAGAACAAACACCTCTCCTCTTAGTTTAGTGGAAGCCCCAGGCTAACTGGGCAGAGCTGGGGAGAGCCTGAGGGCAGGTGAGAAGGAACTTTAAGGAATAGAAGTGAGTTGACACTGACACTGCACCAGTCACCACCTTCTCCCAACACAAGCAGATGCGGCTCAGCCTCCTGTGCAGCCTCAGCTCCTCAGAAGGCCTGGGGGGGGAGCAGGCACCGCAGCCACGATGGCGATGCAGGCACCGCAGCCCTTGAAAATTTCAGGGAGCTGAGACTCCTACAAAGAGGCAACTACTTCACCGAGGTGGTGATGGCAGGAAAACTCAATACTTTTTTTTTTTTTTTTTTTTTTGAGACAGAGTCTTGCTCTGTCTCCCAGGCTGGAGCGTAGTAATGCAATCCCAGCTCAATGCAGCCTCAACCTCCTCGGCTTAAGTAATCATCCTGCCTCAGCCGGTAAGTAGCCAGGACCACAGGTGCTTACCACCACACCCAGCTAATTGTTACATTCTGTAGAGACCGGGGTCTCACTGTGCTGCCCAGGCTGATCTTGAACCCCTGGGCTCAAGCAATCCTCCTGCCTAGGCCTCCCAAACTGCTGAGATTACAGGCATGAGCCACTGTACCTGGCCCGAACCCAAAACTTCTACAAAAATTAGCTCTTCAAATGGAAACTTTACTCACAAGCACTAAAAGAGAAACCATGGCGGTCCTTCAAAGCTGATATCTCAAATACACCCAACTCCCCACATGAACTGGGGGTTTTCACAGGGGTTGCCCAGGGATCCCTGAGGTCTCAGGAGCTCAGACTCAGTAGTCTCAAATGGGCCCTGGATCTTTATTTCCAAAGCCCCCTCCAGGCGAGTCTAATGCCCACTTAGGTTCAGGAACAGCTGCATAAACTTCTGTCAGAGAGCACACTGTGTGTGTTCCAAAGAAAAAGGAAGAATATGTGATACGGCTGAAGAAATGAAGTACTTGTTTCAGGACTTACGTGAAAATTAGAGACGCAAGGCTGGGCACGGTGGCTCATGCCTGTAATCCCTGCACTTTGGGAGGCCGAGGGAGGCGGACCACTTAAGGTCAGGATTTTGAGACCAGCCTGACCAACATGATGAAACCCTGTCTCTACTAAAAATTAGCCAGGTGTGGTGGCGAACGCCTGTAACCCCAGCTACTCGGGAGGCGGAGGCAGGAGAATTGCTTGAACCCAGGAGGAGGAGGTTGCAGTGAGCCGAGGTCGCACCAGTGCACTCCAGTATGAGTGATAGAATGAGACTCCACCTCAAAAAAATAAATAAGTAAATAAATAAAATAAATAAATAAATAAATAAAAAGGAAAGGCCAGGTGCGCTGGCTCATGCCTGTAATCCCAGCACTTTGGGAGGACAAGACGGGCGGATCATGAGGTCAGGAGTTAGAGACCAGCCTGACCAACATGGTGAAACCCCGTCTCTACTAAAAATACAAAAATGAACTGGGTATGGTAGTGCACACCTGTAATCCCAGCTACTCAGGAGGCTGAGGCAGGAGAATAGCTTGAAACGGGGCAGCGGAGTTTGCAGTGAGCCGAGAAGGTGAGCTTTCTGTACCACTGCACTCTAGCCTGGGCGACAGAGGAAGACTCCATCTCAAAAAAAAAAAAAGGGAAAATAAGAGACATTGTATACTCTGCAAAAAGCAGCATCCACTTCTGTGTCCCCTCTTTCCTGATTTCACTCATTTTCTTTTTTTTCTTTTTGGGATGGAGTCTCCTTCTGTCACCCAGGCTGGCGTACAGTGGTGCAATCACAGCTCACTGCAGCCTTGATCTCCCAGGCTCAAGTAATCCTTGCGTCTCAGCCTCCCGAGTAACGAGGACTACAGGTGTCTGCCACCACACCTGCGTAGTTTTTGTTTTGTGTGTGTGTGTGTGTGTTTTTTTTTTTTTTTTTTTTTTTTTGGTGGAGATGAGGTTTCACTATGGTGTCCAGGCTTGATTTCGCTAATTTTCTTATAAAAGACAGCAGGAGGCTCCGTCAACTAAGTGAGACAGAAACCAGGGGAAGGAGCTGAGGCCCCGACAGGGAGAACCCAGGCTCCTCGGAACATGCAGAGGAAGATCCGCTGAGGCCCCGACAGGGAGAACCCAGGCTCCTCGGCACACGCAGAGGAAGATCTGCCAAGGCCACTCGGCAAAGCTGACAGCAAGGTTGCTCACTCACATGACAGAGAATCAGGTGGGGACAGCATGGTCCCCACTCCCAGGCCTTCTGGGAAGATCAGGTATTAGGTAGCCGATTGGCAGGTCACTTACCTTGAACCAGTCTGCATATGACAGGAACGCAGAGGGGCCCTCCAGTGCTGCCTGGCGCACAACCAGGAACGCAGTGACCATGCTGTCCAGCTGGCAGCTCTCGAATGCCTGGGCCATCAAACGCGCCACCCAGTCTAGTTAAGAACCATGACATAGTCACAGCAAGGCAAGGGCAGCCAGCAGGAACATGACGTGAGTTATGCTGGGTGATCAAGTATTCCAGAAGGAGACTGTGCACACCCAAACACCAAGTTTTAAAAGACTACACAGCAATTACAGCATGTCAAGTGCAAACCACTAGAGACCTGAATGAAGCAGCAGTGGACACTCTGGCCTCTCAGAGCAGCAGTCAGTGCTTATGGAAGCGTCTGACAAAGAATGTTCCATCGACAGGAGGCACTGCAGGTTCCGGGCAGGTAGGGAAGGGCTTCACTGAGAGGCTCACCCACAGTCAGCTGGGACTCTGCTGACACCCCCCTACACACACTCTTGACCAGCACCACCGGGCTCGCGTAAAAGCTCACCTTCAAGCAGCTGCTGCGCTTCTGGAAAGCAGACAACCAGGGCAGACACAAAGGAGAGCACTCTCTGCCAGTGAACCTCCTGCGTTTCCAGAACTTCTTGCAAATGGCCAACCAACTCCTCTGCACTCAGCATCACAAAGAGCTGAAATAAAAGCATCCGCTCCCTTCAATATCCAAGCAAACCAATGTGCGACAGATGACCCCTCACCTTCCTCCCAGCCGGTGGCCACCGCAGCCCCCTCACTTCCCACTGCAAAGGTAACACATGGAGCTGTGACAGCTCACACCGTGGCGTCTCTCCCCTCACAGTGGCCAGCACCTGCTTGGAGAGAATTCTCCCTATCTCAAGGAGGAGGGGCTCGGCCCAAGGGACAAGTTCAGTCTCCTGACCTGAGTGGTGGCCTTGATGAGGACAGCCACATCTCACCAGACATCCCTGAACCTCTCGATGTGCCGTCCACGGCAGGCAGCATGACAAGTACTAGGCAGATCTTAATCCCCCCGCCACGAGCTCAGAAGCAGGTATAATACCACATCCACTCACCCTGCGGTACAGTGAGGTGAGCAGAGGGTGTGTCCGCGCAAAGCTCCACTCTCTCTGCATCTGAACAGCATCAGATGCTGCAGGGGGAGAAACAGACAAAAACTTCAAGTCAGAGATCAAAAAGTTGTGGGTTTTTGTTAAGGACCAGCCCCACAGGGTCGGTGGGTCTCTCCCCGTGTGCGGCGACGAGAGAGTGTAGAAAGAAAGATACAAGACAAAGAGATAAAAGACAAGACAGCTGGGCCCGGGGGACCACTACCATCAATGCGCGGAGACCGGTAGTGGCCCTGAATGTCTGGTTGTGCTGTTATTTATTGGATACAAAGCAAAAGGGGCAGGGTAAAGAGTGTGAGTCATCTCCAATGATAGGTAAGGTCACGTGTCCACTGGATAGGGGGCCCTTCCCTGCCTGGAAGCCGAGGCAGAGAGGGAGAGGAGATAGAGACAAAGACAGCTTATGCCATTATTTCTGCATATCAGAGACTTTTAGTACTTTCACTAATTTACTACTGCTATCTAGAAGGCAGAGCCAGGTGTACAGGATGGAACATGAAGGTGGACTAGGAGCGTGACCACTGAAGCACAGCATCACAGGGAGACGGTTAGGCCTCCGGATAACTGTGGGTGAGCCTGACTGATGTCAGGCCCTCCACAAGAGGTGGAGGAGCAGAGTCTTCTCTAAACTCCCGGGGGGAAAGGGAGAGTCCCTTTCCCGGTCTAAGTAGTGAGTGGTGTTCCTTGACACCTTTTGCTACCGCTGGACCACGATCCGCTTGGTGACGGGCGTCTTCCCAGACGCTGCCGTCACCGCTAGACCAAGGAGCCCTCTGGTGGCCCTGTCCGGGCATAACAGAAGGCTCACACTCTTGTCTTATGGTCACTTCTCACCATGTCCCCTCAGCTCCTGTCTCTGTATGGCCTGGCTTTTCCTAGGTTATGATTATAGAGCGAGGATTATTATAATATTGCAATAAACAGTAATTACTACCAACTAATGATTAATGATATTCATATGTAATCATATCTAAGATCTATATCTGGTATAACTATTCTTGTTTTATATTTTATTATACTAGAACAGCTCGTGTCCTCGGTCTCTTGCCTTGGTGCCTGGGTGGCTTGCCGCCCACAGGTTTTGTTTTTGGACAGGGTCTCACTATCACCCAGGCTGGAGTGCAGTGCTCACCACAGCCTCGACCTCCCTGGCTCAAGCAATCCACCTGCCTCAGTCTCCCAAGTAGCTGCGACCACAGGCGTGTGCCACCATACCCAGATACTTTTTGTATTTTTATTTTTTTGATGCTGAGTCTCACTCTGTCACCCAGGCTGGAGTGCAGTGGTACAATCTCGGCTCACTGCAAGCTCTGCCTCTCGGGTTCAAGCGATTCTCCTGCCTCAGCCTCCCGAGTAGCTGGGACTACAGGCGCCCACCACCACGCCCGGCTAATTTTTGTATTTTTTAGTAGAGATGGGGTTTCACTCTTTTGGCCAGGCTGGTCTCGAACTTCTGACCTCGTGACCTGCCCGTCTCAGCCTCCCAAAATGCTGGGATTACAGGCGTGAGCCACTGCTCCTGGCCAAAAAGTTGTGTTTCAAAGCTTCAGTGTGAAGACAGATCTTAATATGTACTTTTTCAGTTATTAAAGTTCACCATCTCCCTGTTTGTTGCCTATTTGCTATATCATCAATTCTGTTTCTCAGGCCCGGTTACTTACTTGTAATGCTTTGTCATATTCACAATAAATATTTTCCAATGTACCAACTGCATTTCAATTTTCCTGCTTTTAAACTGTCAGTAAGGTCAGGCTAGGTGGCTCACGCCTGTAATCCCACCACTTTGGGAGGCCGAAGTGGGTGGATCACAAGGTCAGGAGTTCTAGACCAGCCTGGCCAAGATGGTGAAACCCTGTCTCTACTCAAAATACAAAAAGTAGCTGGGCATGGTGGCAGGCGCCTGTAATTCAAGCTTGGCAGGGAATAGCTTGAACCCAGGCGGCAGAGGTTGCAGTGAGCTGAGATCGCACCACCACACTCCAGCCTGGGCAACAGAGTAAGACTCTGTCTCAAAAAAATAAATAAATACATAAAATAAGATAAACTGGGAATAAACCAATCATGGTGGGGATGCTGTTCAAAGGAAGCTCAGCTCAGTCAAGTGATGATAAACTCCTGAGCACCTCACAGCACCTGTTGGGAGCCATCTGTGTATCCCTCATCTCCCACCAGTTTCCTGCCTGAGCATCTACCCTGGGGATATGCTAGATACAGAAAAAGCTCAAAGTGTTCATCGTGGCCTTATTCGTAAGACTGATATCTTGGGTACAGTCTGTCATACATGGGTAACAGGACACCCACTGGGCAGACGATGCCTGGGCCATCAAACACGCCACCGAGTCTAGCTGAGAACCATGACACAGTCACAGCAAGGCAAGGGTAGCCAGCAGAAAGATAACGTGAGTTGTGCTGGGTGATCAGGTATTCCAGAAGGAGAATGTGCATGCTCAAACACCAAGTTTTAAAAGACTAGACAGCGGCTGGGCACAGCGGCACACGCCTGTAATCCCAGTATTTTGGGAGGCCGAGACGGGCGGATTACCTGAGATTAGGAGTTCGAGACCAGCCTGGCCAACATGGTGAAAGCCCGTCTCTACTAAAAATACAAAAATTAGCCGGGCATGGTGGCACATGCCCGTAATCCCAGCTACTGTGGAGGCTGAGGCAGGAGAATGGTTTGAACCCGGGAGGTGGAGGTTGCAGTGAGCCCAAATCACGCCACTGTACTCCAACCTGGCAACAGAGCAAGACTCCATCTCCAATAAATAAATAAATAAATAAATAAATAAATAAATAAATAAAATAAAGATATTTCTATTTTACGCTGGGTGCGGTGGCTCACACCTGTAATCCCAACACTTCGACACTCTGGGAAGCCAAGGCAGGTGGAGCACCGAAGGTCAGGAGTTCGAGGCCAGCCTGGCCAACATGGTGAAACCCAGTCTCTACTAAAAATACAAAAAATTAACCGGGTGTGGTGGTTGGCGCCTGTAGTCCCAGCTACTTGAGAGGCTGAGACACGAGAATTGCTTGAACCTGGGAGGCAGAGGTTGCAGTGAGCTGAGATCACGCCACTGCACTCCAGCATGGGCAAGTGAGTGAGACTCTGACTCAAACAAACAAACAAAAAAGATATTTCTATTTTAATGACAATTATTTTGTCCACTCATAATTCTGAATTTTCTTATAAAAATCTGTTGCTTTCAGGTAAAAGGATATTTAGTAACAATCTCAGGCATCTGAGGACCCAGTCTCTGGTTCAAGACAGACGTAAAAGAGGTCCTAGAATTCCTGGCATCTCCAGTCAGCGTTACCAAGGCAACAAGGCAACAGCAATCCCCAAAATGGGTAGCAACTGAGCAGCCTCCACACTGGGCCTACCTTTCAGCACAGGGCTGTGAGTGAGTATCTGAGTCAGGGTATGACTGAAGAACCTCTTCAGAGGATCTGTGGAAATTACACTGCCAAGCGTGTGTCCACTGAACACTCCGAACCTGCCAATGCAGCAGAAAGAGGGGTCAGGAAAGGGAGGGTGCCTTGCACGCCACCCACCAATCCCAGCACAAACTGTGGCTCAGGCTCATCCCTTCTTTAAGCAAGGAAGGGGCTTTCTTGGCCAGGCCACTATAACCACAGACTTGAAACTGAATCCAAGGAGGTGGCAGTTCAACGAGAAAGGGGGCAAGGCAACGGCGAAACCCACGGAGCAGAGAAGCGAAGGAGCAGAAGGAAACAGGTGGGGAAGGGCAGGCCGCGCCACACCCGGGAGTGGAGCAGAAGGAAACAGGTTGGGAAGGGCAGGCCGCGCCGCACCCGGGAGTGGAGCCCCGGGAGCCAACCCGACGGGGCCTCAGCGGCACCCTCTGTGACACGGAACTCCCCCAGAGGGTCGTGCCAAGCCTGAGAGAAGAGCCCAGCACACCAGGGCCTCAAACAGTCACAACAGGGACTGAGGCCAGCTCTGTCCATGAAGATGAGGAAGGAATGGAAGGGACTAAGGTTTCCTGGGCCATCTGTGTGAGAGAACACGATGTTCTGGGGGTGAATGGGGTCACAGAGCCAGGTGGCAAGAGCACTTGAGGTCTGTTAGCCTGCCACATCCCAGCAGGCCTATACAGACCACCAAACCAAACCCAGACCCTCTCGTGAGGCTTACAACCTGCAACCAGCAAGCGGCACTTTATGCCGATTCCCCAGGTAAGAAAATCAAGGGTCCAGCCGGGCACGGTGGCTCATGCCTGTAATCCCAGCACTCTGGGAGGCTGAGGCGGGCAGATCACAAGGTCAGGAGATCAAGACTACCCTGGCTAACATGGTGAAACCCCATCTACACTAAAAATACCAAAATATTAGGCCAGGCGCATTGGCTCACACCTGTAATCCCAGCACTTTGGGAGGCCAAGGGGGGCAGATGACAAGGTCAGGAGCTCGAGACCATCCCGGCCAACCCAACGAAACCCCATCTCTACTAAAAAAATAGAAAAAATTAGCCGGGCATGGTGGTGGGCACCTGTAGTTCCAGCTACTCGGGAGACTGAGGCAGGAGAATGGTGTGAACCCAGGGAGCGGAGCTTGCAGTGAGCAGAGATCGCACCACTGCACTCCAGCATGGGCGACAGAGCGAAATTCTGTCTCAAAAAAAGAAAAATAAAAAAAATTAGCCAGGCATGGTGGCACACACCTATAGTCCCAGCTATGTGGGAGGCTGAGGCAGGAGAATCGCTTGAACCCAGGAGGCATAGGTTGTAGTAAACCGAGATCGTGCCACTGCACTCCAGCCTGGGCGACACAGTGAGACTCTGTCTCAAAAAAATAAAGAAAGAAAGAAAGAAAATCAAGGGTCCTGGCGGTTCAGTGAACTGCCCCAGGGTCACACACCCAACGAGGCCACGTCGGCTCTGTGCAAACTCAAGACACTCACACAACAGGGTGTGGGACATCGTGGAGATTCACTTCTCAGCCCTGCTGTCCTTCCTCACAGGGCAGGGCTTTGGGACACCACAGCCCCCAGTGTGCAAGGGAAGCTGGCCACCAAGACTGTTGGAGGATGTCTGATTTTAAATTATTGGCAGGCCAGGTGCGGTGGCTCACGCCTGTAATCCCAGTACTTTGGGAGGCTGAGGTGGGTGTTATCACTTGAGGTCAGGAGTTCGAGACCAGCCTGACCAATATAGTGAAACCCCATGTCTACTTAAAAATAGAAAATACAAAACTATAGGCTTGTGCCAGGTGTGGTGGTGCATGCCTGTAATCCCAGCTACTCAGGAGGCTGAGGCAGAAGAATTGATTGAACCTGGGAGGCAGAGGTTGCAGTGAGCAGAGATCTCACCACTGCACTCCAGCCTGGGCAACAAGAATAAAACTCTGTCTCAAAAATAAATAAATAAATAAATAATTGGCAACTAATTACAAAATATAAAAATCGGCAGGTCAGTGGTTGTTACCTGACTCTCAGGACATCAGTGTGAGTAATCTTATCACACAGATTATAAAAAAAAGCCCTTGCCACAGACTAAACTGTATCCCCACAAAGTTCCTCTGTTGAAGCCCAGCCTCTCAAGGTGGGGTGTTGATAAGGCTGAGGTGATGATGAGATGACTGCCCGGAGAAGACACCAGAGGGCTTGCTCTCCCCTCTCTACCTCATGAAGACACAGAAAAAGTAGGTCTCCTGCAAGCCAGGAAGAGGGTCCTCACCAGAACCCAACCCTAGGGGCACCCTGACCTCCAACTTCCAGCCTCCACTGCTGTGAGAACACATCTGCCGTCCACACCGCAGTCTCTGGCACTTTGTTACAGCAGCCCAAGCTAACTGATGCACATGTAAACATTCAGGAAATCACACAGTGCTTTATTCACTGTTTCAGTAAAAGTACCGAACGGTACAACACATTTAATTGAGCAGTTAAACAGTTACTGTGAGGGATGGGAAATGAGGAGCAAAATAAAGAATGAAAAGGTTGACAAGGCCTGGAAACAGTGGCAAATTCTACTGGTTTCTCAAGACTTCACTTCAAGGTCCCCTGCCCACACTAGAGGGAAGCAAACCCCAGAGCCCCATTTCCACCAAACCCCGATGTCCACCTTCCACCCAGCCCCCACTCCTCAGCTTCCGCCTCCCGACCTGTAAGGGTCTCCGCACATCTCCACAGAGCCATGGAGAGAAAAAGCTAATAGGGCCAAGCTTTGCCTACTGGTGAATCTGAGCAGGATCTGTGGAGGCCAGGCAGCGGGAGTCTGTAGAGGCACAGCTACAGTGTGTTCTAGAAATGTGGGGGGCTGAGAGGCAGGGCCAGCTCTAGAGCCTGAATCACACCCAGGGAAGGAGGAGCAAGGGGAGACTCCACACAGGAGGAGGTCACAGTGAGTGGGACAAACATTGGTGCAGGACTTCCAGAGGCGGAACAGGATACTGCAGTGGGCGCACCTTCCGACCTCATCCTCACAGGAAAAGGCTGACCAGAGCGTTCCCCGGGCTTTCCCATGGTCGCCTCCTCCTCACGCACGTTATCGTAACTGGCAGAGGAAGTGTGCTCAGGAGCGGGCTGCTGAAGCTCTGGAAGTGTTTAAAATATCTTGGCTCTTTAATTTGGCAGACACCTCCCTGCTGCACACTCAGGCAGGCCACCCTCAGGAACATACCAGCACCTCACGATCTTGTGAGTGGAGGACTCCTCCTGTACTCCAGCAGCCAAAGCGTCAAGTGCAACTGAAGACAGAGCCAGGAACAGAAAACAGATGTCAGCACACGGCGGCAGCCCACCAGAAACAATCCCCAGGCGCTTTCAGACAACAGATCCACTTCAACCCCCCAGAGGGCCCACATCCATCAAGACTTCTACAATCTGTAGGCCTTAATCAAAACACACAGACAAGAAAATGCTTCCCTGTGACCCACAGATTCATGAGGTATCCCTTCACAGCTCTGAAAATGCCAAAACAAGGGCATTCCAGTACCAGGACTCTGCACAGTGAAACATACAGAGGAGAAATACCTCAAATGGAAAGGCAGAAAACTGATACAATTGCTAATAAGCAAACTAAGTCATTTACAGTCTGGGCTGCAGTGCAATTAACTTACAAATCAGCATTCTCTGCAGTACATCAACCGTGACCTGTCAAAATAGAATGTGAGTTACCATCTTGGTAATCTTCTGTAATTTGTGTGATACCTGCATCACACAAGAGAATTATTACTTGTTACTCTAAAGTAAAGAAACGGCACTTCAGGAGGCCGAGGCGGGCGGATCACGAGGTCAGGAGATCGAGACCATCCTGGCTAACATGGTGAAACCCCGTCTCTACTAAAAATACAAAAAATTAGCCGGGCGCAGTGGCGGACGCCCTGTAGTCTCAGCTACTCGGGAGGCTGAGGCAGGAGAATGGCGTGAACCCGGGAGGCAGAGCTTCCAGTGAGCTGAGATAGTGCCACTGCAGTCCGGCCCGGGCGAAAGAGCCAGACTCCGTCTCGGAAAAAAGAAAAAGAAATGGACTTTACAAAGAGATCAACTTTAAAAACCCTCATAGACCTAGAAATTACTCCAGTACCGAAGGGACCTAGACAGAGTGAAAAGGCTGAACTTTCTGGAATTACCCTAAGACTGCTCTCAGCATGGCCTGAGGCCATGAGCCTAGGGCTGGGCAGGACACTTTTGCACGCAGAGTTTTGCTGAAGTACTTCAGTGAAGAGAGGAAAGCTCAGGCCTTGAATCTGGGCTGTGGAACTAAGGACTTTCACCCTTGATGCCTCTGGAGCCAGAAGACGGTGAGAAGGTACCATTGTCCATTTCCCTTCTTCACATCTCCTGGGCTTAAAGCATACCACTACTCAGAGAGCAACTCATGGTAACAATAAAACAGACTTCCTCAAACAAAGCCCACAGACTGCAGTGTAGGCAAAATGGGAGCCACTGGCTCAGGAACCTCCAAAAGGGAATAAAAATTTGGGACGTATCCAAAACTATCTACAGATTCAATGCAATCCCTATCAAAATACCAATAACGTTCTTCCCAGAAATAGAAAAAAAGATTCTAAAATTCACATGGAACCAAAATAGAACACAGATAAGCAAAGCAATCCTGAGGAAAAAGAACAAAGCTATAGAATATAGAAATCACACTGCCTGAGGTCAAAATATACTACGAGGCTACAGAAATGAAAACAGCATGAGGTTGATATAAACATACACACAGACCAACGGAACAGGATAGAGAACCCAGAAACAGGCCGGGAACTGTGGCCCACGCCTGTAATCCCAGCACTTTCGGAAGTCGAGGTGGGTGGATCACCTGAGGTCAGGAGTTCTAGACCAGCCTGACCAACAAGGTGAAACCCTGTCTCTACTAAAAATACAAAAAAATTAGCTAGGTGCGGTGGCGGGTGTCTATAGTCCCAGCTACTCGGGAGACTGAGGCAGGAGAATAGCTTGAACCCGGTAGGCGGAGCTTGCAGTGAACCAAGATGGCACCACTGCACTCCAGCCTGGGAGACAGAGCAAGACTCCATCTCAAAAAAAAAAAAAAGAAAAAAGAAAAAAAAAGGCCAGGCACGGTAGCCCACGCCTATAATCCCAACACTTTGAGAGGCCAAGGTGGGCGGGTCATGAGATCAGAAGTTCGAGACCAGCCTGACCAACACTGTGAAAGCCCATCTCTACTAAAAATAGAAAAACTAGCCGGGAGTGGTGGTGGGCGCCTGTAGTCCCAGCTATTCAGGAGGCTGAGGCAGGAGAATGGCGTGAACCCCGGAGGCGGAGCTTGCAGTGAGCCGAGATCGCGCCACTGCACTCCAGCCCGGGCGACAGAGCAAGACTCTGTCTCAAAAAAAAAAAAAAAAAAGCCAATGTCACTAATCATCAGGGAAATACAAGTCAAAGCCACAATGAGCTATTATTTCACTCCAGTTAGAATTATCATTATCAAGAAAACAAAAAATAACAAATGCTGGTGAGAATGCAAACAGAACTCTTATATGCTATCAGTGAGAATGTAAATTAATACAGCCATTATGGAAAATAGTATGGAGATTTCTAAATAGTTGGGTAGTTCTAAAAACAGAACTACCAGCCCAGAGGGTCTCACTTTCACCAGGCATGGTGGATCACATCTGTAATCCCAGCACTTCAGGAGGCCAAGGCAGGCAGATCATGAGGTCAAGAGATCGAGACCATCCTAGCCAACAGAGTGAAACCTCACCTCTACTAAAAATACAAAAATTAGCTGGGCATGGTGGTGCATGCCTGTAATCCCAGCTATTCGGGAGGCTGAGGCAGGAGAATCGGTTGAACCTGGGAGGCAGAGGTTGCAGTGAGCCGAAATCGCGCCACTGCACTCTAGCCTGAGCAACAGAGAGAGACACCGTCTCAAAAAAACACAAAAAAACAAAAAAAAAACCAGAACTGCCATATGATCCAGCAATCCCATTACTGGGCTTACAGCCAAAGGAAAGGAAATCAGCCAGCTGAAGAGACATCTGTACTCCTACATTTATTGTGGCACTATTAACAATAGCCAAGATATGAAATCAACCTGTGTGCCCAACAAGAGATGACCGGATACAGAAAACGTGGTATATACACACAACGGAATACTGGTCAGCTTTAACGGAGTCTCGCTCTGTCACCCAGGCTAGAGTGCAAGGCGCAATCTTGGCTCACTGCAACCTCCGCCTCCTGGGTTCAAGCAATTCTCCTGCCTCCACGCCTGTAGCTGGGACTACAGGCATGTGCCACCACGCCCGGCTATTTTTTTTTTTTTTTTACTAGAGACAGGGTTTCACCATGTTGGTCAGGCTGGTCTTGAACTCCTGACCTCAGGGGATCCACCAGTCTCAGCCTCCCAAAGTGCTGGATTATAGGCATGAGCCATTGAGCCCAACCTCAGCTATTTTTTTCTTTTTCTGAGATGGAGTCTCTGTCGCCTAGGCTGGAATACAGTGACACGATCTGGGCTCACTGCAAGCTCCGCCTCCAGGTTTCACGCCATTCTCCTGCCTCAGCCTCCTGAGTGGCTGGGTCCACAGGTGCCTGCCACCAGGCCCGGCTAATTTTTTCTATTTTTTTAGTAGAGACGGGATTTTACCATGTTAGCCAGGATGGTCTCGATCTCCTGACCTTGTGATCCGCCCGCCTCGTCCTCCCAAAGTGCTGGGATTACAGGCATGAGCCACCATGCCCGGCCAGCTATTCTTTTTTTTTAAAGTGAAATCCTGTCATTCACAGCAACAGGAATGCAACTGAAGGCCATTATGTTAAGTGAAATAAGCCAGGCACAGAAGGACAAATATTGCATGTTATCACAAATATGTGGGAGCTAAAAAGTGGCTCTTGTGGAGGTAGAGAGTAGAACGAGAGATACCAGAGATGAGAAGGGTATATGCAGTGGGGGAACGAAGAGAGTTGGTTAATGGGTACAAACATACAGCTAGACAGAAGAAGTAAGTTCTAATGTTCCACAGCAGAGTGAGGCGGCTATAGTTAACAACAGATTGTATATTTCAAAGTAACTGCAACATGTGAAATGTTGCCAACACACAGAAATGATACATACTGGAGGTGACGGAGACTCTAAACACCCTGACTTGATCATTACACTCTATGCACAAAACAAGTATCACATGTACCCCGTAAATAGGTACAAACAGCACGTTTCAATAGAGAGACACGTAAATACATTTCAACACTTGGAATAAGGACGGCTCCTTCCGCTAAACTCTTCACTTGACTTTTCCTCCTACCTGCGGCATTTTTTCAGGCTCCACAGTTCTTCTCAGATCTGAGTTTTTCTGAAATCCCCTCAAAACAAACATTTGAACAAAATCTGAAAAACCATAAAACCAAAGTTATTTATGGACATCATGGTCTCCAAGCAACTGTGAATGGCACAGACCATCCACTTCAGAGGGGCGGGTGAGCATATGGCTTGGGCCCACCAGGACCCCTGTGAGCTGCTCCTAACCTGAGGAACGCTGCAGAAGTTACTGCTCACCTGACCACAGCTACACTAGCGTTCACCAAACCCAATCAGGACCCTTAGATGAACCAGATTTTTTCCTCTTGCACTTCTATTTGAAAGGGAACAAGTTTATAGTCAGATTTTTTTCTTTTTTTTTTTTTTTGTGAGACGGAGGCTTGCTCTGTCGCCTGGGCTTGAGTGCAATGGTATGATCTCGCTCACTGCAACCTCCGCCTCCCAGGTTCAAGCAATTCTCTGCCTCAGCCTCACCAGTAGCTGGGAATATAGGCGCCGCCACCACACCCAGCTAATTTTTGTATTTTTAGTAGAGATGGGGTTTCACCATCTTGGCCAGGTTGGTCTTGAACTCCTGACCTCATGATCCACCTGCCTTGGCCTCCCAAAGTGCTGGGATTACTGGCATGAGTCACCCCACCCAGCCCAATTTTTTTCTCTTAAATAAAAGTGGTTTCCAAGGGAGGTCTTATGGATTGTCTTGCCTGCCAATCTCCAATACCAGAGGGTCTAGAGGGACCCAGAAGCATCCTATTCTGAGGAATGTGATGGGGGAGGAAAGGCATTCTTAGCTTTTTAAAAAATAAGACCAAGAGGACTGAAATCCACAAGATTTTCTAACTTTGATTTAAATTTAACCTATCTGGTACCAGGTTATAGTAGCTCAGGAATGCTAAGTCGCTCATGCCACCAAAAAGCTTTAGGAAAAAGGAAAAAACCCACAAGCTACTGTACAGATCAGTTTCTCATCTAATTTTTATTTGTAGGTGTCACTTGTAGTGGGATGGGTCTCCCAGCAGGTGTTCCTCAGAACCCAAATATCCCAGAGAGGATCTGAGAACTCACCAAGGAAAAGAGTCTCATCACTCAAACACAGCAGGCAAAGAGCCAGAAAACGAGCTTCAATGCACCTTAGAGACAGGTGGTGGGGCGGTTCTCTAGAGCTGTCCTGCCGCCGTCCAGGAGTGCGCTGAATATAAGTCCTGACAAACCCAACTACTCCTCAAGCTGGATTGGTCCAAGCCATTCTCTGACAAGCCCAACTACTCCTCAAGCTGGACTCTGGTCCGAGCCATCCTCTGACAAGCCCAACTACTCCTCAAGCTGGACTCTGGTCCAAGCCATCTTCTGACAAACCCAACTACTCCTCAAACTGGGTTGGTCCCTAGTCTGAGCCATCCTCTGGTCTCTCAGCACCTTCTTAGTTTGTGGGGGGACATTACAGTCCCAAGTTTTTCTCATAATATCATTCCTCAGGAAGGCCAGGCATAGTGGCTCACGCCTATAATCCCAGCACTTTGGGAGGCCGAGGGGGGTGCATCACGAGGTCAGGAGTTCAAGAGCAGCCTGGCCAACCTAATGAAACCCCGTCTCTACTAAAAATACAAAAAAAAAATTAGCCGGGCATGGTGCCACGTGCCTGCAGTCCCAGCTACTAAGGAGGTTGAGGCAGAGAATCACTTGAACCCAGGAGGCGGAGGTTGCAGTGAGCTGAGATCGCGCCACTGTACTCCAGCCTGGGCGACAGAAGGAAGCAGCTGCGGTCACTCTATGGGAAAGGTGAATGGAAACACTTAAACTCATGTCAAGGCCGACTTACTAGTATTTCCACATCAGTCAAGTAAAATGCAACCCCACAACAGGCTGAGACTGGGAGTCTGTCATGCCAGGTTCCCACGGCCACGGAGAGACAGGCTGTTCTGCCTCGCAGAGCTCTTGAGAGCAGAAGGCATTATCACAGATCAAAATGAGTTTTACCCAAGAACCCGCATCTTGTCATGAACGCACCAGAAAGCATGGCCCTGGCGACGTCAGCATGCTGGCAGGATGCTTCCATCTGTTCACAAAGGCAGCACAGATTCCTGAAGAGCCACGATCCCACAGCATGCATGTCGGGATGGCTGGAGACACACACAGAGGCAGACGTAAGGCTCAACTAAATCCCATCATCAGGGGATTGAGTTGAGCCATATGTCCCAATTTTTTTTTTGAGACAGTTTTTTGCTGTCACTGAGGCTGGAGTGCAGTGGCGCAATCAGTCACTGCACCCTCGACCTCCCAGGCTCAAGCAATCCTTCCACCTCAGCCTCCTGAGTAGTTGGGACAACAGGCGCATACCACCACGCCCAGCTGGAGGTCTTACTACTTTGCCCAGGCTGGACTCAAACTCCCGGGCTCAAAACAATCTCCCACCTTGCCCTCCCAAAGTGCTGGGATGACTGGTGTGGCACTGTGCCCAGTCTCAAGTTATTTTCTAATTTCCCTTGTGACTTCTTTGACTCATTATGTTAACTTTCAAATATTGTGGATTTTCCCAATTCCCTTCTGTTGTTTATTCTAATTAAATTCATTTGTGGTTAGAGAACATATTTTGAATGATTTCAGCCCTTCTAAATTTATTCCTCTTTGTTTTATGGCCTGAACCTTTTTTTTTTCTCTTGAAACAGTTTTGCTCTTGTCATCCAGGCTGGAGTGCAATGGCACAATCTCAGCTCACTACAACCTCCGCCTCCCAAGTTCAAGCGATTCTCCTGCCTCAGCCTCCACAACGGCTGGGATTACAGGCACCTGCCACCTTGCCCAGCTAATTTTTGTAATTTTAGTAGAGACAGGGTTTCACCACGTTGGACAGGCTGGTCTTGAACTCCTGACCTCAGGTGATCTGCCCGCCTCAGCCTCCCAAAGTGCTGGGATTACAGGTGTGAGCCACCGCACCTGGCCTTGGCCTGAACCTTATGCTGTATCCTGGGGACTGTTCCATTTGGACTTACGAATACACACTCTGCTACTACTGGGTAGAGTGCTCCACAGTCAGTCAGGTCAGCTGGTTTGCAGCATTCAACTTCTATATCATTCTTTTTTTTTTTTTTTTTTTTAATTGATCATTCTTGGGTGTTTCTCGCAGAGGGGGATTTGGCAGGGTCATAGGACAATGGTGGAGGGAAGGTCAGCAGATAAACAAGTGAACAAAGGTCTCTGGTTTTCCTAGGCAGAGGACCCTGAGGCCTTCTGCAGTGTTTGTGTCCCTGGGTACTTGAGATTAGGGAGTGGTGATGACTCTTAACGAGCATGCTGCCTTCAAGCATCTGTTTAACAAAGCATATCTTGCACCGCCCTTAATCCATTTAACCCTGAGTGGACACAGCACATGTTTCAGAGAGCACAGGGTTGGGGGCAAGGTCACAGATCAACAGGATCCCAAGGCAGAAGAATTTCTCTTAGTACAGAACAAAATGAAAAGTCTCCCGTGTCTACTTCTTTCTACACAGACACAGCAACCATCTGATTTCGCAATCTTTTCCCCACCCTTCCCCCCTTTGTATTCCATAAAACCGCCATTGTCATCATGGCCCGTTCTCAATGAGCTGTTGGGTACACCTCCCAGACGGGGTGGTGGCCGGGTAGAGGGGCTCCTCACTTCCCAGTATGGGCGGCCGGGCAGAGGCGCCCCTCACCTCCTGGACAGGGCGGCTGGCCGGGCGGGGGGCTGACTCCCCCACCTCCCTCCCGGACGGGGCGGCTGTTCTATATCATTCTTAATCTAACTTGTTCTACCCATTACTGAAAGGGGAGTATTGAAACCTCTAATGATTATTGCTGAAATGTCTACTTCTCCCTTTAATTCTGGCCATTTTTGCTTCATAGATTTTGGTGCTGAGATAAGATGTGTATATCCTAGGAAGCAGGTTTTTCTTTTTTTTTTTTTTTTTGAGATGAAATTCTGCTCTAGGCCGAGGCGGGAGGATCACAAGATCAGGAGTTCGAGACCAGCCTAGCCAACATGGTGAAACCCCATCTCTACTAAACATACAAAAATTAGCCGGGTGTGGTGGCACGCGCCTGTAGTCCCAGCTACTGAGGAGGCAGGGGCAGAATTGCTTGAATCCGGGAAGCGGAGGTTGCAGCGAGCCCAGATCTCACCACTGCACTCCAGCCTGGCGACATAGCAGGTCTCTGTCTCAAAAAGAAAAAAAAAGGCCGCGCGAGGTGGCTCATGCCTGTAATCCCAGCACTTTGGGAGGCCGAGGCAGGGGAATCACCTGAGGTTAGGAGTTTGACACCAGCCTGGCTAACATGGCGAAACCACATCTCTACTAAAAATAACAAAAATTGCCAGGCACAGTGGTTCATGCCTGTAATCCCAGCGCTTTGGGAGGCAGAGGCGGGCAGATCCTGAAGTCAGGAGATGGAGCCCATCCTGGCTAACATGGTGAAACCCAGTCTCTACTAAAAATACAAAAATTAGCCAGGCGTGGTGGCGGACGCCTGTAGTCCCAGCTACTCGGGAAGCTGAGGCAGGAGAATGGCGTGAACCCGGGAGGTGGAGCCTGCAGTGAGCCGACATCACGTCACTGCACTCCAGCCTGGGTGACAGAACGAGACTCTGTCCCTAAAAAAAATAAATACATAACAAAAATTAGCTGCGTGTGGTGGCGGGCGCCTGTAATCCCAGCGACTTGGGAGGCTGAGGCAGGAGAATTGCTTGAACCCTGGAGGTGGAGGTTGTAGTGAGCTGAAATCGTGCCACTGCACTCCCACCTGGGCCACAGAGCGAGACTCCGTCTCAAAAAAAAAACAGACAAAAAGCAAACAAAACCAAAACACCATAAACGTTCTCTTGAAATAATAAAGCAATAGTTCCTCCAGGTCTAGTCTAGTATAAATATGCAATGCAATCTAGTCTAGTACAAATTATATGTCAAAGCCAGAAATCAAACCCGTCTGATTCTGGGCTTTGAAATATAATTTATACTAGACTAGACTGCAAAAACAGTAACACTGAATCATCATTAGCACGCTACCTTTCCAGCAGCTCTTGCAGGCTCACAATGCCTTGTACGTGAAGATGCCACACCGCTTCAAGCAACAAAGAACTCTGAAAAACAAAACAAAACAAACAAAAACAAAAACAAAAAAACCCCCAGCATTCTGAGTCCTTTATGAATGCATTTTCCTACAAAATGTTCAACTTAGGTTCTTAACCATGCCGTATTGAAAATTAACCTCAAGCAAAAACTTAGAGCCTGAAACACATCTTTTTTTACAAAGCTGTACTGGTTTTCAAACTCCCTGGCCTTTGGGCACCCACACACCGTTGCCCAACACTTGCTTCTCTTCCTTCTCTCTTCCTACGCACTGTAGCCTACTTCTAACCCTTTCTCCACACTACAGCCAACACAGTATTACACACACTGACATGACAGTCTCTCCTTCAGAAGCCTTCACTGGCTCCTCGAAGCTGCCAGGACAAAGGTCAGGCTTCAGTGTGCCCTGTGCATGTCCCTTGTCTTTCTCACTCAACCCTCTCCCATTTGATAAAACAGGATCTGCTTTAGCCACTCACTGTGAACACTGTGCCTGTCACACTGCCCTGATCTCCCTGCAGCCTCCCCTTCTCATCCCCCTAACTCACACTCTATTTTTTTTTTTTTGAGACAGAGTCGCGCTCTGTCACCCAGGCTGGAGTGCAGTGGCGCCATCTCGGGTCACTGTAAGCTCTGCCTCCCGGGTTCACGCCATTCTCCTGCCTCAGCCTCCTGAGTAGCTGGGACTACAGGTGCCTGCCACCACACCCGGCTAATTTTTTCTATTTTTTAGTAGAGACGGGGTTTCACCGTGTTAGCCAGGATGGGCTCGATCTCCTGACCTCATGATCCACCTGCCTCGGCCTCCCAAAGTGCTGGGATTACAGGTGTGAGCCACTGGGCCCGGCCCCTAACTCGCACTCTTCACAGTCCGTGCAGGAAGGCTTTCCTAACTCTCCAATCTGATATGCATGTCCAACATCTTCTTCGCAAATCTGTGAGCACATGAATCATCGCACTTCTTGTGGATTTAGTGGCTTGTTTCCCAAGCTACGTGATAATGAGGGCAGGGACCAAAGCAATAACTGAAAAATCTAATGAATTCTATAATGTATGCTGGATAAAAGAATGGGAAAGGCCGGACGCAGTGGCTCACACCTGTAATCCCAGCACTTGGGAGGCCAAGATGGGCAGATCACCTGAGGTCAGGAATTGAAGACCAGCCTGGCCAACATGGTGAAACCTCATCTCTACTAAAGATACAAAAATTGGGCAGGGCGCGGTGACTCACACCTGTAATCCCGGCACTTTGGGAGGCCGAGGTGGGCAGATCATCTGAGGTCAGGAGTTTGAGACCAGCCTGACCAACATGGAGAAACCCCGTCTCTACTAAAAATACAAAAAAAATTAGCCAGGCATGGTGGCGCATGCCTGTAATCCCAGCTACTCGGGAGGCTGAGGCGGGAGAATGGCGTGAACCCGGGAGGCGGACGTTGCGATAAGCCAAGATAGCACCATTGCACTCCAGCCTGGGCAACAAGAGCAAAACTCCATCTCAAAAAAAAAAAAAGATACAAAAATTAACTGGGCATGGTGGCACGCGCCTGTAATCCCAGCTACTAAGGTGGCTGAGGCAGGACAATCGCTTGAACCTGGGAGGCAGACGTTGCAGTGAGCCAAGATTGCGCCACTGCACTCCAGCCTGGGCGGCAGAGCAATATTCTGTCTCAAAAATAAAAATAAATGCCAGGCGCGGTGGCTCACACTTGTAATCCCAGCACTTTGGGAGGCCGAGGTGGGCAGATCACGAGGTCAGGAGATCGAGACCATCCTGGCTAACACGGTGAAACCCCGTCTCTGCTAAAAAATACAAAAAATTAGCTGGGCGTGGTGGCAGTCACCTGTAGTCCCAGCTACTCGGGAGGCTGAGGCAGGAGAATGGCGTGAACCTGGGAGGTGGGGCTTGCAGTGAGCCAAGATCACGCCACTGCACTCCAGCCTGTGCGACAGAGCGAGACTTCGTCTCAAAAAAAAAAAAAAAAGACCAGCCTGGGCAACAAGGCGAGACCCTGTCTCTGGAAAAAAAAATTACATACATTTTTTTTTAATAGTTTACTATACTACCCTGGAAAATTCTCCATACTAATATACCCAAGGCTAAACGTGTTTTTCAATATATTCTAGTCTAATAAATATTACTAATGATAGGTGAATAGGGACAAAAAATGGCAATTGAAGGTACTTCTTTCCAATCCACAGATGATTTCTAAACCCTTTTTCATCCACTCTCTGTAATTAATGAGAAGCTTGGAGAATTCCCAAGAAAACCCAGGTACTCTGTTGCCTCCATCCAGATCAACAGAACATTGCCTGGAACACTGGAGAGTCAGATTTGCAATCTCAAATTTACCTGTATTTTCCATAATTCTTGACAGAAGGAAAGACGGGAGAACATACTGTGTGCCAATAAATACTGAGCAAACTCTAACAGGGAAGACAGCTTCTTCTGAAAAGAGAGATTACATTTTTTAAAAAACAAATTACCTGAAACAATACTAAAGCTATGTCCTATTTTCCCAACCAGCTTAAAAGTAACAACGGGCAGGTTTCCTCATCTTTGCTGGTGTCTTACTCTCTGCTCCACAGTCAGCAGCACAGGGTGACTGGTCTCCGCTGGAGCCGTGCAGATCTGTCCCACGCTAGAGGCAACCATCCCGGCTGAGAGAATACCCACGGGAACCCCCAGCCTTGAGGCTTGATCCTGCAAAGCAGAGCCTTAAACACAAAACAAAACCATAGCTTTCTCTTAACACATGAGACAAAATCTAAAACCAAAGACTTGCTGTTTAAAATGCCTTATTTTAAGATGCAGCACAAAAAAAATTGCCTTTTAAACGGGGAGAATAGATGCAAAGGGAAAAACATGAGATAAAAATGAGAATTTGATGATCCAAGCAGCTCACAATAAAACTGGTGGCAACACCTGAACCCAGAGTTATACATTGGTATTTGTTACGTTTCCCATGACACAAAAGGAGCAAGATAAAGAAATATATTCTGACCAAGAACTTTATCATCTTTTTACAAAGGAGCACAATAAATTGAGAACTGCAGCAGGCTCTTTCAATTACATTGTTTTTCTAATTACTTCAGAGATAAGCCTGCCCCTGTTGACTCACATTGATGGTTGTGATAAAATTAGGCAGGGATTTCCCAACATTCTGCCATGCACCTGGTGGGCAGGTGCAGTCACAGCTGTGCTCAGTCCGCAGGCCACCAAGTGGAACCTCACTAACAGCCTGCAGGCAGCCACCATTCTCCTGAGCAACCAGCCACTGGTCTGCATTCAATAAAGTGAGAAACGGTGGGCAACCTGGAAGCAGGCAATGCCAAGAAATCATTTTCTAATTTATTTGTCTTCCAAAATTAATTTTTTTTTGTTTTATTTTTTTGCAATGGTGTCTTACACTGCCGCCTGGACTGAAGTGCAACGGCGCCATCTCAGCTCACTGCAACCTCCGCCTCTCAGGTTCAAGCGATTCTCCTGCCTCAGCCTCCCAAGTAGCTGGGATTACAGGCACGCGTCACTACGCCCAGTTAATTTTTTGTATTTTTAGTAGAGATGGGGTTTCACTATGTTGGCTAGGCTCGTCTCCAATTCCCAACCTCATTAATCCGCCCGCCTCGGCCTCCCATACTGCTGGGATTACAGGTGTGAGCCACCACGTGAGCCAAAATTAATTGTTTAAAGAAACCGGGCCGGGCACGGTGGCTCACGCCTGTAATCCCAGCACTTTGGGAGGCCGAGGCGGGCGGATTACAAGGTCAGGAGATCGAGACCATCCTGGCTAACACGGTGAAACCCTGTCTCTACTAAAGACACAAAAACAAAATTAGCCAGGTTTGGTGACGGGAGCCTGTAGTCCCAGCTACTCAGGAGGCTGAGGCGAAGAATGGCGTGAACCCAGGAGGCGGAGTTTGCAGTGAGCCGAGATCACGCCACTACACTGCAGTCTGGGCGACAGAGCCAGACTTCATCTCAAAAAAACAAAACAAAAAAAAACTGGAGGCCAGGCTCAGTGGGTCCCTCCTGTAATCCCAGCACTTTGGGAGGCCGAGGCGGGTGGATCACCTGAGGTCGGGAGTTTGAGACCAGCCTGACCAACATGGTGAAACCCTATCTCTACTAAAAATACAAAATTAGCCAGGCGTGGTGGTGCATGCCTGTAATACCAGCTACTCAGGAGGCTGAGGCAGGAGAATCACTTTAACTAGGGAGGCAGAGGTTGCGGTGAGTCGAGATCACACCATTGCACTCCAGCCTGGGTAACAAGAGCAATACTCCGTCTCAAAAAAAAAAAAAAAAAAAAAAAACTGTTAACTGCAGTACGAACCTGTTATTGTAATGTACTGGCTCTAAAAACACATTATCAATACATAAGTAAAAACATTTACAGGCTGGTTGCGGTGGCTCATGCCTGTAATCCCAACACTGCAGGAGGCCGAGGCGGGTCGATCACGAGGTCAGGAGTTTGAGACCAGCCTGGCCAAGATGGTGAAACCCCGCCTCTACTAAAAATACAAAAATTAGCTGGGTGCGGCGGCGGGCACCTATAATCCCAGCTATTCGGGAGGCTGAGGCAGGAGAATTGCTTGAACCCAGGAGGCAGAGTTTGTAGTGAGCCGAGATGGCGCCATTGCACTCCAGCCTGGGCGACAGAGCAACACTTCGTCTCAAAAAAAAAAAAAAAAAATTTTACAATAGTTCTAGAAGCTTAAAATTATAGTACGAGAAATCATCAGCTGCTGGTGAAATTCTCGGTAGAAAAGTAGACAGATGGGGCACAGTGGCTCATGCCTGCAATCCCAACACCTTGGGTGGCTGAGGTAAACTGATTGCTTGAGCTCAGGAGTTTGAGACCAGCCTGGGCAATATGGCAAAACCCTGTCTCTATGAAAAAATTAGCCAGGCATGGTGGCGCACACCTGTAGTCCCAGCTACTCAAGATGCTGGGGTGGGAGGATCACTTGAGGCCAGGAGGTCAAGACTGCAGTGAGCCGTGATTGCACCACGGCTCTCCAGTCCAGGCAACAGAGTGAGACCCTGTCTGTTAAAAAAAAAAAAAAAAGTAGACAATGCCATTTTCTGTTCTGAGACAGAGTTTTGCTCTTATTGCCCAGGCTGGAGTGCAATGGAGGGGTCTCGGCTCAATGCAACCTCTGCCTCCCACGTTCAAGCAATTCTCCTGCCTCAGCCTCCTGAATAGCTGGGACTACAGGCACCCACCACCACACCCGGCTAATTTTTGTGTTTTTTAGTAGAGACAGGGTTTCACCATGTTGGCCAGGCTCGTCTCGAATCCTGACCTCAGGTGATCCGCACACCTCAGCCTCCCAAAGTGCTGCGATTATAGGCGTGAGCCACTGTGCCAGGCCAACAATGCCAATTTCTAGTCATTTGTTTCCAATGTGTCTCCATAGGAAAGTTTTTTTATCTACAAGTCTTTTACTGTGTGTGTGTGTGTGTGTGTGTGTGTCCGTGTGCACGTGCGTGCATGTACTAACTATATCTTTAGCAGAAAAAAACAAACTCAAAAATTAATGAATTAAAGGTTTATCTGTGTGGCTGAGCTTGGTTCCTTGGAATGATAATATGCAATTTGTGAAATTCAAATACAATCATGGCAGTGAAAATCTGTATCATTTGCCAATGACATTCAGTGACCAGTTGTCAAGGGAGCGCTATTACTGAAGGTTATTTTAACAGAAACAAGTCATCACATAAGGACGTGAAGGATCAGAAAATAACTTACTGTTGTTGACCCAGAACTTACCCTATCTCCCACTCTCAAACTGGGGGGAGAAGGAGGTACCTAGAAAATTGTTCTCCCGTCTGCTCTCCTGGGCACACCACAGCCTGTCTCACTACTTCCATGAGCAAGGGGCACATCCCTGCTGTTGCTATGTCCCATGTTTTTCCAAGGGACACTCTGGGTCCTACTGCTTCTGAGTCGCAGGTTGAATCAGACGCTGTTTTTAAACACAGCATCGTAAGAAGCCCAAGAGCAAGTCACACAAACATCCCATAGAATTTGCGACTACACACACCAGTGGAAACCCATCGCCTGAGAAAATTTACATTTCTACTTAATTTAGCAAACTATGGTTACTATATAAAAACCCTTCTGCAATTCAAAATAGAGAAAATGAAGCTATAACTTACCTATAAATGAACTAGAATGATTAGCATAGGCCTCAGAACTGTCACAGTCAATCACTTTGCTGAGAGACAATTTTTTACACAGTGGACCTTCTACCTAGAATCCAAAACACAACAAACTCCATTTAAAAAATTCAAGCTCCAGGCCAGGCGTAGTGGCTCACGCCTGTAATCCCAGTACTTTGGGAGGCCGAGATGGGCAGATCACGAGGTCAAGAGTTCGAGACCAGCCTGGCCAACATAGTGAAACCCTGTCTCTACTAAAAATACAAAAATTAGGAGGGCATGGTGGCGCGTGCCTGTAGTCCCAGCCACTCGGGAGGCTGAGACGGGAGAATCACTTAAACCCGGGAGGTGGAGGCTGCAGTGAGCCGAGATCACCCCACTGCATACCAGCCCAGGCTACAGTGTGAGACTTTGTCTCAAAAAAAATAAATGAAAATAAAAAATAAAAATAAAAAAAATTCAAGATCTGTGCATAAACACAACCTGTGTGTAAGTAATGCTTCCCTACTGGGCTATTTTCCTTTTTTTCTTTTTTGAGAGGGAGTCTCACTGTCGTCCAGGCTGGAGTGCAATGGCGGGATCTCACTCACGGCGACCTCCACCTCCCAGGTTCAAGCGATTCTCCTGCCTCAGCCTCCTGAGCAGCTGGGATTACAGACACCTGCTACCATACCCGGCTAATTTTTGTATTTTAAGTAGTGACGGGGTTTCACCATGTTGGTCAGGCTGGTCTCGAACTCCTAACCTCAAGTGATCTACCCACTTCGGCCTCCCAAAGGGCTAGGATTACAGGCGTGAGCCACCACGCCCGGCTTTTTTTTTTTTTTTTTTTTTTTTTTTTTTTGTGAGACAGTCTCACTCTGTAATCCAGACTGGATTGCAAGGGGCGTGATCTCGGCTCACTGCAATTTCTGCCTCCCGGGTCCAGGTTCAAGCAATTCTCCTGCCTCAGGCTCCCGAGTAGCTGGGATTAAAGGCGTGCGCCACCACACCCAGCTAATTTTTGTATTTTCAGTAGAGACCGGGTTTCACTATGTTGGCCAGGCTGGTCTCGAACTCCTGACCCTGAGTGATCCACCCGCCTTGGCCTCCCCAAAAGCTGGGATTACAGCCCTGAGCCACGGCGCCCGGCCTGTTTTTTTGTTGTTGTTGTTTTGTTTTTAATAAAAGAGGCGGGGTCTCACCCCGTTGCCCAGGTTGGTCCAGAACTCCCGGGCTCAGGCGACCCTCCCCTCTGCGGGCCAGGCCACCGCGCCCGCCGCCTCGGGTGTTTTCTTAGGAAAGCTGTGCGGTGGCTGGACTCAAAAACCCCGAACCTAAATCTGCCCGCAGACGGACACCAGCTTCCTCTTACCTCAAGCAAAAGGGCATTCAGGTCCTGATGGCTTCGCAGGAGGCGCACAGCTGATTCCTTTAATTTCTGTGCCCTTTCAGGATTATATTTTTCCCTCTTGACCCTTCCCGCTACGGAGAGAAGTCGGTTCGAAACCATCACAGCACAATTCACACACGGGGTCCCCGGCCCGACGCGCAGGTGGACGCCGCGGAGAAACCCACCAGCGACACCCTCCCGAAGAGGGGCCGGGGCTCCTCCCCAGGGCGCAGGTCTCGGGAAACTAACGGAGACGGCCCCACCGCGGACGCCGGGGAAGACGGCCCAGGAGGGCCCGAGGCAGGGGAGCCCGGGGACGGCTGGCGAGGGGCGGCCTCTGCGCTGAGGGGAGCCCCAGGCCGCGCACCCCAGGCCCGCCTGACAGGGCGGCCGGCGGGGGCGGCGTTCGGGAAAGAAGGGAGCGCCCCGCGGGCGGCGGCTGGGGGCGTCCGCCCAGGCGCAGGAGGGGCCGGGTCCGAGGCAGCCGCGCCGCCCCAGCCGGGCGCCCACCCCGCACAGCCCCCCGGGCGCGGCGTCCGGGGATCCGACCGGCGGAGGCTCTGGCGGGAAGGGATCGGGGAACCGGCGAAACCGTCCCGGGCCGGACGCCGCCCACTCCCGCGGCCTGCCGCGCCCACCTACCCAGCAGCTCGGCCCAGGCCCTCCGGCGGCCCCCTGGGTCCTGGCCCGAGGCGGAGTTCGGGACCCACGAGTCGGACATGGCCTTGGCGCCTACAGCCCCGGCGGCGGCTCCCTGCGCCCGAGCCCGCGCTGCCTTCCTATTGGCTGCGGCCAGGCGCGCACACCCGTTGGCTGGCGGCGGCCAGGCCACGCCCCTCAGGTCGAGGCCTTGCGTCGTGGCCATGTTGGTCCTGGGGGAGGCGCCTGCGCGCGGTGAGGTAGTTTTTGCGTTTGGCTTTGCCGCCGCGGTGTAGTCCGCGGGGGCGTCTCGCGCGGGCAGACTGCCGCCCCTCAAGCGTGGTTCCTGCCGGGAATGACTGGGGTTGGTCCTGAAGAGACCACCTGGCCAACCAAGCCGAGGCAGGCTCAGAGCGCCGCGGGGAGCGCAAAGCCGCGCGCGCCTCTGAGCTCCGGGCAGCCGCTGTTCCTCCCGGCGGCCGAACGGTCCGCGCGCAGGGCGGTGTTTCGGCAGCCGGAGACCGCGCGGTAGCCGCGCCTGTATTCCCAGCGCTTTGGGAGGCCGAGGCTGGAGGGTCGCTTGAGCCCAGGAATTCCAGACTAGCCTGGGCAACAGAGCGAGACCCCATCACTTTTGTTTCTTTTCTTTTTTTTTTTTTTCCTTTTTTTGAGACGGAGTCTCCCTCTGTCGCCCAGGCTGGAGTGCAGTGGCGCGATCTCGGCTCACTGCAACGTCTGCCTCCTGGGTTCAGGTGATTCTCCTGCCTCAGCCTCCCGAGTAGCTGGGATTGCAGGTGCGCGCCACCACGCCTGGATGATTTTTGTTATTTTTAGTAGAGACAGCGTTTCGCCATGTTGGCCCAGGCTAGTCTCGAACTCCGGACCTCAGGTGATCCGCCCGCCTCGGCCTCCCAAAGTGCTGGGATTACAGGCGTGAGCCACCGCACCCGGCTGAGACCCTATCTTTTAACCAGCCTGGGCGGCAGAGCGAGACTCTGTCTCAAAACAAAACCAAACATAAGAATTCGTAAAAGCGAGTGCCTAGGCGAAGCTAATGTGCCTCAAAGTCCTGGGTAAGTAGAGGCCCTGGAGACCCGTCCGCATCCTCTGGCAGTGGCCTTGGAACCACCGAAGGGATTCAGCCGAAGGGCCGCGTTCCCGGCAGGCGTCTTTATTGTGTTGATTACGTAGATGGCGTAGATGACGTAGATGACGTTCAGCACCACAAACGAAGAGCCGAGGCACAGAGTGGGGCCTTGGATTCATGAGATGGGGATGGAGCAGAAATGAGAATTCGGAGTCCATGAAACCCCCACAAAGACTCCTGCACGGCCCGACTCGGACACTTTGCAATCTGCTGGTTGAGGGGGATGGTGTGAACTCAGGGAACAGCCTGAGATCGCGCCGCTGCACTCCAGCCTGGGCAACAGAGCAAGACCCTGTTTCAAAAACAAAAAATAACACTAAGCAATTAACAGGACTAGACTCAGAGGTGATCGAGAAATTGAAACAGGCTGGAAATTTAAATTAACTGTGATTAATATGTGGAGGTCTCTTGTACGAAAGGTGAACAATATGCATGAGGAGGAAACTCATCAAATTATAAGAAAGGAAGAACGCTGATAACAGGTAATTTTTCTGATGGGGCAGCAGTAGGATCAACACAGCTGAGAAAAATAGGAATTACCCACGTTGGAAAATAAAGAAGAAAAAAAGTTTTTTTTTAAAAAAAGCATCCAAGAACTGTGGGAAAATATCAAATGATATCATATGCATGTAATAGGACTCCCAAAAGAAGAAGAAAGAACAAATCATAAAAAATGTTTGAAGAGAAAATTACCAATAATTTTCCCAAAATAATGAAAGACCTGAGCTCAGAGCACACACAAAACTTGATAAATATGAGCCCCTGCCTGACACATGCAGTGTATTCAAACTGTGGAAATCAGAGAGAAAACCATGAAGATGGCCGGAGGAAAAAGATACGTTAAATACAGTAACAAAGGTAAGAATTCCAGCCTGGGCAATATGGCAAGACCTCGTCTCTACAAAAAATACAAAATTTTTTTTTTGTATTTTTTGTATTGCCCAGTGTGGTGACACGAGCCTGTAGTCCTGTGGGCGGAGAATTACCCAGGTGCCGAGGCAAGAGACCGAAGGCACAAACTATTTCAGTATAATAAAATCGTTACAATAAGAACAGTCATAATACAAATTATGGAGATGATCATGGACAATTATCAATTATTATAAACATTAATCATTAGCTTTTAATATTACTGTTTGTTGCATTACTAATATAACCTAGGAATAACCGGTGGGTATAGGGTCAGGTGCTGAAAGGACATTGTGAGAAGTGAGTGGAAGGCAAGAGGTGAACCTTCTGTCATGCCCGCATAAGGGCCGCTTGAGGGCTCCTTGGTCAAGCGGTAACGCCAGTGTCTGGGAAGGCACCCGTTACTTAGCAGACCATGAAAGGGAGTCTCCTTTGCTTGGAGGAGTCAGGGAACACTCTGCTCCACCAGCTTCTTGTGGGAGGCTGGATGTTATCCAGGCCTGCACGCAGTCATCCGGAGGCCTAAACCCCTCCCTGTGGTGCTTCACTGGTCACGCTCCTTGTCCACTTTCATGTTCCTCCCTTACTTCTGGTTCGTCTTTGAAGTTCGTAGTAGATAGCGGTAGAAGAAATAGTGAAAGTCTTAAAGTCTTTGATCTTTCTTATAAGTGCAGAGAAGAAAATGCTGACGTATGCTGCCTTCTTTCTCTGCTTCACCTACCTGAAAGGGAAGGGCCCCCATCCTGTAATCACGTGACATGCTTCACCTTGTCAATCACTTAGAAGATTCACCTTCCTTACGCTGCCCCCTTGTCATGTATGCAATAGATATCAAAGAGCCTAGCCGTTCGGGGCCGCTACCAGTCTCCGCGTCTTGATGGTAGTGGTCCCCGGGGCCCAGCTGTTTTCTCTTTATTTCTTGGTCTTGTGTCTTTATTTATTACAATCTCTCTTCTCCGTACATGGGGAGAACACCCACTAAGCCCCATAGGGCTGGACCCTACATAGTCCCAGCTACTTGGGAGGCTGAGGTGAGAGGATCACTTGAGCCCAGGAGGCTGAGGCTGCAGGGAGCCACCATCACGCCACTGCACTCCAGCCTGGATGACAGAGTGACACCCTGTCTCAAAAAAAAAAAAAAGGCAGGGGTGCTGGGCACGGTGTCTCACACTTGTAATCCCAGCATTTTGGGGGGCCGAGGCCGGTGGATCACCTGAGGTCAGGAGTTTGAGACTAGCCTGGCCAACATGGTGAAATCTCATCTCTACTAAAAACACAAAAATTGGCCAGGTGTGGTGGCTCATGCCTGTAATCCCAGCACTTTGGGAGGCCAAGGCAGGCAGATCACCTGAGGTCAGGAGTTCAAGACCAGCCTGACGAACATGGAGAAACCCCGTCTCTACTAAAAATACAAAATCAGCCAGGTGTGGTGGTGCATGCCTGTAATCCCAGCTACTCGGGAGGCTGAGGCAGGAGAATCGCCTGAACCCAGGAGGCGAAGGTTGCAGTAAACCAAGATTGCGCCACTGCACTCCAGCCTGGGCAACTAGAGCAAAACTCTTGTCTTGGCCCGGCGCAGTGGCTCACGCCTGTAATCCCAGCACTTTGGGAGGCTGAGGCAGGCGGGTCACCTGAGAGCAGGAGTTCGAGACCAGCTTGGACAACATGGTGAAACCCCATCTCTACCAAAACTACAAAAATTAGCCGGGTGTGGTGGCAGGTGCATGTAATTCCAGCTACTCAGGAGGCTGAGGCGGGAGATTTGCTTGAACCCAGGAGGCGGAGCTTGCAGTGAGCTGAGATCGTGCCACTGCACTCCAGCCTGGGTGACAGAGCGACACTCCGTCTCAAAAAAAAGATAATTTTCTGTCTAGGACAAGTGGGGTGGCTCATGACTGTAATCCCAGCGCTTTGGGAGGCTGAGGTGGGTAGATCACCTGAGGTCAGGAGTTCGAATTTGGCCTGGCCAACATGGTGAAACCACATCTCTACTAAAAATACAAAATTAGCCGGGCGTGGTGACCAGTGCCTGTAATCGCAGCTACTTGGGAGGCTGAGGCTGGAGAATCACTTGAACCCAGGAGATGTAGGTTGCAGTGAGCCGAGATCATGCCAACTACAGCCTGGGCGACAGATTGAGACTCTGTCTCAAAAAAAAAAAAAAAAGCGTATGGTGGCGCGCGCCTGTAATCCCAGCACTTTGGGAGGCCGAGGTGGGCAGATTACCTGAAGTCAGGAGTTTGAGACCAGCGTCCCCAACATGGAGAAACCTGGTCTCTACTAAAAATACAAAAAATGAGCCGGCTGTGGTGGTGGGCACCTGTAATCCCAGCTTCTGGGGAGGCTGAGACAGGAGAATCGCTTCAGCCTGGGAGGCAAACCTTGCAGTGAACTGAGATCATGACACTGCACTCCAGCCTGGGCGACAAGAGCAAAACTCCCTCTCGAAAAGAAAAGAAAAGAAAAGAAAAGTTCATCTGTCCTTTGATCTGGCACATCTTTTATAATGGCCTGTTCTGCCTCTGCCTTGTCACTGAGCAGTGTGGGGAGAATTATGCCCATGAGTTGTGAGGAACTTCTGCATTCTTTTTTTTTTTTTTTTTTAAGATGGAGTCTCACTCTGTTGCCCAGGCTGGACTGCAGTGGCATGATCTTGGCTCACTGCAACCACTGCCTTCCAGGTTCAAGCGATTCTCCCGCCTCAGCCTCCCGAGTAGCTGGGATTACAGGTGCCTGCCACCACGCCTGTCTAATTTTTGTATTTTTAGTAGAGACAGGGTTTTGCCATGTTGGCCAGGCTGGTCTCAAACTCCTGACCTCAGGTGATCCGCCCGCCTCGGCCTCCCAAAGTGCTGGGATTACAGGCGTGCGCCACCGCGCCTGGCCTTTTTTTTTTTTGAGACAGGGTCTCACTCTGCCACTAAGGCTAGAGTGGCGCAATCTCGTCTCACTACAACCTCCGCCTCCGCCTCCCAGGCTCTTGGTCCTCCTACCTCAGCCTCCCAAAGTGCTGGGACGACAGGTGTGAGGCGCCACGTCCAGCCTAGTTCTCTCATCTTACAACGTTCAGGCCCCTGGGCGGGCACTGGAGGTGCTTTCACCATCTGAGACGATGTTTGCTGTCACGTGGGGAGGAGCTTGTCAACCCCATGTTCACACAGGAACTAGTGTCTAAGTGACACATCTCAGCATGTCCCATTCTTGTTTTTTTTTTTTTTGAGGCACAGAGTTTCGCTCTTGTCACCCAGCCTGGAGTGCAATGGCGAGATCATGGCTCACCGCAACCTCCACCTCCCGGGTTCAAGAGATTCTCCTGTCTCAGCTTCCCGAGCAGCTGGGATTATAGCCCTGCGCCACCATGCCTGACTAATTTTGTATTTTTAGTAGAGACAGGGTTTCTCCATGTTGGTCAGGCTGGTCTCAGACTCCCAACCCCCAACCTCAGGTGATCTACCCGCCTCAACCTCCCCAAGTGCTGGGATTACAGGTGTGAGCCACCACGCCCAGCCAGGACCCATTCATTTTTAACCACCTTGCTTTATCTGTTCAAAAGAGAAACAAATTCAGCATGTGTAAATAACTCTGACCACCCTCAATAGGAAGCAGACAGGGCCTTGAGTATTTCTCTCATCTCCTGACTCAGAATCGCAGCGTGTGTCTCTCTTCACCATACCGCACGGGTCCTGCTCGCTGACCCAGCCCGCCTGCTGTCCAGGGCTTCCTCTGTCTCTGCTCTGGGACCTCCCCATGGCCACGCATTCCGCCGCATGGTCTGGATCCCTCGCGGTGTCTGGGTTCAGCCATGCTCAGCCTCTGTGTCGGTCACCAGCCTAGAAACCCTGGAGCACCCCGGGCCGGAACCCTTCCCTCAGATCTGTCGTGAGTTCCCTTTCAGAGATCAAGCCCAGCCTGGCTCAGTCTTGCACCCCTTGGGATCCACGGCCTGTATAGTTACCCTAAAATAAACACAACACAAAACCAGGGCTCTCAAATGTCTGCTTTTCCTCCTGGGCCCCTGAGCTCTGACCCTGCCTGGCTGCACAGACTGTGACAAAGAGAGTATTCAGGGGCCTCGGGGGTGCAGGAGGCCAGGCTGCTCACCAGTACAGTGTGCACATAATCCCTTGGGAGGAGCCAACCTTGTTTTTGAGTCTGAAATGGAATGAGTAAGGCGTGGCCAAAGAAACCTCTGCACTCCACTGGCCCCAGGTGAAGTGGCTCTGCCTGAGTCCAGATGGTGGAGGAGGCCTTTGACCTGAAGTTGACTTTGTGTCTGACTTGCTCTGACTTCTGTCCCAAGGCACTCAGGGTTCTTGCTATGCCACCTTGTACCCTGGGGCCCTGCACTCCTCTCCTGAAATGAAGAACCCTGGAATTCTCTGTGTAATTAGAGCCACAGAACACCTGGGGAACCAGCGCCAACTTACCTTCTCAGCCTCCAGGAACCTACAGTTGAGATCTTCTAGGCTCTGTCTGTAAAGATGCTGAGAGGTATAATTCCTAGAGCTTTTTAATCTGTGGCCAACTGCAGTCATGAGCCACACAGCCCCTCTGAGTGCACTGCCATGGTGTGGAGAAGATTTACAGCCCCTCAAAGGGCTCCGTCTGATATTATTCAAAGCACCAAACACAGAGCATGGGCAAAAGCAAACATGACCAGTGGGTTCCTGATTGATGTCGGCACCTGGAGCCCTTCCCCACCTGCTGTGCTGGTCTTTGTTTCCTTGTGTATCGTTGCTCTGCCTGTAAGAACAGAGGGGCAGGCACCTACCTGGGGTTGCCCTGCTCTTTCCCCAGGCATGAGAAATCAGTGCCTGGTAAATTGGCATGAATGAGCAGCTGGTACCATGAGATAAACATTTTGGGGGTGTTTCTGTTAATGTGATAACTTGATAAAGTGATTGTCCAGCCCCAAGCACTGCTGGATTCATCATCATACTAAATGTCTCTAGTTTGTCCCCAAGCGGAGCAGCCCAGTTACTGATAATTTCCCTCTCCCAGGATTTCCTAATCTACTGGAAATGAAGGACAAGGAGCATGTTTTTAGATGCAGGCAATCCATAACTGTAGAAATGGCCTTGATCTAAAGCAAGCTTGTCCAACCCGCGGCCTGTGGGCTGCATGCGGCCCAGGAAAGCTTTGAATGCAGCCCAACACAAATTCTTAAACTTTCTTAAAACATTGTGAGATTTATGCACAGAGCTATTGTTAGTGTATTTTACGTGTGGCTCAAGACAATTCGTCTTCCAGTGTGGTCCAGGGAAGCCAAAAGATTGGACACCCCTGCTCTAAAGCTTTCCAAGCTGACTTAATGACTGACCTACATCAATCTCTACAGTGCTTCTCGTTGAGTCCCTTTTTCTGTTTGTTTGTTTTTTGAGACAGAGTCTCACTGTGTCACCAGGCTGGAGTGCAGTGGTGTGATCTCGGCTCACTGCAACCTCCGCCTCCTGGATTCAGGCGATTGTCCTGCCTCACCCTCCTGAGTAGCTGGGACTACAGGCATGTGCCACCATGCCCAGCTAATTTTTGTATTTTTATTTTTATTTTTTATTTATTTATTTTTTGAGACAGAGTCTCGCTCTGTCGCCCAGGCTGCAATGCAGTGGCGCAATCTTGGCTCACTGCAAGCTCCACCTCCCAGGTTCACGGCATTCTCCTGCCTCAGCCTCCCGAGTAGCTGGGACTACAGGCACCCCCCCACCACGCCCGGCTAATTTTTTTGTATTTTTAGTAGAGACAGGGTTTCACCGTGCTAGCCAGGATGGTCTCGATCTCCTGACCTCGTGATCTGCCCGCCTCAGCCTCCCAAAGTGCTGGGATTACAGGCGTGAGCCACTGTGCCTGGCCTTTTGTATTTTTAGTAGAGATGGGGTTTCACCGTGTTGGCCAGGATGGCCTTGATCTCCTGACCTTGTGATCTGCCTGCCTCGGCCTCCCAAAGTGCTGGGATTACAGGTGTGAGCCACCATGCCCGGCCATGTTTTATTTCTTTTTATTTTTTTTGAGATGGAGTCTTGCTCTGTTTCCCAGGCTGGAGTGCAGTGGTGCGATCTCGGCTCACTGCGACCTCCGCCTCCTGGGTTCAAGCAATTCTTCTGCCTCAGCCTCCCGAGTAGCTGGGATTATAGGCATGTGCCACCACGCCCTGCTAATTTTTTTTTTTTTAATTATTTTTCTAGTAGAGATGGGGTTTCACCATATTGGCCAGGCTGGTCTGGAACTCCTGACCTCGTGATCTGCCCCCTTGGCCTCCCAAAGTGCTGGGATTACAGGCTTGAGCCACCGTGCCCAGCCCTAACTTTTAAAATTTTTTACTAAAATCTCAGTGTTCTAAGTCCTGCTGGTGAGTCCATAGGGATCCCAGGTAGGATGGTGGATGCCAGTTCAGAGAGGGTCACTGTACCCCACTCACGTGACCTCAAGGGTCACTGTTCAGCCAGGTGAGTCAGCACTAGGTCCTTGCCAGGATGCAGCAGTGGCTGGAGGACTGAGCTCACAAATTACACCCTAAAACCTTGTGGTCGGTAAGGGACACGTGAGGCCCTTTGAGGAAGAGAGAAGGTCCCCTTGTGCCCCAGCCAGCTTCCCATTAGGGTAATTACCATCTTCTGCTCAAATGTCCCCGGCCAGTGCTGCACTGTGGCAGTGATGAGGCTGCACGTCCAAAGAGTGCTCTGGGGTGGTGGCCAGTCGTGGTGAGAGCAATGTCCCCCACCTTGACTTCTGGCAAGAAGCAGTGAGACCTACTCAGTGGGGTGTTGCAAATGGAAGTCTTTTTTTTTTTCTTTTTTTATTTTTGAGATGGAGTCTCGCTCTGTCGCCCAGGCTGGAGTGCAGTGGCGCGATCTCGGCTCACTGCAAGCTCCGCCTCCTGGGTTCACGCCATTCTCCTGCTTTAGCCTCCCCAGTATCTGGAACTACAGGCACCCGACACCACTCCTGGCTAATTTTTTGTGTTTTTTAGTAGAGACGGGTTTCACCATGTTAGCCAGGATAGTCTCAATCTCCTGACCTCTTGATCCATCCGCCTCGGCCTCCCAAAGTGCTGGGATTACAGGAGTGAGCCACCGCGCTCGGCCACAAATGGAAGTCTTTATCCCCGTGCATTCTGAAGGGAGAAACCACCCTGTGTGTGGGACCAAGGATCAGCCTCAGACATCAGCAGAGAACAATTCCCCATCATCACACACCTGGCAGTGTGTGGGCCAGGGACTTTGGTTACCACGAATGTAGAGCGTGCTGCTCCTGTGGAATAAGATGCCTCATGGAAGGTTTTCTGCTGTTGCTCTTCTAAGCCAGAACTTGAAATTCCTAACTTACCCATCGTTGGTACCCATGCTGCGGGTGGCAGGGACAAATCAGGAGGGGAGATCTGCTTGAGTGCCAGGTTTGTGGTACATGGTATTCAGGGCATGGCACCCCATCCCCACCCCGCTCATCTCCAATTTTCCTTCTGCAAAACCCCACTGCGCCTATTAGTCTTTATGCATCTATTTACTAGAGACAGGGTCTCACCGTCACCCAGGCTGGAGTGCAGTGGTGCAATCACAGCGCACTGCAACCTCGACCTCCCAGGCTCAAGTGGTCCTCCTGCCTTACCCTCCCAAGTAGCTGGGACCACCGGCACACACCTCCACACCTGGCTAATGTTTTTAAAGTTTTGTAGCGATAGGGTCTCATGTTGCCCTGGCAGGTCTCGAACTCCTGGGTTCAAGCCATCGGGTTGCCTCGGCCTCCCAAAGTGCTGGGATTACAGGCATGAGCCACCGTGCCCAGCCCACTCCTGTTACTTTTGGTTGTGTTTTAGCTTGGGGAACCAACAAAAGATGTGAATGTTGCCCCGCTGTTGATTATAAAAACTTTAGGCATGGCTGGGCACAGTGGCTCATGCCTGTAATCCCAGCACTTTGAGAGGCCGAGGCGGGCGGATCATGAGGTCAGGAGATTGAGACCATCCTAGCTAATACAGTGAAACCCCGTCTCTACTAAAAAAATACAAAAAATTAGCTGGGCGTGGTGGCAGGCGCCTGTAGTCTCAGCTACTCAGGAGGCTGAGGCAGGAGAATGGCGTAAACCTGGGAGGGGAGCTTGCAGTGAGCAGAGATCGCGTCACTGCACTCTAGCCTGGGCAACAGAGCGCGACTCTGCCTCAAAACAAACAAACAAACAAACTTTAGGCACAATTCGTCATCATCAGCCTCCTTTCTGCTTACAGATGAAAAGTCCAGCTGGACGGGACGACATGGCTCATGCCTGCAACCCCAGCACCCTGGGAGGCTGAGGCAGGGGGATCACCTGAGGTCAGGATTTCGAGACCGGCCTGGCCGACATGGCGAAACCACCCAAAAAATTACCCGGGTGTGGTGGTGGGCGCCTGTAGTTCCAGCTACTTTGAGGCTGAGGCAGGAGAAACGCTTGAATCTGGGAGGTAGAGGTTGCAGTGAGCCAAGGTTGCGCCACTGCACTCCAGCCTGGGCGATAAGAGCAAAACTCCTTCTCAAAAAAAAAAAAAAGAAAGGGAAAGAAAAGAAAAGTCCAGCTGGACTGGGCGCGGTTGCTCACGCTTGTAATCCCAGTACTTTGGGAGACCAAGGTGGCCTGACTGCTTGAGCCCAGGAATTCAAGACCAGCCTGGGCAACATGGTGAGATCCCATCTCCACAAAAAATAAAAACAATCAGCTGGGCGTGGTGGTTCATGCCTTTAGTCCCATCTACTCAGGAAGCTGACGTGGGAGGATCACTTGACCCCAGGAATTTGAGGTTATAGTGAGCTACGATTGTACCATTGCACTTCAGCCTGGGTGAGACCTTGTCTCTAAAAAAAAAAAAAGAAAAAAAAATCATTGTGGAACTTCTTTTCTGGGATGGGATCTCACTGTGTTGTCCAGGCAGGTCCAGAACTCCTGGGAGACCAGCGAACTTTAAGTGCCCCAAGTTTCACCTCGGACCTGCATCAGAATCTCCAGCCCTGGAGCCCAGGAATCTGCATTTCTTGCCCCCGGGTGGTACTGGCAGCACCCAGGCTTGGGACCGTTTATGCCCCAACTGCATTTTCTTGCCCACTTATTCAGATCTGGCACAACTATGAAGAGGCCTCGGGATGAGCCCCAGCCGAGTTCCCCTTGCGTCCCTCAGGCAAACACCCAGTGTCCAGGAGTGACCCGGCCTGAAGACACAAACACGCCCCAAATGCGATGCACGCCATCACTGGCCAACCGTGTGTGTTTATTTTTCACGGACACCCTGGAGACGTCACTGCAGGCACATTCCCTGCTAGGCAGAGGCATTTATTAAGGGCTTCATACCCGAAGGCCGGATGCGGGGAGTCGCCCTCACCCCAGCCACCCTGCGACAACCCCTGGAGGTCACCTTGCCCGGGGCTCGGGGAGGCCACTGCGGGCTTTGTCTGCTCAGCTCCTCCCGGCTCCCTCCCGCGTTCCCAGCGGCAAACCTCCCAGGCCCCCCGCGGTCACCGCAGTGTCCCGGGCTGGATGCCGGCCCGGGCTTTTGTGGGCATCGGCCGTCTGGGTCTGCGGGGGAGCGCCGGGGGTGTCACCGCGTGTCCGAGCGCGCGGGCCCTGGCCCATGTCTGCAGCCCCCAACCCTCCCCCCGGTCCTGCCCAGCACCCCGGAGGGGTTCGCACCCCGGCCTCGGCCCCGCGCCCCCGCGTCCCCAGCCCTGAGCCCCAGCCCCTCCGCACCTACCCGCGCCCCGCCCTGCCCCTCACCCGTCCCCCTCCGGGCCTCTCCCCGCGCGCCCTCCACTCCCCGCCCCGCCCCGCGTCCCTCCCCCTCCGCGCCCCGCCCCCCGCGCCCTCCGCGCCCCGCCCCCGTCGCCGCCCCGCCCCCAACCTGAGGCGCTCGCGCGGGGCGGGGCGGCCAGGCTGACCCTGCGCGGCGGAAGGCGCGGCTGCATGGACGCGGGTCCGGCGCGCGGGAGGCGATGACGGCCCCGCCATGGCCCGGGCGGGCAGCTGCGGCGGCGCCGCGGCGGGCGCAGGGCGGCCGGAGCCCTGGGAGCTGTCCCTGGAGGAGGTGCTGAAGGCCTACGAGCAGCCGCTCAACGAGGAGCAGGCGTGGGCCGTGTGCTTCCAGGGCTGCCGCGGGCTGCGGGGCTCGCCGGGCCGGCGCCTGCGGGATACCGGGGACCTCCTGCTGCGCGGGGACGGCTCGGTCGGGGCGCGGGAGCCCGAGGCCGCGGGTGAGGCCGGGGGCGGGGCAGCCGGCGGGGACCGCGGTCTGGGGCGTCCGTCCCGCCCCCTGGGTGGGGGTGGTCCCGGCGGAGAGGCTGCGACCGGTTCTGGAGCGGGAGATCCCCTTCTCTGCGGGACCCGGAGCTCCCTCCCTCCCACTCTCCGTCCCTCTTTCCCTCTCTCTTTCCTCCCTCCTTCTCTCCCTCCTTCCTCTCCCTCCCCGGCCCTGGACGTTCCCCTCCCGGACCCCCCCACCTGACGCCTCTCCCAGCGCGGAGCGGGCTGCTCCCCAGTGGCCTGGCTTCCTCCGGGAGAGGGACTTGGGCCGGTGGCTCAGGGAGCACGGAGCTGGCCTTTGCTGGGGCGACTCCTCCCCTGCCTTCAGCAGGAAAGGAGACAGAAGCGTCCCCTTGGGGCATTTTCTCCTGGGTGGAAGGTGGGGGGCTGCGCCTCACTTGGCGTCTGAACTGACACTAAATTCCTGGGTTTAACTGGGAGAGGAAGGGGTGTGTAAAGTTGGGGGGACAACCTGCTTGGTGTTTCTATTCTTAACCATCAACCAGAACCAACAATTAAGCCCTAGAAAGATACTTGAAGTTAGTGAGAATGGTGAGCTTAAGTGATTATTTACCCTTTACGAAAAAAACCGAAAGTGATTTCTTCCCTGGAGAGCTGGAGTGCTGGCTTGGAGCATGTGATATGACCCCAAAAGCTGGTACCCTGCCGGGGGGCAGAGGCAGGCTGTGTGTTTGCCGCACTCTCTCCAGGCCTGAGAGCTGTGGGTTTGCATGAGCAGGCCTATGTGGAGGACCAGGAAGGGCCAGGGCAAGGCCAGACAGAAGCAAGCTACAGAGCCACGAGGGGTGGGGGCCGTTGTGCCCCACCCAAGGGCCCTTGTTCCTTCACCAGGTCCTGCTCATCCTGGAGCCCCCCCCTCAGCTGCCTCCACACTCCTGCCATTTGCAGTATCCCACACAGGTGACAGCAAGAGCAGGCCCTGAGGTTTTACTCCCTCTGGAGAAACCTGAGGCGCAGGCTTGCGCTGGCACTCAGACAGTGGCAGCGTTCAGATTCACTGTGGCGTCCCTCAGGGCTGTGCCCACTGCCGCCCAGAGGGTGGGGTGAGACGGCAGGTGCATGGGGCCCAGGAGGCTGCATGCTCACAGAGCCTCTGTGAAAGGGTGCCTGGACTTCACCCCATTCCTGGAGATAAGTGCAGAGCAGGAGGAGGCTGTAGGCAGCCTGGTTCGTCTGACCCTCTGACTGTAAAGATGGGGAAACCGAGGCACACAGTGGTAAGTGGTTTGCCGGGTGGTTAGAATCCAGAGCTCCTCATTTGTCCTAGCTGTGCGGGAGCCCAGCCGCCTGCTTCCTGTTGGTGCTGTGCAAGGCGTCCTCAGAGCAGTGATCTGATTCTCTCCACCTCCATCCCTGGGTGGTGTGGCCCCTTCCTGGTCCTCACAGCCCCGGCAGCAGTTCCTGGCTGGGGTTCAAAGTTCAGGTAGGGCACTGTGTTGACCTTAGGGGGTGGTACCCACCTGTGGTCCAGTTCATTTTTTATTTGATAACGATCTTTGTTTTCTGTTCATAACCCTGTCTCATGAAGGCGAATGAGTTTTATGACTTGCTCTCTCTTGAAGGTTTAAGAAAAATCTATTACCCTGAACTTTCTGTGCCATCCTTGTGGTGCTTCTGAGTCAGCTGAGACATCAGGCCAGCTGTCTCCTCAAAGGTGGCTAACCCAGCCTTTCTCTGGGACTTAAGTGATAAGTAAATACATTAAAAGATGCATACTTATTTCTCCCTGTAGATATCAATAGGAAAACATCCAATCTCACTTGTTGGCATTGTAGTCTCAGTTTTTTGCTCCAGTTGAATTTCTCAACCTGTAACCTTGGGTCTTCAGTACCCACCCTCTCACACAAACTGAATATGGGCAGTAGGTGTGTAAAACCACTTTGAAAAAAACCAACAACAAACTAGACCATACTTAGGAGGATGAATAATATTATCTTAGCACACAAGTAGTAATACTTCTCATTTCCAAGCCAAGATTAGGAAAAAAATGACTAGAAGAGACTTCCTAATCTTTACTCTGAAGACTTTGTAACTGCTTAGAATCTTTTTTTTTTTTTTTTTTTGAGAGGGAGTCTCGCTCTGTTGCCCAGGCTGGAGTGCAGCGGCACAATCTCTGCTCACTGCAAGCTCCACCTCCCGGGTTCACGCCATTCTCCTGCCTCAGCCTCCCGAGTAGCTGGGACTACAGGCGCCCGCCACCACGCCCGGCTAATTTTTTGTATTTTTAGTAGAGACGGGGTTTCACCGTGTTAGCCAGGATGGTCTCGATCTCCTGACCTCGTGATCTGCCCACCTCGGCCTTCCAAAGTGCTGGGATTACAGGCGTGAGCCACTGCGCCCAGCTGGGTGGTTTCTCAAATACATCTCAGACGTGGTGCTAATGAGGGTCTGTGTGGTCCATGTGCAAGGTGGGTGGGATGGCCCTTCCTTCCGTCACCTGCCCTCTTCACCCTGATTGGCTACTTTACACGTGACCCTATTTTTTGAATGTTTTTTCTTGTCAACTTTGGATGCTAAACTTTTTTTCTTTCTTTCTTTTTTTTTTTTTTTTATGAGACAGTCTCGCTCTGTCGCCCAGGCTGGAGTGCAGTGGCGCGTTCTCGGCTCACTGCAAGCTTCGCCTACTGGGTTCACGCCATTCTCCTGCCTCAGCGTCCCGAGTAGCTGGGACTACATGCGCCCGCCACCACGCCCGGCTAATTTTTTGTATTTTTAGTAGAGACTGGGTTTCACTGTGTTAGCCAGAATGGTCTCGATCTCCTGACCTCATGATCCGCCCACCTCGGCCTCCCAAAGTGCTGGGATTACAGGCGTAAGCCACCACGCCTGGCCTGGATGCTAAACTTTTTCACAGGCAGGCCCCGCTCTTTACGCTAGGATGCCCCACGTTGCTGGTCCTCCAGGTATCCCCCGCCCTTTCTCCTGCCCCTCCCCCTTCTGCCCGGCTCTCAGGCCATCTGCCTCTAAGGCACCCTTAGAGCACTGGCTCTGGGGTTCTGCTGTTTCGCAGCCCCGCGCACTCCCAGATGTCTAAGCCTTCCCAACCTGTTCATCTCGCGGCCTGTGTTCTAAACAGAAACATCCATAGTGATCTAGGCAGCACGGGGCACCGTGTCCACGTCCAGAGCTCTGCAGAGGGCGAAGCTCTTCCCTCCTCTGGTTCCCTCCATCCCGCGCCGTGCTGATGAGCAGGCCCCAGCTTCTTGCTCCCATTCCTCCTCAAGGCGGAGTGATGGCAGCGCGTGCCCGCGTGAGGCAAGAGAGGGGCTCTGGGCCCAGGAAGCACCCCATGGTTACGGCCCATGTGAAGGGGCATCCTTTTCACCCACGGAAGCCCGTTTGTGTGTCTGTGCTGGAGTCCACCTTTGCCGAGGAGCACCGTGGCCTCGAGCCCGCAGCCAGCCTGCCTGTTCTGCCGCTGGATCTGGGCTGGCTGGGCCTCCTCAGTGGCCAGGACTGTCTGGTGAGCTTGCCTTTATTTTAAAATAGCAGTCTGCAAACGTGTGCACATGAGTGTTTAGTTGTTTTCTGGAGATGGTGTCTGTAGTTGTGCTGGAGAAAAGCAAGAACTGATTGGAAAGATGAAATTCTGCTCCCAGAGGAGATAATATTTTCCTCCTCCTGAGTCTCCCTCTGGAAGCCAGGACACTTCTGCTTGGAATGCGTTCCTTAAACCAGGTGGCTTCTGTTAGCAGCTTCCTGACTCCTCACCAGAGCTGAGGGGCATCACGGCCAGCATCACCTGCCCTCACTGTCCCTGGGCACCCTCGGAGCTCAGGCCCTGCTTCTATTGCACCCTGGGAGGAGAACTCAGTCAAGACACGGTGTGGAGATGAGGCCAGGTGCCCCTTACAGGTGGGCACATTGCTTCAGCATCCAGGGGCGTTTGCAGAGCCGGGCTGAGCAGTGCCCTTCCATGCTCTTGTTTGCTCCTCTGATGAAGGGCCCTGTTTTTGTTGTTGTTGTTGTTTTTTGGGACAGAGTTTCGCTCTTATTGCCCAGGCTGGAGTGCAATGGCATGATCTCGGCTCACTGCAACCTTAGCCTCCTGAGTTCAAGCGATTCTCCTGCCTCAGCCTCCCAAGTAGCTGGGATTACAGGTGCCTGCCACCAAACCCAGCTGATTTCTTTTTTTTTTTTTTGTGAGACAGAGTTTCGCTCTGTTGCCTAGGCTGGAGTGCAATGCCGTGATCTCAGCTCACTGCAACCTCTGCCTCCCCAGGTTCAAGTGATTCTCCTGCCTCAGCCTCCGGAGTAGCTGGGATTACAGGCATGTGCCACCGCACATGCCTTTTTGTATTTTTAGTAGAGATGGGGTTTCACCATGTTGGCCAGGCTGGTCTCGAACTCCTGACCTCAGGTGATCCGCCTGCCTTGGCCTCCGAAAGTGCTGGGATGACAGGCATGAGCCACCGCACCCGGCCATCTTTTTGTATTTTTAGTAGAGATGGGGTTTCACCATGTTGGCCAGGCTGGTCTCAAACCCCTGACCTCAGGTGATCCGCCTGCCTCAGCCTCCAAAAGTGCTGGGATTACAGGGTGAGCCACCGCACCCGCCTGGCCAAAGGCACTGTTTTGATTCCCATTTTACAAATGAGAAGACTCAAGTCCACAAAGGGAAAGCAGCCACCCAGGTGGTATCAGGGGCAGGTTCAGCTCAGCCCCTACGCCCTGCTGGGCTCAGGGGCAGGTTCAGCTCAGGCCTACGGCCTGCTGGGCTTGAGAAGCTTCGCCTTTGTGCCTCGGTTTCCTTCTCCGTGAAATGGGAGGTGCAGCGTGGTGCTAACGTCTGTGCAGCCCTGGGCACGCCTGGCTCCGGAAGCACTGGCCAGTGGAGGTGGCAGCAAGGGATCTGCACCTGTGCACTCGCTGGACCTGCCTTGGGGAGCAGCACGTGTGGGTCCAGGCTGCGAATCCCGACCGGATTCTCAGGGAGGGGTTCTGCAAGGTGCACCCGGTGGGGGCTGGGAGCTCCTCCGGGGCGTGTTTCCCTGTGACGTAAAATGACCTCTATCCCTGAGCCCTCCCATGTAGAAAGCGGGAAGGAGGCTGGCCGCTGTGTGTGGGTGTGGGTGTGAGCTGGGTGTGTCTCTGTGTGAGCTGGGGTTTGTTTGTAGATGGCATTCCCGATATAGTCTCACCTCTGAGCAAGGGTTACCTCACAGGAAGGCAGTCCTGCAGCAAGACTCTTCTCTTTACGGAGACATCTGTGAACCTGCCTGCGCTCGCGGTTGGCCGTCGTAGAAGCATGGATAAGCATAGCCCGTGTGAATCTGTGAACCTGCCTGCGCTCGCGGTTGGCCGTCGTAGAAGCCTGGATAAGCATAGCCCGTGTGAATCTGTGAACCTGCCTGTGCTCACGGTTGGCCGTCGTAGAAGCATGGATAAGCATAGCCCGTGTGAATCTGTGAACCTGCCCGCGCTCGCGGTTGGCCGTCGTAGAAGGCCCCATAAGCATAGCCCGTGTGAATCTGTGAACCTGCCTGTGCTCACGGTTGGCCGTCGTAGAAGCCTGGATAAGCATAGCCCGTGTGAATCTGTGAACCTGCCCGCACTCGCGGTTGGCCATCGTAGAAGCCTGGATAAGCATAGCCCGTGTGAATCTGTGAACCTGCCCGCACTCGCGGTTGGCCATCGTAGAAGTGTGGATAAGCATAGCCCATGTGAATCTGTGAACCTGCCCGCATTCGCGGTTGGCCGTCGTAGAAGGCCCCATAAGCATAGCCCGTGTGAATCTGTGAACCTGCCCGCACTCGCGGTTGGCCGTTGTAGAAGCCTGGATAAGCATAGCCCGTGTGAATCTGTGAACCTGCCCGCACTCGCGGTTGGCCGTCGTAGAAGCCTGGATAAGCATAGCCCGTGTGAATCTGTGAACCTGCCCGCACTCGCGGTTGGCCATCGTAGAAGTGTGGATAAGCATAGCCCATGTGAATCTGTGAACCTGCCCGCATTCGCGGTTGGCCGTCGTAGAAGGCCCCATAAGCATAGCCCGTGTGAATCTGTGAACCTGCCCGCACTCGCAGCTGGCCGTCGTAGAAGGCCCCACAAGCATAGCCCGTGTGAATCTGTGAACCTGCCCGCACTCGCGGCTGGCCGTCGTAGAAGGCCCCATAAGCATAGCCCGGGTGAATCTGTGAACCTGCCCGCACTCGCGGTTGGCCGTCGTAGAAGCGTGGATAAGCATAGCCCGTGTGAATCTGTGAACCTGCCCGCACTCGCAGTTGGCCGTCGTAGAAGCCTAGATAAGCATAGCCCGTGTGAATCTGTGAACCTGCCCGCACTCACGGTTGGCCGTCGTAGAAGCGTGGATAAGCATAGCCCGTGTGAATCTGTGAACCTGCCTGCGCTCGCGGTTGGCCGTCTTAGAAGCGTGGATAAGCATAGCCCGTGTGATTTTTCGCTGAGCCCTGGCTTGGGCAGCTCTTGCAAGTTCTGCCTTGTGCTTTTGGGCAAAGGCTTGGGGTCCCTGTGCTACTGTTGAGATTCGGTTAATGGTGGGAATGTGGCCCCGTCCTCACTGCCACCTTCCAGGCCCTCCTACACCGACTCACCACCAGCCTGATGTTCACAGAGAGTAGTTTCTCTGCCCCAGATAGGAAAGAATCTGCTATGTCTTCCTAATTCAGCAACAGGGGTATTGGAGTGCTGGTGAGAGCCGGCTCCCACAGCCTGTAGGGACTGGTTGGTCTGGTCCTGGTTTGCAGCCCATTTAAGCAAACATATCAGTGGGTCTCAGTGCAGGAAGACAGAAGGTTTCGGCTCTGATCATTCACTCTGACTCCTCAGAGGGCATTGGGACTCCAGATAAGGTTGAGGCCCCATTTAGGAGGAAGGCGGGCTGGAAACACACCTGGTAATTAGGCAAATCAGCCCGTGCCGGGGAAGTCGAGGACACCTGGAGGAAGGGCCCAGCCTCGCCTGGCTTCTCTGTCCTCCTCATTCCAAAGACCCCTTCATTCCAGCGCGTGTGTCTCTCTGGGACTGAGGAGCGGGAGGAGTGCGTGGGAGTAGTTTAAAAGGAGTGTATGGGCCAGGTGTGGTGGCTCACACCTGTAATCCCAGCACTTTGGGAGGCTGAGGCTGGCGGATCACATGAGGTCAGGAGTTTGAGAACAGCCTGGCCAACATGGTGAAACCCCGTCTCTACTAAAAATACAAAAATTTGCTGAGCTTGGTGGCGGGCGTCTGTAGTCCCAGTTGTTTAGGAGGTTAAGGCAGGAGAATCGCTTGAATCTGGGAGGCGGAGGTTGTAGTGAGTCGAGATTGCGCCACTGCCCTCCAGCCTGGGCGACACAGTGAGACTCCATTTCAAAAACAAAAACAAAACAAACATAGGTTATTCTCTTACAGTTGAAGAGGTCAGAAACCCAGGATGATCCACCTGTCAGGGGTCAGCACCTGGACCCTCAACTGCCACTGTAAGCTCCTCTCGGTACATGCTCACAGGTTCTGGGGTTAGAACACAGACAGCTTTAGGGGCCGTGATTCTGCCGACTGCAGCGGACCGGGGGCCGAGAATCTGAGGGAGTGCCCACAACCCACCTCCAGATCCTCCTCCACTGTCTCCAGGTATTTCCTTGCGTCTCTCTCCATCCTCCCTTCCATCTCATTTTAATGCATTTCAGGGAAGTTGTGGATGGTAGGACGGTTCCCCTAAATACTTCAGCCTGTGTGGTATTAAGCAGACACCAACGTTTGTTTATAGTTGTTTCTTTTGAGGTGAAATTTACATACAGTGAAATGCAAGAATCCGGAATGTACATTCACCCAGAACGACCTTGACCTCTGCTGTGAAGGTCTCACCGCCCTGGAGAGCTGTGAAAAATATCCCCCGGCCGGGGGCGGTGGCTCACGCCTGTCATCCCAGCACTTTGGGAGGCCAAGGCAGGCGGATCACCTGAGGTCGGGAGTTCGAGACCAGCCTGACCAACATGGAGAAACCCCGTCTCTACTGAAAAAAAAAAAAAAGAAAAAAAGAAAGTTAGCTGGGCGTCGTGGTACATGCCTGTAATCCCAGCTACTGAGGAGGATGAGGCAGGAGAATCGCTTGAACCTGGGAGGCGGAGGTTGTGGTGAGCCAGGATTGCGCCATTGCACTCCAGCCTAGGTAACAAGAGTGAAACTCCAGCTAAAAAAAGAAAAAATCCTGCACCCCAGATTCCTGTTCTGTAGGTCTTTGCAGGCCCCAGGAATCTGTGTTTCCAAAGCTGCCCGTGCCTGGCCCGTCGCGTGGGTTCTGGAATTGCAGGTCTTCTCCCTCGAGCAGGACTCGAGGCTCCGTTGTCAGGCCTGTTAAATCCAGATCCGAGTCCTGCCCGGAACATCTGACTCTGACCCTCCCAGGTCAGCCTGAGAATCTGCATCTGTAACAAGTTCCCTGGTCTGCTGCTGCAGGAGTGAGGCACCCCACCCTCAGGGGACTCGGATGGTGGTGAGGGGGAAGAGTTGAGGTCTCCGTGTCAGCCCTGGAGCCAAGGCTAGGCCCAGGGTCAGACTCAGCTGGGTGGCCTTGGGTCAGTTCCTCACCCTCTCTGGACCTCTTGGACCGGGATTAATAGCATAGCCGCATCGTGAGGCGCATGTGACAGGGGTGCTTCTTAGCCAGGAGAGAGGGCACCTTCTCAGGTAGGATCTGACGCTGTCACCTCTCAGCTGCTGCCTTTCTGCTGTGACCAGCGGTGGGGTCCCCTTAGGGCTCACCTCAAGACTTGACACACGCCAGGCAGGGGCTGGGTCGGGATCCCTGCAGGAGCGGAGAAGCGGGGGATCAGGGGCACTGCTGAGGGCAGTTCTGTGGCCAACACACGCCTCCCGGACTCGGGTCTCCGCACGCACCTCCCGGACTCGGGTCTCCGCAGGCATTGATGCCTGGCATCCTGGGTTCTTGTTGAGGAGGAGGACGCCCCGTGCGGGGGGCGTGTGAGTTTATGGAACGAGTGGGTTGGTCTCAGCCAGGGATCAGCCACCGCCCTCTGAGACGAGCACTGGCGGAAGTGAGATGCAAGAGGAAGCTCACGGCTCAACCACATGGTTCCCTCTGACCCAAAGAGCAGGCTCTGTTTGCTAAACAAACACAGACTCCTGGTTTCGTGCGGGCGTTTCTCCCTCTGGGCTTCCATTTGCCTGCTCTCAGCAGCTTCTTTTTTTGTTTTTATTTTTTTTTCTGAGACAAGTCTTGCTCTGTCACCCAGGCTGGAGTGCCTCAGCTCACTGCAGTCTCCGCCTCCGGGGATCAAACGATTCTCCCACCTCAGCCTCCAGAGTAACTGGGACCACAGGCACACACCACCACGCTCAGCATTTTTTTTTTTTTTTTTTTTTTTTGTATTTTTAAGAGAGACGGGATCTTACCACATTGCCCAGGCTGGAGTGTAGTGGTGCAATCTCAGCTCACTGCAAACTCCACCTCCTAGGTTCTTGCCATTCTCCTGCCTCAGCCTCCTGAGTAGCTGGGACTACAGGAACCCACCACCATGCCCAGCTAATTTTTGTATTTTTTAGTAGAGATGGGGTTTCACCATGTTGGCCAGGCTGGTCTTGAACCCCTTACCTCAGGTGATCGGCCTGCCTCGGCCTCCCAAAGTGCTGGGATTACAGGCGTGAGCCACCGTCCCCAGCCTACAATAACTCTTATGGTAGGTGATTTCTCTGTTTCATCAGCGGGAACCAGGGAAGCTCAGGGAAGCACGGTGAGCCACGGAAGCCACACAGGCTGTCTGATGGCAGATCTGTGTTTGCCCCAGACCACCAGGCCCCCACCCTGAATTCTAAGACTGACTTGGGTGCTGCGGGCTTACTCACTCTCACACCTTGATTTCTTGACACTCGCACATCCACATGCTCCAAATCAAAGTGCAGAGTGCAATGAAGGGTGTCCAACAGCCCGTGCTAGGAGTGTTTTTCATCTGTGCAGCAGGCAGGTGGCTCTGTCTCCTCCTGCACTCAGGGGCTCCCCTCTCTTTTCCTCAGTGTGGGTCTTGGGTTTTCTCCGCACAAAGGGCTCTTGTTCTCTTTCATGGCTGCCCAGTGTCCCTGTGTGCAATCTAGTAGAGACGGGGTTTCACCATGTTGGCCAGGCTGGTCTTGAACCTTTTACCTCAGGTGATCTATCTGCCTCGGCCTCCCAAAGTGCTGGGATTACAGACGTGTCTCAAGTGGACACATCTGTGTTTCGAGTGTTAAACTGTTAGGAGGGGGCTGGGCGCTGTGGCTCACGCCTGTAATCCCAGCACTTTGGGAGGCCAAGGCGGGTGGATCACGAGGTCAGGAGATCGAGACCATCCTGGCTAACATGGTGAAACCCCATCTCTAAAAATACAAAAATTACTAAATACAAAAAAATTACTAAAAATACAAAAAATTAGCTGGGCGTGGTGGCGGGCGCCTGTAGTCCCATCTACTTAGGAGGCTGAGGCAGGAGAATGGCATGAACCCAGGAGGCAGAGATTGCAGTGAGCCGAGATCGCGCCACTGCACTCCAGCCTGGGCGACAGAGCGAGACTCCATCTCAAAAAAAAAAAAAAAACTGTTAGGGATGTCATGGGTGTGTGGCCGGGTGCCTGTGCCTTCCAGGAGTGTTGGCAGTGGGTGGGGGGCGGCGCTGATTTGAAAGTTGCTGCAGGGTGCCTGCTTTGGGCTGTTGCTAGTTCGTGGGTCTGCCAGGAATGGGTGTGCTGCGTCCCCCTGTCTGCCCTGGCCCTGGTGCTTCTGAGAGCACTCAGCCTGAGACCTGGGAAGCAGGAAACCCCTGGAGGCGGGAGAGATCAGAGATGGCTTCACTCACAGTCAGCGTTTAAGCAGCGGCCACGTGCGGGGGTTGGGCCCAATGTAGCCAAATGCTATGGCCTCATCAAGATGTGTGAGGTCTTCCTCTGGGGGTGGGGTGAAAAGGGGAGTCGTACCCCTTCCCATGCAGAGAGCATGGGCTCCCCCAGAGCCATCCCTGTCCTGACCCCAAGGCTAAGAGAGTCAAAGGCAGGGCAGCCTTGGGCCAAGCCTGGCCAGGGGGCCCTGGTGGCCTCACTGCCATTGTCACTGATGATCATGCCTGTGTGTGTCTGCCACCTGACTTGTTATTCGAGGTAACGCCATGCGTGAGATTGAGCAGGAGTCATCTCTGTCCTGCAGGTGAGGAAGTGAGGTCACAGGGGCAAGACACCCAGCGCCAGTAGCCACAGGTTGGTCAGGATCTGACCTCCCACCAAACCCCTTGTCGGGCTAGGCTGACGCTCCCAAGCAGATGGAGGCTGAGGCTGCCTGGTAACCTCTGTCCACCACCCACCTCCCTGCAGTGTGGGACGACCTTCCTCTTGAAGCTGCTGGAGGAGCTGCAGGCAGCAAATGTCCCACAGACATCCCTCTTCCAAATGAAACCTGTCATCTTTTTTTTTTTTTTTTTTTTTTGAGACGGAGTCTCGCTCTGTCGTCCAGGCTGGAGTGCAGTGGCGCGATCTCGGCTCACTGCAAGCTCCACCTCCCGGGTTCACATCATTCTCCTGTCTCAGCCTCCCGAATAACTGGGACTACAGGCGCCCGCCACCAGGCCTGGCTAATTTTTTAGATTTTTAGTAGAGACGGGGTTTCACCGTGTTAGCCAGGATGGTTTCGATCTCCTGACCTTGGGATCCGCCCGCCTCGGCCTCCCAAAGTGCTGGATTACAGGCATGAGCCACCATGTCTGGCCCAAATCCTTTCAAAGTTATATTTTAATGTTACCGTAATGTTTCTCTCAAAAGTTGGAGATGGTTTGCATAAAAATAAAAAGTTTTCAAATTTTTTTTTTTTTTTTTTTGAGATGGAGTCACTCTGTCGCCCAGGCTGGAGTGCAATGGCGCAATCTCGGCTCACTGCAAACTCCGCCTCCCAGGTTCACGCCATTCTCCTGCCTCAGCCTCCCGAGTAGCTGGGACTACAGGTGCCCGCCACCACGCCCAGCTTATTTTTTTGTATTTTTTAGTAGAGACGGGGTTTCACCGTGTTAGCCAGGATGGTCTCGATCTCCTGACCTCATGATCCGCCTGCCTCGGCCTCCCAAAGTGCTGGGATTACAGGCGTGAGCCACCGCGCCCAGCTGAAACCTGTCATCTTTTACAAGCACACACAGGATTGTTTCAAAGAAGACTCCCTAGCATCTTTGTTCTAGTCATTTGTTATTTTACACAAAAGAAATCTGAGTCAGGTGCAGTAGCTCACACCTGTACTCCCAGCACTTTGGGAGGCTGAGGCGGGAGGATCGCTTGAGCCCAGGAAGTCATGGCTGCAGTGAGCCATGATTACACCACTGCACTCCAGCCTGGGTGACAGAGCAACACCTTGTTTCAAAAAAAAAAAAAAAGGAAAAAGAAACTCAGGTGGCTTTTCTTCTCTCATTGAGGCTGTGCTTCCCTGCAGGGAGAAATAGGCTCTTAACTCTTAGTGGTGGATGGAAACGAGGGGTCCTGGTTCTGCCTCCCACCTTAGCATGGCACTAATAGACTTGATGAGAATCTGGGGTCCTTACTGCCTCCGTCTGCTCTACCCTGGAGAGAATTTTTTAGATAAGCAAAAGGTGGTTTGCATAACCCCATGTGGCCACGTTGGTGACGTGGTTGTGGTAGCTCTGTGGCCACGTTGGTGACGTGGTTGTGGTAGCTCTGTATGCACTTATACCTGGGTGTTCGGCTGGGTTGCTTGCTGTGGTCTGGCCATGCTCGGTGGCCCAGCTGCCCCATTTATTAGGGGTATGGTCTTGGGTAAGTTTCTCAACCTGCCTGAGCCTCGATTTCCTCATCTGTAACGAGGAAATTATGGCACCAACCTTTATGGGATGGCTGCGCAGATAGAGGCCACGGTAAATAATTTTTTTTTTTTTGAGATGGAGTTTTGCTTTTGTTACCCAGGCTGGAGTGCAGTGGCACGATCTCGGCTCACCGCAACCTCCACCTCCCAGGTTCAAGCCGTTCTCTTGCCTCAGCCTCCCAAGTAGCTGGGATTACAGGCGTGTTCCTCCCGAGTAGCTGGGATTACAGGCATGCGCCACCATGCCCGGCTAATTTTGTATTTTTAGGAGAGGTGGGGTTTCTCCCTGTTGGTCAGGCTGGTCTCCAACTCCTGACCTCAGGTGATCCGCCTACCTCAGCCTCCCAAAGTGCTGGGATTACAGGCGTGAGCCACCGCACCCCACAGTAAATAATTTTTTAACATCTAGTTTTATAACATCTGAGTTTTATAACATCCTGGGCTCGGGCTCTGACTGCAAAGGCCTCTGTCGGCCCCCAAGTCTCCCCCAGATAATCTCTCATCTCAGAACCCAGAGACACCCCAAGTCTTTGCAGCTTAAATACAATTAGATTCATGAACACGTAATTTTTTTTTTTTTTTTTTTTTTGTGACGGAGTCTCACTCTGTTGCCCAGGCTGGAGTGCAGTGGCACCATCTTGACTCACTGCAACCTCCACCTCCTGGGTTCAAGCGATTCTCCTCTCTCAGCCTCCCAAGTAGCTGGGATTACAGGCATGTGCCACCATGCCCAGCTAATTTTTGTATTTTTAGTAGAAACGGGGTTTTGCCATGTTGGCCAGACTGGTCTTGAACTCCTGACCTCAGGTGATCCACCCACTTCGGCCTCCCGAAGTGCTGGGATTACAGGCGTGAGCCACCGTGCCCGGCCGTGAACATTTAATTTTGATACAACTTTTTTTGTTAACCTATGGAGTATTTGAGCCAGAGGCACAAACATTAAAATTATTCCAACCAGAAGCTTCCCATGCACTGAGGACCTCGCCTGATGTGGGCTTAGTCTGTGAAGGCACTGAAGGGCCAGCCGGCCACCAGTCAGCCCTTCCCCACAGGGCCCTGGTCTGTTCCAGGGAGCACCTTTGTTTGGGTCTGATGTCTTCCACCTTCCCATGGCCTCGGCCCAATCACAGCTGCAAACGTGCTGAACGCCCAGCGCGGGCCAGGACTGCCCAGGCCCTGGGGACCCACACCCCCACCGTGGGCCACACATTGTTCTATGAACTCCACTGATGCGGGGGTGGATTGCTTTCCATTATGTTAATGGAGCAGGCTCCCTTTATCTTTGGCAATCTTCCTGGTTCTTGATGGCATTTTGAAAATATTTGTGGAGTTAGCAGGTCCACTGAGCAGATGATTTCATGGCTTAGATATAGACGCATATATACATCTTACCTCATTCCAGAAAGAATTCCAGGCAGCTGGAGCTCTTGTTCTAGCACAGTCCCACCTGCATGCCCAGTTCAAGGAAGGCTGTAGAATCGGGTGGATGTTTTGCATCCCACCCAGCGCAGCATCTTGGGAACCCCGGGGGAGGAGGGTTGGGGAGCACAGACCCTGGGCCCCACGGCCTGGCCCCACTCCTGGCACTTATCAGCCCTGATACCTTGGAGCAAACAGATTCATCCTCCGGTCTCTGTTTCCTCATCTGTGAAACGGGAAGTGGAGCAACCAGCTCCAGCGTGAGCACCGGCAAAAGGCAGGTTCGCTCCCGGGCCTCCCTCAGGGCCAGGTTTCATCAATGAAATACGTGACTCCAGCTTCCACCTGCATTTCCACTCGGACTGTGGTTCTCTAAGAGGCATAAACAGTCTTGGGGGGACATCTCCAAATCGGTGGTCTCAGTCAGATGCCGACTTACCTGCTCTGCAAAGTCTGTCTCTCCCTCTGACCCGGGGTTTCTCATCTGACTGCTGTGATTTCAGTGTGCACAACCTCAGTCCCAGGCAGGTGGTGTGTCTCATCTCAGACCACAGGTTCTTTCCTGAAGATGTGCCTCGATGGATGGAGCTGCTGCCTTGCTGCCACGTTTTTTTTTTTTTGTTTGTTTTTGTTTTTTGTTTTTTTTTTTTTTTTTTTGAGACAGAGTCTCGCTTTGTTGCCCAGGCTGGAATGCAGTGGCGTGATCTCGGTTCACTGCAACCTCCACCCCTCAGGCTCAAGTGATCCTCCCACCTCAGTCTCCCGAGTAGCTAGGACTACATATATGCACTACCATGCCCAGCTATTTTTATGTATTTTTTGGAGAGATGAGGTTTCGATATGTGGCCCAGGCTGGTCTCAAACTCCTAATCTTAAGTGATCCACCCGCCGTGGCACCTCAAAGTGCTGAGATTACAGGCATGAGCTGCCGTGCCTGGCCTTTTTTTTTTTTTGAGACAGGGTCTCACTCTGTCGCCCAGGCTGGTGTGCACTGGTGCAATCTTGGCTCACTGCAGCCTCAACCTCCTGGGCTCAAGAGGTCCTCCCGAGTAGCAGGACTACAGGCACCTGCCACCACGCCTGGCTAATTTTTTTATTTTTATTTTTATATATTTTTTGAGATGCAGTCACGCTCTGTTGCCCAAGCTGAAGTGCAGTGGCATGATCTTGGGTCAGCCTCCACCTGCAGCCTCCATCTCCTGGGTTCAAGCGATTCTCACGCCTCAGTCTCCTGAGTAGCTGGGATTACAGGTGCTCTCCACTATGCCTGGCTCATTTTTGTATTTTGTACTTTTAGTAGAGATAGGGTTTCATCATGTTGGTCAGGCTGGTCTTGAACTGCTAGCCTCAAGTGGTCCACCCACCTCAGCCTCCCAAAGTAATTTTTTTTTTTTTTGAGACAGAGTCTCACTCTGTTGCCCAGGCTGGAGTGCAGTGGTGCAATCTCGGCTCACTGCAAGCTCTGCCTCCTGGGTTCACGCCATTCTCCTGCATCACCCTCCCGAGTAGCTGGGACTACAGGTGCCCGCCACCACGCCTGGCTAATTTTTTGTATTTTTAGTACAGACGGGGTTTCACCGTGTTAGCCAGGATGGCCCCGATCTCCTGACGTTGTGATCCGCCTGCCTCAGCCTCCCAAAGTGCCGGGATTACAGGCGTGAGCCACCGCGCCTGGCCCTCCCAAAGTAATTTTAAAATTTTTTGTAGCCACAGGGGCTTACTATGTTGTCCAGGCTGGTTTTGAACTCCTGGCTGCTAGCAGCTCTCCCACCTCGGCATCTCAAAGTGCTGGGATTATAGGTGTGAGCCACCACATCTGGCCTCCTACTCCACCTGCCCCTCCTTCACTCTTACTCCCAGCCATGTTTCCCTAGGGGCAGCCTCCTGCAGTGCCCGGGACAGACTGTGGGACCTGTTGGCTGCTCTCCAGCCCTGACTCGCCTTTGAGTGGTCACCATGGAGGGGCTGCTGCGTGGGGCACTGGGGGTCTGTCCACAAGCTGACCATCATCCTTCTGCAAGTAGGGGTTGCCTTGCTCTCCCGGCCCCTGTACCTGGGTGTCCTGCTTAGAGCCAGCTCGAGCCGGGCCTCATGGGTGTTCGTCCAAATGACCAAGTGGCTGGGCCTGCTGTGAGCTTTCTGGTGTTCCGGCGGAGAGTGGGGCTGTGGTGTGTGTCCCCGAGGGGGAGGTGGGGGGACAGCAGTGTTTATTGGGGTCCCGGGGATGCTGACAAATAACTTAACTCCCTCTTCTCTTACAGAACCTGCAACCATGGTCGTGCCACTAGCCAGCTCGGAAGCCCAGGTACTTTTTAAAAAATTCCAAGTATTACTTGATGTGTGTTAAAACGTACCTGCATCTTAAAATGTAAATCATAAAACATATATAGTTACACAGTTGTTTCAGGGAGGCAGGGTGCAGATGAAGTACCCAACAGGCTTAGTTGCAGGGACTGGATGAAACGCTGTTCACAGAGAGCAGACGTGGAGGAGACCGCCGGGGTGGGGAGGGTCCCCGTGGTGCTTCCGGCCTGGAGGAGGCAGTGGTGTTACTTCCTTCCACAGCTGCACAGATGAGGGGCACAGCTGACGTCTGCAGGGCCGGCCTCCCAGACACAGAGCCGGGGTCAGGGAGACGACTTCAGGTGCAAACAGGAAAAATCAGCCTGGTGACCAGTGCCCCGAAACCCCACCCGACCAAAACTGGAACCTCACCGCAGGGCAGGGCCTTCCTCTCCCATTCACCTGCCCTGAAGTCATGTCTGGAACGTCATGTTTCCACTTTCTACTGCCTTTTTAGTTTTCTTTCTTTGTTTTTTTTGCTTTTGTTCATTTTATTTTATTTTATTGTTTTGAGATGGAGTCGCGCTCTGTCGCCCAGGCTGGAGTGCAGTGGTGTGATCTCGGCTTACTGCAAGCTCCGCCTCCCGGGTTCACACCTTTCTCCTGCCTCAGCCTCCCAAGTAGCTGGGACTACTGGTGCCCGCCACCACGCCCGGCTAATTTTTTTCTATTTTTAGTAGAGACGGGGTTTCACCGTGTTAGCCAGGATGGTCTTGATGTCCTGACCTTGTGATTCACCTGCCTCGGCCTCCCAAAGTGCTGGGATTACAGGAGTGAGCCACCGCGCCCGGCCTTATTTTATTTTTTAATAGAGATGTCTCACTATGTTGCCCGGACTAGTCTCAAACTCCTGGGCTCAAGCCATCCTCCCACTTGGCCTCCCAAAGTGCTGGGATTACAGTTCTGAGCCACTGTGCCTGGCCTCTTTTTTTTTTTGAGATAGAATCTCCCTCTGTCACCCAGGTTGGACTGCAGTGGTGCGATCTCAGCTCACTGCAACCTCGGCTAGTTGCAGCGCAACCTCCGTCTCCTGGGTTCAAGCAATTCTCCTGCCTCAGCCTCCCGAGTAGCTGAGATTACAGGCGCATGCCACCACGCCTGGCTAATTTTTGTGTTTTTTTTTGTTTTTGAGACAGAGTCTCTCTCTGTCACCAGGCTGGAGTGCAGTGGCGTGATCTTGGCTCACTGCAACCTCCGCCTCCCGGGTTCACGCCATTCTCCTGGCCAGCCTCTCAAGTAGCTGGGACTACAGGCGCCCGCCACCATGCCCGGCTAATTTTTGTATTTTTAGTAGAAGTGGGGTTTCACCATGTTGGCCAGGATGGTCTCAAACTCCTGACCTCATGATTCACCCACCTCAGCCTCCCAAACTGCTGGGATTACAGGTGTGAGCCATCACGCCCAGCCTTTTTTTTTTTTTTTTTAGATCTACCCTCTTGTTGCCCAGGGGGAGTCCAGTGGCGTGATCTTGGCTCACTGCAACCGCCGCCTCCCGGGTTCAAGCAATTCTCCTGCCTCAGTCTCCCGAGTGTCTTCTGTCTTTTGTAAAAGTTTTTCATGCCCAAGTGAGATTAATTGTTTAAAAAAAAAAAAACAAGAAGAAAACAACATAGATTTACCGCAAGACCTATTGATATATTATTAAACATGGTGGTATACCCAGGGTGGGTGTGACACAGACCAAAAGAGGCTGTGTGTTCTGTTGTTGATAATTTAAAAACAATAATAAAACCGAAGTCTATGTCACCACAAACAGCACTTAACAATTCAGTGATAAGGCACCTGCCACCGTGGAGAACCTCGGGGCGGGGATGTTTAGACTGCATGCGCTCAGGTTGCCTGGCAGCTCTGTGTGTGGAGATGCCATTGTGCTATACGTAGTGTCCTGGGACGTGAGTGGGGGCCTGTCTGTGTGGCTGTGTCCGGTTGTCGTGTGTCTCACTGTTGCGTTGTACACGGGACAGTTTACCTTTCTGAAGTCCAGGACTCCAGGGCTGGGAGGCCGGCTGGCCCTGCTGTCCCGAGTCTCCAAACAGAGCAGCTGCTGCCTACCGCCTGGAAGACCTTCCAAAGGGGGCCTGCCGTGGTACATCTTAAACGTTTTACAGAGAGCTTGGTATGCAGGGACGCAGCCTGGACTGTTTGTCTCAGAGGCGCATACGTTAACCTGATCGCCCTGTCCCCAGGAAAGACGGCAAAGGAGTTCCTTAACGTCTCGCTCCTGGATTCCATGAAATGACTGCACAGCCCCTCAGTTACTGGGCAGGTGTCCTGGGCTGGCAGTACTGCCCACCTGCTGCCCCAGGCCTGCACCTGCTGTGGGCGGGTGGAGGTGGGAGGCCCTGAGACTGGCTGCCTGCCCAGAATTTTCCTTATGGGAAAGCAAGTTTTTTGCTTTTCAGAGAAAGTTGCCAGTGACCTGGGCACAGAAGAGCTTTTATGGACGCAGCCTTCAGATAAGAGGCTCGGGTTGGAGTTAACCCTTTCAGTAATGTGATCAGGAAAAGCAGGGAGTGGCCTAGAGGGGCTGGGTGCTGCTGTGGACCGTGTGGGGGTTGGGGGCTTTGCTGCTTCCTCCCTCTGTCTGTCCTGTGCCACGAGGCACAATCGGAGCCACGCGACCAGGGACAGCACGAGCTGAGGCCAGCCCCACCCGGAGCAGGTGGGAAACACATTTCCCGCTACGCTGTCCTTCCCTGCCCTTCCCTCTGGGAATTTGTGTGAACAGCGGCTCTTCCAGTCGGCTTCCTCACACCCCGCCCTCTGTCACTGTGCCCAGGAGGGGCCCTCAGATTCCTCTCTGGAGGTCCCTTGCCCCAGGTGACCCCCCGAGCCCTGGCCAGGGCCCTGCTGTCACTGGTCGGGTGTGGCTGTTAGGCCTTGGCTGCTGCAGCGCCCTCTGACCTTGATTCTAGGATGTGTCTTGCCCGCCTACAGCAGAGATGAGATAACAGTGAGCCCCCAAGGTGGGCTGGGGCTCCACTCCCACTGATATACTTCCCACCAGTGCCCTTGCAGGTTCCAGGGCCTTCTGTGGCGTTTCTGCAGGACAGACGAGGCAGGTTCCAGGGCCTTCTGCGGCGTTTCTGCAGGACAGACGAGGCAGGTTCCAGGGCCTTCTGTGGTGTTTCTGCAGGACAGACGAGGCAGGTTCCAGGGCCTTCTACAGTATTTCTGCAGGACAGACGAGGCAGGTTCCAGGGCCTTCTGCGGCGTTTCTGCAGGACAGATGAGGCAGGTTCCAGGGCCTTCTGCGGCGTTTCTGCAGGACAGATGAGGCAGGTTCCAGGGCCTTCTGCAGTGTTTCTACAGGACAGACGAGGCAGGTTCCAGGGCCTTCTGTGGTGTTTCTGCAGGACAGACGAGGCAGGTTCCAGGACCTTCTGTGGTGTTTCTGCAGGACAGACGAGGCAGGTTCCAGGGCCTTCTGCGGCTTTTTTGCAGGTCAGACGAGGCAGGTTCCAGGGCCTTCTGCGGCGTTTCTGCAGGACAGATGAGGCAGGTTCCAGGGCCTTCTGCAGTGTTTCTGCAGGACAGACGAGGCAGGTTCCAGGGCCTTCTGTGGTGTTTCTGCAGGACAGACGAGGCAGGTTCCAGGGCCTTCTGTGGCGTTTCTGCAGGACAGACGAGGCTGTGTTCTTGGGCCTTGTCCTGGCCTGACTTTCACCTGTTCTTGTTCTGCCCGGCTCAGGATCAGGTTTCCTGGGCTCCCAGCAGTGGGTGGTGGGGAAGGAACACAGGAAATGAGAGGCCAAAGGGCCCCCCTGCAGGGCCACTGAGGCAAAGCGGCCCCAGGAAGTGGACAGTGCCTGGGGGAGGCGTGGCTCCATCTGCCACACCATGGCCCCCCACCCTGGCAGTGTGGCACAGAGCTGAGAGAGGGGCCATGAGCAGCCGCCCGTCCTGATCCAGCTTGGGCAGTCGAGACTGTGTTCAAGGGGACCGACCTCTCCATGCCTCCGTCCCTGTCCCCACGTCAGTGTGGCTCGAGGTGAGGTTGGTACGTGATGTGCAGGGCCCGGCACAGCATCTGACATAAGGAGTGCTGTCGTTATATTTGTGTGTGTGGGTCTTTCTTTCCTTGTTGTAAAGCGAAACTATGAGAACCCTTTAAGACATGGAACACAGCACTGTGCAGCTGAGAGTGTCCGTGTAATTGTCCATCGACCTCCTGTGTCCGACTGTGCTGCCTCTGCCTGCCTGTCCCAGCAGACCTGGCCACCTGGGGACCACCTGGGCCTGTGGGCCTGGAAGTCGGTGCAGACGATGGTGACTAGGGTGGGCAGGTCGGCACCCCCATATCACTCCACAGAACCACTGGTGCCCTTCGTGGTAGATTATGAAAGTCAGGGTCCCTGTCAAGTAAAATCGAGAAATGCTGAGTTAAGAGGTCGCTACTGTGAAGCTTCACTAATTTTTAATGTGCTTTTAAAAAAACTTCTTTTTTTTTTTGAGACAGAGTCTTGCTTTGTCACCCAGGCTGGAGTGCAGAGGCCCGATCTCGGTTCACTGCAACCTCCACCTCCCAGGTTCAAGCGATTCTCCTGCCTCAGCCTCCCAAGTAAATGGGATTTCAGGCGTGCACCACCACGCCCAGCTAATTTTTGTATTTTTAGTAGAGACGGGGTTTCATCATGTTGGTCAGGCTGGTCTTGAACTCCTGACCTCGTGATCCGCCCGCCTCGGCCTCCCAAAGTGCTGGGATTACAGGTGTGGGCCACCGCGCCCGGCCGGGAACATCCTTTTCATCCGGTCCATGTCTTGCTTGTGCCTTGGTCTCTTGTGGACCGACAGCTGCTGTCTCCCTGGCCGGGTGCTGGGCCCTCTGCACCCACCAGCCGCGTTCTCCCCGCCCCACCCCCCTGCAGTACCGCCCAGTGACCGCGCCCCTGTCCCGCAGACCGTGCAGTCCCTCGGCTTCGCCATCTACCGCGCGCTGGACTGGGGGCTGGACGAGAGCGAGGAGCGCGAACTCAGCCCTCAGCTGGAGCGGCTCATCGACCTCATGGCCAACAACGACAGCGAGGACAGCGGCTGCGGTGCCGCCGATGAGGGCTACGGGGGTCCCGAGGAGGAGGAGGAGGCCGAGGGCGTCCCCCGCAGCGTGCGCACCTTTGCCCAGGCCATGCGGCTGTGCGCGGCGCGGCTGACCGACCCCCGGGGCGCACAGGCGCATTACCAGGCCGTGTGCCGCGCGCTCTTCGTGGAGACGCTGGAGCTGCGGGCCTTCCTGGCCAGGGTCCGGGAGGCCAAGGAGGTGAGCGGTGGGTGGGGGCGACCGTGGAGGGTCCGGGAGGCCAGGGAGGGGAGCAGTGGGTGGGAGGGGACTGGCAAGGACGTCTCTTCGTGGACAGAAAGTCAGGTCGTCGGTGCGACTGCCGCTGGCATTATGTATTCCCACTTAATCCTCACGCTTTCTTGTTGTTTTTTTGTTGTTGTTGTTGTTTTTTTAGACAGGGTCTCACTCTGTCACCCAGGCTGGAGGGGTAGTGGCTCGATCTCGGCTCACTGCAACCTCCGCCTCCCAGGTTCAAGCAATTCTCCTGCCACAGGCTCCCAGGTAGCTGGGATTACAGGTGCCCACCACCATGCCTGGTAGTAGAGACGGGGTTTCACCATGTTGGCCAAGCTGGTCTCGAACTCCTGACCTCAGGTGATCCATCTGCGTCGGCCTCCCAAAGTGCTGGGATTACAGGCATGAGCCACCACGCCTGGCCTCACACTTTCTTCTTACCAGAGAAGTTAAGTGGTGGGCTCAGCCTCTTCCCCAACTGCTCTCTCCCGTTGCCTGAGTTGTTATCCTCTCCCAGCGCGCATTATTCTCTCTTCCTCCACTTTTACATCTGCAAGAGAGCGCCCTTCCTCCTGCCTCCCCACCAGCCTCTCCAGGCCCTGGTTCCTTCTGAAATATGATGCCAAAGGTGGCCCCCTCTATACGCAGGAACCACAGGGAGGCTCAGCGACTTGCTTGGAGCTTTGGGTGGGGACGGGCCGTTCGGTGAGAAAGCCCACTTGCTGGGCCTGTGACAACCCAGCCTCATTCTCCTGCCCCTTACAGGTGGAGGGGTCACTTGACAGATGAGCAAGTGCAGGCTCTAAGGCTGGGACCCTTGCCCGAAGCCACAAAGCAAGAGTCGGGCAGTGCTAGGCTCCGACGTGGCTCCCAAGCCGGAGCTCTCCCCTGGGCCTCCTATCTCTCCGTGGACTCAGAGTTAGGAGCAACCATCCCTCTCTGACTCTCTCAGCCTCTCCCTGGGCACGGCTGCTGCCCCAAGGGAGCTGATGTGTTTCTGTGTCGTGGGGTCTCTGCACACATGGGCTCTGCCTTTTATCCCGTCAGCATCTCATGGAGGAGAACGCCAGGCCTTGGAGAGGCAGGGGATTCCCTCTTGCCTCGGTGGCAGAAGGTGTTTTCGAAGTTAACTAGTGCTGGTCTGTCATTCCTCCCTGACCCTTTATGGTGCTGTGTCTCTCCTGTCCTCTAACCGAGGAAGGTTCCTGGCCAGCTTCCCGAACCCTCTGAGCCTTTGCAGGTGGTTTTGACGCCGGGTGGCAGCCTGAGCTGCTCGGCCTCATCTGCAGCCCAAGCGTGTGCCAAGGTTGGACGGCTCTCCCCCCACCCCCCAGATCCCCTGGCCCATCTTCCATCCTCCCCCAACCCGCCAGATCCCCTGGCCCATCTTCCATCCTCCCCCCACCCACCAGATCCCATGGCCCATCTTCCATCCTCCCCCCACCCCCCAGATCCCATGGCCCATCTTCCATCCTCTCCCCACCCACCAGATCCCATGGCCCATCTTCCATCCTCCCCCCACCCCCCAGATCCCATGGCCCATCTTCCATCCTCCCCCCACCCACCAGATCCCATGGCCCATCTTCCATCCTCTCCCCACCCACCAGATCCCATGGCCCATCTTCCATCCTCCCCCCACCCCCCATATTCCATGGCCCATCTTCCATCCTCCCCCCACCCCCCAGATCCCATGGCCCATCTTCCATCCTCCCCCCACCCCCCAGATCCCATGGCCCATCTTCCATCCTCTCCCCACCCACCAGATCCCATGGCCCATCTTCCATCCTCCCCCCACCCCCCAGATCCCATGGCCCATCTTCCATCCTCCCTCCACCCCCCGGATCCCCTGGCCCATCTTCCGTCCTCTCCCCACCCCCTGGATCCCCTGGCCCATCTTCCATCCTCCCTCCACCCCCCAGATCCCCTGGCCCGTCTTCCGTCCTCCCTCTCACCCCCCGGATCCCATGGCCCGTCATCCGTCTTCTCTCTCACCCCCCGGATCCCATGATCCGTCTTCCGTCCTCCCTCTCACCCCCCGGATCCCATGGCCCGTCTTCCGTCCTCCCTCTCACCCCCCGGATCCCATGGCCCGTCTTCCGTCCTCCCTCTCACCCCCCGGATCCCATGGCCCGTCTTCCGTCCTCCCTCTCACCCCCCGCATCCCATGGCCCCTCTTCCGTCCTCCCTCTCACCCCCCGGATCCCATGGCCCGTCTTCCGTCCTCCCTCTCACCCCCCGCATCCCATGGCCCGTCTTCCATCCTCCCTCTCACCCCCCGGATCCCATGGCCCGTCTTCCATCCTCCCTCTCACCCTCAAGATCCCATGGCCCATCTTCCGTCCTCTCTCTCAGCTCCCCCTTGGCCTCCTGGGACATGCTTCTAACGTTCCCCACAATTAGCAGACGGTCCTCCTGCTGTTGTGTCTCTGATCAGGCTGTTTTCTGCTGCTCAGATCAGTTTCTTACCCAGTGAAAGCTCTTTCATTCTTAGAGACACAGTCTTACTCTGTTGCCCAGGCTGGTCTCAAACTCTTGGGCTCAAGTGATCCTCCCACTTCGGCCTCCCAGAGTGCTGGGGTTACAGCTATGAGCCACTGTTCCCGGCCAGAAAGCACTTTCTTTAGGAGGAAACGGCTCTGTATGCAGGCAGTTGACTGAGGCGAAGTTTGGGGAATTGGTAGTAGGACCAAGTGAGAGAAGGGTCTCTCCATGGGGTGTAGCTGTGTCTGTTGGCATTTTGGCCAGGAGCGGCCTGCTCAGGAACAGGTACAGGTGTTCCCGGAAGGACAGGAGTGCCACCCTCTGTGCCCTTTGCCCTGGGCTGGCATACATGAGGCCTGTGGGCAGACACACACCTCACGCTGCCCAGGGAGTGTCCCAAAGCAGTGTGGCGGGTACCTGGGGCCGAAGCCAGGGTGACCGGTTCTGCCTTGGTTGTGGGGGCTGTGCCAAAGGGTAGGTGCTTCTCTAGAGTTGGGACTTCGTGACAGCAGAGGCTGCGTGCCACCGAGATCGTGCGTGACGGAGGCAGCAGGTGCCGCGCCTTCTTCCCAAGTTCTCAGCACAGAGCGCTTCCCAAACAGGCCCTCACCACAGTGTTGGCACCTTCCCCAGTTCACAAAGTACATACCCATGTCTGTTTCCCTGGACTTGCCAGGCAGCAGCTCATCCACCCTCCCATCCACCTGTCCACCACGTATCCATTCACCCAAGCCATGCACAAAGACTGGCCTGTGCCACACTGCGCTGAGCCCCAGACGCTACTCAGAGAAGCAGCTCAGCGTAAAGGCCTGGCTGGGACCTAGAGCAGCTGCGGGGACTCGGGGGTGGCAGGGTGCATGGCCCACCTGAGGAAATGCTGTGTGGACTGAGTGGAGTCTCCACACCTGTGTCCGCCGCCTGTGGCGATGGCTCGGTTTCCCCAGATACCTTTTCGAGTCCTATGGCCTGGGCCAAAATGCCCAGCTGTCTCTTTTCCGGCTGGTCGAGTGGAGCCCCCGTGACGTGGTCGTGTCCCTGACGGACGGGGCCCGTCTTGCATCTGCCATTCTCGTACCTCCCCTGGACTGACGAGCACGTGTGGTCACAGATGCTGCAGAAGCTTCGGGAGGACGAGCCGCATCTGGAGACGCCTCGGGCAGAGCTGGACAGCCTGGGTCACACAGACTGGGTAAGGCTCACTCCCACCTGACCGGGCCACTGACGCGGCCCAGCCTGCCAAGGGTCTCTGCCTGGGGGGCCGTGGAGCTTCACCTGGGGCTGAGACCCATTCTCTTCCCCTGGGGCCCAGGCCCGACTGTGGGTTCAGCTCATGCGGGAGCTCCGCCGCGGAGTGAAGCTGAAGAAGGTGCAAGAGCAGGAGTTCAACCCCCTCCCCACCGAGTTCCAGCTCACGCCCTTCGAGATGCTGATGCAGGACATCCGGGCCCGGAACTACAAGCTGCGCAAGGTCATGGTGAGCGGGGCAGACGCAGAGGGGCAGCCTGGATGCAGAGGTCGTGGTGAGCGGGGCGGACGCAGATGAGCAGCCTGGATGTTGGGCAGCCCACCCCAGAGAGCGGCCCAGGGTCCCTGCTCTCTGTGCTGGGTACTGGGTCATAAAATATGGATTAGGGAGATGTGGTCCCAATTCCCACAGCTTGATATCACTTCAGGGACAGTGACCAGGCAGGGAAAGGAAGTGTGGAAGGTTCTGGAGGTCCAGGAATGGCCCCTGGAGGCCACAAGAGCCAAGGCTGTAGGATTTTTTTTTTCTTTTTTGAGACGGAGTCTCGCTCTGTCGCCCAGGCTGGAGGGCAATGGTGCGACCTTGGCTCACTGCAAGCTCCACCTCCTGGGTTCAAGCGATTCTCCTGCCTTAGCCTCCCAAGTAGCTGGGACTACAGGCGCCCGCCACCACGCCTGGCTAATTTTTTGTATTTTTAGTAGAGATGGGGTTTCACTGTGTTAGCCACGATGGTCTCGATCTCCTGACCTTGTGATCTGCCCACCTCGGCCTCCCAAAGTGCCAGGATTACAGATGTGAGCCACCTGCCTGGCCTGGCTGTAGGATATTTTTGCCGTAACAAAACTCATGGAGCCCTTAGGAGGCGCCGGCATGGTTCTTATGATGCCCCTGTGAGGTGTGTGCCACCCCACCCCACCTCCAGATGAGTCCCAGGTGCTAGAGGCTGGGGCAGCCAGGTGGGGACGCGTCAGACCATGGATGCTGTGGCCGCCCAGAGCATGGCCTGTGGATCTGCCGTGCGTTTACCAGGGAAGCAGCTGGGTCCCTGCGAGCAAAGAGTGGGAGGGCGGGTAGGTGCGAAGACCAGGCTGTCCTTGGGCTGAGCAGGCCTCTCCCAGTCGCCCTGCACTAGTGGATGGTCCCTGCAGGGCCTCAGATCAGCCGTCCTCCCCGCAGGTGGATGGGGACATCCCGCCCCGGGTGAAGAAGGACGCTCACGAGCTCATCCTGGACTTTATCCGCTCACGGCCTCCACTGAAGCAGGTGCTGCCCCAGCCTCCTCCTCCTCAGGGGCCGCCCGGGGCCTGGTGCTGTCCTGTAGCCAGCCTGGGAGGTGTCCCAGCACGTCTTCCTGTGGCCAGCCTGGGAGGTGTCCCAGTGCGTCTGCGTCACGGGTGAGGCGGGCTGGCTTCCTCTTGCCTGTGTGCCAGCCCGGGGCTGTGTGGCCCTGGGCCCTTTTTCTGGGAAGGGGCCATGTGAGCCATGCCCACCCCACCCCAGGTGCATGCGGAGCCCAGAGCCCCCTGGGAGCAGCACTCCCTCCGGGTGGGCCTGGCAGGCTCTTCCGACTCCAGAGTGGGCCCGTGTCATGGTCACTTCCCCACCACAGGTCCCGCTTCCCCACCGCAGGTCCCGCTTCCCCACCGCAGGTCCTGCTTCCCCACCGCAGGTCTCGCTTCCCCACCGCAGGTCTCTGAGAGGCGGCTGCGCCCGTTGCCACCAAAGCAAAGGTCCCTGCATGAGAAGATCCTGGAGGAGATCAAGCAGGAGCGGAGGCTGCGCCCGGTGCGGGGCGAGGGCTGGGCTGCCCGCGGTGAGTGAGGGGATGGCAGGAGAAGAGAGCCCTGAGCCCCCGGCTGGGGTTCCCCCATTCCCCTGGTCAGGTTGCACATTGGAAGGTGGCGTCTCCCTGAGGGCGCCTGAACCCATGGAAGACACAGAACATCTTAATTTTTGAGGCACACAGGCTTTTGAAACTCAGATTACTTGGGGATAAAAAATTTAAATTAAATTAAAATTATATATATATATATTTGTTTGAGATGGAGTCTTGCTCTGTCGCCCAGGATGGAGTGCAGTGGAGCGACCTCGGCTCACTGCAACCTCCGCCCCCCGGGTTCAAGTGATGCTCATGCCTCAGCTTCCTGGGCAGCTGGGATTACAGGCACGTGCCACCACGCCTGGCTAATTTTTTTTTTTTTTTTTTTTGTAGTTTTAGTAGAGACGGGGTTTCACCATATTGGCCAGACTGGACACAAACTCCTGGGCTCAAGTGATCTGCCTGCCTTGGCCTCCCAAAATGCTGGCATTACAGGTGTGAACCACTGCACCTGGCCAAAAATAAAAAATGATGAGGCTGGGCTCAGTAGCTCATGCCTTGTAATCCCAGCATTTTGGGATGCTGAGGCGGGAGGATCACTTGAGCCCAGGAGATCGAGACCAGCCTGGGCAATATAGTGAGACCTCATCTCTGCCAAAAATTTCAAAGAAAAATTAGCCAGGTGTGGTGGCACATGGCTGTAATCCCAGGTGCTCCAGGGGCTGAGGTGGGAGGATTGCTTGAACCTGAGAAGTTGATGCCGAAGTGACCCATGATTGCACCACTGCCCTCTAGACTGGGTGACAGAGTGAGACCTCGTTTCAAAAAAAAAAAAAAATCACTTTTTATGCCTCTCATTAAAAACTTTACAAGGCCATTGGAATTTCCTATATCTTTTTTTTTTTTTTTTTTGAGATAGGGTATCACTCTGTCACCCCGGCTGTAGTGCAGTGGCACCATTATAGTTCACTGCAGCCTCAACCTCTCAGGCTCAAGCAATCCTCCCACCTCAGCCTCTCGAGTAGTGTGATGACAGGCATGCACCACCACGCCCGGCTAATTTTTGTGTTTTTTGTAGAGACAGGGTCTCACTCTGTTGCCCAGGCTGGTGTTGAACTCGTGGGCTCAAGTGATCCTTCTGCCTCAGCTTCCCGAAGTGCTGGGATTATGGGTGTGAGCCACCATTCCCTGCCTAACATGATCTTATACCCTATTGTCCTGGTCTTCACCTGTATTTGCCACTCTACATAGTTTACAATAGTATGACATATTTCAGCATTTAGAAGAAAATAGAATAAAAGCAAATTTTTAAAATGTTTTTCTTTTCTTTTCCTTTTTTTTTTTTGAGATGGAGTTTCGCCCTTTTTGCCCAGGCTGGAGTGCAGTGGCGCTATCTCAGCTCACTGCAACCTCCACCTCCTGGGTTCAAGCGATTCTCCTGCCTCAGCCTCCCGGGTAGCTGGGATTACAGGCACGCGCCACCACACCCAGCTAATTTTGTATTTTTAGTAGAGACGGGGTTTCTCCATGTTGGTCAGGCTGGTCTCAAACTCTTGACCTCAGGTGATCCACCCGCATCAGCCTCCCAAAGTGCAGGGATTACAGGCGTGAGCCACCGCACCCAGCCTAGTTCTTCTTCTTTTTTTTTTTTTTTTTTTGAGACAGAGTCTCGCTCTGTTGTCCAGGCTGGAGTGCAGTGGCGTGATCTCGGCTCACTGCAAGCTCTACCTCCTGGGTTCACGCCATTCTCCTGCCTTAGCTTCCCGAGTAGCTGGGACTACAGGCGCGTGCCACCACGCCTGGCTAATTTTTTTTGTATTTTTTAGTAGAGACAGGGTTTCACCATGTTAGCCAGGATGGTCTCGATCTCCTGACCTCGTGATCCACCCGCCTTGGCCTCCCAAAGTGCTGGGATTACAGGCGTGAGCCACCGCGCCCGGCCTAGTTCCTCATTTTTTTAAATGGCTGGCTAGCCCTCAGTTTCCCCTTCTGCAAAGTCAGGGAATTAAGCCAGCTGGTGCACACAAAGCTGTCAGCTCCTGCCTGCTGTCTCCCCGTTCACTGGCCCGTCCTGCCTCGGCTCCCGTCTCCCCAGGGTTTGGCTCTCTGCCCTGCATCCTCAACGCCTGCTCCGGAGATGCCAAGTCCACCTCCTGCATCAACCTGTCAGTCACAGATGCTGGGGGCAGCGCCCAGCGCCCGCGGCCCCGCGTGCTGCTCAAGGCGCCTACCTTGGCTGAAATGGAAGAGATGAATACATCTGAGGTCAGAACCCATGGGGATTCCTGAAAAGAGACCAGGAATGGGAGGATGGGGGCCAAGGAAGTGAGAAGGGCTAAGCTAAGCCGGGGGCAGCAGCAATTGCGGTGTCTCCTGTCCAGGAGCCCTCCCTTGAAACTGACATCCTGCCGTAGGAGGAGGCCTGTGGGGATCGGGGACCCTGCCATCTTGGCCGCTCAGAAGGGTGACTGGGAGAGGGCCTGGGCTGCCTCCTCCCACAGACGATGGAAGGCTGACAGCGGAAGTGCCTCGCTGTCCCAGGCCCCGGAAACTGAGCCCCTGGCTAGTTGATGTGAAAAGGTGGACCCAGCGAGGCTCCCTGCCCACCCTGGCTGCCCTGTGAATGGGACGCTCCTCTCTTCACAGGAAGGGCTGGTGATGGCCTTGTTGGGGGCCATCCCAGAGGGCTCTGCCTCCGTCTGACACTAGACCTGTCCCTTTCCGGAAGGCCTGGGGAAGGGCTTGGTTACTCGGGTGCTTGCCACGAACTGTCCAGAGGCGGGCAGGCTGGGAAGTGGGTGGAGGCTGCCCCACATCGCAGCAGACCCTGCGGCACCCCTGGGTCCTCTGCTTCATTCCAGGCATGGGCAGGAGGCACTGGCGGGCATTGTCAGGGCAGGGCCGCGTCTGGTGTGTCCACAGGAAGAAGAGTCTCCGTGTGGGGAGGTGACGCTGAAACGGGACCGCTCCTTCTCAGAGCATGACCTGGCCCAGCTCCGAAGTGAGGTGGCCTCTGGCCTGCAGTCGGCCACCCACCCCCCAGGAGGGACGGAGCCACCACGGCCCCGAGCTGGCAGTGCGCATGTGTGGAGGCCCGGCTCCCGAGACCAGGGCAAGTGCTGCTTCTCACCCCCGTACCCTCCTTCGCCCCCACCCCGATCCATCCTGTGGGCACCATCCCTCCACCTCAGCCCACATCTTCCTGAGCAGGCAGCTCCCAGGGACCCAGGGAGCTCGTGCCTGCAAGACGGCACCACCTCAGGCAGGCATCTCCTTTTGTTTAACTTGAAAACTTACTAAGTAATGCATATTTATTATAAAAATATTTTTTAATATTTAAAAAGAATTCTCATGATTCTATTACCTAGACATAATTAACTTTGGGATATAGAAAGATAGCTAACTAGATGAGTGATAGACCCTTCTAGTCCTCTGGGAAGGGAGCCGTGTGTCCGTGGGGAGCCGGCTGGGCTCGCAGCACATGGCTCTGGAACCTGAGCCGTGATTCCTTCGACTCCTTTTCGCGCTGCTGAGCACAGAACGATTCTTGCTGGCTGTGCAGGGCTGGTCCTACCACCGTGAGGGCTGAACTTTACGGAGAGCCCTCGCGACTCAGGGTTCTTGTCTCCCCACCACCACATCCCAGCAGGCACGGCCAGGCCTCCTTGTCTGCCTGTGGGGCCAGAGTCTCGGGACAATCGTGTTTGGTGCTTACAGCCCCTTCCCAGTGTTAAGAGGTCCAGGCCAGGCCAGTTCCAAACCTCACACTTACTTAACCTCGGCCTCCCCCACCTGGAGCTGTGCCTCAGCCTCTGGGAGTTGGTGGAGGGAGGGAGGTCGACCCCAGCTCCAGTGTGAGGTGTGGACTGCAGGAGGAGGGTCTGGCTCACTGCTGCTGTGGGACTGCCCATGCCAGCTCATTCTGGGGCTCAGACACGGGGGCCCTTCCGGGGTCCTGTGGACCCTCTATACCACATGGGCCCCGATGAATGTCCTAATGTTGGAGCCACCCTCTTCGCTTTTTTCTTCTTTTTGAGACAAGGTCTTGCTCTGCTGCCCAGGCTGGAGTGCAGAGGTACCATTATAGCTCACTGCAGCCTTGGCCTCCTGGGCTCAAGCAATCCTCCCGCCTCAGCCTCCTGAGTAGCTAGGACTACCGACATGTTTCACGATGCCTGCCTAACTTTTATATTTTTCTATAGAGCTGAGGGTCTCGCTACGTTGCCCAGGGTGGTCTCAAGCTCCTAGGCTCAAGGTTCCACCCGCCTCGGCCTCCTAAGTGCTAGAACTGCCCGTGTAGCTACTGCCCGGCCGCTTCTCCCCTTGACCTTTTGCTTGGTTCCCCTGGAGCCCTCCACCATCTCTATCATCCCCTGGGCACAGTCCTCTTTACCACAGCTCCTGCCAGGCAGTCCTGATGGAGCCTCTGCTCTCCCCCAGGTACCTGTCCCGCGAGTGTCTCTGACCCCAGCCACCCCCTACTCAGCAACCGGGGCTCCTCGGGGGACAGACCCGAGGCCTCCATGACCCCCGATGCCAAACACCTGTGGCTGGTGAGTGAGGGTGCGATTGTCGTCCAGGGCGGCCCAGGGGGCGTCTTTGCACCCACCTTCCCGCCGCCAGCCAGGTCTGGGAGATGGGTCTGAGCACCTGTCTGGGGGGTGTGGCCTGAGCGTCCGTCTGGGGGGGCGCGGTCTGAACATGGGGCACCAGTGGTGGAGCTGCTGGTCTGGGGCCGTGGTCTCTGCTGCCGCCTGCTGGGGCCGAACCGCACTGCACTGCGGCCCCGGAGCCTGGTCCCTAATTGAAGGGTTCAGTGTGGGGTTAGGGCAGACGGTGAACCTGCGTGCCCTGTGCCTGGAGGTCAGTGTGAGGGGGGTTCACTGGGTCGAGACCTTGACTCTGGCCGTGACGCCGCCACGGTACTGCTCAGCCCCTCTGCCCTCGGTTTCTTATCTGACCTGTAATTGTGAAGAGCTCACCTTTGCTGACATCTTGAGGCCCACGTGGACCTGAGTTCTGGTGCAGGATTTAATCAACTGAGGTAAGGGGAGTGTGCGGCCCGTGGGCCACGGTGGCAGCATGCAGGTGTTGGAGGGATGTGAACGGTGTGGTTGCTGTCACTATTTGAGGTTTTATCCAGCGGCTCAGATGAGAACAGATGTTAAAATGCTTTGAGAACTATGAGCCTTATATAAATGCAAGGCACTGTGCGTATCCCCACCGAAACGCAGGGCCTGCCCTGTTAGCCTAGGTCGTATCCCACCGAAGGCAGGGCTTGCCCCGTTAGCCTAGGATTAGCTATATATCACTGCATCAAAAGTTACCTCAAAATGCAGCATCTTAAAATAACAAATATATATTATCTCACAGTTTCTGAGGGTTGGGACTCCGGCAGTGTCTTAGCTGTGTGGCCATGGCTCAGGGTCTTTCGTGAGGCTGCAGTTAGGATGGCAGTGGGGCCTGATCTCGACTGAAGGGTCAAATCGGGGCTGGAGGAGCCGTCTGAAGTGGCGTCTTCACCCAGCTGTGAGCAGGAGGCGTGAGTCCCTTGCTGTGTAGGCCTCTCTCGGGCTGCTTGGGGATCCCCACAGCGTGGTGGCTGGCGTCCCCCAGAGCACGTGGTTCAAGAGTGAGCGCAGTGAAAGCCACTGAGTATTTATGACCAAGTCCAGCAGTGCCACATTGTCCCAACTCACTAGGAATGAGTCACTAAGTCCAGCCTATTCTCAAGGGGAGGGAGAGAATTAAGGCCCACTTCTTTTTTTTTTTTTTTTTGAGACAAGAGTCTGGCTCTGTCGCCCAGGCTGGAGTGCAGTGGCGCCATCTCGGCTCACTGCAAGCTCCGCCTCCCGGGTTCATGCCATTCTCCTGCCTCAGCCTCCCGAGTAGCTGGGACTACAGGCGCCCACCACCGCACCCGGCTAATTTTTTGTATTTTTAGTAGAGACGGGGTTTCATCGTGTTAGCCAGGATGGTTTCGATCTCCTGACCTCATCATCCGCCCTCTTCGGCCTCCCAAAGTGCTGGGACCTGACCTCGTCATCCGCCCTCTTCGGCCTCCCAAAGTGCTGGGATCACAGGCGTGAGCCACCGCACCCGGCCAAGGCCCACTTCTTAAGGAATTAGAGGACACATTTAAGATGACCACAGGTCACATGAGTGGTTCTTTAGCTCTGAAGTCTCAGAAGTGCTTTCTGAAGGGGGGCTACTGAGCACCACAGAACCTGGCCTTCCATCTGCCCTGGGCTCACAGCCTCACCTGGGGAGCAGGCGGCCCTTCTCTGTACCTGGCGTGAGGTCTCCTGGCCACGGACGTTGTTGGCGTCACACCTGTGGCACCTGAGGTGAATTGTTCAGATGGAAACGGCACCATCAGGCAACTGGCAACAGAAGCCTAAAGCCCTGGGTGCCTCAGGTCAGAGGAAGGAAGGAATGCAAGGGCCCCGCTCCCCCCAATGCCAGGAGCGTGTGTTCACAGCTTTAGACAGGACAACCCACTGCAAATCCAAAGCAGAAAACATGGTCCAACTCCATCTCTGTGGCACCTTCATAGATGGTGCCCACCTGCCTTGGCAGTGATGACCGACACTGCGAACGCTGTGCTGGCAGTGTGTTTAAGGGCTTTAACTGAATCATCTCGATGGAGCTGAAATCCAGCCCCATTTTACAGAAGAGAAAACTGAGGCTTAGAGAGATCAGGTGTCAAGTTCTATGCCAAGCACAGGGAAGCAAAAACAGGACACACTCAACATAAGGTGGCCCCAGGAATCAGTGGCCAGGACACGGGAGGTGTGCTGAGCGCAGATGGGCAGATGCAAGCTGAGGTGGCCTGTTGGAGGGTCCTGGACCTTCCAGAAAAGAGGACATCAGCTGCTCAGGGAGGGAAGGTTTGAGATGGATTCTGGCTGGTGTGGATCAGCCCATGGTGTGTTTGCAGGCAGGGACACCTTGAACAGACATGGGCTGAGGGGAGTTTGTGTGGAGCGTGGCCAGTGAAGGCTGGGCTGGCCGGCAGGGTCCGCTGGTCATGGGAGGCCTGGCCTGCAGCAGCAGGGCCCATCAAAGACATGGGGATGGATGGCTGATGGACAAGATGGCTGATGGACAGCGTTTTAGAAGGTCGCAGGCTTGTTTAGGCTGAGGCCAGGGAGGGTTAGGGTCCTCAGGGAAGGAGAGTAAGCTAGGGGAGCCTCCTGCATAGAAGACTTCCTACCTGAGGCCGTCCCCTAGGAGTTCAGCCACCCCGTGGAGAGCCTGGCGCTGACTGTGGAAGAGGTGATGGACGTGCGCCGTGTGCTGGTGAAGGCCGAGATGGAAAAGTTTTTGCAGAACAAGGAGCTCTTCAGCAGTCTGAAGAAGGGGAAGGTGAGGCTGCCTAGACGTGGGGCTACGCTCTTGCCCGCTGGGTCAGGGGCGGGTGCCGAGAGGGCCAGTTCCCAGGACTGTTTGCTCATGATCTGGTTGGGAGCCCTGAGGGGGTAGCAGGGACAGGGCGGGACCCCAGGGAGCTTTGGACAAAGCGGGGCTCTAACCAGTCTCTCCTGACAGATTTGCTGCTGCTGCCGGGCCAAGTTCCCGCTGTTCTCGTGGCCGCCCAGCTGTCTCTTCTGCAAGAGGTGAGCCTTCCCTTTAGCTGTCAGTTCACAAGGGAAGGAGGAGGCGAGAAACCTCGGGGCAGTACCGCCCACAGAACTTCCTGTGATTCCAGGAATGTTCTAGCATGTTCGATGGCTGATGAGTCCACAAGATATGGTTAGTACGAATGAGGAGTTAAATTTTAAATTGTATTTAAATTAAATTAAATTTAAATAGCTAAGCAACTCCCAGTTTCAGCCAAGATGGGGTAATAGGCATCTTCCACAGCCAAGAACAAACAGGATGTGAAACAATGGTTTTCAAGACAGCAGGCAACAAAAAGGAAACACAACGGGGCAAGCCTGCCATCACCACAGTCATTGCCTGGAGAGTTTCTAGGTCATGAGCCACAGCTGCCGGACTCCCCAGATGGAGGAGGTCAGGCTGAGAATCCAGGGAGACCACAGCAGCTCGAGTCCGCCGTGTAGAACTCCAGAGGAGAGGGCTGCGCCGAGAAAGCCTCAGAGAAGGTCCCCCTCTCTGAAGGAAATGACTGAAGGCTGCAGAACATTTATCCTAAAGCAGAGATTGGCAGACTATAGCCACGGGCCAAATCTGGTCCTCGGCCTGTTTTGCAAGTAAAATCTCACTGGACACAGCCACACCCATTTATTACTCGCTCAGCCACGCCTAAAAGGTTTATTCTCTGGCCCTTTACACAAAAAATTTACCTTCCCTTGTTCTAAAGATCTGAAGGGACGGTGCTCAGGGGCAGGAATGAGTAACATCGGTTTCCACCGGCCACAGGCAGAAATGTCATAATTCACAGGGCACTAACTGGAATGCACACAAAGGACTCGCCTCACTAACGTGGAGTAAGTAGCCCAAAGTGATTGTTGCTCTAGGCCTGACTGATACATCATAAAAGCAAGACCTGAAAGGATCAAACTGTTCACAAGTATCTTAACTGATTCTGAGAACAAAGCTCAAGAATAAGAATTTTTTAAACATCAACAAAAAAACAAACCAGTACTCAGCAAGATAAAATGTGTGGCATGCAAAAAACAAGACAAAATTAATTACAATGTATTGTGGGTTTTGTAACACGTGTGTAAGTAGTGTTGATAACAGCAGTTAGCATGAAGGTCAGGGAGAGGGGAAAATTGGAAGTATACTTTTTTTCCTTTTTTTTTTTTTTTTTTTTGAGAAGGAGTCTCGCTCTGGCGCCCAGGCTGGAGTGCAGTGGCACGATCTTGGCTCACTGTAAGCTCCGCCTCCTGAGTTCCCACCATTCTCCTGCCTCAGCTTCCCGAGTAGCTGGGTCTACAGGCACCTGCTACCACTCCCAGCTAATTTTTTGTATTTTTAGTAGAGATGGGGTTTCACCATGTTAGCCAGGATGGTCTCGATCCCCTGACCTCAGGATCTGCCCACCTCTGCCTCCCAAAGTGTTGGGATTACAGGCGTAAGCCACCGCGCCTGGCCAGAAGTATACTATTTTAAGGTTCACTATGGTAAGGTGAATCACTATGATAAGGTATAGTAAGGTATTATACACGCTATACAAATATTACTTAAAGGTAGACTGTGATAAGTTAAAGATGTATACCATAAGTCCTAAAGCAACCACTAAAATAAAACAGTTACAGCTAATAAGCCAACAAAGGAGATAAGATGGGACCATAAACAGTAATTAATCCAAAAAAAGGTAGGAAAAGAAGGAGAACAAACAAATGAGTCAAAAACAAAACAAATAGCAAATGACAGCCTTAAACACAACTGTATCTCGCATCACATTAACTGTAAGTCATCCACACGACCCAAGTAAAAGTTAGAATTTCCCAGACTGAATAAAAAAGTAAGGCTGGGCCGGGCGCGGTGGCTCACACCTTGATCCCAGCACTTTGGGAGGCCAACGCTGGCAGATCACGAGGTCGGGAGATCGAGACCATCCTGGCTAACACGATGAAACCCTGTCTCTACTAAAAATACAAAAAATTAGCTGGGCGTGGTGGCGGGTGCCTGTAGTCCCAGCTACTCGGGAGGCTGAGGCAGGAGAACTGCTTGAACCTGTGAGGTGGAGGGTGCAGTGAGCCGAGATCGCGCCACTGCACTCCAGACTGGGCAACAGAGGGAGACTGTCTCAAAAAAAAAAAAAAAAAAAAAAGGTAAGGCTGGATATGGTGGATATGGTAGCTCATGCCTATAATCCCAGCACTTTGGGAGGCTGAGGTGGGAGGATCACTTGAGCCAAGGAGGTCAAGGCTGCAGTGAGCTATGACGGTGTCACTGCACTCCAGCCTGGGTGACAGAGCAAGACCTGTCTGGGAAAAAAAAATCACCTAATTTTATCTGTAAAATTATGTATATTTCTGTTGATATATGCTTGGAAAAGCCTGGAGGATGGAAACCATTACTAGCAGGGATCACTTCTGAGCATGTGGTGTCTACATTTTAATTCTCTCATGTTTGAATTTTTTTTTTTTATTTTTTTGAGATAGAGTTTCACTCTTGTTGCCCAGTCGGAAGTGCAATGCCGCGATCTCAGCTCACTGCAACCTCTGCCTCCCAGGTTCAAGTGATTCTCCTGCCTCAGCCTCCTGAGTAGCTGGCATTACAGGCATGTGCCACCACACTTGCTAATTTCGTATTTTTAGTAGAGATGGGGTTTCTCCATGTTGGTCAGGTTGATCTCCAACTCCCGACCTCAGGTGATCGCCCACCTTGGCCTCCCAAAGTGCTGGGATTACAGCGGTGAGCCACCACGCCCAGCCTTGAATTTTTTTTTTTTTCTTTTTTCTTTTTTGAGATGGAATCTCACTCTGTCACCCAGGCTGGAGTGCAGTGGCACAATCTCGGCTCACTGCAAGCTCCACCTCCCGGGTTCACGCCATTCTCCTGCCTCAGCCTCCCGAGTAGCTGGAACTACAGGTGCCCGCCACCAGGCCTGGCTAATTTGTTTGCATTTCTAGTAGAGACGGGGTTTCACCATGTTAGCCAGGATGGTCTCGATCTCCTGACCTCGTGATCTGCCCATCTCGGTCTCCCAAAGTGCTGGGATTACAGGCTTGAGCCACCGCGCCCAGCCTTGAATTTTTTATAAGAAGGTATTTATTTTTGAAATCAGATATGGGAATTAAAACAAAATTGAATCACTGTTTAAAACTGAGCATCTCAGTTGAGGCCCCTCTAGCTTCCATGGTGCTTTTATGGTGAGTAGTGTCAGGTACACACCAATGTCTACACGTCTTCTTAGAAGGAATCTTAGATGTCTTTCCAAGACAGTGTGCAAGTTTTTTTTTTGTTTTTTGTTGTTGTTGTTGTTTGCTTTTTGTTTTTTTTGAGACAGAGTCTCTCTCTGTCACCCAGGCTGCGGTGCAGTGCCATGATCTCGGCTCACTGCAACTTCCGCCTCCTGGGTTCAAGCAATTCTCTGCCTCAGCCTCCCGAGTAGCTGGGATTACAGGTGCCCGCCACCATGCCCGGCTAATTTTTTGTATTTTTAGTAGAGACGGGGTTTCACCATCTTGGCCAGGCCGATGTTGAACACCTGACCTCGTGATCCACCTGCCTTGGCCTCCCAAAGTGCTGGGATTACAGGCGTGAGGCATCGCGCCTGGCCGACAGTGTGCAGTTTTTAAAGACCCTTGTAGGTTTTTGTTTTTAAACTTTCCAAAAGTATGTGACCCATCATGGCTTGGTTCAGAAAGACCCATCATGCCTTGGTTCAGAAACAAAAATCTGCTTAAGAGGGACTTTTACCACCATTTTTTTTTTTTTTTGAGACAGAGTTTCGCTCAGTCCCCCAGGCTGGAGTGCAGTGGCGTGATCTCAGCTCACTGCAACCTCCACTTCCCAGGTTCATGCCATTCTCCTATCTCAGCCCCCCAAGTAGCTGTGATTACAGGTGCCTGCTGCCACGCCCAACTCATTTTTGTATTTTTAGTAGAAACGAGGTTTCACCTTGTTGGTCAGGCTTGTCTCAAACCCCTGACCTCAGGTGATCCACTTGCCTTGGCCTCCCAAAGTGCTGGGATTACAGGCGTAAGCTACCACATCTGGCCCACCACCACTATGTTTAAACCTTACTCTATATCCTACCACTTGGCAATAGAAAACTTGGCAGGAGAAAACTCCTGGAGCCATCCTTCCTGAGAGAATGCCAAGGAGCACATATATTTTGGGTGGATACCTAAGTATAAAGAAAAGCAAGATTTTGGAGTAAAATAAAGTACTGAAGTAACCAAGCATCAGGCAGAAGGCAAGGATGGTTTGACCTCGGATGCGTGGAGGCCGGGATGCGACTGTTTCTCAGCTGTTTGTGGGCTTCCTCCCTGCTGATGCTGCATTTCCTCTGTTCCCTTCCAGAGCCGTCTGCACTTCCTGTAGCATAAAGGTGAGGACCATGTGGGATCTCTGGGGTCTGAGCAAGGCAGATGAGGGGCTCCACTGGCTTTGATTGGATGTGTTGGATGATGCTGCCTCACCAGGCACCTCATCCATTTCCTTTCAGGCAGAATCCATTCCTATACTTTCCAAGATAGTGTGCAGTTTTTAAAGACCCTTACAGGTTTTTGTTTTTAAACATTGCACGTTAGTAGCCTCGTGCCAAAAAACCCTTCACTTCCCCTCTAAAAGTCCTACCTTCTTACATTCTATAACTTTTTGGGTGTTTTAGGAGGGGCTTCTTATTGCAGTTGAGGTGTGTGCTTATGTGCAGGTGCACAGAGGTAAAGGGATCCTAACATTTAAAAGTATGTCAGCTGGGCACGGTGGCTCACACCTGTAATCCCAGCATTTTGGGAGGCCAGTGAGGCTGGCGGACCACTTGAGACCAGCCTGGCCAACATGGTGAAACCCCATCTCTACTAAAAATACAAAAAAATTAGCTGGGCATGGTGGCACGCACCTGTAATCCTAGCTACTCAGGAGGCTGAGGCATGAGAATTACTTGAACCCGGGAGGTGGAGGCCACAGTGAGCTATGATTGTGCCACTGCACTACAGCCTGGGTGACAGAGACTCCGTCTCAAAAAGACAAAATACAAATAAAAGTATGTCACCAGCCAGGCGCGGTGGCTCATGCCTGCAGTTCCTGCACTTTGGGAGGCTGAGGTGGGAGGATCTCTTGAGCCCAGCAAATTCAAGGCTGCAGTGAGTATGGCTGTGCCTCTGTACTCCAGCCTGGGCAATAGAGCAAGATCTGTGTCTTAAAAAAAAAAAAAAAAAAAAAAATATATATATATATATATATATGTTACCCCTCAGGCCTCAGTTCAGAAGCAAAACTCTGCTTAAGGAGTACTCTTACTACCACTATTTTTAAATCTTACTCTACATCCTGCCACTTGGCAATGGAAAAACTTCCACCTCATCCATGTTAAATGTTGATTATGTGCAGGGTAAGGTGGCAGGTCCCGTATAGTATAAAAAGGGAAAGTTCTTGCCCTCTAAGGAGCCCCTGTCCAGATGAGCAGGAAACGTGGCAGGTCCCGCATGGTATAAAAAGGGACGGTTCTTGCGCTCTAAGAAGCCCCTGTCCAGATGTGCAGCAAGCAGGAACCCCGTGCCAGTCTTCAGCCAAAAGGCACAGAGGAGACATCGGAGAGCACAGGGACAGAGAATATTCTCCAGGAAGCCCTGGCTGCCACGCAGGTCCCAGACTGGGGAGGGAGGTCCCCTAGCACTGAGTGTACCTGAATGTCTCTGGTGGTGCCTGGTTCATACCTCCTCCCTCTGTGCTGCAGATGAAGATGCCTTCTAAGAAATTTGGACACATCCCTGTCTACACACTGGGCTTTGAGAGTCCTCAGAGGGTATCAGCTGCCAAAACCGCGCCAATCCAGAGAAGAGACATCTTTCAGTGCGTTCTTCGCCTTGCTGCTGATGTCACTGTGGTGGTCGGGCGTGAAGAGGAACTTGGGAGCTGGGGTGGAGGGGGCTGGCTTTGTCTGTTTGCTAGGACACCCCAAGGAAATGGAAATGCAAGGCAGAGACGGATCGTTGTGTAGGGCTCTGGGAGGCTGAGCAGTATGAGATGGAAACTGGACTTGGGTGGTCAGGGAACAGTCTGCTGAGATGAACACTGCTAGCTGTGTTTGTTGCCTGAGGGCCAAGGGGAGGCCTAGGGTGAAAGGCAGCCAGGAGGGGGCTGTGGCATGCACAAGCAGGGAGGGGGGTGTGGCACCCTGGCTGGCTCCTCTCCCTGAGTGCCCTCTCCCACTTCCCAGGTCTCTGCAAGGGCCACAGTGGCAGAGCGTGGAGGAGGCGTTCCCCCACATCTACTCCCACGGCTGTGTCCTGAAGGATGTCTGCAGTGAGTGCACCAGCTTTGTGGCAGACGTGGTGCGTTCCAGCCGCAAGAGCGTGGACGTCCTCAACACTACGCCACGACGCAGTCGCCAGACCCAATCCCTCTACATCCCTAACACCAGGACTCTTGACTTCAAGTGACAGCCCCAGGTGGCCAGGCCTCCAGGAGGCACCAGGCAGGCCCTGTATCAGGCTAGGACGCTCTGAGCTGTGCATGTACATATATACATATATAGATACATTTATAATATATACACACAGTCTATATATTTATATACACTGTTTCCTGGCCCCAGAGCTCATTTGGGTTCAGGCGCACTTCAAAACCCTCCCTGGGGGAGGCTGTTTCTTCTCAGGATTCCTTGCCAGGGAGGAAGGGGAGGGAACAGGGTGGGTTTTCTCACTGAAGAGAGAAAGCAGAAGGTTCTAGATCCTGGCACAGACTGCATCCCATGTTCCCATGCTCTTCTCCGTCCCCAGGAATGCGAACGGCAGTTTCCCTTCCCCAGTGGACGTCTAGGTGGGGACAGGGTATCTTGGCTCCCAGCTGGACCAGAGTGCCCTGCTTGCCTCTGCTCTCCCTTTGTGGGGACTCAGGCAGCAGAGGCATCTGGGAAGTCTCTGAGTAGGCAGGGTCCTCCTGGGAGGCACCCCCACCTGTTTGAAAGGTCTGGCCAGGCGTGGTGGTTCAGGCCTGTAATTCCAGCACTTTGGGAGGCCGAGGAGGGAGGATCACCTGAGGTCAGGAGTTTGAGACCAGCCTGGCCAACATGATGAAATGTTGTCTCTACTGAAAATGCAAAAATTAGCCAGGTATAGTGGCAGGAACCTGTAATCCCAGCTACAGGGGAGGCTGAGGCAGGAGAATCGCTTGAACCCGGGAGGTGTAGGTTGCAGTGAGCCGAGATTGCACCACTGCACTCCAGCCTGGGCGACAGAGCGAGACTCTGTCTCGAAAAAAAAAAAGGTCCGTGCCAAGCTGCTCCCTGCCCTTGCCCTTTCCCTTTCCCTGGGGTCCAAACCACATGTGTCCTGCCTCTCCTGGCCCTACCACATTCTGGTGCTGTCCTCACTCGCCCCTGGCCCAGAGGCTCCTGAAGATGCTGGGCGGTCCTGGCACAGGGAGGAGCAGCTCTGTAAATCTGTGCACATGGCCACTCTTGGCCTAATAAAGGAGGTCTCACAGTCTTCTGTCTGGGATGTGCGCTGAGGATTCACCCAGCATGGCATGTTCTCCCAAGGTTGAAGCTGGGCTTGAGGGGCCACCTGCCTTCCAGGACGAGGAAAGGCCTCCTGGCTTAGAGTCAGGTGCCCACCAGGCAAGGGCTCCAGGCCTGCTCTGTCCACGCAGCCCTGGCTGCCTCTACCAGCTTCGTGGTCCTGGCCACCATGGTCAGGGCTGCATGCGGACGGCACAGACTACTGCCCATCAGCTCCTCTGGCCACACCTGCTGGCCTGGGGGGTACTTTGGTCTCATTTCCCAGATCCGTATTCTCGTTCTCCAGGGAGAGGATCCACAGGGGCAGGAGGTGTGACTGCAGGCTCTAGACAGGCCCTGTGCCGAGTGCTGTCTGCTCACCTGCGCCCGGCTCAGCCTGTTAACGGGGCCCTGCCCTGCTCCTCCGTGACGTTCTGCCGTCATCTTACCTTACAGATGAGGGAACTGAGGCTCAACGAGGTCAAAGAATTTGGCCAAAGATACACAGCTCACCCAGAACTTTGACTCCAGGCTGTAATGCTAGCCGTGGGGCCTGGAGGTCAGAAGGGACAGGACTTGTAACTGATGGGCCTGCGGGAGAAAATACTCCTGTCAGCTGGGGTCCAGGAAATCCAAACACACAAAATTAGAGCCCCCAGTAAAAACAGCCAGCTTCTAGCATGCGTGTAAGCATTTCACGGACTCTCTGGCCTGTATTTTTATTCCTGTTTAAAAATAAGAAAACAGGCACAGAGAGGGTCAGGGAACTCCTCCGGTCACACAGCCAGCAATAAGCTAATGTGTAGTGCTTGGTAAGGACGACGGTTGTTCTGGTTCTACGGGGACTCACACTCCCTATCATGGGGAGACTGGGTTGTAATTCATACAGGAACACTTGGAAATGAAAGCCCACGTTAAAACCCTAAACCACGGCAGGTGCAGTGGCTCACACCTGTAATCCCAGCACTTTTGGAGGGTGAGGTGGGCAGATCACTTGAGGTCAGGAGTTCGAGACCAGCCTGGCCAACATGGTGAAACCCCATCTCTACTGAGTACAAAAATTAGCCGGGCATGGTGGCACATGCCTGTAGTCCCAGCTACTCGGGAGGCTGAGACAGGAGAAGTGCTTGAGCCTGGGAGATGGAGGTTGCAGTGAGCCGAGATTGCGCCACTGCACTCCAGCCTGGGCAACAGAGCAAGACCTCATCTCACAAAATAAAATAAAACCCTAACCCATCCTGGGAGGGGCCAGGCCGGCTCACCAGGGCTGCTGCTTGTGCTCATGAAGCCGCAGTAAGTCGGGCAGGAGGCTGCTGGCACCTGTCTTCTCTATGCCCTCCTGTCCCCATGTCCCCAACCCCAGGCACAGGAAGCTGTGCCCTCCGCCCACTGAACCCAGCACTGTCTCAGCCTCATCTACTTTATTTTTTTCATTTTTTTGAGACAGGGTCTGGCTCTGTCGCCCAGGCTGGAGTGCAGTGGCGCGATCTCGGCTCACTGCAGCCTCAGCCTCCCGAGTAGCTGGGATTACAGGCGTGCGCAGCCACGCCCAGCTAATTTTTGTATTTTTAGTAGAGGGAGTTTCACCGTGTTGCCCAACCTGGTCTCGAATTCCCGACCTCAGGTGATTCGCCCACCTTGGCCTCCCAAAGTGCTGGGATTACAAGCGTGAGCACCGCGCCCGGCCCTTAGATCGTGACAAACGCGGGCGGCCTGTCCTAGAACTGTCAGAACCACTGTCCCTAAAGAGGCCTCGGGCGGGCAGTAAGGGCCGCGTCACTCAATGCTGCTCGAGGGGCGGCGGCTCCAGGGCAGAGGCGGGCATCGACGGCTAGATCACTCGAATGACACCCTGACACGAAAAGGACCAACTAGCAACGTCCGGGACGCAGCTGAAATGCTGCAGGCACGGTGCGGGGACAGGCCCCGGCGGGCAGAACGCGGCTGCGGGTTCCGGGCCACATGGATGGGCAAGGCCGGGCAGGGCCGACTGTCGCCGGCTGCGCGCCCGTTACCCCGAATCGAAGCCCGTCATCCCCGCGGGGCACCTCTCCATGCCCGGTGCGCACGGCGCGCAGACACCCAGCTCTCCAGAGACCTGGCCCGGACCCCCCGGAGCCCGCCCAGACGCCGCCGCTGAAGCGGGAAAGTTCCGGAGAGCCGCGACGCGCAGGCGCCGCAGCCAGGTCCTGCCCCCACCCCTCGCGCCAAGAGTGCGCAGGCGCGCAGCCAGCTCCCCCGCCCCCGACCCCGCGCGAAGAGTGCGCAGGCGCGCCGACAGCCGAGTTTTCTGCGCTTCCTTCTCCCTCTCTCCAGACGTCGTGGTCGTTCGGTCCTATGTCGCGCCGGGCCCTCCGGAGGCTGAGGGGGGAACAGCGCGGCCAGGAGCCCCTCGGGCCCGGCGCCTTGCATTTCGATCTCCGTGATGACGATGACGCGGAAGAAGAAGGGCCCAAGCGGGAGCTTGGTGTCCGGCGTCCCGGGGGCGCAGGGAAGGAGGGCGTCCGAGTCAACAACCGCTTCGAGCTGGTGAGGAGCGCGGCGGCCCGGGTGGGGGTGGGGTGGCCCTTGACGTTGTGGGGCGGGGCGAGCGTCCAGCCGGGTCGGGGAGCGGGGTTGTGATGCCAGGGGTGGGAAGGGTGACGTGGGTCCCAGCCGCAGTGGGGAGGGCGGGGCCGTGCGTCGGGGCCAGGGCGACGCGGGTGGGCGGTGGCGTGGGGTGAAGACGGCGGGCCGCGGAGTTAGACTGGGTTCTAACCCCGGTGAGGTGGGCGGGGCTAAGGGATGGGGCGGGGCCGTGCTGTCGGGGCGGGGCGACCGAATGGGCGGGGTTAAGCGGGGTCCGGGTTGTGGAGGGTGCGGGGCCTTGATGCCAAGGGCGTGGCCAACGTCCGCGGGGCCGGGCCACGACGTGGGCGGGATTAAATGGGCCTGCGGCCACGTGGCTGTCGTGGGGCCGTGACGCTAAAGGGCGTGGCTAAAGACGGGGGGGTGGCGAGGCGATGGCGTGGGCGGGGTTAAATGAGGCCTGGGGCCACCGTGGGGGTGGGGCCACGGCGTAGGGGCAGGAGTCGGGTGGGGCTTCCCTTTCTCGAGTCTAGAGGGGCCTTCTCTCGGTTCCAGGGTTGAGGACTTGCCAGGCCTCTGCGAGCATTCTGCTTTAATCCTCACAACAACTCTGCCTAACCCAGGGCCTTGCTCTTCGCGCATCCCCATCAGCCTAACCCAGCGGATTAGTCTTACTCTTTGCTGCATCTCCGGCAGCTCGTTTCTGGCACAGGGAAGTAACAGTTTGACTGTATGGTTTGCTCATGCGGTCCTGTGACGTTTTCTCCTAAGCCCTGGCCTCCGTCTGTAACTCTGCCTCTGCGGGCTCTGCGATCCTCCCACCTCAGCCTCCTGAGTATCTAGGACTACAGGTGGATGTCACCACGCCCGGCTAATTTTTTTTTTTTTTCTTTTTTGTAGAGAAGAGTTTTCGCCTTGTTGCCCAGGCTGGTCTAGAACTTCTGCGCTCAAACAATCTGTCCACCTCAGCCTCACAAAGTGCTGGGACTACAGGCGTGAGTCACCATGCTTGGTTGACTGCCCTTCTCGCATCAAGTCCACCTTTAGTGGTCCCCAAGACCCCCGTCAAGGTTCAGTAATTTGCTAGATTCACAGCAGTTACTGAAAGCTTTTTGTTTTGAGATGGAATCTTGCTCTGTTGCCCAGGCTGGAGTGCATTGGCACAATCCTAGCTCACTGCAACCTTGAACTCCTGGGCTCAAATAGTCCTCTCACCTTGGCCTCTCAGAGTGTTGGCATTAGAGGCATGAGCCACTGTGCTTGGCCCCGTAAGTCTTTTTAAATTTTTGTCAATGTAATTTGTGAAAAATGATATCACATTATTTTATTTTACACTTCTTTGGTAGTGAAATGCAGCACCTAGCTATGTATTCGTTGACCATTTATATTTCTCTTTGTGACAACCTGTTTATATCTTTGCCTTTTTATAGGGGGTTTGGACAGTCTTTTTGCTCGTGGAAGCTTGCTATCGATTGTCTCTAACGTATTTTCTCGGTTTGTGTTTGTTCTTTAACTTCTTTAATTTCTGCGTGCTGAAAGATACTGGAGCCACTTTTCTCATTGTTACACATCCATCTCTCTAGAGTGTCTTCACATAGATATTCCCTGACGTGAGTTTTTTTTTTTTTTTTTTTTTTTTTTTGAGATGGAGTCTCGCTCTGTCGCCCAGGCTGGAGTGCAGTGGCATGATCTCGGCTCACTGCAAGCTCCGCCTCCTGGGTTCACGCCATTCTCCTGCCTCAGCCTCCCAAGTAGCTGGGAACACAGGCGCCCGCCACCACGCCTGGCTAATTTTTTGTATTTTTAGTAGAGATGGGGTTTCACCATGTTAGCCAGGATGGTCTCGATCTCCTGACCTCGTGATCCGCCTGCCTCGGCCTCCCAAAGTGCTGGGATTACAGGCGTGAGCCACTGCGCCTGGCTTTTTTTTTTTTTTTTTTTTTTTTTTTTGGTTACAGACAGGGTCTCACGGTGTTGCCCAGGCTGGTTGCTGGTCTTGAACTCCTGGGTTCAGGTTATCCTCCTGCCTCAGCCTCCTGAGCAGCTGGGACTACAGCATACCCTACCATGCTCAGCTTGTTCTTTTAATGCTTTTTTTTTCCCATTTAAATATTTAATCTTTTTGGTATTTATATTTGTGTTGGTGGGAATTTGGAAAAAGTGTGGTTCATGAGTTGACAGAGTAAGAGTCTGTAAGGTCAGAAACCACACAAACCCTTGTGGACTTTCTGGAGTGAGTTTGAGTGTCAGTAACACTAACAGCCTCCATGGATGAATGACTGCTTATCGTGCTGTGTTCTTAGGAATTTCAGAGAATTTTATCCAGTGGCACACATCAGTCTTAATTTAAGCATTCCATACTTTTTTGCTCTTAAAACTCATATTTGGAAATAATATAATCAAAATGTTTATTGGCATTCTGTTAAATAGCTCTTAATAAACAGAAGTATGGGAGACAGTAAACAGCCAGTTACGACTAAATGGTTATGAATGTGAATGCATTGGTGAGAGACATGGTGTTTCTCTTTTTAAAAAATTTTATTTATTTAGAGACAAGATCTCTTTATGTTGCCTAGGTTGGTCTTAAACTCCTGGGCTCAAGAGATCCTTCCGCCTTGGCCTCCCAAAGTGCTGGAATTGCAGCTCCCAGTACTTTGGGAGGTGGGCAGATCACCTGAGGTCAGGAGTTCGAGAGCAGCCTGGCCAACATGGTGAAACCCCATCTCTACTAAGAATACAAAAATTGGGCCAGGCGTGGTGGCACATGCCTGTATTCCCAGCACTTTGGGAGGCCGACGTGGGCGGATCATGAGGTCAGGAGATCCAGACCATCCTGGCTAACACGGTGAAACCCCGCCTCTACTAAAGAAGTACAAAAAAATTAGCCGGGTGTGGCGGCGGGAGCCTATAGTCCCAGCTACTCAGGAGGCTGAGGCAGGAGAATGGCGTGAACCCAGGAGGCGGAGCTTGCAGTGAGCTGAGATCGTGCCACTGCACTCCAGCCTGGGCAACAGAGCGAGACTCCATCTAAAAAAAAAAAAAAAAAAAAAAAAATTGGCCAGGCATGGTGGTGGGTGCCTGTAATCCCAGCTACTTGGGAGGCTGAGGCAGGAGAATTGCTTGAACCCAGGAGGTGGAGGTTGCAATGAACTGAGATTGTGCCACCAGGCTCCAGCCCGGGCAATACAGCGAGACTCTGTCTCAAAAAAATAAATAAATAAATAAATAAATAAATCGTAATAATAATTATGGATTTGTCTATTTCTACTTTCAACCCTGTCAGTTTTTGCTGTGTGTGGGTGTGTGTGTGTTTTGGTTTTTTGGAGACAGAGTCTCGCTCTATTGCCCAGGCTGGAGTTCAATGTCACAATTATAACTCACTGTAATCTTGAACTCCTGGGCTCAAACCATCCTCCCACCTCAGCCTCCCAAGTAGGTGGAACTATAAGTGGGTGTCACCACACCTGGCTAATTTTTTCAATTTTTTTTGAAAGCCAGTGTGCTGGGATTATAGATGTGAGCTACCATGCCTGGCCTAGAATCTTTTCTGAACTGATTGGTAATGAAAATAGCAACCTATCAAAATTTGTGGGATGCAACTGAAACGATGATTAGAACTTTATCATCGTAAATTTTAAATTAGAAAAGTGTTTAAAAATCTAGAAATTTACCTGAAACTTCTACCTTAAACTAGAAAAAGAGCAAATTAAACTCAAAATGTGTCGAAGGAAGAAACTAATCAAAGAGGGGAATGCACAGAATAGAGTATGGACACGATGGAGAGAATCGGTGAGACCGAAACTTGGTTCTCTCAAAAGACGAGTTGGCAAAAACTCTAGATTGACTGATGGAGGGAAAAAGGGAAGGTCCAGGTACGTTACCATTTTCAGGGATGGGAGAGGAGTGTTCACAGGTACAGATGGTGCAGATAGTAACGGGCGATAAGGAACTTCTTGCTAATAAATTTTCCAGATTAGACAAATGGGCAAGTTCCTTTAAAGATAAAACTTATCTAAATTGACATGTGAAGAAATAAAAAAATCTGAGCCCTTTTATCTATTAAAGATACTGAATTTTTTAAAGTATAAAACATTCCAGGCTAGGGTTGGTGGCTGACACCTGTAATCCCATCACTTTGGGAGGTCAAGGCAGATCCATCACTTGAGCTCAGGTGTGTGAGACCAGCCTGGGCAATGTGGCAAAACCCCATCTCTACAAACAATACAAAAAAACTGTCCAAGTATAGTGGCACTCACCTGTGGTCACAGCTACTCGGGAGGCTGAGACGGGAGGATGGCTTGAACCCAGGAGGTCGAGGCTGCAGTGAGGTGAGATGACGCCACCGTACTCCAGCCTGGGTGACAAAGTGAGACCCTGTCTCAAAAAAAAAAAAAAGACAACCTCAGGCTGGGTGCGGTGGCTCATGCCGGTAATCCCAGCACTGTGGGAGGCCAAGGCGGGTGGACCACCTGAGGTCAGGAGTTCGAGACCAGCCTGGCCGACATGGTGAAACTCCGTCTCTATTAAAAATCACCATTTTTTTTTTTTTTTTTTTTTTTTAGGAAAAATGGACATTTTCCTCTCCCCCTAAAAAAAGATAAAACTCCTTCCTGGTTATTAACTGAAATGCTGATCGAGCTTTATCCTAAAGAAGATCAGTCGTGGACAAGAACCTTGTGAAATGTTCCCCATTTGAGACCCTAAAACTAATGAAAATCACAGCTTTTGGGTAGGTAATAAGGTGTTTTGTTTTGTTTTTTGAGACGGAGTCTTGCGCTGTCGCCCAGGCTGGAGTGCAGTGGCACCATCTCAGCTCACTGCAAGCTCTGCCTCCTGGATTCACTCCATTGTCCAGCCTCAGCCTCCTGAGTAGCTGGGACTACAGGCGCCCACCACCACGCCCGGCAAGTTTTTTTGTATTTTTAGTAGAGACGGGGTTTCACCGTGTTAGCGAGGATGGTCTTGATCTCCTGACCTCGCCATCTGCCCACCTCTGCCTCCCAAAGTGCTGGGATTACAGGCGTGAGCCACCGCGCCCAGCCAGTAATAAGGTTTGTCTGACGGTGATTGACAGCATTTTAGAGCTGATGCATGGCAGTAGAGATTGCAGCAAATCATGTGTCATCACCAAAACTTCACTGAAGAAGCAAAACTAGGCCTGTCACCCGTGCTGTCTGTGTACACAGATGGGCTTCAGAGCCTGTCACACGTGTTGTCCGTGTACACAGATGGGCTTCGGGGCCTGTCATACGTGCTGTTCGTGTACACAGACGGGCTCCTGGGCCTATCACCCGTGCTGTCCGTGTACACAGATGGGCTTCGGGGCCTGTCACACGTGTTGTCCGTGTGCACAGATGGGCTTCGGGGCCTGTCACACGTGTTGTCCGTGTACACAGACGGGCTTCAGAGCCTGTCACACGTGCTGTTCGTGTACACAGACGGGCTCCTGGGCCTGTCACACGTGCTGTCCGTGTACACAGATGGGCTTCGGAGCCTGTCACACGTGTTGTCCGTGTACACAGATGGGCTTCGGGGCCTGTCACACGTGTTGTCCGTGTACACAGATGGGCTTCGGGGCCTGTCACACGTGTTGTCCGTGTGCACAGATGGGCTTCGGGGCCTGTCACACGTGTTGTCCGTGTGCACAGATGGGCTTCGGGGCCTGTCACACGTGTTGTCCGTGTGCACAGATGGGCTTCGGGGCCTGTCACACGTGTTGTCCGTGTGCACAGATGGGCTTCGGGGCCTGTCACACGTGTTGTCCGTGTGCACAGATGGGCTTCGGGGCCTGTCACACGTGTTGTCCGTGTGCACAGATGGGCTTCGGGGCCTGTCACACGTGTTGTCCGTGTGCACAGATGGGCTTCGGGGCCTGTCACACGTGTTGTCCGTGTGCACAGATGGGCTTCGGGGCCTGTCACACGTGTTGTCCGTGTGCACAGATGGGCTTCGGGGCCTGTCACACGTGTTGTCCGTGTGCACAGATGGGCTTCGGAGCCTGTCACACGTGTTGTCCGTGTACACAGACAGGCTCCTGGGCCTATCATGTGTGCTGTCTTTGTAAACAGTCAGGATCCCAGGACTATCACGCGTGCTGTCCATGTACACAGGCAGGCTCCTGAGCCCATCACACGTGCTGTCCGTGTACACAGATGGGCTTCAGAGCCTGTCACACGTGTTGTCCATGTACACAGACAGGCTCCCGGGCCTATCATGTGTGCTGTCTGTGTACACAGGCAGGCTCCTGAGCCCATCACGCGTGCTGTCCGTGTACACAGGCTCCTTTCCATTGAAGTTCAGCTTGGCATAGAGCTTTTTATGAATTCGATTTGTCAAACACCTCAAAATAAGAATTTTTTTTCTTAGGAAGTCAGCATGAGTTAATAAAAGTAAATTGGGTGTTGGCCGGGCGCGGTGGCTCACGCCTGTAATCCCAGCACTTTGGGAGTCTGAGGCGGGCAGATCACCTGAGGTCAGGAGTTCGAGACCAGCCTGGCCAACATGATGAAACCCCATCTGTACTAAAAATACAAAAATTAGCCTGGCATGGCGGCACATGCCTGTAGTCCCAGTTACTCGGGAGGCTGAGGCAGGAGAATCACTTGAATCCGGGAGGCGGAGGTTGCAGTGAGCCAAGATCATGCGATTGCTCTCCAGCCTGGGCAACAGAGCAAGACTCCATCTCAAAAAAAGAAAAAAAAAAAAGTAAATTGGGTGTTGTGGCGTGTGCCTGTAGTCCCAGCTCCTGGGGAGGCTGAGGCAGGAGGATCCCTTGACCACAGGAATTTGAGGCCAGCCTGGGCAACACAGTGAGACCCTATCTCTAAAAACAGACAAGTAAACCAGCACCCAGCTTCACTAAGAGACATCATCATTAGTTGAATGTTGGAGATGGTGTAGATCCAATTTACCAGTGACCACCCACAGGTTAGAAACATTTCAACAATAGGCTTTGTTTCAGCTTTCTTCCTTTACTGCAGGGTGCAAGGCAGCCGGCCCATGCCTAGGCCCCAGCTTCGCCAGCAAAGGCCAGGCAGAAGGAGGCATCACCATGAGAATCACCATCATGGTGCTGCTGGGATGGGACAAACCTCGTTTTGGTGGAGTGTCAGTGTTTTCAAGTTAGGGGCTCTGTTTACATAACACGTCTATACTGCCATGGATTTTCTCAACGGGCGTAAGTTGCTCCTGACTTGTCTCAGCGGGCGTTTAAGATGCTCCTGAATCGTATCCTTGTCATGTGGGAGCCTCCATTGGAGAGAAAGCCGACTGACCGGCAAGCACAGACCTGCCCTGTGCTTTCTTCTCTTCAGCAACCGCAGCCGGGGTGTCTGTCTTCCCAGGTGCAGCCGAGTCTCAATTCTGTTTCAGAAACTATCTCAGGGCTATGGGGCTTGGAGCTGATTGTGTTTTCTGAGGTTTGTGGTTTTCAAGATGTTTTAAATTAAACAGGCAGTTTTATTTATTTTTGAACCTTAGTGCATCCGATTGGATCCATCAGAATCTCCTAGTTCATAAAGAATTGTTGATGCTGGTCTCTGTTAGCTTTTTTTTTAAAAAATTTAGAGCTAGAGTCTTGCTCTGTTGCCCACGCTGGAGTGCCGTTGTGTGATCATGGCTCACTCCAGGTTCCAGATTCCAGGACTGCTGGGCTCACGCAGTCCTCCTCAGCCGCCTGAGTAGCTGGGACTCAAGAGGTGTGTGCCACCACACCCTGCTAATTTTTTGTAGAGATGGGGTCTCACTGTATTGCCTAGGCTGGTTTCAAGCTCCTGGGCTCAGATGATCCTCCTGCCTCAGCCTCCCAAAGCGCTGGGATTATAGGCATGAGCCACCACACCCAATCTGTTAGCCTCTTTTTTTTTTGTTTTCTTGAAATGGAATCTCGCCTTATCACCCAGGCTGGAGTGCAGTGGCATAATCTTGGCTCGCTGCAACCTCTGCCTCCCGGATTCAAGCAATTCTCCTGCCTCGGCCTCCCGAGTAGCTGGGATTACAGGCACGCGCCACTGCACCTGGCCGATTTTTTTATTTTCAGTAGAGACGGGATTTCACCATGTTGGTCAGGCTGGTCTTGAATTGCTGACCTCGTGATCCACCCACCTCGGCCTCCCAAAGTGCTGGGATTACAGGGGTGCACCGCCACCGTGCCCGGTCAGCCTCTCACTAGCTGAGGAGCCAGAACTTTTCCTGTTCTTACCCTTCTCCCACTGCCTGTCTCCCCTCCAATCTGTATGTGAATGTATGTTGTGAGGTTTTATCCATTTAATATTATACTCCTAAGATTCATCCATATTGTGTGTTCAGTGGTGGTTCATTCATTCATTCATTCTCACTGCTATAAAAAGGTTCCAGACTTGGCGTGGTGGCTCACGCCTGTAACTCCAGCTCTTTGGGAGGCTGAGGCAGGAGGATCGCTTGAGGTCAGGAGCTCAAGACCAGCCTGGGCAATGTGTTGAGACCCCCATCTCTACAAAAAAATTTAAAAAATTAGCCAGGCATGGTAGCTCACGCCTGTAGTTCCAGCTACTTGGGAGGCTGAGGCAGGAGGATGCTTGAACCCAGGAGGCCAAGGCTGCAGTGAGCCAAGATCACACTGCTGCACTGCAGCCTGGATGACAGAGCGAGACTCTGTCTCAAAAAGAGAGAGAGAAGGTTTCATCGTATGAATTATTTTTATCGTATGTCATTTTGTTTTTCTATTTTGAGATGGAGTCTTGCTCTGTTGCCCAGGCTGGAGGGTAGTGGTGCGATCTTGACTCACAGCAACCTCTGCCTCCCGGGTTCAAACGATTATACCACTTCAGCCTCCCAAGTAGCTGGGATTACAGGCTCCTGCCACTGTGCCTGGCTAATTTTTGTGTTTTTAGTAGAGACAGGGTTTCGCCATGTTGGCCAGGCTGGTCTTGAACTCCTGACCTCAAGTGATCCGCCTGCATCAACCTCCCAAAGTGCTGGGATCACAGGCGCGAGCACCTCGCCTGGCCTATCATTTTCATTAGGAAAAGTTTGTAGGTTGATGGGTCCTTGGTGCCTTTTTTTCCTGCCTGCTGCTGGAGAGGAGCTGAGGCTTGAGGAGAAAGGAGGAAGAAGGAACTTTAATGCATTGGCTGAATATATATATTTAACGTTTTGTCCTGCAGATGGTCCTCTGTAAATGGAGTAAATTACAATATTTGAGGAGTCTTCCTTACCTCATCTCTGAAGGCAGAGATACCCCATAGCCTCGGGGCCCCGGCTTTCTGTAGAGCTGCTGACAAAGTCCCCCTGAGCCAGAGCTGAGTCACTGCTGTGTCCAACAGTCTCGGGTTCTTGCATCTTTCCCGTCCAGCGTCTCGCACTGACCCTGGGGGTCCCCAACGCAAGCCCGTTCACATCTCACTATTCATATCTCAGCATGAGCGTTCACACTGTAAGTAACGCCCTGGCTCTTCTCCAACCTGTTTTTCCAGATAAACATTGACGATCTTGAGGATGACCCTGTGGTGAACGGGGAGAGGTCTGGCTGTGCGCTCACAGACGCTGTGGCACCAGGGAACAAAGGAAGGGGTCAGCGTGGAAACACAGAGAGCAAGACGGATGGAGATGACACCGAGACAGTGCCCTCAGAGCAGGTGGGGGGCTGAGTGGTGAGGAGGTGGCATCAGACGGGAGAGTTCCAAGGCACCCAGCCACGTGTATCCTGTGCTGTGATTTTCCTTGGAGGTGTAATTTTCCGAGTTCCATTTTGGTTACCTGCTAGTTGCCCCCAAATTTACTTGGGAACCTTGATGAGATTTGCATGAAATGAGTGAAGGTCGCAGGCCTTTCTCCTGCATCTCAGGAGAGTCTGCGCCTGCCCAGCAGTGTATGTAACCGCACACGTGTGTCCCTCCTAGCCAACCGCGCACGTGTGTCCCTCCTAGCCGACCGCGCACGTGTGTGCCTCCTAGCCGACCGCGCACGTGTGTCCTTCCTAACTGTGCCCCGAACGTTTGCTTGGCTGGGTTGTGGATCTGGGTGCTGGTGTAAGTGAACTTTGAAGAAACATGCAGGTCAGGTTAACGTGGGATGGGCAGAGATGCAGACAGCCTGCTGCTGTGCTCCACAGCACAGAAGAGGGGCCCTAAAAGGAGAGCTTGTGTTCATTTATCCAACAAGTGTTCTTGGGAGCTTGCTGGGTGCTGGGAACGTGCCTTTGCCCCCCAGGAGCCTCTGGTTGGGAGGGCAACATACATGTGAAGTGACAGGTGGGTCCTGACTTGAGGCTCAGGGTCCTGGGGGCTTCCTGAGGAGCCTTCCTACTGTCAGAAGGGGTTGGCCAGGTGCAGGCGTAGGGGACCACACATACAGGTGCGGTGTGAGGCGGCCAGGGCACAGCAAGGCCCCCGTCTTCAGGGTGGCTGCAGTGTGGCAGGGAGTGGCCGACACAGGGAGGAATGAGAGCTGGACCTGGTCAGGGTCCTGTGAGCCTGTGAGGCTGGACACAGAAGGCCCTGGGGACTGCTGTAGCACAGCCCGAGGGGCTCGGAGAGGTGGGAAGGTGCCTGCTGGAGAGAAGAGAGTGAGTTGAAGGAACTTTTGGGACACGGAGGGAGAGGTAGGGGCTGCTTAGGTGAGGGTGGAGTCACGCTTGCTGCTTTAATTCTCACTTCTTAAGATTTACTTCTCATTCTACTGATGAAAATGTGTTTCTATCATTAGTCTCATGCAAGTGGCAAACTCCGGAAGAAGAAAAAAAAACAGAAAAACAAGAAAAGCAGCACGGGAGAAGCATCGGTACGTGAGTTGGGCCTGGCTGTGCTCTGTCCCTCTGCCTGACGCCCCTCTCCCTCTGCCTGACGCCCTCTCCCTCTGCCTGACGCCCTCTCCCTCTGTCTGACGCCCTCTCCCTCTGCCTGACGCCCTCTCCCTCTGCCTGACGCCCTCTCCCTCTGCCTGACGCCCTCTCCCTCTGTCTGACGCCCTCCGTCTGCCTGACGCCCTCTCCCTCTGCCTGACGCCCCTCTCCCTCTGCCTGACGCCCCTCTCCCTCTGCCTGACGCCCTCTCCCTCTGCCTGACGCCCTCTCCCTCTGCCTGACGCCCCTCTCCCTCTGTCTGACGCCCTCTCCGTCTGCCTGACGCCCTCTCCCTCTGCCTGACGCCCTCTCCCTCTGCCTGACGCCCCTCTCCCTCTGCCTGACGCCCTCTCCCTCTGCCTGACGCCCTCTCCCTCTGCCTGACGCCCTCTCCCTCTGCCTGACGCTCTCTCCATTCTCTTCTGGCTGTTTTCCAAGGTGGTGTTGAAAGAAGCTTACTTAGTATTTTTATTCCTTCCTATTAGGAGTATAACTAAGAGATCAGGGAAAAAGAAAAGGGAAAGTTACTTTCTAAATGCTGCTTCTTGTTTTTACCCTTGTTCCTCGACTGGTTGGCGCTCTGCTCTGTGTCTCTGTGGGAATGTGTGATCTGATGGGGACATCCCTTCTAGTTCTGGTGCTCCTGTGACCCGTGGGACACTTGCTGTTTGCCCTGACATCTGTCCCATGCTTATGGGTTAATTGCATGGTGGGTACAGAACCCTCCACTGGAGCTAGTCTGTCATCAGAAAAAAATATGTTTTCATCATTGCCCTTCGTCCTCGTCTGACTGTGTCCTGAGACAAGGGTGTAGCTTTGTTGCCGTTTAGTTGGAGCCACAAGTCCCAACCCTGTTTGCCTGAGGAGGTGAGCACACCAGTGTGATGTGGAATGCCCAGTTTTTTCTAGGGTCCTTCTGGTTCTGTGATTCTGTCTATGCTGAGCGCTTCTTAGGAAACATCTCTTCTTTTTTCTAAATGTGTGGATGGTACATAGTGTTTGACTTATGCTGTCCTTTAGGAAGTAAATACAGTGTAATAGGTCTCTTTTAAGATAAATAATTTTGTTATTGTTACAATATTTAAAATAATGTCAGTGTGGTGATTAAGAGGTTGTTTTGGGGCTTTTAGGAAAACGGACTAGAAGATATCGATCGCATCCTAGAGAGGATTGAGGACAGCACTGGGTTGAACCGTCCCGGCCCAGCTCCCCTGAGCTCCAGGAAGCACGTTCTCTACGTGGAGCACAGGTGTGGCCCCCGCCCTTCTCTGCGGCTGCCCTTCTCTGCGGCTGCCCTTCTCTGCGGCTGCCCTTCTCTGCGGCTGCCCTTCTCTGTGGCTGCCACAGAGACTTCGTGGGAGGAAAAGGTTCTCTAAAAAAGGAAAAATAAAATGTACTGTCTTTATTTAAAAATCATATGAGTTTATTGGCTGGGCGTGGTGGCTCACGCCTGTAATCCCAGCACTTTGGGAGGCCAAGGCAGGCGGATCATGAGGTCAGGAGATCGAGACCATCCTGGCTAACATGGTGAAACCCCCTCTCTACTAAAAATACAAAAAATTAGCTGGGCGTGGTAGCGGGCGCCTTATAGTCCCAGCTACTCGGGAGGCTGAGGCAGGAGAATGGCGTGAACCCAATAGGTGGAGCTTGCAGTGAGTCGAGATTGTGCCACTGCACTCCAGCCTGGGCAACACTGCGAGACTGTGTCTCAAAAAAATAATAATAATAATAATATGAGTTTGTTATTACTCATTTAGGAAATAGGCCGGGCCCGGTGGCTCACGCCTGTAATCCCAGCACTTTGGGAGGCTGAGGTGGGCAGATCACCTGAGGTCAGGAGTTTGAGACCAGCCTGACCAAGATGGAGAAACCCCATCTCTAGTAAAAGTACAAAATTAGCCAGGCGTGGTGGCGCATGCCTGTAATCCCAGCTACTCAGGGGGCTGAGGCCAGAAAATTGCTTGAACCTGGGAGGCGGAGGTTGCGGTGAGCTGAGATTGTGCCACTGCACTCCAGCCTGGGCAACGAGCAAAACTCCGTCTCAAAAAAAAGAAAAAAAAAATACAAAAATTAGCTGGATGTGGTGGTGGGTGCCTGTAATCCCAGCCACTCAGGAGGCTGAGGCAGGAGAATCGCTTGAACCCGGGAGGCAGAGGTTGCAGTGAGCCGAGATCGAGATCGCGCCACTGCACTCCAGCCTGGGTGATACAGCGAGACTCTGTCTCCCGACAAAAGGAAATAGGAACAAGGAGGAAAGGAAGTCATCCATATTTCAGAGAACTTCTAGTTTTACTTCTTATGTATATTAGAGAGTTCCTTCTTTTTCTTTTTTTTAAGAGACAGGATCTCTCTATCACCCAGGCTGGAGTTCAGTGGTGTGATCATAGCCCACTGCAGCCTCGACCTCCTGGGCTCAGGAGATTCTCTTGCCTCAGTCTCCCAAAATGCTGGAATTACAGGTGTGAACCACCACGTCTGGTCAAAAAGTTCCTCCTTACCCTGTCATCCTTGGATGATTAATTCATCTCTTGGTCTTACAGATGCTTAATGAATCGCTGTCCCTACTTCAGAAATTATTGCCAGCTTAAAAAAAAAAAAGCTCCGTGGAGTCAGTTAAGACGCAGTAGTGTAGTCCCAGGGTGCGTGCACTGCCCCGACTCAGCCTCAGAAACAGACGTGTGCCACACACAGTGCCTCTTGACACAGCACTCACCGAGCGCCCTCACGGCACAGTGACGGCAGCTTCCCCATGGTGCCCGCAGTGGCGAGGCCTCAGCTGTGGTTGGGGTGGTGATTTTAGAGAAAGGCCTGGAAGCTGCCTTTCAAACCAAAAATCCGTGTTCTCTCCTTGACTATTAGGTGGCTTTCTGAAGCTTTTGGAATCGTCTTAGAACATAATTTCATGTTTTTTTTCTACAATTTTCAATTCCCCAGACACTTGAATCCAGACACAGAACTGAAAAGGTATTTTGGTGCCCGGGCAATCCTGGGGGAGCAAAGGTAAGGTCCACAGTGAGCTGCATTCTCACAGCTGCTTCATTCCTTCTTAGACTCTTGGCCGGGGGTGGTGTTCCTGAAGCTAGTTTACCCTTGAGGGAGAGTATTTAAAGCCAGAGTGCACACGTAACCCTTAGAATTGGGGTCTGAATGGGAGTCCACAGATTGTCTGTGTATAACCTTGTCTGTGACCGTGGGTTGTAGAGATGCTCAGAGTAGCTGGTCTCCATCCCTCACACTGCCTTGTCCAGCATGAGGTTTCAAAAGCCATGCCGAGTGCAGTGCTCACGCCTGTAATCCCAGCACTTTGGGAGGCTGAGGCGGACAGATCACCTGAAGTCAGGAGTTTGAGACCAGCTGGGCAACATAGTGAAACCCCGTCTCTACTGAAAATACAAAAATTAGCTGGGCGTGGTGGGCAGGCATCTGTAATCCCAGCTACTCAGGAAGCTGAGGCGGGACATTCGCTTGAACCCAGGAGGCAGAGGTTGCAATGAGCTGAGATCACACCACTGCACTCCAGCCTGGCCGACAGAGCGAGACCGTGTCTCAAAAAAAAGTTTTCAAAAGCTGTTAAATTTTAAGATTCTAGTTTTGTCGTGGTGGCTCACGCCTGTAATCCCAGCACTTTGGGAGGCCAAGGCGGGCGGATCACCTGAGTTCACGAGTTCGAGATCAGCCTGACCAACATGGAGAAACCCCGTCTCTACTAAAAATACAAAAAATTAGCCAGGCATGGTCGTGCATGCCTGTAATCCCAGCTACTCAGGAGGCTGAGGCAGGAGAATCGCTTGAAACCGGAGGCAGAGGTTGCGGTGAGCTGAGATCGTGACGTTGCACTCCAGCCTGGGCAACGAGAGCGAAACTCCATCTCAAAAAAAAAAAAAAGATTCTAGTTTTGCTTCTCAGAGCAAAACTAATGTGAAGGTCAGGTTCTGAGATAAGTTTCTTTCTCTCTTTCTTTCTTTTTTTTTTTTTTTGAGGCAGATTCTTGCTCTGTCGCCCAGGCTGGAATGCAGTGGTGTGATCCTGGCTCACTGCAACCTCCGCCTCCTGGGTTCAGGCAATTCTGCCTCAGCCTCCCGAGTAGCTGGGATTGCAGGTGCACGCCACCACGCCCAGCTAATTTTTTTTTTTTTTTTTTTTTTTTTTAGTAGAGACGGGGCTTCACCATGTCGGCCAGGCTGGTCTCGAACTCCTGACCTCAGGTGATCCACTTGCCTTGGCCTCCCAAAGTGCTGGGATTACAGGCGTGAGCCATGGCGCCCGGCCCAGATAAATTTCATCTGTGTCCATTCAGTAGTTCTTAGCAGTTGGGCAGCCCCAGATGAGGATGGCTGGCTGCGATGGGGAGCACAGGGTCTTTCAGCTCCTTAGAGGAGGAAGAGCAGGGGGGGTGTCTGCTTCTGGGACTTTATGTAGGAGGTATATTCCACCTCTGGACTCTCCATCGAAGTGTCCAGAAGGCTTTGTCTTTTTTTTATTTATTTATTTTTATTTTTTTATTTTTTAGAGACAGGGTCTTGCTGGGTTGTCCAGTCTGGTTTTGAACTCGTGGCCTCAAGTGATCCTCCCATCTCAGTCTCCCAAATAGCTGGGACTACCGGCACATGCCACCGCTAATTTATTTTATTTTATTTTTTATAGAAACAAGGTCTTACTTTGTTGCCCAGGGTGATGTCAAACTCCTGGCTTCAAGCGATTCTCCTCCCTCTACCTCCTAAAGTGCTAGGATTACAGGCATGAGCCACCACGCCCAGCCAGACACATCCTGTTTTATTGGACCATGGAGAGTATTGCTGGTCTATAACATGCCCTGGGTTTGCACGTCTGAGTTCTTTTTTTTTTTTTTCGAGACAGAATTTTGCTCTTGTTGCCCAGGCTGGAGTGCAATGGCTCAATCTTGGCTCACCACAACCTCCGCCTCCCGGGTTCAAGTGATTCTCCTGCCTCAGCCTCCTGAGTAGCTGGGATTACAGGCATGTGCCACCATGTCCAGCTAATTTTGTGTTTTTAGTAGAGATGGGGTTTCTCCATGTTGGTCAGGCTCGTCTCGAACTCCCAACCTCAGGTGATCCACCCGCCTCAGCCTCCCGAAGTGCTGGGATTACAGGTGTGAGCCACCGTGCCTGGTCTGCACGTCTGAGTTCTAAGCATTGTTTTCTTTTTTTGAAATGGAGTCTCGCTCTGTCACCTAGGCTCTGGAGCTCAGTGGTGCGATCTCAGCTCACTGCAACCTCCGCCTCCTGGGTTCAAACGATTCTCCTGCCTCAGCTTCCCAAGTAGCTGGGATTACAGGCGAGTGCCACCATGCTCGGCAAATTTTTGTATTTTTGGTAGAGACGGGGTTTCACCATGTTGGCCAGGCTGGTCTCGATCTCCTGACCTCAAGTGATCCGCCAGTCTCGGCCTCCCAAAGTGCTGGGATTACAGCCCTGAGCCACTGCGCCCGGCCTCCCAAAGTGCTGGGATTACAGGCGTGAGCCACCACACCCAGCCTAAGTGTTGTTTCTGCACCATGGTATACCCAGGTCATTTCCTCACCCCAATGGTAGCATGTGTCCAGATGTTGGCTACAGTCCCCGGTGTCTGCAGGCATTTCTGTGAAACTGCCCAAGAATGAGTATATATCCTGCATGCTGCCAGTGCCTTCAGTAGAGTTACGTGGCTCACACTGAGTGTCTGCCCAGGTCCTTCACCTTCTTACTCGTAGTCGACGGTAGTGGTTTGGAAACCTGCCGTCGTGTGTGGGCAGAAGTGTTGGGGTTTTGATTGTGGGTAGATCAAGGATGTTTTCATATGCTGTTGTTCACGCCTTCCCTGGATTTCTAACAGGTTTTGCTTTATATTTTACTTTACATTTTTGGTGTTGATGGGTTTCTTCGGGAATATTAATTAAAAATAGACTTTAAAATGTCACTTTGTCATCTGCATTTCTCTGAGCTGAGGGTTCCACCTCGTCCCACCCTTTGTTTGCATCTGCTTGGTCTGTCTTGGTCATTTCTTTATATTTTTGCATGGTTTTATTTCTGCAAATTATAATTATTAATAGTAATTAGTATTATAACTGTTAATACTGATTACTCGTAGTAATTAGTTGACAATAATTGCCTTTATTATTTTTATAGTATTATTAAACTTTTTTGTTTATTTATTTCTTTAAAAATTTAAGTCCTACCAAAAGACTTACATGGAGAAGCCACAGTTTCCTTTTTATTCATTCCTTGTCCTGCTCCTCCAAGACAAAGACCTGGCCTGTTTCCATTTCTCCTTCTGGTGGTTCTCTCAGAAGCTCAGAATAACAGGCACTGCTTTCTCTTGGGTCCTTGACTTCCTACTACGACAGCCCGGTCAGCTCATCGCCCCCGCACTTCAGCACACTCCTCCCATTGCTCAGGGCGCCTGCCAGCCTTCAGAGCTCCTCCAGGCTCCTGTCCCCTGCCCCCTCCTGGCATCTGCCCAGGCTGCCTCGTTGGGTCTGTTCTGGAGGCTTCCTTACTTGTTTTGTGGGATAGCTCACCGCAGGTCAGGCCATCCCTGGGATTCTGTACATCTGGCCCAGGAGAGTGCTGAAGGGCTGACTCTCCTAGGCCTGGGCGTGTGCTACAGGCAGGAGAAGCAGGCTGGGGCCACCTTCATGTCAGGAGGGCCCACCACACTGGCCTCCACTCTGCGGTGGCTGAACTGTGGGGAGCCCGGGGCCAGGGCAGGGATGGCCCCGTGGGAAGGGAGCTGCACCGTGCTGATGGTGACCGTGGGCATGGCTGCTGCTGTCTGTGCTGCCGCGGCTGCCACGCCCCACCTGTCTGGTGCCTGTGTGCTCAGGCAGAGTGCCCTGACCTCTGTTATTTGGGGGTCTCTGCCACAGGGGTCAGGCCCACTCTAAGCACTGGTCAGCTGGTATCTGAGCTGGGCAGGTGGGGCAGCATGGAAAAGGCATGGAGCTGCTGTTACCTCAGAGATGGTTGGTTTCTTAAGTTGAGTGATGGGCATGTGGATATTAGTACGTTGTTCTCTTTCTTTTCGTTTTCTTTTTTTATTTTCCTCTTGAGACAGGGCCTTGCTCTGTCGTCCAGGCTGGAGTGCTGGGATCACAGGTGCAGGCCATCACGCCAGGCTAATTTTTAAAACCCTTTGTAGAAATGGGGTTTTGCTGTCTTGCCCAGGCCAGTCTCGAACTCCTGGGTTCAAGAAATTCTCCCATCTTGGCCTCTCAAAGTGCTGGGATTACAGGTGTGAGCCCCCGTGCCCAGCCAGAATTGTTTCTTTCTCTCTATGGGGCCCTCCCTGCTGCACCCGTCCCACAGCAGTTGCTGACGCTTGTTTGCATCCTGTCCTTAATGCGTCCCCACCCTGCCCCACATGCCTTCTCTGCCCCTCAGTTTTGCTTCCACAGCCCGTGCAGGGATCAGGCAGCCAAGCCTTGGTCCCCACACGCCACAGGAAGTAAAGCTGTACCTGTGTCCCGTTCTCCCCAGGCCACGGCAGAGACAACGTGTGTACCCCAAGTGCACATGGCTGACCACCCCTAAAAGCACCTGGCCCCGCTACAGCAAACCAGGTGAGGGTCTGCAGATGCTGCTGGGGATGGAGGGTTGGGGGGCGTTGTCTGTGCACTGGCCCCGGTACAGCAAACCAGGTGAGGGTCTGCAGAGGCTGCTGGGGGTGGAGGGCGGCGGGGGGGTGTGTTCTGTGCACTGGCCTGCGCTGGGCACCAGGGGCGTCAGTGCCTCTTGAGCCGAGACTCTTTGCTCCAGGAGCGCTCCAGGAGTGTGCAGTGTGTGACTGTTTGTTGCCACACTGAGGGCCTGAGTGCTGGAGGCCTGGCCCAGTACCTCAACACGGAGCCTCCCAGGCACAGTCTTTGTGTGACTGTCTTTTAACGCAGGTTCTTCCTACCATTCTGCCATCGACCTTTCCCTTATGGAAGCAATCGAGTTCATTTTAAACTGCAATATTTTGTATATTATTGCAAACTAATAAGTGATTTTAAGATGAATTGCAACAGTGAAGACAGGCATGGAGTGTTGGGTGCTTGGTTGTGTGGTGTGGGGAAGTGTCAGGAGGCCTTCCACACTGGCCTCCACTCTGCAGTGGCTGAACTGTGGGGGCCCTCAGGGGCCAGGGCAAGGACAGCTTGTGGGAAGGGAGCTGTGTGGTGCCCTTGGTGATCGGCATGGCTGCTGCTGTCAGCGCTGCCATGGCTCCCACGGCCGCTTCTCCTGCGCCTGTGTCTGTGGGGGTGCCGGAGATTGCCTGCATACATTCTGTAAGGACACATCTAGGAGCGAGGCCTGTGCTGTCAGAAGGTGAACCCCGCTGCTCACGGCCCCTTCCCTTCCTGGCAGGAACCCCTGCTCACTGCAGACAGGGGTTCCATGGCCATGTATTCCTGCAGGACTGGGGCCTTGGGCAGGGCCATCAAGAAGGTATCACTACAGGGGACCTAGTCCATGGAGGTCCTGGGAGGCTGAGCTTTCCAGGTTTATCAGAAGAAACTGGGTCCCATACACCCAGTCAGACAAGAGGAGCCAAGTGAGAGGGTGGTCACACGTTACAAAGCTCTGTGGCTTCAGAGGCCTGGCGCTGTGGCCACCTGTGCCACCGCACTCCAACCCTGTCCTTCCACAGCCACCCCGGACATTCTCCTCAATCAGACGTGGTCTGGGGACAGTGCTCGGCGTGGTCAGATCTGGCGATCTGTGGACTGTGTGTGTCCTTGTCCCTGACATTCCCTCCAGGCCAGTGGGGCTAGAGCTGTATCCGAGTTCTGGAGGCAAACACGTCTTGATAGGAAACTAAAGCAGACGGGATGCCGTCTCCTGGTGTAGACCAGACGGCGGGTGTTTTGGGAAGGTGTCCGGAGCTGGTGACACCCATGAGTACACACTCAGGTCAAGTTTGTCGATATCGCAGAGGCCTCATCCAGAACACCACGAAGGTGAGGGCTGTGCTCGGAGCTGCCCACGTCCCTGCTCCCGGCACACCCTCCCTGAGCACTCTCCCCTCCCAGGTCTGTCCATGCGGCTGCTGGAATCAAAAAAAGGCCTCTCCTTCTTTGCGTTTGAGCACAGTGAGGAGTACCAGCAGGCTCAGCACAAGTTCCTGGTGGCCGTGGAGTCTATGGAGCCGAACAACATCGTGGTGCGTGGTCCCTGCAGCCCCTGACAGGAGCAGGGGCCATGTAGCCACCACTGCCCTGGGCCGCCTGCTTCCCTGGTGGCTGGGGGAGGCATGCTGCCTCCTGCCCTTCCCAACAGGAAGGGTGCCAGTCTCTGCAGGGCGGTCTGGCCCTGTGACCAGAAGGAGATGTGTTCGGAGGCTCTAGGCCAAGCGAGCTCCATCCATACTCAGAGGAGAGGCTGGAGCGCTGCTCTCTCAGCCGTTCCTGGGGACCGTCGCAGTAGTGCCGTGTGATGCAGGCCCAGGACTCTGGGGCTTCTCACTGCTGCCCTTGCCTCCTGCGGCTCAGTGCAGGCGAGCAGCTCAGATTCCCGGCCCCCGTGCAGCCCCCGGACGGCCCCCACACGGCCCCGGACGGCCCCCGCGCAGCCCCAGACAGCCCCGGACCTGGACAGTCCCCGTACAGCCCCGGTGCAACCCTGGACAGCCCTCATGCAGCCCCTGGACAGCTCCCCTTGCAGCCCCGGACGGCCCCCGCGCAGCCCCAGACAGCCCCCGGGCGGCCCTCACGCAGCCGCCGGACAGCTCCCCTTGCAACCCCGGACAGCCTCCGCAGAGCTCCCCGTCATCTCCCTGTGGGAAAAGCAGGCTGCTGCTTTCCATTCCTCTTTCTTGGGGCTTAGTGGGGAGTTAGGTGGCCCCTGGCCTGGGCATGTCAGGTTCTGAGTTCTTGCTTTAAGTCATATAATTGGTTCAGCTTAGCAATAATAACTAGCCTATTTTGAGTTGGGGGGACGTTGTGAGTGTCGACCCGGTAATTCCCCCGTTTTTGTTTTTGTTTTTGGAGTCGGAATCTCACTCTGTCGCCTAAGCTAGAGTGCATTGGCGCAGTCTCGGCCCGGGTTCAAGCGATTCGCCTGCCTCAGCCTTCCGAGTAACTGGAATTACAGGCACACGCCACCACACCCGGCTAATTTTTGTATTTTTATTAGAGACCAGGTTTTGCCACGTTGGCCAGGCTGGTCTTGAACTCCTGATATCAAGTGATCCTCCTGCCTCAGCCTCCCAAAGTGGTGGGATTACAGGCGTGAGCCACTGCGCCCAGCCTCCGCTGGTTTTAAATGTCTGAAAAAAAGGCATGCCTGGGAGCTGGGGCCTTGCTGAGTGCCTTTCCTCCAGGGCTGTCCTCCCTTCTGGTAGGTTCTGCTCCAGACGAGCCCTTACCACGTTGACTCACTCCTGCAGCTCAGCGATGCCTGCCGCTTTCAAGAGGATCAGGAGATGGCTCGAGACCTCGTAGGTAAGGCAGAGCCCCCACCCCATTCCCCTCAGCTGTGGGAGCACCTCAAGCTATCAAGACAGATGCGATGGTGTAAGATGACAGGGGTTGCCAGGATATCCATGACAGCTTTATTGAGATACAACCTACGTAGCACAAAACTTACCCATTTAAAGTTTTTGTTTGTTGGTGTTTAATATATGCCACAGCCTCCCGAGTAGCTGGGACTACAGGCGCCCGCCACCAGACCTGGCTAATTTTTTGTATTTTTAGTAGAGATGGGGTTTCACCGTGTTGGCCAGGATGGTCTCGATCTCCTGACCTTGTGATCCACCCACCTCAGCCTCCCAAAGTGCTGGGATTACAGGCATGAGCCACCACGCCCCGCCCTCTGGCTTTTATTTACAATGAAGTTTTCAAGGTTCATCCTCACTGTAGCGTCGATCAGAACGTCGTTCGTTTTTATGGCTTAGTAATACTCCACTGTGTGGACGGACCACATGTTGTGTATCCATCATTAGTTGACGGCCGTGTGGGCTGTTGTAAATAATAGTGCTTACGTCAGCATGCACACGCAGTCTTAGGTGGACACATCTGTGCTGCACACATGGACGCCTGGTTCTGTCAGGACGTGGCAGCAGTTGTGCCTCATGGTGTTGAAAGTGTTACCATGTCAAGCTCACAAGTTCTGTGGTTGAAATAAATGCAGCGTGGCATCCAGGGTGCCCAGGGGCATGTCTGCCCTCTCAGTGTCCAGGACTCTAGTTTCGTGACCTTCCGTCCAGACCTTTCCTTGTTGTCCATTATCAGAGGAGGGGCCGTGGTTGCTGTGTGTGGCCATGACACCCTCCCCTGGCGTCCCTGTGCCCACAGAGAGAGCGCTGTACAGCATGGAATGTGCGTTCCACCCCCTGTTCAGTCTCACCAGTGGGGCCTGCCGGCTGGATTACCGCAGACCCGAGAACAGGTGAGTGCAGCTGCCCTGGAGGTGACGCAGCTCCCCTTCCCTTCTCCTGCGAGTGAGGCTGGGGGAGGTGCAGTGGGCACCTCATGGCTGCCCTCCAGGGTGGACCAGGGCCCACAGGTCCAGAGTGACCCACCTTCCTCTCTCTGGGCTTAAGGATAGAGGGATGGGATTGTCTCAGCCCAGGTTTACCTTTGTCTGTGGACATGCCTGATGCTACTGTGGAGGTCAGAGTGGGAGGTCTGCTGAGCCCAGGAGTTCAAGTCCAGCCTGGGCACCATAGTGAGACCCCCATCTCTTAAAAAAATAAAAATAAAAATAAATGTTTGTGTTAGAAGTGAGCCTGGCTGGGCACAGTGGTTCACGCCTGTAATCCCAGCACTTTGGGAGGCCGAGGTGGGAGGGTTGCTTGAGCCCAGGTGTCAAGACCAGTCTGAGCACCGTGGCAACATGCAGTCTCAAAACAGCATTTTTTTTTTTTTTTTTTTTTTGAGACGGAGTCTCACTCTGTCACCCAGGCCGGAGTGCAGGGGCGCGATCTCGGCTCACTGCAAGCTCCACCTCCCGGGTTCAAGCCATTCTCCTGCCTCAGGCTCCCGAGTAGCTGGGCCTACAGGCACGTGCCACAACGCCTGGCTAATTTTTTGTATTTTCTAGTAGAGACGAGGTTTCACTGTGTTGGCCAGGATGGTCTCCATCTCCTGACCTTGCGATCCACCCGCCTCGGCCTTCCAAAATGCTGGGATTACAGGCGTGAGCCACCGCGCCCGGCCACTACAGAACATTTTAAAAACTAGCTGCGCCTGGTGGCGCGTGCCTGTGGTCCCAGCTACTTGGGAGGTTGAGGCGAGAGTATCACTCAAGTGAGCCCAGGAGGTCGAGGCTGCAGTGAGCTGAGATGGTACCAGTGCACTCCAGCCTGGGCAGCAGAGTGAGACCTTGTCTCTCAAAAAAAAAAAAAGAAGAAGAAGAAGAAGTGAGCCTGAGAAACCAGATCTCCACAGTGGGCTCTGCAATTGCATTTCCTTCTATGTTTGGCTGAGAAAACCCATCCCTGGCAAGTTTAGAAGCTTTGGAAGGCTTTGCAGGTTTGACCTTAAATCAGTGAGGAGCTCAGAGTCAGCCTGACCCTCGCTCCCCTGTGCTGAGCGACCGCATGTGGAGGTCTCTCTTCTTTCAGATACTTCTGCCCCTAAAGCCATCCCTCTGGCATCAGGCCTCGCTGGTCAGACCTAGACTGGCTTCCGCCAGGCCTTCCCGCAGCCTGTCCTGTGGGCCCTTTGTGGAGCAGACCAGCTTCTGTCCGCTGTCCTGCCTCTCCTGTGTGCAGTGCCCTGTTTCTCTGGCCGCCCTGGGTTGTCTGCAGTGTGGGATCCGCTCCTACCCTCTCAGCCCTCCTGGCAAGCCAAGGTCCGCTGACCCGTTCTGCACAGATTGTCTGCACTGTGTGCTGGGTCTGAATTTCCTCCACTGGTTTTCTTTATGTTAGTTTTGTCTCTTCCAATGAAATTCTTAGTTCTTTGAAGTAGATTATAAAATATTAATATTTCCCGACGCGAAAGAGACAGTGGGCTGTTGATGGAAGTAGCAGCCCACCAGCATCCGAAAGTCACAGGGCTCCATGTATCCAGCCTGAGTGCTGTTAGCCACTGTTGAGATTGGAGGATAAATTAAGATCGTAATTGTAACAAGAGATTTTAACTCTCTTCCTGTAAATGATAAATAATAAACAAAAAAACAAGATAAAGATTTCAGCGGGGCGTGGTGGCTCACGCTTGTAATCTCAGCACTTTGGGAGACCGAGGCAGGTGGATCACAAGATCAGGAGATCGAGACCACGGTGAAACCCCGTCTCTACTAAAAATACAAAAAATCAGCTGGGTGTGGTGGCGGGTGCCTGTAGTCTCAGCTACTTGGAGAGGCTGAGGCAGGAGAATGGCATGAACCCAGGAGGCGGAGCTTGCAATGAGCCGAGCCGAGATAGCGCCACTGCACTCCAGCCTGGGTGACAGAGCGAGACTCCGTCTCAAAAAAAAAAAAAAGATTTCAAAGAAGTTTGATTTTCAGTATGCAAATTCGTGTATAACTCTGTAAAGGACAAGGAGAGCGCACACCTCCTCTCCAGACATGGATCTCTGTGTGCTGGGCACGTAGAAAATGCCAGCAGAACCCAGAGAGCAGAATGGGGGTGGAGCGGGTGCTGACCGGGGCGCTAAGCAGTGTGTGGGGTGGAGCGGGTGCTGACTGGGGCGCTGAGCAGTGTGTGGGGTGGAGCGGGTGTTGACTGGGGCGCTGAGCAGTGTGTGGGGTGGAGCGGGTGTTGACTGGGGCGCTGAGCAGTGTGTGGGGTGGAATGGGTGGTACTGGCCAGGACGCTGAGCAGAGGGCGGGGTGGAGTGGGTGCTGGCCGGGGCGCTGAGCAGAGAGCATTCTCCTTTGTGTCGTTGTAATTCATGTGGAACTATTTTGGATCTAGGAGCTTCTACCTGGCCCTCTACAAGCAGATGAGCTTCCTGGAGAAGCGAGGCTGCCCGCGCACGGCGCTGGAGTACTGCAAGCTCATCCTGAGGTGAGTGTCTGCTCAGGGCCAAGCCCGTCCACGCTCCCTGTCCTGGCTGCAGGCCCACTCTCAGCCTGACGATGCCCCTGTTCCCCTTTGCTCTGCTCTCTGTGCTGCCTCCGGAAGTCTCGAGCCGGATGAGGACCCCCTCTGCATGCTGCTGCTCATCGACCACCTGGCCTTGCGGGCCCGGAACTACGAGTACCTGATCCGCCTCTTCCAGGAGTGGGAGGTGGGTGCGAGCCTGGTGAGGCCCCGTGGAGGGACGGACACCTGCTTCTCCTTCTGTTTTCTTGGTTCAGTATCTGTGCGCTCAGGGGACGTTTGGGGATGAAACGATAATCGTCTGAGGGCAGAACCACGTCCTCCTGCCTTGTTTGTCTCCCTTGCCGCCTCTACGGAGTGGAATGTGGTTTTCCTAGGGACAGTACAGCAGCCTTATGTCAGAATCCTCATACGTGTGTACACATGCTCAAACGTGTGTACACATGCACACGTGTGCCTGCAAGGACTGTGATGCTGGTAATGATGAAAAACCGACAACTCCCGAGCTCCTCATGGGCAGTTCAGGAAGATGCAGCCGGGAGGTAGAAGGAGGGTTGGTTGCGTGGGGCTGACACAGGGACCCCCAGCACGTCTGTCCTGTTCCATGGGAAGAGTGTGAGTACAGCAGGAGAGACTTGAGCTCTGTCCCCAGTAACTCTAACACAGACACGTGTTGGAATGATAATTTCGGTGTATTGGGTTAGATATAACGTATTAATCTCACCTGTTTTGTCTTTAATGCAGCTCCCAGAAAATTTAAATTGGGCCGGGCATGGTGGCTCACGCCTGTAATCCCAGCACTTTGGGAGGCCGAGGCGGGCGGATCACCTGAGGTCAGGAGTTTGATACCAGCCTCAACATGGAGAAACCCTGTCTCTACTAAAAATACAAAATTAGCTGGGCGTGGTGGTGCATGCCTGTAATCCCAGCTACTCGGGAGGCTGAGGCAGGAGAATCGCTTGAACCTGGGAGGTGGAGGTTGCGGTGAGCCGAGATCGCGCCATTGCACTCCAGTCTGGGCAACCAGAGTGAAACTCCGTCTCAAAAAAAAAAAAAGAAAATTTAAATTGACACCTGGGCTCCCATTATGTTCCTATGGGGCAGCACTTATCTGGAAGGACACGGGCTTTGTAACGCTAACCTCCAGCAGGGCCTGGGGCTGGGGAGAAGGCGACAGCTCTTGACTTTCTCTGCTTCTGTGTTGAATTTTTTTCATAGCACATGTTCATGGATAATGAAAGTGGGTAAATTATTTTGAATTTTTAAGCATTTGGCATAGTTGGCCAGGAAGTCTCACCCCCAGGAATGTGGTTTATAGAAATTCCTGGAGCTCACAAAAATGTAGGTGCAGGGAAACCTCAGGGAGTCCCCCAAAATGGGGCTGCAGAAGAATGTTGATGATGGTGTTTAAGGTCACAAAACTGTGAGTCTGTGATCCCATTTTGATAGAAAAAAATGCAGTGAGTCACATGTCTACAATATGTGACATAGGCTGAGAAAGGCAAGAGAAACTGGCACGGTGGTAGACTGCTCGGAAACTCGCGTGGCGGGCTGCTCTCGGAAACTCGCGCGGCAGTGGGCTGCTCTCACAGACTCGCGCGGGGGTGGGCTGCTCTCGTCTGTAAATTTTCCACATTGAGAGCACCAACTGCTCAGCTTCAGAGAGGAGCCTGGGCGGCAGGTGGGACCCTCACTCCCCACGGTGTCCTCGCTCCGGCTCAGTCTACTTCTCAGGCCCTCCCACGTCCTCTGTATCTTCTGCATGCGGAAAGCCCCCCAGGTGGACGTTTTAAGTTATCTTTATGCTGAGTTAGGAAGAGGCCCTTGCGTTGCCTGCAGAATATACCTGCTCGGGGTAGGGCTCACTGGTGATGTCAGAGCGTCTGCAAACTCACATATTTTGTCTTTATGACTTAAGGCTCCACGCTCTGTTTCTTCGTCCCTCGTAGGCTCATCGGAACCTGTCCCAGCTCCCTAATTTTGCCTTCTCTGTTCCACTGGCGTATTTCCTGCTGAGCCAGCAGACAGACCTCCCTGAGTGTGAGCAGAGCTCTGCCAGGCAGAAGGCCTCTCTCCTGATACAGCAGGCGCTCACCATGTTCCCTGGAGGTGAGTGAGCGCTGTGTCTCGCCTGGGGTAGGGGTGTGTCCTGTCAGCCGTGGGGGCTGCTCTTCCTGGTGGTGGAGGCCAGGTCCCAGTCCTTCCCCACACTTGTAGAAACATGCATTCTCTGGTAGGGCCTGCAAACCTGCCCTACCAAACCTGAAAGAGGGTCGGCTCATCTCGGAACCCGCTGCGTGCCAAGCCAGGCACGAGGAGGTGGCAGGCATCCCGACCCCCGTGGGGCCTGTGTTCTAGAGTGCAGAGACAGAACTGGCTGGGAGGTGCGGGGCATTGGATTGTACCAGTGCTGGGGAGGAGAGCAAAGCAGGGGAAGGTCTCGGCAGCGCCGAGGTGTGGCCGAGAGGGTTGTGCTCTGCACCATGCTGGGATGCAGAATGGAGGCCTGTGCCGCCCAGATGGACTCAGCCTGCACAGCCGTGACCCCTGACTGCATCTGGGTAGCTTCGATCCACGCACATGTGGCGGGCACAGTGAGGCTGCCACCTGGTCAGACCTCGGGGCTGACCCTGCCTGACAGCATGTGTGAAATCCCTCTTTAAGATGGGCCTCCTCCGAGGAGCTGTGAGGGGTGAGGGTGAAATCCCTCCTTAAGACGAGCCTCCTCTGAGGGGCTGTGAGGGGTGAGGGTGAAATCCCTCCTTAAGACGGGCCTCCGGCCGGGCGCGGTGGCTCACGCCTGTAATCCTAGCACTTTGGGAGGCCGAGGTGGGCGGATCACGAGGTCAGGAGATCGAGACCATCCTGACTAACACGGTGAAACCACGTCTCTACTAAAAATACAAAAAATTAGCCGGGCGTGTTGGCGGGCACCTGTAGTCCCAGCTACTTGGGAGGCTGAGGCAGGAGAATGGCATGAACCCAGGAGGCAGAGCTTGCAGTGAGCCGAGATCGCGCCACTGCACTCCAGCCTGGGCAACATAGTGAGACTCCGTCTCAAAAAAAAAGAAAAAAAAAAAAAAGACGGGCCTCCTCCGAGGGGCTGTGAGGGGTGAGGGTGAAATCCCTCCTTAAGACGGGCCTCCTCCGAGGGGCTGTGAGGGGTGAGGGTGAAATCCCTCCTTAAGATGGGCCTCCTCCGAGGGGCTGTGAGGGGTGAGGGTGAAATCCCTCCTTAAGACGGGCCTCCGGCCGGGCGCGGTGGCTCACGCCTGTAATCCTAGCACTTTGGGAGGCCGAGGTGGGCGGATCACGAGGTCAGGAGATCGAGACCATCCTGACTAACACGGTGAAACCACGTCTCTACTAAAAATACAAAAAATTAGCCGGGCGTGTTGGCGGGCACCTGTAGTCCCAGCTACTTGGGAGGCTGAGGCAGGAGAATGGCATGAACCCAGGAGGCAGAGCTTGCAGTGAGCCGAGATCGCGCCACTGCACTCCAGCCTGGGCAACATAGTGAGACTCCGTCTCAAAAAAAAAGAAAAAAAAAAAAAAGACGGGCCTCCTCCGAGGGGCTGTGAGGGGTGAGGGTGAAATCCCTCCTTAAGACGGGCCTCCTCCGAGGGGCTGTGAGGGGTGAGGGTGAAATCCCTCCTTAAGATGGGCCTCCTCCGAGGGGCTGTGAGGGGTGAGGGTGAAATCCCTCCTTAAGACGGGCCTCCGGCCGGGCGCGGTGGCTCACGCCTGTAATCCTAGCACTTTGGGAGGCCGAGGTGGGCGGATCACGAGGTCAGGAGATCGAGACCATCCTGACTAACACGGTGAAACCACGTCTCTACTAAAAATACAAAAAATTAGCCGGGCGTGTTGGCCGGCACCTGTAGTCCCAGCTACTTGGGAGGCTGAGGCAGGAGAATGGCATGAACCCAGGAGGCAGAGCTTGCAGTGAGCCGAGATCGCGCCACTGCACTCCAGCCTGGGCAACATAGCGAGACTCCGTCTCAAAAAAAAAGAAAAAAAAAAAAAGACGGGCCTCCTCCGAGGGGCTGTGAGGGGTGAGGGTGAAATCCCTCCTTAAGACGGGCCTCCTCCGAGGGGCGGTGAGGGGTGAGGGTTATTTGCGTGCAGCTAGTATACACACATTACGTGACCACTCATCGCCTATTAGGATGTCCTGGAAGCAGCATCCCTTTCTCGGTTCTGTGGGTTTCCAGGGCTCTGTCTGGGCCCCGAGGAGGCCCACGGCGTGGGGTTGGGCAGCTTCTAGCACAGGCAGAAACGTGCCCCCCAGAGGGGCCTGGCCAGGCCTCAGTCTGCTCGCTGACCCCAAAAGTTTCGTCCCCTGTGTCTAAGAAGCACCTTTGTCCTCCTCTGGGGCTGCATGCAGCTGGCCATATGCTCCACCAGTGCAGCCGTGTCTGGAAACGCGGCTGGGAGGCCCTGTCCTTTGTGGCAGAGCTGTGCTGCTGTGTCACAGGCTGTAGCGTCAGCACCTCCCTTGAAGGCAGGTGGGCTGCCAAGAAGCCGCTGCCACTTACCCCAGAACACTGGAGATCACTGCAGGCTCTGCCCTCGGGGCCCGTTCCCCTACATGGCGGCCTCTGCCCTCAACCTGCAGTGCTGGCTCTTCCACTGGGCACAGGTGGCCTCCGCTCCCACCAGCCTGCCATGGGGTCCAGTCTTTGTGATTAAAACATCCAACCGGCCGGGCACGGTGGCTCACGCCTGTAATCCCAGCACTTTGGGAGGCCGAGGCAGGAGGATCGCTTGAGCATAGGAGTTCGAGACCAGCCTGGTCAACACGGTGAAACCCTTTCTCTACCAAAAATATAAAAATTAGCCGGGTGTGGTGGCGGACGCCTGTAATCCCAGCACTTTCGGAGGCTGAGGCAGGTGGATCACCTGAGGTCAAGAGTTCAAGACCAGCCTGGCCAGCATGGTGAAACCCTGTCTCTACTAAACATACAAAAATTAACCGGGGCGTGGTAGTGTGCGCCTGTGATCCCAGCTACTCGGGAGGCTGAGGCAGGAGAATCGCTTGAGCCTGGGAGGTGGAGGTTGCAGTGAGCCGAGATTTCGCCAACGCACTCCAGCCTGAGCAACAGAGTGAGACCCTGTCTCAGAAAAACAAAAAAAAACCCAACCCCATGTGTGTGGAGGGTGGTGGGTGAGTCTTCCCTTGGATGCAAATGGGGGCCCTGGCAGCCTCCTTGGGGCTGGTGTGAAGGAGACCCCCAGCCTCAGACCCTGGGCACGCCAGCAGCAGCAACTCAGAATACCACCCGGAAGCAAGCCGCTGGCCCTGCAGACTCTCCACCTTAGAACAGCTGTGTCTGTGACAAGGACCTCGCTGTGTCCCTTACTGCCTTGGGGGCTAGGAGTGGCTGGGGTGTGTGCTGAGGGCCCCCACAGAGCCTCCGCTTCCCCTGCAGTCCTCCTGCCCCTGCTCGAGTCTTGCAGTGTGCGGCCCGACGCCAGCGTTTCCAGTCACCGCTTCTTTGGACCCAATGCTGAAATAAGGTAAAGAGTGGCTGGTGGTGCCCATCTGTGGGTGCCTGTGGGTTCGGAGCCTGGGAGCCATTTTCACTCATCCTGAGAGGCCCTGAGGGACCTGCTTCCAGCAGCAGGAGGGGCTGTGGTGGCGGCCTCGGGGACTGTCATTTGACATGGGACGGCTCTGGAGCCCTCATCTGTGTGGAAAAGTCCAGGTGGGACAGCTGAGCAGCCTCCAGCTTAAAAACGAGGCTCATATAAAGAGGGTGCCAGGCGTGGCGGCACATGCCTGTAATCTCAGCTTTTTGGGAGGCCGGCTTGTGCCTGGGAGGTCAAAGGTACAGTGAGCTGTGTTTGTGCTGCTGCACTCCAGCCTGGGTGATGGTGAGACCCCGTCTCAAAAAACAAAATAAACAAAGAGGGAGCAAACACAGGAGAAAGTGCACGCCTTGGGGTCATCCCCTGGCCCTCCAGGGCTCGCCCTGTGTGCACGCAGATGGACCCGCCCTGGGTGCATTTTCACATTTCTGTGACGTCAGTCCTGCTTCCTAAAGAACATAACCTGCCCAACAGGCTCACGGCACATACCTGTGTGCCCCAGCCCCACGCCCTCAGGCCAGCAGCCCAGGGGCCTCCTTTCACTCCAGGCCACAGGGCACTCCCTGGACCCCCCGTCTGCCCATCCATGGGGCTCTGCCAGCCTCGAGGCAGGCTGTGGTCTGAAGAGGGGTTCTGCTCAGAGCCCTTGCTCTCCCCCAGCCAGCCCCCTGCCCTGAGCCAGCTGGTGAACCTGTACCTTGGGAGGTCACACTTTCTCTGGAAAGAGCCCGCCACCATGAGCTGGCTGGAGGAGAACGTCCACGAGGTTCTGCAAGCAGTGGACGCCGGGGACCCAGCCGTGGAAGCCTGTGAGAACCGGTGAGCTAGGGGTTGACACAAGCCCTGCCACGCCCCCTCCTCAGGGACCCTCATCCCAGACACGGGGGCCTCGCATTCGGGAGGCGAGAAGGGCTGTGAGCAGCTTGGCCTCCCTTGCTGTGGGGCCTGTGTGGAGCCTACAAGACAGCGCACAGCCCCTGGCGTGTCCCAGAGGCTTCCTGGGAGGCAGCTGTGGTGATCAGCGCAGGGTACCGAGCTGCTGTTCCCGGGTGCCTCGGGCTGGAGTGGTGCCTTCGGGTCTTGCAGTGTTTCCACATGAGCTGTGAGATGATGACGAGTCTCTCACAGCAGCATCTTGGGAGTAAAGAAATCTGGCAGAGACGAGAAAGAGTCTCCTGTCCTGTGTGTGAACACTTCGGAGGCTCATGCCCTAATATGCTGCAACTGACAGGCATCCCCTTGCTGTTCTTGTCTCGTTTGTCTGCGCCCTTGGCCCTGTGCTAGTTCTGTGCATCAGCACCGTGGCTCTGTGCAGTGGTGTGGCCAGGCTCAGGACCGCCTGGGAGTGGTGCCCATTTGCATCTCCACAGTGAAGTCTGTGTGCCGCGGACATGAGGTGTGCCCGGGGGTGCCCAAGAGGCGCTGGTGCCCCCAGCCGCTGGCAGTCATGGGCCCGTCCGCGTGTCTGCTGTCCCCACTGGACTGGACATTCTCATGGACAGGAGCATTTTGTTCCCTGTACTGCTCTCCAAGAGCGATTTCCAGCAGGGACCAGTGCCTGTGCCTGTAGCCGTAGCAGTGACGATGGTGACACACCCAGGTGTCCCTTCATGGAGATGAACTCAGTGACTTCCCACAAGAAGCCACTGGCTACGGCTCTCATCGTTCTTGTTCTTTGGATGAAGAGGCTGAGTCACTGGCCATGTGGCTGGGATTGGTCCCCAGAGGCTCCCCAGCCGCAGGCCAGGGACCAGCCATGGTGCCTCTGCTCGAGAGTAAAGTGTACAGTTTTTGCAGCCACCAGAGATGCAGCGAGATGCCTCGTGCTGGGTGGGGGTGGGGGCCGAGGCTCCATGGCGGTTACCATTTCATTTGCTGTGCTTTATCTGCTGTGCCTTGTTTCTCCCCGGCCCTAGGCGGAAGGTGCTCTACCAGCGTGCACCCAGGAATATCCACCGCCATGTGATCCTCTCTGAGATCAAGGAAGCCGTCGCTGCCCTGCCCCCGGTAAGGGAGAAAGGCTGAAATGGGAGCTCTGTGTAAGCCGGTCACATGCACGTCCCTTCTGCTCCGGGCGGTCCACATGCAGGCGTGCGTGGTGCGGGCTCCCTCAGCAGCCCAGCCCCGCCACGGCAGGGGCAGGGTCTAGTGCAGAGGGCTCCTCCTTTCCTGGCAGCCCGGGTTCGGATGCTTGTTGTTTTGAGAGAGAAATCCTTTGGGGCTCAGAGCACAAGCTGAGTCGTCACCGTGGTGAGCTGCTCCATCCGTGGTCTTGTGAGCGCGTGGTGCGGCTGCTGGGGGATTCTCTGTAGTCGTGGGGTGTAGTCCTGCTCTGACGCCTCCTGTGCTGGAGGTGCCGTTTCTGTCTCAAAACCTAAGGAGTTTGTACTGTTGTTAAGGGATAAGATAGAACGAGTGAGAAAACCAGCAAGTCAGAGGGTCGCAGGACCGTGGACCGTCCACTGGGGACAGCTTAGTGCCTCCTGGTTTAACTTCAGCTGCTCTGCGGGCCCTTATGACCGGCATGGCTGGCTTTGTCTGGGGCTGTGAGCTTCTGACTCTCCTCAGTAGAGTGGCAGCACGTGGCACTGTGCAACCCGAGGGCAGCTCAGGGTCCCTGTAGCCTGCATTTGCTGAAGTGGGAGCTTCTGACACGTGGTGAAGATGTTGGCAGGCTTGAGCGGCACGTGACCCCCTTCCTTCCCCACCACACACTCTGGTGTGCAGGGCAGACGCCGTGCAGGTTCATCTCGACTCCCGTGAGTGTCCTGGTGGCAGAAGGACTGTCCCACCCTCACCCAAAGCTCGTTGGTACAAAAAGCACAGCCGTTTCTGTCAGACTCTGTGGCTATCTCTCAGCAGATGCATCCAGTCCATGCTGGAGTCGACAGAAGGACTCTGCTGGGAGAGGTAGAGGCCCCCTGGCAGCATCTGTAGCATCTTCGTTTTATGTCCCTTTCTGAAGGACGTGACCACGCAGTCTGTGATGGGGTTTGATCCTCTGCCTCCTTCGGACACAATCTACTCCTACGTCAGGCCAGAGAGGTACCTCCCTCCTTCCAGTTCCCACCTCCCAGCTCCCACCTCCCTCCTCCCAGTTCCCAGCTCCCAGCTCCCACCTCCCAGCTCCAACCTTCCAGCTCCCAGCTCCCACCTAGCAGCTCCCGGCTCCTGGCTCCCACCTCCCTCCTCCCACCTCCCACCTCCCAGCTCCCACCTCCCTCCTCCCACCTCCCACCTCCCTCCTCCCAGTTCCTACCTCCCATCTCCCAGCTCCCAGCTGCCACCTCCCAGCTTCTGCCTCCCTCCTCCCAGTTCCCACCTCCCAGCTCCCACCTCCCAGCTCCCGCCTCCCTCATCCTAGTTCCCACCTCCCAGCTCCCAGCTCCCTCCTCCCACCTCCCACCTCCCTCCTTTCACCTCCCACCTGCCACCTCCCGCCTCCCACCTTCCAGCTCCCGCCTCCCACCTTCCAGCTCCCGCCTCCCTCCTCCCAGTTCCCACCTCCCACCTCCCAGCTCCCACCTCCCAACTCCCTCCTCCCACCTCCCACCTCACCTCCCTCCTCCCTCCTTCCAATTCCCACCTCCCAGCTCCCAGTTCCCACCTCCCAGCTCCCGCCTCCCACCTCCCAGCTCCTGCCTCCCTCCTCCCAGTTCCCAGCTCCCACCTCCCTCCTCCCGCCGCCTAGCTCCCACCTCCCAGCTCCCGCCTCCCACCTCCCAGCTACCGCCTCCCTCCTCCCAGTTCCCAGCTCCCACCTCCTACCTCCCAGCTCCCGCCTCCCACCTTACAGCCCCTGTCTCCTCCCTCCTCCCAGTTCCCAGCTCCCAGCTCCCGCCTCCCTCCTCTCACCTCCCCTGCCACCTCCTGCCTCCCTCCTCCCAGCTCCCACCTTCCAGCTCCCGCCTCCCTCCTCCAAGTTCCCACCTTCCAACCCCGCCTCCCTCCTCTCAGTTCCCACCTCCCAGCTCCCACCTCCCAGCTCCCTCTTCCCTCCTCCCAGTTCCCACCTCCCAGCTTCCTCCTCCCACCTTCTAGTTCCCACTTCTTTCCTCACAGTTCCCACCTCCCAGCTCCCATCTTCCAGCTCCCAGCTCCCACCTCCCTCCTTCCAGTTTCCACCTCCCAGCTCCCACCTCCCACCTTCCAGTTCCCACCTCCTTCCTCGCAGTTCCCACCTCCCAGTTCCCACCTGCCAGCTCCCACCTCTTTCCTCGCAGTTCCCACCTCCCACCTTCCAGCTCCCACCTCCCAGCTCCCTCCTCCCACCTTCCAGTTCCCACCTCTTTCCTCGCAGTTCCCACCTCCCAGCTCCCGCCTCCCTCCTCCCAGCTCCCACCTCCCAGCTCCCACCTCCCACCTCCCAGCTCCCACCTCCCAGCTCCCACCTCCCTCCTCCCAGCTCCCACCTCCCGCCTCCCAGCTCCCACCTCCCGGCTCCCGCCTCCCAGCTCCCAGCTCCTGCCTCCCACCTGCCAGCTCCCAGCTCCCGCCTCCCTCCTCCCAGTTTCCACCTCCCAGCTCCCACCTCGCAGCTCCCAGCTCCCAGCTCCCACCTCGCAGCTCCCAGCTCTCTCCTGCAGCTCTGAGGTCAGGGCTTTGGGGCTCACAGGGACTGGCTGCCTCTTTCAGACCCAGATGCTGAGAGATGGGGCTCAGGGCTAAGTGGGTCTTTCCCCTCACAGGAAGGGAGAGGAGGAGAGGAACAGTGTTATTTGGGGGTCACAGCTCTGCGTTTGCAGGCCACGTTCTTTCCCATCTCCACCGAATGTACAAGCGCTTGCGTGTCGGCCTCTGTGGCAGGTGCGAGTGACACAGTGGAAGCAGGTGTGCAGTGAAGTGGGGAAAACATATTAATTTTAGAATGTAGAAATAAACATAAAATCAAAACTGCACCAGCCTGGCCAACATGGCAAACCCCGTCTCAACTAAAAATACAAAACTTAGCCAGCTGGGTGCAGTGACTCACGCCTGTAATTCCAGCAGTTTGAGAGGCCAAGGTGGGCAAATCACAAGGTCAAGAGATTGAGACCAGCCTGGCCAACGTGCTGAAAACCCGTCTCTACTAAAATACAAAAAAATTAGCTGGGCGTGGTGCCGCACACCTGTAGTCCCAGCTACTTGGGAGGCTGAGGCAGGAAAATTGTTTGAACCCGGGAGGCACAGGTTGCAGTGAGTGGAGATCGTGCCACTGCACTCCATCCTGGCGACAGAGGAAGACTCCGTCTCAAAAAAAAAAAAAAAAAAAAAAATTGGGCGTGGTGGGTTGTGCCTGTAGTCCCAGCTACTCAGGAGGCTGAGGCAGGAGAATCCCTTGAACCCGGAAGGAGGGGGTTGCCGTGAGCTGAGATCACGCCACTGCACTCCAGCCTGGGTGACAGAGTGACTCCATCTCAAAAAAAAAAAAAAAAAAAATCCTCCAGTAAGGTGTTTGGAGGAAGGATGGTGGCTGTGCTGAGACGGAGAGGATGAATGTGCCCTCACCAGGCTCAGGGGAGAGGGTCCTTGTGTTCCCCAGCAGAGTCACGATGTGCCGAGGCCCTGTGCCAGGAGCAGAGCACACGGCACATTGAGAGAACAAAAGCCCCATGGCCAGACCGGGAGAGCAGGGCTGCGGCGCAAGAGGGCCAACTGCCAGGCGGCCGGTGTGTCTGGCTTTCAGAATCCGGGTCATTGAAAGGCTTTTTACCTTTTCCTTCTGGGCTGGAAAGTACTTGCCTTACCCAGGCCCCGTCACCCGCACAGCGGTCGTCGTGATTATCCCTGCCGGCAGGGTGTTGCAGCATTGAGGAATCGCGGTTCTTTGCTGCCTCCCTCCGCTGTGGAGCCCAGGCTTTCGCCCTCCCTAGAGCTCCTGAGGCCTGGCCGCTCAGCGTCCTGTAGAGCCGGGCCGGTAGCCCTTCGCACCGTGAGGGTCTCCGCTTAACGCAGGCCCTGGAAGCTTCTGCCTTTGCGTAAGGAGTGGGTGCTGAAGGAGACGTTGAAACTGCAGCTTTTCTGAAAAGCAAGGCACCTGTGCAGTGGCCGAGGATGGCTGTGGGAGCCTCGCTCCGGACGCCACGCCTGCCTCAGCTGAGTTGGTCTCCCTCATCCTGTTCCCGCTGTCCACAGCCCCACCCTAAGCTGATGAGGAAGCCTCACGGGCCACCCGGGGAATCCAGGGCCTGTGCTCAGCTGCTGCTGCTCTGCCCCCTGGCGGCCCCTCCGTGTCCCTGCGAGGGAGGCAGCTGGCAGGCAGCCCCGTGAGCCGGGTTGGGTCCCACGAGTCTCAGTTCAGTGTCGTTTCTGACTTTTCTTGACTTTCTTTCAGGCTAAGTCCTATCAGCCATGGAAACACCATTGCTCTCTTCTTCCGGTCACTGTTGCCAAACTATACCATGGAGGTAGGTTGAGCTCGTCCCAGCCCCTGCCTCCCCAGTGGGTGCGGGCATATCCATTCCAGTGCGAATGCCTGGAGCCTCCTTGAACCAGGACTGTGCCAGCCGGCACAGGGAGCAGGGAAGGACCAAGGCTGCATTGTGCCAGTGGGGTGCCCATTCTGCCGGGGAAACTGGGGCCTGCCCAGATGGTAGCAGATGCAGGGCCGTGAGTCAGCCGGCTTGATCCCACTCTGTGCCTGGCTTGGTCTAGACACGGCATTTGGTTTTGAGAGCTTCCTCCTCACAGGGACCTGGGGAGGGTTCAGGGTCCGGTGCTGGGGCAAGGGCCACCTCGGGCTCCACAGTGCCTCCTGCTTGGGCCCCGGGCCCCTAGTCCCAGCACAGACAGCCCCCTTCTCAGACATGTCCCCTTGCTGCAGGGGGAGAGGCCCGAGGAAGGAGTGGCTGGGGGTCTGAACCGCAACCAGGGCCTGAACAGGCTGATGCTGGCTGTGCGCGACATGATGGCCAACTTCCACCTCAACGACCTGGAGGCGCCGCACGAGGACGACGCTGAGGGGGAGGGGGAGTGGGACTGAGCGTCCGCAGAGGTGACCGAAAAGCCGTATGATGATGTTCCCGATTTCTCTGTTGGTCGGAGTCGGCCAGTTGCCTGAAGTAGGGAAGCTGAGTGTGTCGCTCCCTGGTCCACTGTTTCTCCTATAAATGTAAATGGGTCACGCTCTGCCGTCCGCACCTTCTCCTTTCGCAGGCACTGAGCGCCGTCCCATGCCCTCGGATTCGAATCACACTCAGTCCATTCTCCTCCCAGTGGCTTGTGGGTGAGGTGGGGCCCAGACCCCATGCTTCCTGTGCTCCCAGGATCTGGGCACGGGTGGAGAAGGGGCCCCACGGGGTCTTCAGTGCAGGTCCCTGCTGAATGCCAAGGCCCTGGGTGCACGTCCTCCTTGAACTTGCTGTGGAGTTCGTCAACAGAGCTGCGTGCCTTGTTGGTAGAGGGTCTCAGGGCAGGGCTGGAGCAGAGAGGCCCCTATGTGGCAGCCGGCCTTCAGTCTTGTTCCTCCAAGCAAGTGGGGTGGAGATGTTGGGGTCCTTTGGCTGGATGCCACTATCTGTTGAATCTGACAAAATAATTTTCTTTTTTTTTTTTGAGACAAGAGTCTCACTGTGTCGCGCAGGCTGGAGTGCAGTGGCGCAGTCTCGGCTCACTGCAAGCTCCGCCTCCCGGGTTCACGCCATTCTCCTGCCTCAGCCTCCCGAGTAGCTGGGGCTACAGGCACCCGCCACCACGCCTGGCTAATGTTTGTATTTTTAGTAGAGACGGGGTTCCACCATGTTGGCCAGGATGCTCTCAATCTCTTGACCTCATGATCCGCCCGCCTTGGCCCCCCACAGTGCTGGGGTTACAGCTGTGAGCCACCGCGCCTGGCTCTGCCAAAATAATTTTATTAGAGAACTTGAGGGCAGTGCCCAGAATTGAAGGCGAAGCCCCAGAAGCATGTTTTGCAGAGAAGTGCCCAGGGAAGCTCTGAGGGCCCATGTAGCAAAGATCAGGGGATAGTCGGTCTGAGGGTGAATGGGCCACTCGGACCAAGACCCCAGTCTTGGGGGAGGGCTTAGCTGGAGCAGGTCCTGGCACAGTTGACTGATGGTGCACAGAACCCGTGCATCCCACGGCCCCACGGTGCTGCAGCTGCAGGAGGGGCGGAGGCTGCAGCCAGACAGCATCAGAAGCCAGCGTGGTTCTGGAAGGATCGAGAACACCAAGGTGTTAGGGCTGCAGCAGGGGTCCTGTCCCCTGGCACCCCTCACCGCCCTAATCTTTTACCCTTAGGAGGCAGCAGACACGAGGGGCTGCCCGAGGCTCTAGGGCGGCCAGTGAGGCAGGAAACATGTTCCAGCCCCAGCTAGGTACTGGTCCGTGGACCCACCTCCCAGAAAGCCCATCACTGTGTAATCGTCTAACCTGGGGCTCGCCGAGGCCTGTGAGTTCATCCTTTTGGCAGTTCCTGGTGTCTCCTTACTCTGCTCAGCATTTCCTGGGCGGGAGCTTAGGGTGCAGGACCCTCCCCAGGACGACGAGGGCCCAGTGTCCATGACAAGAGTTGGCCCGAGGGCTGAGCCACGTGTGCCCATCTCAGACGTGGGCCTGAGGGTGCAGCCCTGGCCCTGTGCTGGCCATTTCTAGGAGCGGTGCCCTGAGGTCCCAGCTGTGATAGCCCCACGCTCTGCAGGAAGAGATCATGGGGGCGGGGAGTTGGTGCTGCGGCCTCGTTCCTCTCTGCAGTGAGTGAACGATGTTTGTGGTCAGCAGGAGCCTGTGGGGAGCACAGGCTGGTCCTCCTGGTGTCCCACCCACCCCTTTTTCCATGGGGGATCTGCACTCATCTCCAGGGAAGATGGTTGGGAGATAACCCCAGTCTGCTCTAGGTCCCCACCCTCCACAGCCAGGGTGGTCCGTGGTGAGCTTCAGCCATCGAGATGCGGGAGTCTGCTAGAGTCTTCAGGGTCTTTTCTCTGAAAATGACAGGCTAGCAAGGAGACCTGGGTCCCCTGCCTCTTCCATTCCAGATGCCTTGAGTCCACCCAAATAGGGGATGTGATGTTTGGAGCTGCAGCAGCCGCCCTACGGTTGGGAGTCAGAGAAGAGCCGGTGTTCCAGGGACAATGCAGCAGAGGCTGAGCCCAGGCCTGCTGTCCTGAGAGGTGGCTGGATCACTGACACTTTGGCAGTGGTGCTGGGGTTTATGTCATGACCTGCAGCTGAGCCTACTTCCAATGACCGTGAGATCTGAAAGACTGTTTTGAGGGCGTAGCCTCTGCCATGATTGTGGGGAATGCTGTCCTGTTTCCTCCCTTGGCCCTGCTCAGCCCAGCGAGAGGCTGAGGCGCACGTGGCTCCCCGGGTGCCCACAGGCAGCGTGGCTCACCAGCCGGGCCCTTTTCCACTGAGCCAGAACCCCCCAAAGCCTTCAATGCAGGCACCACGGTGAGCCCACGAGAAACCCTGCTTGCCACCTCCCACACCCCCACCCCCAAGTTCAAAGGAAATGGTCCCTGAACCAAGGGCTGAGATCAGCTGTGGGTCCAGCTGTCCTGGGGAGCTGTACTGGAGCCCACCACGGTGGGACTGTTGGTCCGGCGGTGACCCCCACCTCCATGTCTGTGGCCGCAGCTGGACAGGCCACTCCCTGGGCCACAGAGATGTTTTACCTCTCGCAGCCCTCGGGCACACATTGAGCAGATGTGTGTGTGTGTGCGTGTGTGGGTGGGTGCGCATTTGTGTGTGCCTGTGTGTGTGCGCATGTGGTGTGGGTGCACGTGTGTGCACGTGTGTGGGTAAACATTGTGTGTGCGCATACGTGTGTGGGTAAACATTTGTATGTGCACGCGTGTGTGGGTAAACGTGTGTGCGCACGTATGTATGTGTGTACATTTGTATGTGTGTACATTTGTATGCATGTGTGCCTGTGTGTGTGTGCCTGTGTGTGTGGGTGCACATTTGTGTGTGTGTGTGTGCCTGTGTGTGTGTGTGCACGTATGTATGTGTGCACACTTGTATGCATGTGTGCCTGTGTGTGTGGGTGCACATTTGTGTGTGTGTGCCTGTGTGTGTGGGTGCACATTTGTGTGTGTGGGTGCACATTTGTGTGTGTGTGCGCCTGTGTGGGTGCACATTTGTGTGTGTGTGTGCCTGTGTGTGTGCCTGTGTGTGTGGGTGCCTGTGTGTGTGGGGCACATTTGTGTGTGTGTGTGCCTGTGTGTGGGTGCACATTTGTGTGTGTGCCTCTGTGTGTGTGCCTGTGTGTGGGGGTGCACATTTGTGTGTGCGCCTGTGTGTGGGGGTGCACATTTGTGTGTGCGCCTGTGTGTGTGGGTGCACATTTGTGTGTGTGTGCGCCTGTGTGTGTGGGTGCCTGTGTGTGTGTGGGGCACATTTGTGTGTGTGTGTGTGCCTGTGTGTGGGTGCACATTTGTGTGTGTGCCTGTGTGTGTGTGCCTGTGTGTGGGGGTGCACATTTGTGTGTGTGTGTGCCTGTGTGTGGGGGTGCACATTTGTGTGTGTGTGTGCCTGTGTGTGTGGGTGCACATTTGTGTGTGTGTGTGCCTGTGTGTGTGGGTGCACATTTGTGTGTGTGTGCCTGTGTGTGTGGGTGCACATTTGTGTGTGTGTGTGCCTGTGTGTGTGGGTGCACATTTGTGTGTGTGCCTGTGTGTGGGTGCACATTTGTGTGTGTGTGCCTGTGTGTGTGTGCCTGTGTGTGTGGGTGCACATTTGTGTGTGTGTGTGCCTGTGTGTGTGGGTGCACATTTGTGTGTGTGTGTGTGCCTGTGTGTGTGTTGCAGGCCCTGGATGCCAGACACTGAATAAACGCAGGAAGACGTCTGTCTTCATTCTCCTCGTGGGTCGCTGGTCCAGAAACACCTGGATGGAAAGTGCTCTGCAGGAACGGTGCCTCTGCCTGTGGCGGGGACCCTGGTGAGCGGATGGGCCAGCCCCACGTGTCTTCCGGCCACTCAGCATGCAGTGTTTCCAGGGGCACTAAGAGACCAAAATCGAGATATGATTAGCTGTAGGATGTCATCTAATCACAGATCATCCCGAGGCTAATTTATCTCCCCCATGACCATAACACATCAAAAAGTTGACTTTTTGCAGCTCGGCTGTGCCTCATCTTCCCACGAAGCCCCGACAGGCACATCCAGTGAGGAACCACAGTGGGAGTCCTGTGGCAGGGTCACCCCACTTCCGATGCCCTCCAGCTGCATCTTGGCACGAAAAAGGCTGCCCAGTTCTCATGCCCTTTCAAGTCCCGGGCTGGGGGGTAGCAGTGGAGGCTGGGGTTAACCGCCGTCCGTCTCAAAGGCCTCATTGTGGAGCTGCAAACACGAACGTCCTTGAAATGTGAGGGGACAGTGCTCTGGGGCAGGGGCTGCTCACTGGTTCATGGCCAGAGGTGAGCGGGCTCTGGGTCTGGGTCTGTGAGGTGCTGTGGACGTCGGGGGTGCTCCTGGGGCAGGGACACAGCCACGGCCCTCACACCAGTGGAGCCGTCTTCCTTCCCGAGGCAGAGGCTTGGCCTTCTCACACCTTGGGACCCTTCTCTCCCCTGTGCTCATGCTGGAAGCACAGCGTGAGGGGGCAAAGGTCATGGGAGGCAAAAGGCTGGGCTGAGGCCGAGGCTCTGTGGCTGTGGCCGGATACCAGGTCCTGTGGTGGTGTGGGCAGGGCGCGCTCTCTCCTCTGAGCAGCCTGGGGCTGCGTGTGTGAACAGAAACAGGCCTGCCGATTTGAAGATGGTTTGACCAAGTCTCCCAAAGCTGAAGAGAGGTCCCTGCCCATGTCCCCCGGGTGGCAATCCACAGACGCACCTGTGTCCATCAGACGGTATCGTTGATAGGGAGTCTGAAGCCACCCAGACGTGGTCTGTTCACGCCGTGGACACCACGGTCTGAGGCAGACGGTTACAGCCACCGGCATAGGCGAATCTCAGCCAGAGAGAGTGAACTGGGACACCATTCACGTGATGGGCCAGATGGGCTGGCAGCGGCTCGCTGGAGCCGTCCGGGTGGGAACGCTGTGTCTGTTGGTCTGGTGCTGCTTATGTGGCTGGTTCAGGTCTGTCATCCGTCAACCTGCATATTTATCACTGGTGCATTTTCATGTATGTTGTACCTCAATTAAAACATTTTAGGGCCGGGCGCGGTGGCTCACGCCTGTAATCCCAGCACTGTGGGAGGCGGAGGCGGGAGGATCATGAGGTCAGGAGATCAAGACCGTCCTGGCCAACATGGTGAAACCCCATCTCTACTAAAAAAAATACAAAAATTTGCCGGGTGTGGCGGCACGCGCCTGTAGTTCCAGCTACTCAGGAGGCTGAGGTATGAGAATTACTTGAACCCAGTAGGCAGAGGCTACCGTGAGCCAAGATCATGCCACTGCACTCCAGCCTGGGTGACAGTGAGACTTCGTCTCAAAAAAAAAAAAAAAAAAATTAAAGCAGATGGGGTGTGGGGGCTCATCCCTGTAATCTCAGCATTTTGGGAGGCTGAGGCGGACCGATCACCTGAGGTCAGGAGTTCAAGACCAGCCTGGTCAACATGGTGAAACCTCATCTCTACAAAAAATACAAAAAATAGCCAGGTGTGGTAGTGGGTGCCGTAGTCCCAGCTAGTTGGGAGGCTGAGGCATAAGTATTGCTTGAATCCAGAAGGTGGAGGTTGCAGTGAGCCAAGAATGCACCACTACACTCCAGCCTGCGCGACAGAGTGAAACTGTCTCAAAATAAATAAATACATAAAAATTATATGTATATATATATATATATATATTTTTTTTTTTTTGAGACTGTATCTCTGTTTCCCAGGCTGGAGTGCAGTGGTGTGATCTCGGCTCACTGCAACCTCCGCCTCCTGGGTTCAAGCAATTCTGCCTCAGCCTCCCAAGTAGCTGGGATTATAGGCGTGCGCCACCACGCCTGGCTGATTTTTGTATTTTTAGTAGAGATGGAGTTTCACCATATTACCCAAGCTGGTCTTGAACTCCTGACCTCATGATCCGCCTGCCTCAGCCTCCCAAAGTGCTGAGATTATAGGGGTGAGCCACTGTGCCCGGCAATAATAATTTTTTTTTTTTTTGAGACAGAGTTTTGCTCTTGTTGCCCAGGCTGGAGTGCAATGGTGCAATCTCGGCTCACGGCAACCTCCGCCTCTCATGTTCAAGCTATTATCCTGACTCAGCTGGGATTACAGGCACCCACCACCACACCTGGCTGATTTTGGTATTTTTAGTAGAGACGGGGTTTCTCCATGTCGGCCAGGCTGGTCTCGAACTCCTGACCTCAGGTGATCCACCCGCCTTGGGCTCCCAAAGTGCTGGGATTACAGCCCTGAGCCACCATGGCTGACAATAATAAAAAATTTTAAAGCAAAACTAAAGATTTATAAATTGTAAAATGCGGTTGTAACAAGTATTTACTGTACCAGTAAATATGAAAAATATTAATGTCCTCACACACATGGAGGTGGCTTGTGAGTGGTGTGAGCATTTCATGGTCAGAGTTTGGCAGTTGGGCGAGAGACAGGATGGATTTTAACTCGAACATCGCAGACACAAAACTGAAAACCCTGATGCGGTGCCTGCACCGTTGCCTCCTTTCCTGCAGCTGTAAATGGGACGAGTAATTCCATCCCCCTCCCGCTTCCACCCTTCAGCACAGACGCAGTCTTCAGCAAGGAAGTGCTGGGAACGCCCTGGAGTGAACCCAGGAAGATGCCTGCAGTGGGTGCCAGGGCCCCTCTCCACCGTCCCTGCTGGGCTTCGGGGCCACGCCCGACTGCTGTGAACGGCCTGCGGAGCACCACGTGCGACGGCTGGAGGCGAGAGGTCTGCCTTTGATGTGGCTGTTGGTGCAGGGCCTGTGGTGCCTTCCGCAGCGGAAATGGCGCGCCGCCCGGGGAGGGCGGGAGCAGCGTCCCGGGTGCCCCTGTGAGGATGAGCGACGAGATGACTGGAGGGTCCCTGAAGACCTCACTAGGGTGCCCCCAGCCGGTCCGCTCCCAGGAAGCGACACCCCCACAGCCCCAGGGCTGCAGCTGAGGGGGTCGCCACTCTGGCTGGGCGAGGCTGGGCCCTTGGGGGCAGGCGCCAGAGTGGCCTCAGGCTCTACAAGATGCCTGAAAACACCAACCTCTCCAGGGCTCACTAGCATTGGACGCTTTCACGCTCTGCCCTGGCCGGAAGCCCCCTCACCCCGCGCGATGTGCAAACTCCTGCAGGGCTCACTCAGTTTCCAGAACTTTAATTATTGGAAAGTTCTCCCTGGTCCAGCCCCCAAATCTGCCGTGAACGTTGACAGCTGAGTTGCTGCTCCATGCGTGCTTTGGCTGAGAGCAGAGGGGACCCCTGTCCTCCCTGAGCTGCTGACGAGGGGAGGGGTGAAGGGTGGGGCCTCTGGAGAGGGCAGGTCCCGGGGAAGCTCCGGACTCCTAGAGGGGCGGCCAGGTGGGGGCCCTGGTGACCAGGACAGACTGTGGTGTTTTTTAACGTAAAGGAGATCCGCGGTGTGAGGGACCCCCTGGGTCCTGCACGCCGCCTGGTGGCAGGCCGGGCCATGGTGGGTGCTCACGCCCCCGGCATGTGGCCGCCCTCAGTGGGAGGGGCTCTGAGAACGACTTTTTAAAACGCAGAGAAAAGCTCCATTCTTCCCAGGACCTCAGCGCAGCCCTGGCCCAGGAAGGCAGGAGACAGAGGCCAGGACGGTCCAGAGGTGTCGAAATGTCCTGGGGACCTGAGCAGCAGCCACCAGGGAAGAGGCAGGGAGGGAGCTGAGGACCAGGCTTGGTTGTGAGAATCCCTGAGCCCAGGCGGTAGATGCCAGGAGGTGTCTGGACTGGCTGGGCCATGCCTGGGCTGACCTGTCCAGCCAGGGAGAGGGTGTGAGGGCAGATCTGGGGGTGCCCAGATGGAAGGAGGCAGGCATGGGGGACACCCAAGGCCCCCTGGCAGCACCATGAACTAAGCAGGACACCTGGAGGGGAAGAACTGTGGGGACCTGGAGGCCTCCAACGACTCCTTCCTGCTTCCTGGACAGGACTATGGCTGTGCAGGGATCCCAGAGAAGACTTCTGGGCTCCCTCAACTCCACCCCCACAGCCATCCCCCAGCTGGGGCTGGCTGCCAACCAGACAGGAGCCCGGTGCCTGGAGGTGTCCATCTCTGACGGGCTCTTCCTCAGCCTGGGGCTGGTGAGCTTGGTGGAGAACGCGCTGGTGGTGGCCACCATCGCCAAGAACCGGAACCTGCACTCACCCATGTACTGCTTCATCTGCTGCCTGGCCTTGTCGGACCTGCTGGTGAGCGGGAGCAACGTGCTGGAGACGGCCGTCATCCTCCTGCTGGAGGCCGGTGCACTGGTGGCCCGGGCTGCGGTGCTGCAGCAGCTGGACAATGTCATTGACGTGATCACCTGCAGCTCCATGCTGTCCAGCCTCTGCTTCCTGGGCGCCATCGCCGTGGACCGCTACATCTCCATCTTCTACGCACTGCGCTACCACAGCATCGTGACCCTGCCGCGGGCGCGGCGAGCCGTTGCGGCCATCTGGGTGGCCAGTGTCGTCTTCAGCACGCTCTTCATCGCCTACTACGACCACGTGGCCGTCCTGCTGTGCCTCGTGGTCTTCTTCCTGGCTATGCTGGTGCTCATGGCCGTGCTGTACGTCCACATGCTGGCCCGGGCCTGCCAGCACGCCCAGGGCATCGCCCGGCTCCACAAGAGGCAGCGCCCGGTCCACCAGGGCTTTGGCCTTAAAGGCGCTGTCACCCTCACCATCCTGCTGGGCATTTTCTTCCTCTGCTGGGGCCCCTTCTTCCTGCATCTCACACTCATCGTCCTCTGCCCCGAGCACCCCACGTGCGGCTGCATCTTCAAGAACTTCAACCTCTTTCTCGCCCTCATCATCTGCAATGCCATCATCGACCCCCTCATCTACGCCTTCCACAGCCAGGAGCTCCGCAGGACGCTCAAGGAGGTGCTGACATGCTCCTGGTGAGCGCGGTGCACGCGGCTTTAAGTGTGCTGGGCAGAGGGAGGTGGTGATATTGTGTGGTCTGGTTCCTGTGTGACCCTGGGCAGTTCCTTACCTCCCTGGTCCCCGTTTGTCAAAGAGGATGGACTAAATGATCTCTGAAAGTGTTGAAGCGCGGACCCTTCTGGGTCCAGGGAGGGGTCCCTGCAAAACTCCAGGCAGGACTTCTCACCAGCAGTCGTGGGGAACGGAGGAGGACATGGGGAGGTTGTGGGGCCTCAGGCTCCGGGCACCAGGGGCCAACCTCAGGCTCCTAAAGAGACATTTTCCGCCCACTCCTGGGACACTCCGTCTGCTCCAATGACTGAGCAGCATCCACCCCACCCCATCTTTGCTGCCAGCTCTCAGGACCGTGCCCTCGTCAGCTGGGATGTGAAGTCTCTGGGTGGAAGTGTGTGCCAAGAGCTACTCCCACAGCAGCCCCAGGAGAAGGGGCTTTGTGACCAGAAAGCTTCATCCACAGCCTTGCAGCGGCTCCTGCAAAAGGAGGTGAAATCCCTGCCTCAGGCCAAGGGACCAGGTTTGCAGGAGCCCCCCTAGTGGTATGGGGCTGAGCCCTCCTGAGGGCCGGTTCTAAGGCTCAGACTGGGCACTGGGGCCTCAGCCTGCTTTCCTGCAGCAGTCGCCCAAGCAGACAGCCCTGGCAAATGCCTGACTCAGTGACCAGTGCCTGTGAGCATGGGGCCAGGAAAGTCTGGTAATAAATGTGACTCAGCATCACCCACCTTAGCCCCTTCCAGAAAGTGCTTGAAGTTTGCGGGTGGAGGGATGGGGGAGGGGAAGGTGGGCAGGGGTGAGAGTCGAGAGGGAAGAAAGGAGTCCCGGAAAACGTGGCTGCCTCCCCAGGTGAGGAAGCCACAGCCCCAGAGGCCCCAAATGCCTGGGGAGTGTGGAGGTCCCAACCAGGCTTGCGCTGACCCTGCTTCTCGGTTTTCTCTCCGTGCTGACAAACCCCAGCCTAGAGGAAGGACGAGCAGGTGCAGCAGGGCCCCAGTCCCCTCCACTCTTGACGCTGTCCTAGCTGCAGAAGAGGCGGGTTCCCAGCCTTCCCTGTGACCACATGTGACCTCAGCCGGGACACATCCCTTTGCTGGCCCTGGCCCTGAGTCCCTCCAGCCATGATGAGCCGTGAATGGGACCATCCCTGTCCACTCTGAGATGCCTGGAAGGGGGCTCAGTGCAGGTGGGCTGGGGGCTGGGTCTGCTGTCTGCCCAGCACTGCCATTCTGGGAGTAGGCAGGTGGGGAAGGGGTCGGGGGTGGAGGGTCTGTGTTCAGCCAGTCCTGGGAAATGCTTGATGTGAGGCTTCTGAAGATGGCAGTGAGGCAGAGGCCCAGCCGGCGGAGAAGTCCCTGGGAGTGAGTACCTGGGGATGAACTATGCTGCCTGGTGCTGGGGAGCAGTGGCGCCCCTGGGCCATCCCTCTGCTGAAACCTGGGCGTCTCGCTGAAGAGACCACCTCCATTTCCTCTGCAGAGACTGAGCACTCAGTCAGCCCCCTTCCTGGGACAGGCTCAATGGAGGCTGCAGGGCCATCAGCCGACTCCTACGCAGGCTCAGTCAGCAGCCCCCTGGCCAGCCCCACCCCTGACTGCCGGCCTCAGAACTGGGAGCTGCTTCCTGGCAGGGCCCGCCTCTGCTGGGAGACCGGACGGTGAGTCAGCCTTAAGCCCGGCACCAGACCCCTCTGAGGATGGAGCAGGAGCTGGCTGCCCTGAGGCTGCAAAACTTCTTCCCTCGTGGAGACAGGGAGGCACCTCAGACACTCACCCCGGACTCCCTTGAACAGGGACAGGGAGGAACCCCAGGCAGCTAGACCCCAGCAGCAGCCACACGAGCACACTGTGGGGCAGGGAGGGGCATCTCTTGAGAACAAAAGATCCATTTCTCGACTTTCCAAACTGGAGAGCTTCTTGAGAGAAAAGAGAGAGACAGGTACAGGTCCACGCCACCCACACACAGCCCTGTGCACACAGACCGGACACAGGCGTCCACAGGCAAGTTCGCAGCTGCTCATTTTGTGAAGTGAATGCTGATTTGGGGGCCGGGTGGGGTTCGTCTGTACATCGTGCACTGTCAGACCCTTCCTGAAGGATTTTTGTTACTGAAGTATCAGAAGGCCCTTGTTCTAAGGTGGTGGCACTGTAATATCTGGCCCAGGAGGAGGTCAGTGCCGTGCCGGCGAGTCCTTTGCTCCCTTCCTTCTCTGACCAGTAAACGCATCTCCAGTCGCTCCCCCGAGGCCCCCCTGCACGCAGTCTCCGACCTCAGAGAGTGAGTCAGATAGAAGCCGCTGCCCACCCTCCCCCACCCTGGCCGGGTTCTTGCCTGGCTTGTGCGTCCTTGTGACAATTCCTGACACGGATGCGCACCGGGCAGTGGCACGTCCAGGTGCTGTGCGCGCCCGGGCCCACAAAGCTCCTTTGGACGCTCATGGCAGCCCCTTGGTGGAGGAGGTCGGGTGCCCACCCCCTCCCCGCCCACTGCGGAAGCCGGCGACCCACGGAGCTCGCTCTCGGCCGCCGCCACCCCTCTGTGTTCGCGCCCTTCCGAGCTCTGATCCGACGCTTTGTTTCTTCTCAGTGGGTTCAGGGCCTGGGCCAGCCTTTACCTACCTCCCCCACCCAAAACCGGCAAAAGCTCAGAGCACCTTGTCTGCCAAAAGACAGGGAGCTGGGATGGTGCGGGTTGGTCTCTAAACCGGCGTGGGGAAAAAAGACCCTCCGTACAAAGCCGCAGGGTGGGGCTGTCGCAAGGGCGGAACCGAGAGGGTAGCTGGGGGCGGGGTTCCCAGGGCCAAGAGGGGCCATTGTCCTCCCTGGAGCCCGGCGCCCCCACAGCCAGCTCCTCTGGGAGACAGCCCCTCCTTTCGAATGCGCGGGGCCCTCAGACCGCGCCCGGCCCAGCGCTGGGGGATCCTTGGCTGCGGGAGGGGCGCCGCATTGCGCGCGGCGGGCGGGGACGCGCGGTGCGGAGCCTGCGGGCCGGGCGGGGCTCTGCGGCGGCGCCTCCCGATTGGCCACCCGCGGTGACATCAGCCGATGCGAAGGGCGGGGCCGCGGCTATAAGAGCGCGCGGCCGCGGTCCCCGACCCTCAGCAGCCAGCCCGGCCCGCCCGCGCCCGTCCGCAGCCGCCCGCCAGACGCGCCCAGTATGAGGGAGATCGTGCACATCCAGGCCGGCCAGTGCGGCAACCAGATCGGGGCCAAGGTGAGGCTGCGCGCCCCGGCCTGTCCCGGGCCCCGGGGCGGGAGGAGGGAGGCGCCGTGCCCCGCGGGCCGCACCTCCAGCTGCCCCCGCCCCTGCGAACCTGCAACAAAGGGATGCGCCCAGCGCCGCGCCGGGCGGCCGGGACGCGGGGCCCCCGCCCTGGGACTCTCGCCTGCACCTCTCTGCCCCTGCCCAGGTGACCTCGGGCTGTCGAGGCGCAGCTCACGTCAGTCGCGAAGCCTCAGCCCCCTCCACACCTGCGCCCCCTCCACACCTGCACCCCCTCCACCGGGCCTCCGCAGGTGCAGCTGGGAGCCCTGTCTGGGCGTGGCCCTCTTTTTTGGGGCCGCGGCATAGCCTTGAGTGAGACGGGTGGGGTAGGCAGGTTTGGGTGGGGTGGGGGGTTCTCCTCACAGCCGTGATTTCCTCGGCCCGAACCCCCCACTGGAGTAGCCGAACGTCCCCCGAGAGGCTAGAGCCGCCCCGATTTCCCCAGCCTGCTCCGACACCCCTCGGCGTCCTAGCTCCACCCTGTCCCTTTGTTGGAGGGGTTGGGCCTGGACTCGAGATGACCTTGGTCCAGGACCAGGCTCTCCATCGGCGCAGCCGCTCCTGGGCAACCCCCGCGGGGCTTGACCGCGCCCACCCAGGGTCTACCAGTCTGGGGATTGGATGTGGGAACAAAGCCGGGCTGTGGGGTGTGGAGGCTGCACCGTGGCGCGCCCCTCCCTCCATTGTTAGCCCACCTCGCAGATGTTGGGGCCACGCAGAAAGGGGCGTTGGTGCAGCTGTGCAGGGACCCCTGCCTAAATCATTAAGGGGACGTCGTGTCCCCTGGTCCTGGGAGGCTGTCCCTGGCCCAAGGTCACACAGCAGGTGCGAGAGAGCTGGGCTGGCCCTTGGTTCTCATCCCCTGCAGGAGCCAACCTGGGGCTCGGGCGGGGCGGGTTGGGGGCGCTGCTTGCCAAAGGATCTGCCCTCCGAACAGTGTTGGGGAACAGGGGATCGGGGGGGGAGGCTGGCTTTGTCAGGACCAAGGCCAGGGACCCAGCTCAGGGCTGGTGCAGCGCTGATTCTGGGAAGGAGGGGGTGCAGGAGACGGTCCTGGAGGGGAAGGGGCCAGAGAAAGGCAGCCTCCGGAGGCTGTTGCCATGGAAACCAGGCAGGAACAAAAAGCTAATTACAACAGGGCCAGCCACGTGGCTGACATGTAAATTGCAACTTTGGCTCCGGGTGGAGGCGCCTCTGAGGGTGGGAGGCCCAGTAGTGGGGAGACTCTAATCACCCAAGGAGACAGCTGTGCCTGCCAAGGAGAGCCTGGGGGAGGGGAGACCTGGGGGACAGTGGCCTCAAATCAAACCAGGACTCCCGGAGCAGCCTCTGACAGCTGCCTTGGCCTGATGGGAGGGGCTGAGGGCTCATTAATGTGGTCACTGGGGCCAAGCCTCCCCTGAGCATCTGCTCCTGGGAGGGTCAGGGGTCGCTGGGGGGAGGGAGGGCAGGCAGCCCTGGGGCTCCTGGGAGGGTCAGGGGTCTCTGGGGAGAGGGAGGGCAGGCAGCCCTGGGGCCCACCTGGGGTTTCTCCTTCTATGGCTGGGATGGGCCCAGAGCTGTGGTCCCACAAGGCACTTGTCAGGCAAGAGCTGGGATCTAGAAGTCAGGTGCACATGCAGACATCCCCTGAGGCTCCACGGGTAGCAGAGGGAGCCCTTGTCCCCTGGACCGTGTCCTTGGCTGCCTTGTGCTCTGCTTCTGAACACTGGAGCTCTTAGTTTGCCCGCTACTTTTTATTCCTTTTGAGTTGTTTGTTTTTTCTTAATATATTTCTTTTTAAAAATTAATACCTGGCCGGGCACGGTGGATGAGGAATCTCATGTAATCCCAGCACTTTGGGAGACTGAAACTGGAGGATCACTTTAGCGAAGGAGTTCAAGACCAGCCGGGATAACATGGTGAAACTCCGTTTCTTAAAAAAAAAAAAAAAAAAATTAGCCTGGCGTGGTGGGCCGCGCCTGTAGTCCCAGCTACCTGGGAGGCTGAGATGGGAGCATTGCTTCAGCGTGGGAGGTCGAGGCTGCAATGAACTATGACCGCACCACTGTACTCCAGACTAGGCGATAGAGTGAGATCCTGTCTCACAGTAATAATAGTATCTGATTCTTTTTAACAATGAAAGCAACAGAGAAGGAAATTTTCTCGGGGGCGGGGGCGGCAAGAGCGTGTTCCTTTGCTCTGCTGCCCTTGTGGAATCAATGGGAAGTTCCTTGGCCGTTCTCGGCCTCCACTCCCGCAGCTGATAGGGGGTGCAACGCGGCTGCTTCCCTGTCTGGGGTCCTCGGGCGGTGCCTGGCTGGGCAGGAAGGCCCGTGCACTCTGGGCAGAGGGAAGTCGGGGTGACTCGAGGCCGGGAGCAAAGCCGGGTCCCGGGCGGTCACGCGGCAGCGCGGACGACTCACCGCGGTCACCCCTGCGCTGGGAGCCGAGCCCCCGGCAGCTCGCGGGGATGCAGTAAGCCGGGCGCAGCCCGCCGGGAGGATGAGAAAACCCGAAGCCCGGAAAGCCGAGCGGCCGCCTGCAGTCACCCCGGGGGGGGCAGGGGCGGGCCGGGCTATGCAGAAACACCGGGGCCCGCGGGACACAGGACGCTGCCCCACTGCCGCAGAGCTGAATCTGGACCCCCGGGCTTTGCTTTCCTGGGGCCTGTGCTCCTCCCTCCCCGGGGCGGGGTTCGCCTGCAGCGGCGGAGGGGGGAGCCTTTGTCCTCCGCGCGGGCTGCGGCACCGCCTCCTCGCGGCTGCGGGGCGGGGCTGGGGGCGGGGCCTGGCCGTCTCAGCCAATGGGAGGCGGAGTCCCTGGCTCGCCCCGCCCTCTCGCCTGAAAGACCTGCGGAGCCGCGGGCCGGGCGGGAACCGCATTCGGGTCCTGGAGGGGCTTGGAGGCCCCAGTCTCGCAGCCCCTTCATCGGGGACCCCCGCTCCCACCTGCCTTGGCCACTGCCCTCAAAGCCCGGCCCCGCTTTCCCCAGGACCCCAAGCGCTGCGCGAGGTCAGCACCAAGGACAGCGCCCGGGCCGAGCGCCTGGCCTCGAACGCCGGGTTCTGCTTTGTGTTTCCAGGTTTTTGTTTTTGGTTATGAGAGGAGGCCTGGCTCTGTCGCCCGGGCTGGCGTCCAGAGGCGCGATCTCGGCTCACTGCAGCCTCGGCCTCCCGAGTAGCTGGGACCGCAGGCGCTCACCACCACGCCTGGCCACAATTTTCCTTTTTTCTTATTTTCTTTTAGATGGAGTTTGGCTCTTGTTGCCCAGGCTGGAGTGCAGTGGCGCGATCTCGGCTCATTGCAACCTCCACTTCCTGGGTTCAAGCTATTCTCCTGCCTCAGCCTCCTGAGTAGCTGGGATTACAGGCGCCCGCCACCACACCTGGCTTATTTTGTACTTTTACTAGAGATGGGGTTTCTCCATCTTGGTCAGGCTGGTCTCAAACTCCTGACCTCAGGTGATTCACCTGCCTCAGCCTCCCAAAGTGCTGGGATTGCAGGCATGAGCCACCACGCCGGGCCGATTTCCTTTTCTGTAGTGATGTTAACAATTTAGTTTATAAAATTATATTTTATTGTTTATTAAATATGTAACATAGGCCAGGTGCGGTGGCTCACACCTGTAATCCCAGCACTTTGGGAGGCCGAGGTGGGTGGATCACCTGAGGTCAGCACTTCAGGGCCAGCCTGGGCAACATGGCAAGACTCCGTGCCTACAAAAAATAAAAAACAAAAAAAATTAGCTGGACATGGAGGCACGCCGGCCTGTGGTCCCAGCTACTTGGGAGACAGAGGTGGGAGGATCACCTGGGGGAGGTGGGCAGAGGTTAAAGTGAGCTGAGGTCATGCCCCTGCATTCTAGCCTGGGCAATAGAGCAAGACCCTATCTAAAAAAAAAAAAGGAACAATATATTTTATTACTTTATCTCAAATTATAATTTTATTAATTTTAACTACAAAAGCAATTAATATATTCTCCTGGTTAAAAAAAACCTTAAATATTGCAGATAAACCTGGTGCCCATCTAGCCACCTCTCTCTATCCAAGTGGGAACAAATTTCTTTTTCTATCCTTCTGGTCCATTTTTTTTAAGTGACCTGTGCATATGGTTTTAAAACTTTAAATAGTATCTAAAACATTTGAACAAAATGAAGCCAACATGTGCTGAATGTTTTCATGTCAAGCTTTGTGCTAAGGCCTGGATGTGGGCACCATTCACACGTTCATCTCACAGATGAGAAAACAGGTCCTGCGAGGCACGCGCCTGGCCCACAGCTGTGCTCGTGCTGGGTCTTGAATCCACTCTGCTCCATTGCTCCTGCTGCCCTGTGCCTCGCTCTGCAGAGGACTTCCCATAGATGTGTTACTCTCTCCACCCCTCCTTTACAGGGGCTGGTGGTTGTGGGTTCCCTGGAACCATAAATTTGGGGTGTCCCAGTGCTTTGGGGAGCAAGGTCCCCGACTCAAGTGGACTGCCAGCAACTAAATTAATGGGGGATCCTCAAAGAGAGTGTTAGGGAGGCAAGCAGTAGGTGGGAAGCTTGGACAAGCCCCAAATGCCTCAGGGACCTTTCTGTATTTTTTTTTTGAGACAGGCTCTTACTCTGTCGCCTGGACTGGCATGATCTAGGCTCACTGCAACCTCCACCCCCCTGGCTCAAGTGATCCTCCCACCTCAGCCTCCTGAGTAGCTGGGGCTATAGGCATGCGTCACCATGCCCAACTAATTTTTTTGTTTTTTGGTAGAGACAGGGTTTCACCATGTTGCCCAGGCTGGTCTTGAACTCCTGGACTCAAGTGATCCACCTCTCTTGGCCTCCCAAACTGCTGGGATTATAAATATGAGCCACCATGGCCAGCTGATTTTTTTGTTTGTTTGTTTGAGATGGAGTCTCACTCTGTCACTCAGGCTGGAGTGCAGTGGAGTGATCTCGGCTCACTGCAACCTCCACCTCCTGGGTTCAAGCAATTCTCCTGCCTTAGCCTCCTGAGTAGCTGGGATTACAGGCACCCGTCACCACACTGGCTAATTTTTTTTTTTTTTTTTTGAGGCGGAGTCTCTATCTGTTGCCCAGGCTGGAGCACGGTGGCACAATCTCGGTTCACTGCAAGCTCCGCCTCCCAGGTTCACGCCATTCTCCTGAGTCAGCCTCCCAAGTAGCTGGGACTACAGGTGCCCGCCACCGCGCCTGGCTAATTTTTTGTATTTTTAGTAGAGACAGGGTTTCACTGTGCCAGCCAGGATGGTCTCGATCTCCTGACCTCATGATCCGCCCACCTCGGCCTCCCAAAGTGCTAGGACCACAGACAGGCGTGAGCCACTGCGTCTGGCCTAATTTTTGTATTTTTAGTAGAGATGGGGTTTCACCATGTTGGTCAGGCTGGTCTCGAACTACTGACCTCGTGATCCACCCGCCTTGGCCTCCCAAAGTGCTGGGATTGCAGGCGTGAGCCACCGCGCCCGGCCTTTTTTTTTTTTTTTTTTAAGATAGGGTTTCACTCTTGTCCCACAGGCTGGTGTGCAGTGGCTTGATCTCAGCTCACTGCAACCTCTGCCCCCTGGGTTCAAGCGATTCTCGTGTCTCAGACTCTGAAACAACTGAAATTACAGGTGCGCGCTACCACGCCCGGCTAATTTTTGTATTTTTAGTAGGGACAGGGTTTTGCCCTGTTGTCCAGGTTGGTCCTGAACTCCTGACTTCAAGTGATCTGCCTGCCTCAGCCTCCCAAAGTGCTGGGATTATAGGCATGAGCCACCACACCCAGCCTGAATCATTTTTGTAATTTAAAAATTTAACGCAAAAAGAATAAAACTTAGCAATAACAAAAATGCACAAAAGATGGAAAGAAATCCACCCCTGACCTTTGTGGAGAGATGACCTCTGATAACAGTCTCAGGGTGAACGGGCACCTCTGATAACAGTCTCAGGGTGAACGGGCATCCCGAGACACTGTTAGCAGAGGTGGTCCATGTCCATGCTGTCCGCGTTACAATAATTACACTATGTTTATTCTTAAGGTTTTAAAAACATTTATTTTTAACAAATTTTCTTTGAAAAGCTACCGTGTGCACGTGAGAAAATCTCAACAAGACCACAGGGCACCCGTGAGAAGAAGCTCCTCCCAGTCTGGGGCCCCTCCCCAGGCACAGCCTTCCACACATCTACCAGAGGCACCCACGCATAGAGAAGCACCCACAAGCAGTTTTCTTTCTTTCTTTTATTTGAGACGGTGTTTCCTTCTGTTGCCCAGGCTTGAGTGCAGTGGCATGACATAAGCTCACTGCAACCTCCACCTCCCGAGTTCGTGTGATTCTCCGCCTCAGCCTCCCAAGCAGCTGGGATTACAGGTGCTCGCCACCACGCCTGGCTAATTTTTGTATTTTTAGTAGAGACAGGGTTTTGCCATGTTGGCCAGGCTGGTCTTGAACTCCTGACCTCAGATGATCCACTGCCTCAGCCTCCCAAAGTACTGGGATTACAGGCGTGAGCCACCGTGCCTGGCACAAGCAGTTTTCTCCCCTTCCTTCCTTCCTTCCTTCCTTCCTTCCTTCCTTCCTTCCTTCCTCTCTCTCTCTCTTTCCTTTCTTTCTTCCTTCATTCCTTCCTTCCTTCCTTCCTTCCTTTCTTTCTGACAGTCTCGCACTATTGCCCAGGCTGGAGTGCAGTGGCGCGATCTCGACTCACCACAACCTCTGCCTCCTGGGTTCAAGCAATTCTCCTGCCTCAGCCTCTCGAGTAGCTGGGAGTACAGGTGCGCGCCACCATGCCTGGCTAATTTTTGTATTTTTGGGAGAGATGGAGTTTCACTATGTTGGCCAGGCTGGTCTCGAACTCCTGACCTCGTGACCCACCCGCCTCTGCCTCCCAAAGTGCAGGGATTATGGGGGTGAGCCACCGTGCCCAGCTATGAGTGGTTTTGTTTCTATTTATTTATTATTATTCTATGAGACAGAGTCTCACTCTGTCGCCCACGCTGGAGTACAGTGGTGCAATCTTGGCTTACTGCAACCTCCGTCTCCTGGGTTCAAGCAATTCTTCTGCCTCAGCTTCCGGAGTAGCTGGAACGTGTGAGCCACCACCCCTGGCTAATTTTTGTATTTTTAGTAGAGACAGGCTGGTCTCGAACTCCTGACTTCCGGTGATCTGCCCACCTCAGCCTCCCAAATTGTTGGTATTACAGGCGTGAGCCACCGCACCTGGCCTCTATTTATTTATTTATTTTGAGATGGGGTCTTGATATGAATTCCTAGACTCATGCTTCTCATGCTTGCTACCACCCAGTCCTGCCTCCTGCACAGCAGTTTCCACTAAAGTCACCCCTTTACGAGAGGCATCTTTTTTTTTTTTTTGAGATGGTGTCTCACTCTGTCGCCCAGGCTGGAGTGCAATGGCATGATCTCAGCTCACTGCAAGCTCCACCTCCTGGGTTCAAGTGATTCTCCTGCTTCAGCCTCCCGAGTAGCTGGGACTACAGGCACCCGCCACCATTCCCGGCTAATTTTTTGTATCTTTAGTAGAGACGGGGTTTCACCATGTTAGCCAGGATGGTCTCGATCTCCTGACTTCGTGATCCACCCGCCTCGGCCTCCCAAAGTGTTGGGATTACAGGCATGAGCCACTGTACCTGGCCTACTAGAGGCATCTTAAAACACATCTCCTGTGTCTCCATTCCAAAGCGCATCTTTGTCTACACTCCTGGGGTCCTCCCACGTCAGCCTCCCAAAGTGCTGGGATTACAGTCATGAGCCACTGTGCCCGGCCCCACCAAATTGTTTTCTAACCTGCTTTTTTCTTGAGGAATCTTCTGCAGCACATGACTCACATGTAGAGCCCCTTGTTTCTTGAGGCCTTCATACCCGTCAGCTCATCTAAAAGTCACTCCTGAGGAGTAAGGGCAAGGGGCATTGGGAGAGGTCAGGCAGCCCTGGGAAGCCTCCCAGCGTGTGTCCCAGGAGGCCTGCTGCCTGCAGACACTGCTCCCAGACGCAGCGGCCTCGGCCATCAGAGCGTGTCCCACGATGAGGTGGCAACTTCCCTGAAGGGCTTGCTCTCACCCAGGGGTGTGGTTCTCCGTGTGCACACAGATAGATAGTTCTACGTTTGCCATATACCATTTATATGCCTCACACAGATTAACCCACTTTCATTTCAAAAAGACCTCCTGTCATCGTGCCCATTGTACAGATGAGGACACTGAGACACGGAATCCTAGTGACCTGTGCAAGGTCACACAGCTGGGAAGGGTGAGGGAAGCGTCTGTGAACCCAGCAGGCCCAGCCCCTGAGTCTAGGCTCCGCTCGGCAGCTGTCATGGGAGCAGAGTCCGAGAAGCACTGCAGGCACCTGCTCTAGGGGGAGAGAGGTGGAGGTGGCAGGTAGAGAGAGGACGACCCCTGGGAGCTGAGACGATGCCAGCCTCACACGGACAGGCTGGGTGACCTCAGGCAAGTCGCTTCCCATTTGGGACCCCAAGGACCCTTCTGCAGACCCAGCTGGGGGTCCCCGATGAGACTGGCTCTCAGAGTCCCTGTGAGTCCCGTCAGCTGAGGCCAGTAATGTCCTGGCACCATCACTGGACATGGTTTGCTCTCCCATGGAGGGGCAGGTGTAGCAGCCAAAAGCGATCCTGAGCTCTGGGCCTCTGAACCCTGCTCTGCCAGCTACTGTGGGTGTCTCTACCCGCTCTGTGTCTCAGTTCCCTTTCCTGAAAAGAGGGGATAGTAAAAACTAACCCTCAAGGTGTTTATTACCAATGCCCTTCATGGAGGAATCCGCTGCTCCAGGCCCTTGCCAGCAGCTGCACAGCTGGGCCTGGGGACCTGGGTGTGGGTCTGTTGAACCTTGGCCCACCCTGGGGCTGTGGTCGGCCTGGACGTGTAGGTGTGGAGGTGCATATTTATTATGGCAATTTTCTGACAGGTAACAGAGTGTGGGGCTCTCTTCTGAATGGGGCTCGTGGAGGCCGTGGGTCAAAAGCCCTAATTTTGTAGTGAGGGCTAAAAGGCTTCACAAGGGAAAGGGCCTGGCTGGGGCTATGGGCCGGTGCCGACCCCCCCTCTCCCACTTTGTTTGCAGTTCTGGGAAGTCATCAGTGATGAGCATGGCATCGACCCCAGCGGCAACTACGTGGGCGACTCGGACTTGCAGCTGGAGCGGATCAGCGTCTACTACAACGAGGCCTCTTGTGAGTGCCTGCCCCAGCCTCCCTATCCCAGCCCTGGACTGACCAGGTCTCAGCGTCTGACTGACCAGGTCTCAGCACCTGGACTCACCAGCTCTCAGCATCTCTGTCCTCCCATGGGTTAGGTTGGCTGAGATGCCAGCAGGCGTAACTGGATGTCAGGCATCCAGACGCACAGAACAGACAATAAATCACAGTCACAAAAGTGAGAGCCAAACATATTAGTGCCATGAGGGCCTGTGCGTGTCCAGGGGCACAGACAGGGATGGGGCAGGCCAGAGACTTTGGAGGCCATAAGAGGGCCTAGAGAAGGGGTCACCTGGAGGGCTTAGTCAGGGGCTCTTTAGCAACTGGTGTGAAGTGATTTCCATATCAAAGTGGTGATACACCCACCTGCCCACATGGACATGTGATTTAAAATTTTATTTAATTTAATAGAGACAGTCTCGATATGTTGCCCAGGCTGGTCTCGAACTCCTGGACTCAAGCGATCCACCTGCCTTGGCCTCCCAAAGTGTTGGGAGTGCAGACACGAGCCCCTGCATCTGGTGGACGTCTGACTGAATCCTGCCTGTCCTGCTCCGTCCTGTCCTGCTCCGTCCTTAAACACAGTGAGGCTTAAGGGTGAAGAAAGTTGCTGAAGCTTGCCTTTGGTCCAGGACTCTGACTTCAGAGTACAGGCTCTTAGGATGTGAGCAGGAGGATGGCAGGCGGGCACAGAATTCAGAAAGAATGAGGGAGAGGCTCTGGCCCTCTGTGACCCGAATCACCGAGCCCCTCTCTCCCCTCAGCTCACAAGTACGTGCCTCGAGCCATTCTGGTGGACCTGGAACCCGGAACCATGGACAGTGTCCGCTCAGGGGCCTTTGGACATCTCTTCAGGCCTGACAATTTCATCTTTGGTAAGTTCCCCCTGCTCCAAGCTCTGATGGCAGACCCCATCACAGGCAAGCCCAGGTCGGTGGACGGGGACGGCTGTGAGAAACAAGGAATGGTCAGCTCCTCACATGATCCTGAATGGTGGGAACTCATCTCTCCATTTTACAGCTGGGCATTGGAGGCCCAGAGAAAGGGTTCTGTGGGGAGAACAGAAACCACTCATGCATTTCAAGTGGAATGAAGTGTAAAGCAGACAGAAGCTTACAGAATTGCTAGAGAGCTGGTGAGACAGAACGGGGCCTCCAGAGGACTCCGGGGTCCAGGAGCACGAGGCCTTGCTGCGGTCAAGAGATCAGGACGTTCCCATGCCTGTGTCCTGGGGTTGGGCCGTGGATGCCACGTTCCCATGTCTGTGTCCTGGGGCGGGGCCGTGGATGCCACGTTCCCACGTCTGTGTCCTGGGGCGGGGCCGTGGATGCCACGTTCCCACGTCTGTGTCCTGGGGCGGGGCCGTGGATGCCACGTTCCCACGCCTGTGTCCTGGGGCGGGGCCGTGGATGCCACGTTCCCACGCCTGTGTCCTGGGGCGGGGCCGTGGATGCCACGTTCCCATGCCTGTGTCCTGGGGCGGGGCCGTGGATGCCACGTTCCCATGCCTGTGTCCTGGGGCGGGGCCGTGGATGCCACGTTCCCATGTCTGTGTCCTGGGGCGGGGCCGTGGACGCGCCACAGAAACAGGAGGGCCTCGCTTCACTTCTGCCTTCCCGACCGCAGCACATCCAGCTGGTAGATGCCAACTCGCATCCAGCCCCCAGCTGCCAGGGATTCTGGGGTGGCTGTTTGGGCTCCTGGCACTGCCAGTCGGAAGGAAGGTATGCTGGAGCAGGAGGGCTGATCCATTCACCCAGGATCCCCTCAGGAGGCAGAGCCTCGCTCTGCTGTGACCCCAAGTTCTCAAGACTCTGTCCAGAGCCCTCGTCCTGAGCACTCAGCAGCATCGGCTCAGGGAAGCCACGGCGGGTATGAGAAGGGGTGCTCAGTGGGGCCTACTTTACAGAAGACAGAACAGGCATGGGGCTGCCACGGCTGCCCTTGGGATGTTCAGGCAGGGGCTGGAGGTCTGGACTGCAGAGTCCCTGGCCCCTGTCTCTTACCCCTCTTCTCCCTGTACAGGTCAGAGTGGGGCCGGCAACAACTGGGCCAAGGGTCACTACACGGAGGGGGCGGAGCTGGTGGATTCGGTCCTGGATGTGGTGCGGAAGGAGTGTGAAAACTGCGACTGCCTGCAGGGCTTCCAGCTGACCCACTCGCTGGGGGGCGGCACGGGCTCCGGCATGGGCACGTTGCTCATCAGCAAGGTGCGTGAGGAGTATCCCGACCGCATCATGAACACCTTCAGCGTCGTGCCCTCACCCAAGGTGTCAGACACGGTGGTGGAGCCCTACAACGCCACGCTGTCCATCCACCAGCTGGTGGAGAACACGGATGAGACCTACTGCATCGACAACGAGGCGCTCTACGACATCTGCTTCCGCACCCTCAAGCTGGCCACGCCCACCTACGGGGACCTCAACCACCTGGTATCGGCCACCATGAGCGGAGTCACCACCTCCTTGCGCTTCCCGGGCCAGCTCAACGCTGACCTGCGCAAGCTGGCCGTCAACATGGTGCCCTTCCCGCGCCTGCACTTCTTCATGCCCGGCTTCGCCCCCCTCACAGCCCGGGGCAGCCAGCAGTACCGGGCCCTGACCGTGCCCGAGCTCACCCAGCAGATGTTCGATGCCAAGAACATGATGGCCGCCTGCGACCCGCGCCACGGCCGCTACCTGACGGTGGCCACCGTGTTCCGGGGCCGCATGTCCATGAAGGAGGTGGACGAGCAGATGCTGGCCATCCAGAGCAAGAACAGCAGCTACTTCGTGGAGTGGATCCCCAACAACGTGAAGGTGGCCGTGTGTGACATCCCGCCCCGCGGCCTCAAGATGTCCTCCACCTTCATCGGGAACAGCACGGCCATCCAGGAGCTGTTCAAGCGCATCTCCGAGCAGTTCACGGCCATGTTCCGGCGCAAGGCCTTCCTGCACTGGTACACGGGCGAGGGCATGGACGAGATGGAGTTCACCGAGGCCGAGAGCAACATGAACGACCTGGTGTCCGAGTACCAGCAGTACCAGGACGCCACGGCCGAGGAAGAGGGCGAGATGTACGAAGACGACGAGGAGGAGTCGGAGGCCCAGGGCCCCAAGTGAAGCTGCTCGCAGCTGGAGTGAGAGGCAGGTGGCGGCCGGGGCCGAAGCCAGCAGTGTCTAAACCCCCGGAGCCATCTTGCTGCCGACACCCTGCTTTCCCCTCGCCCTAGGGCTCCCTTGCCGCCCTCCTGCAGTATTTATGGCCTCGTCCTCCCCACCTAGGCCACGTGTGAGCTGCTCCTGTCTCTGTCTTATTGCAGCTCCAGGCCTGACGTTTTACGGTTTTGTTTTTTACTGGTTTGTGTTTATATTTTCGGGGATACTTAATAAATCTATTGCTGTCAGATACCCTTGCTTGGTGCCAGAGATGTCCTTTTATTCTGGAAAGTTGTGTCCAGTAGGTGGAGGGGCTGACAGGGAGGCCCGGGTGGACAGGCAAGAAGAGCTCATCCTCTCCCAGGCTGGCGGCTGAGAGAGGCCTGCGCTGGGGGCCGGAATGTGTCTCAAGGCACAGCCCGTGGGGAGACCCCGGAAACGGGAAGCCCGGGAGAAGGAACGGGAAGTACCTCATTCCAGACCTCAAGATGCAGCCCTCCCGACTTGGAAATAACCCCACACTCGTTCCCTGGCCTCCCACAGAGCGGCTTGCACCCCAGACTTTTCTCCCACCTGTCTGTAGGCTGAAAGTTGGGGCAGGTGGTCCCTCCTGCGGTGGAAACTGCCATCAGACCTGAAGCCTCGGGTCACAACCAGGGAGGTAGGGAAGGGGGCCCCGAGTGCTCCCTGAAAAAGACGGTGTGTTTAGTGTCTCGGGGCTGGGCCCTGGGAGGGGCTGCTGAGGTCAGGGAGATGCGGCCACAGGACGCAGGCCTGGGCTGCCGGGAGGGACGTATCAGTCCTCCCGCCCCCGGCAGCCCCTTCCTGGGGTGCATGATACTTGGTGTCCAGCCACACAGGGCATGGCCTGAGGAGCCGCTCACCTGGTTCCCCACATCCTCCTACAGGGACAGAGCCTGGAGCCCAGAGAGGCCGACTGCCCAGCCCTCCACAGTCGCCTCCCTGCCACCCCGCCCCTTGGAGCTGAGGGGCATCAGCAGCCTCAGTCTCCCAGGTTCTGCCCAGTGGTACCCTGAGAGCGGCCCCTTCTTCTTGAATCACCCTTCAACCTGGCAATGGGCGCAGAAGAAGACAGGCCGTGTGCACTGCGGGCCCCAGCTTCAGATGCGAGGGCTGCAGGCCCCAGAGGCCGCCATCTCGAGTTCTGGCCCTGACACCCCCAACATGGATGGGGCCGGGGATGTGTCTCCTCCGCCGGCTGCTGCTGTGTAACAAATCACCCCAAATCTACCTGAAACAGCACGGGATCCTTTCTCTAGACACAGCGTGTTAGCTGGATCCTTCTGCTCCTCACAATGTTGGGAGGGGCCAGCTGCAAGCTCTGACATCTCACTCTTGGGGTTGTCCTCCGCACGGCTGCCTGGCCGACCCCTCGCATGGTGGGGCGGAGGCTGGAACCACGTCTTACATGGCACCGGTTCTTTTTTTCTTTGTGACAGAGTCTCGCTCTGTCGCCTAGGCTGGAGTGCAGTGGCGCAATCTCAGCTCACTGCAAGCTCCGCCTCCCGGGTTCACGCCATTCTCCTGCCTCAGCCTCCTGAGTAGCAGGGACTACGGGCGCCCGCCACCATGCCCGGCTAATTTTTTGTATTTTTAGTAGAGATGGGGTTTCACCATGTTAGCCAGGATGGTCTCCATCTCCTGACCTCAGGATCCGCCCACCTTGGCCTCCCAAAGTGCTGGGATTACAGGCGTGAGCCACCGTCACTGATTCTTAAGTGTGCCAGACCCATGTCAATCACAGGCCTGGCATCACTGTCCCATATTCAGTGGGTTCAAGCAAGACCAGAGCCAGTGCAGATGCAGGCAGGGAGGGAAAAGCCCTGTGGTGCGGACTCTGGGGTGTGGTTCCTGGGAGGCTGCCTGAACACAGCCTGGCTTGCACCTGCAACTCCACACATGCGGAGCTGAGCTCCTGACCCCCAGCCCTGCTTCTCCACATCCCTCAGGTTGGTGATGCCAACCACGACACCCCAGGTGCTCAGGGCAAACAGCCGGGGTCACCAGGTATAGGGTCCAGCCCCATAGGGTCGGTGGGTCTCTCCCTGTGTGCGGCGATGACAGAGTGTAGAAATAAAGACACAAGACAAAGAGATAAAAGAAAAGGCAGCTGGGCCCGGGGGACCACCACCAGCAAGACGCGGAGACCGGTAGTGGCCCCGAATGTCTGGCTGCGCTGTTATTTACTGGATACAGAGCAAAAGGGGCAGGGTAAAGAGTGTGAGTCATCTCCAATGACAGGTGAGGTCACGTGGGTCACGTGTCCACTGGACAGGGGGCCCTTCCCTGCCTGGCAGCCAAGGCAGAGAGAGAGAGGGAGAGAGAGAGACAGCTTACACCATTATTTCTGCATATCAAGAGACTTTTATACTTTCACTAATTTGCTACTGCTATCTGGAAGGCAGAGCCAGGTGTACAGGATGGAACATGAAGGTGGACTAGGAGCGTGACCACTGAAGCACAGCATCACAGGGAGATGGTAAGGCCTCCGGATAACTAATGATTAATGATATTCATATATAATCATGTCTATGATCTATATCTAGTATAACTCCTGTTGTTTTATATATTTTATTATACTGGAACAGCTCGTGCCCTCGGTCTCTTGCCTCGGCACCTGGATGGCTTGCCGCCCACAACCAGGGGCTTTTCTTCCCCTCAGGTCCACATCTGCTTTGACAGCAAATCTGGCCAGCTGCACCTTCAGAACACGCCCACAGCCCAGCACCCCTCATGTCTGCTGCTGCCTCGGGTCTTCCTCGTCCCGTCCGTGCGATTGTCTCCTCACTGGGCTCCCACAGCTGCCTGGCCGCTCCTCACATGCAATTTGGCATCTGCTCCCGTGCCACGCTGTCCTTCATATCCTCTTGTTATATATGCCCCGTCCACACCACGTCCCTAATGTTCTAGAACATTGGGGCCCGGGGAATGCCCTCCACTTGAGTGTCCTCCCTGCAGATATCCGACGGCATCACCCTAGGGGACCCTTCCTGGCCCCCCGTGCTCTGAACTCTCCTCCCAGAGCTGCTTTCTGTGCAGCACTCAGCACCCACTTCAGGAGACTGTGCCTTCAGGGGAGGGGTCAACAAAGAGGGTCGAATGGCAGGAATGGGCCTAATTAAGGGGTCCTGGAGCACTGAAGGTGAAGGGGTGGGAGGGCTGGACCCTGGTGAGAACTGGAGCTACAGGAGAGGCCACCCCGGCTGAGCTGAGGTCTCTGAAGGGTAAGAACCCCATCAGAGCAGAGGGAGCCCCGGAGCCAACACCCTGACCTCTCTCTCCTCCGTCCCCCGGCCTCCAGGCACCCTGACTTCTCTCTCCTCCGCCCTCCAGCCTCTTGCTGAGCTCAGCTGGAAGTCAGGGGACGTCCAGGTCAGCCTCCAGGCAGAGAGGAGGGCCAGGAGGCGTGAGAGGTGGGTCTGGGGCCAGTGGAAGGTGAGAACCTGGCCCAGGTCTAATGTGTCATTTAGTCCCCAAGTGTCTCCTCCACGGGGTCAGCTCCACAAGGGACTTCTGTGTTGTTCCCGTTGGACCCCTTAACCTAGAAGAATGCCTGACTCATGGTAGGTAAAGATTTCCGGAAAAAATGGCTTGAATTGTGGTCTTTCATGTAACAACAGACTGGACATGGAGCAGTTCCAGGGTGGGGCTGTGTGTTGGTCTCATCCTTACTGGGTGAGCCCCTTCGTCCGAGAAAACGGCCCCTGCTCCAGTTGTTAGAAAACCGCCTTTACAGGCCAGGTGTGGTGGCTCACACCTGTAATCCCAGCACTTCAGGAGGCCAAGGCAGACAGGTCATGAGGTCAGGAAATGGAGACCATCCTGGCTAACAAGGTGAAACCCCGTAACTACTAAAAATACAAAAAAATTAGCTGGGCGTGGTGGCGGGCGCCTTTAGTCCCAACTACTCGGGAGGCTGAGGCAGAAGAATCACTTGAACCCAGGAGGTGGAGGTTGCAGTGAGCTGAGATCCCGCCACTGCACTACAGCCCGGGTGACAGAGTAAGACTCTGTCTCAAAAAAAAAAAAAATGTGATTGCTATGTAAAATGATTGTGTGCCACAGAGATGACCAGGTTTCTTGTGGATTTCATCTTAACTGTGGCTGTCCTAAGACTTTTGTCATCCACAGATAACTGTTGTCTTGTTTCACCATTTTTTTTTTTGTTTTGAGACGAAGTTTCGCTCTGTTGCCCAGGCTGGAGTGCAGTGGCGCGATCTCGGCTCACTGCAATCTCCGTTCCCTGGGTTCAAGCGATTCTCCTGCCTCAGCCTCCTGAGTAGCTGGGGTTACAGGCATGCGCCACCACACCCAGCTAATTTTTTTGTATTTTTAGTAGAGACGGGAGTTCACCATGTTGGTCAGGCTGGTCTCAAACTCCTGACCTCGTGATCTGCCTGCCTCGGCCTCCCAAAGTGCTGGGATTGCAGGTGTGAGCCACTGTGCCTGGCCACATTACTGATTCTTTTTGTTTTGTTTTTCAGAGTCAAGAAAACCTTTTTTCTTTTGAGCTATTTACAGCTTTTAGCAGTTGAGTAAAGTACACCCCTGTGACCAAAACTTGGTGCATTTTTCTTTCTCTACCTGAGTTCTCCAGATTTTGGAAACTGTCTGTGAGTATTCTTTTTTATTTATTTATTTATTTTTAAAATTTCAGTAGGTTTTAGCTGGTGTTTGGTTACATGAATGAGTTCTTTAGTGGTGTTTTCTGAGATTTTGGTCCATCCATTACCTGAGCAGTATACACTGTATCCAATATGTAGCCTTTATCCCTAACCCTCTCCCACCCTTTCCCCTGAGTTCCCAAACTCCTTCATATCATTATTATTATTGTTATTATTATTATTGAAACAGTGTCTCCCTCTGTCACCCAGGCTGGAGTGCAGTGGCACGATCTCACCTCATTGCAACCTCCACCTCCTGAGTTCAAGCAGTTCTCCTGCCTCAGTCTCCTGGGTAGCTGGGATTACAGGCACACACCACCACACCTGGCTAATTTTTGTGTTTCTTAGTAGAGATGGAGTTTCACCTTGTTGGCCAGGCTGGTCTTGAATTCCTGATCTCAAGTGATCTGCCCGCTGGCTTCCAAAATGCTGGAATTACAGGTGTGAGCCACCATACCTGGCCTATTGGATCATTCTTAAGCCTTTGCATCCTCATAGCTTAGCTCCCATTTATGATTGAGAATATAGGATGTTTGCTTTACCATTAACGTATTCTTTTCTTCTCTTTTTTTTTTTTTTTTTTTTTTTGAGATGGAGTTTTGCTCTTGTTGCCCAGGCTGGAGTGCAATGGCGTGGTCCTGGTCCACTGCAACCTCCACCTCCCGTGTTCAAGCGATTCTCCTGCCTCAGCCTCCTAAGTAGCTGGAATTACAGGCACCTGCCACCACACCCGGCTAGTTTTTGTATTTGTATTTTTATTTAATTTAATTTATTTATTTATTTTGAGACGAGTCTCGCTCTGTCTCCCAGGCTGGAGTGCAGTGGTGCGATCTCGGCTCACTGCAAGCTCCGCCTCCCGGGTTCACGCCATTCTCCTGCCTCAGCCTCCTGAGTAGCTGGGACTACAGGCGCCCACCACCGTGCCCGGCTAATTTTCTGTATTTTTAGTAGAGACGGGGTTTCACCGTGTTAGCCAGGATGGTCTCAATCTCCTGACCTTGTGATCCGCCCGCCTCGGCCTCCCAAAGTGCTGGGATTACAGGCCTGAGCCACCCCGCCGGGCCCACACTAATACTTTCAAATTTGTCTTTTGTTTTTCTGACCTGGACTCAATGAAATTGCTACTAACTTTTTCCCGAGGCCCAGAAAGTTGAGGTTATTCTTTGTAACACAGGTGAGAACATTGTGTCAGACTGCCAGGGGCTTCCTGCTCTGTAACTAAAGATGCTTTGAGTCTAACATCTGGATAGATCGTGTCCAACAATAAACTTCGTTTTTCTTCTGTTTTCATAGAAATACCTCTTATTAAAAATCTGTTCACCTTCCTCATATACATAAGTTTAGCCCATCTGCAACCTCCTGTTATGGGAAATAGCTGTTTAACGGAACTGATCTTGTCTCAGGACCAGGAAATCACTACAAAGATATGTGACAGTGTATCTAAATTTGTTCTTTCCTGTCTATCCCAATGTGTCTTTTTTTTTTTTTTTTTTGAGACAGAGTCTTGCTGTTGTCTCCCAGGCTGAAGTGCAGCGATCTCAGCTCACTGCAACCTCCGCCTCCCGTGTTGAAGCGATTCTCCTGCCTCAGCCTCCTGAGTAGCTGGGATTACAGGCATGCTCCACCACACCCAGATAATTTTTGTATTTTTAGTAGAGATGAGGTTTCACCATGTTGGTCAGGGTGGTCTCGAACTCCTGCCCTCGTGATCCGCCCACTTCGGCCCCCCAAAGTGTGGGATTACAGGTGTGAGCCACTGCGCCCGGCCCAGAGGGATCTTTTGAAAACAAAATTATACCACTTCTCTGCTCACAATCCTTCAATGGAGAGACCGACCACACCAAGTGCTGGTGTGGACACTGAGGTACCGCCGGAGCACTCACACCTCCCAGCAGGAACATGGAAAGGCACAACCGCCATGGGAGAAAGCTTCATGCGTCCTAGGGAGTAAAAACACTGCACGTAACCCAGCCGTTCGGTTGCTAAATATTGTCCCGGAGAATGAAAGCATTATCTCCACACAGTGATGCACACGCAAATGTTTATAGTAGCTTTATTCATAATAGCAAACACTGGAAACAGCCCAGACGTTCATCAACAGGTGGATGGATAGACAGTGTGGTCATCCATGCATACTCAGGAATAAGAGGGGTAACCCACAGACATGTGCTGCCACATAGATATGTCTCAGAATAAGTATTTTTAGTGAAAAAAGCTATAGATGAAAAAGGCCTACATACGATGTGATTCCACCTGTATACAATTAGAGAAATGCACCTTATTGACAGAAAGCAGCTCGGTGGTGTCTGGGGACAGAGCTGGGTTGCAGCAGGTTGCAAAGGGCACAGGAAATATTTGAGGATAATGGATAGCTTTTTATTCTTTTTTACGAATTGTGATTTATTTATTCTTTTTCACTTTTGTGGATACATTTATGGAGTACATGAGATATTTTGATACAGGCATGCAGTGTGTAATAATCACATCTGGTTAAATGAGGTATCCATCACCTCAAACATTTAGCCTTTCTTTGTATTACGGTCCAGTTATACTTCTTTAGTTATTTAAAAATATATAATAAACTATTGTAGACTATAGTCACTCTGTTGTACTACCAACTATTAGATTTTATTCATTCTATCTAACTATATTTTTGCATTCATTAACCATCCCCACATCTCCCTCCACCTTTCCCAGCCTCGGGAAACTATCCATGAGTTTAACTCTATGCCCATGAGTTTAATTGTTTTAATTTTCTTTTTTTTTTTTTTTTTGTTTTAGATGGAGTCTTACTCTGTCGCCCAGGCTGGAGTGCAGTGGCATGATCTCGGCTCACTGCAACCTCTGTCTCCCAGGTTCAAGCAATTCTCCTGCCTCAGCCCCCTGAGTACCTGGCTAATTTTTGTATTTTTAGTAGAGACAGGGTTTCACTATGTTGGCCAAGCTGGTCTTGAACTCCTGACCTCGTGATCCCCCCGCCTTGGCCTCCCAAAATACTGGAATTACAGGCGTGAGCCACCACGCCCAGCCAATTTTTTTTTTTTTTTTTTTGAGAAGGACTCTTGCTATTTCTCCCAGGTTAGGTGGAGAGCAGTGGCGCCATCTCGGCTCACTGCAACCTCCGCCTCCCGGGTTCACGCCATTCTCCTGCCTCAGCCTCCCGTGTAGCTGGGACTACAGGTGCCCGCCACCATGCCCAGCTAATTTTTTGTATTTTTAGTAGAGATGGGGTTTCACCGTGTTAACCAGGATAGTCTCGATCCACCAGCCTCGGCCTCCCAAAGTGCTGGGATTACAGGCGTGAGCCACTGCGCCCGGCCCCGGCCAATTGTTTTAATTTTCTTTTAGCCTCCACAAATAAATGAAAACATGCAAAGTTCGTCTTTCTGTGCCTGGCTTATTTCACTTAACATAATGACTTCCAGTTCCATCCACGTTGTTGCAAATGACAGGATCTCATTCTTTTTTACGGCTGAATGGTACTCCGTTGTGTAAAGTACCACATTTTCTTTATCCATTCATCTGTTGATGGAGGATAGGGTTACTGTCTGCTTCCTTCTTGGTGCTCATCACATCTCTGCTCATGGTCATAGTTTCTCAGGTGTATACATGTGTCAAAATCTATCCAGTTCTACCCTTAAACATGTGCGGTTTATTGTATGTTGATTATATCTCAACAAAGCTGTTAAGAGACGAAGCGTGGTGGCTCATGCCTGTAATCCCAGCACGTTGGGAAGTTGAAGCTGGTGGATTGCCTGAGCTCAGGGGTTTGAGACCAGCCTGGGCACCAAGAGAAAATTCCATCTCTACTAAAAATACAAAAATAAGGGGTTGGGTGCGGTGGCTCATGCCTGTAATCCCAGCACTTTGGGAGGCCGAGGAAGGTGGATCATGAGGTCAAGAAATTGAGACCATCCTGGCCAACATGGTGAAACCCCGTCTCTACTAAAAATACAAAAATTAGCTGGGTGTGGTGGCACATGCCTGTAGTCCCAGCTACTTGGGAGGCTGAGGCAGAAGAATTGCTTGAACCCGGAAGGCGGAGGTTGCAGTGAGCCGAGATCGCACCTCTACACTCCAGCCTGGTGAAAGAGCGAGACTCCGTCCCCCACCTGTCCCCACAAAAAAATTAGGAAGGTGTGGTGGCGTGTGTGTGTAGCCCCGGCTACTAGGGAGGCTGAGGCAGGAGGATCCCTTGAGTCCAAGAGGTTGAGGCTGCAGTGAGCCGAGATTGTGCCACTGCACTCCAGCCTGGGCGACAGAGTGAGACCCTGTTTAAAAAAAAAAAAATGCTGAAAGAAATTTCCAATGGCTTCCATCTTACCACAAATCAAAGCCAATGTGTTTACCATTAGCTCATAGCCTCCCGTCTCTGGTCCTCTCCCCTCACTTTACCTCATACTAAACTCCAGCCACATGGACCTGCTTCCAGTTCCTCATTCATAGGAGGCTCTTTCGGTTCCTCAAGGACCTTGCACTCATGGTTTCTACCTGGATGCCCCTCCCACTCTTCAGTGGTTCTCTCCTTCTGACCCCTGAGTCTTGGCTCAAGCATCTTCCTCCCCTGATCTCAGTCACCGTCTCGTCAAACTGTTTATTTCCTTGTGCTCATCACATCTCTGATTAGTTTGCATCTTTGCTTGTCTGGTTCCTTGAGTGATGGGACCTTGTCTGTTTTCTCACCACAGTGTCCTAGTGCTTTGAGCAGAGCATGGCATATAGTTGGTGCTCAATAAATTTGTTTGTGGTGGCTCATGCCTGAAATCCTAGAATTTTGGGAGGCTGAGGTGGGCAGATCACTTGAGCTCAGGAGTTGGAGACCAGCCTGGGCAACATGGCAAGACCCTGTCTCTATAAAAAATACAAAAATTAGCTGGGCATGGTGGTGCATGCCTGTGGTCCCAGGTACTTGGCCTGAGGCGGGAGGATCATTTGAGCCCAGGAGATGGAGGCCAGTCTGGGCAACCCCATCTGAAAGAAAAGAAAACAAAATAGTAAATGTTCTAAACCAGTATATAAATTATCTGTAACTGCAGATTCTCCCAGGACTCTGGGAGGCTAAGCCTGGGTGATCACTTGAACCCAGCCATTCGGGGCTGCAGGGAGCTGTGCTCATGCCGCTGTGCTTTAGCCAGACTGAGATCTTGTCTCTTAATAAAAAATAAGAATAAAATGGGGCCGGGCGTGGTAGCTCACGCCTGCAATCCCAGCACTCTGTGAGGCTGAGGTGGGTGGATCACTTGAGTCCAGGATTCCAAGACCACCCTGGGCAATGTGGCAAATGTCTCTACAAAAAACACAAACAAAATTAGCCAGGTGGCGGCGCTTGCCTGTGATCCTGGCTACTCAGGAGGCTGAACTGGTAGAACCACTTGAGCCTGGGAGGTGGAGGTTGCAGTGAGGTGAGACTGAGCCGCTGCACTCCAGCGTGGGTGACAGAGTGAGACCCTGTCCCAAAATAAATAAAAATTTAAAAATTAAAAAAATGTGTTGTTGAATGTCTACAGAGGAATAGAGATGGTCATGACACACTCTATGTTTATTTACTTATTTATTTATTTTTAGAGACAGGGTCTTGCTCTGTCACCCAAGCTGGAGTGCAGCGGGTCACTGCAGCCTCAAATTCCTGGGCTCAAGCAATCCTCCCACCTCGGCCTCTCAAGGTGCTGGGATTCCAGCCATGAGCCACCGCGCCTGGCCAACACATTCTGATTAAGAAAGTAGACCTTAAACTGCGTGTAGAGTGTGGGTTTATCTTTGTCTCTCCTTGGAGGAGGGTTCCCATTGCTTCTGTAGACACTGGTTCAGATCCACAACCGGTTCTAACATGCATTTGGGCAGTGGGCCACCTGCTGGGAGGAACCTCCTTCCTCTCAGGGCCAGCCTCAACCGGGGACCCATTCCTTTCTCAGTCCATGCAAGGAAGCACCCTCTGTGTCCAGGCACTGGCCATTAAGCAGCAAAGAAGGCCAACAAAATGCTGCCTACGGCTCTTTGCTTCTGGTGGTTGGGGCTGGGGGGCAGAAATAATAAAGAAAAATGTGCAAAACCGAAGACATCAGACAGTGACGAGTGATTAGGGAGAAGGTGAGTGAGTGAGGGGAAGGGCCCTGCCTCCCAGAGATCACTGAGGACTGCTGAGCAGAGGCAAGGAGGAGGTGTTGGGGTTACTGGGGAGGACTGCTCCACAGAGGCTCAGCCAGGCAGGGGCCCCGGTGGGGGTGGGCCTGGCTTGTTGGGGAGACGAGCCAGGAGGTGAAGGTGGGGGTGGGGGTGGGCCTGGCCTGTTGGGGAGAGGAGCCAGGAGGTGAAGGTGGGGGCCGACTTCTTCCCAGGGTCCCTCTCACTGCCAGGCTGAGGATGTACTGTGGGGCCCAGGTGGGAGCTGAGATGGGGAAGGCCTTTCCAGAAGGAGGAGCTGGGAGAGAGGCCAGGTGGACGTGGAATCTCTAGGACTGGGGACCTTGAAGCAGCAGATAGAGCGGCGGCTCAGGGCAGTCTCCCTCCAGGTCTGAGTGCATGGAGGGACACGGCGTCCGAAGCCACCCTAAGCTGGGGTGGAATCTCACTGCACCCTTTCTGAGCGATGTGGCCTTGGGGGGGCCGATGGAGTTGCCTGTCCTGTAGGTGACTGCTGGCCCCCAGGCTTCCGTAGGGTTAAATGAGATGGTGTTGGCAACACGCCCCCCAAAACCTGGCCATAAACTGGTCCCAAAACTGGCCATAAACAAAATCTCTGCAGCACTGTGACATGTTCATGACGGCCATGACGCCCACGCTGGAAGGTCGTGGGTTTACCAGAATGAGGGCAAGGAACACCTGGCCCACCCAGGGCGGAAAACTGCTTAAAGGCATTCTTAAGCCACAAACAATAGCGTGAGCGATCTGTGCCTTAAGGACATGCTCCTGCTGCAGGTAACTAGCCAGACCCATCCCTTTATCTTGGCCCATCCCTTCGTTTCCCATAAGGGATACTTTTAGTTAGTCTAATATCTACAGAAACAATGCTTATCACTGGTTTGCCGTTAATAAATACGTGGGTAAGTCTCTGTTCGAGGCTGTCAGCTCTGAAGGCTGTGAGACCCCTGATTTCCCACTCCACACCTCTCTATCTCTGTGTGTGTGTGTCTTTAGTTCCTCTAGCGCTGCCGGGTTAGGGTCTCCCCGACCGAGCTGGTCTCTGCAAGGTGGTGTGTGGCTCCCACTTGGGAGGCCTCCAGTTACTGGCACTGTCATCACCATGCCCACTGAACAAAGTGGACCAAGCCCCAGAGGCAGCCAAAACCACACCTTTCTGCAGGGAGGGTAAACTGAGCCCGCGAGCTCAGGGCAAGCGCACCAGGCGCATATGCTGGCCTTCATCTGTCCTCAGCTCCTCCCTGCGGGCACAAGCGGGGGCAGCTGAATCTTCCACGCGAGAAGCCTAAGAGTAGGGATACGGGGGCGGGGAGCAGCAGGCCTGCTCTGTGTGTAAACAACGGGAAAGCAGGAATAACGCCAGGGCCCGCGGACACCAGCTGCCTCCGAAGTCCCGCTGCCCGGCGCCTGCATGGAGCAGCCTCCTGAGCGCAGTGTGGCGCGTCCTCCTGTGTAAAGAGGGTAGAGCCGCGCCGGGTCCCTCCCTCTGCAGCCGTGAAGCCCCCGCGGGGCCCTGCAGGTGGCTGGCGGCACCTGCACACGGTGGTTCTCTGTTCCTTTTTCCTCCTCAACCACTGAGGTTAAAAAAAGTGTTAAAAGCCACCCTTTTTGTTTTTTTGAGACGGAGTCTCGCTCTGTCGCCCAGGCTGGAGTGCAGTGGTGCGATCTCGGCTCACTCCGAGCTCCGCCTCCCGGGTTCACGCCGTTCTCCCGCCTCAGCCTCCCGCGTAGCTGGGACTACAGGCGCCCGCCACCGCGCCCGGCTAATTTTTCGTATTTTTAGTGGAGACGGGGTTTCACCGTGTTAGCCAGGATGGTCTCGATCTCCTGACCTCGCGATCCGCCCGCCTCGGCCTCCCGAAGCGCTGGGATGACAGGCGTGAGCCGCCGCGCCCGCCCATTTTTTTTAAACGTGTTGGGGTTTGGGTTTCAGCCACAGGCCTTCTGCGATGAGAGGAAACCCAGGACGCGCAGCCCCAGGTCAGGCCCGCGGAACAGCCGGGCGGACTCCGGGGCTCGCAGACTCGCGACCCGCGTGCCATGAACCTCCGCGCCGGAGGCGGCAGCAGCGAGCGCGGGGCTGGATCCAGCGTAGCGGGGCGGCCGGGCGGATCCAGCGCAGCCGGGAGACAGATGCGAGGCGGCGGTCAGGTGAGCGGCGCGGGGCCGGCGGGGTCGGGGCCGGCGGGGACGGGGCCGGCGGGGACGGGGCCGGCGGGGACGGGGTCGGCGGGGTCGGGGCTGGGAGGGACGGGGCCGGCGGGGACGGGGTCGGCGGGGACGGGGCTGGGAGGGACGGGGCCGGCGGGGACGGGGCCGGCGGGGACGGGGCCGGCGGGGTCGGGGCTGGGAGGGACGGGGCCGGCGGGGACGGGGTCGGCGGGGTCGGGGCTGGGAGGGACGGGGCCGGCGGGGACGGGGCCGGCGGGGACGGGGCCGGCGAGGTCGGGGCCGGCGGGGACGGGGCTGGGAGGGCGGCCCGCCCGGCGCAGGGGCCTCGAGACCTCGGCCGCCCCACCCCGGGGACGCCGCCGCTGCTCCGGCGTCCACACCAGCTGCGTGCGGAGCACCCGGGCGGCTCAGGGGACCCGCGTGGCCGTGCCCCCGCCCTGGGCTGCTCCGAGCCTCAGTTTCCCCCTCGGTGGAACGGGTGGGTGGGAGAGACCTGCCCCCGAGGAGCCCGGGAGACCGGGCGAGCTCCCGCGGGTGTGGTGGGTGGGGAGGCACAGTGCTGGGGTGGCTTCTCCCTGCAGCAGGTGCCGAACCCACGGCCAGGCTTCCGTGGCCAGCAGCCCTAGAGGAATGGCCATCCTGTCCCTGCGAGCCCCTGGGCCCTGGCAGGCGATGCAGGTATGGGCAGACAGGACGCTGTTGACTCCGCACACCGGGGTGACTTCTCAGGTTCTCGGGGTGGCAGCTGCAGTGATGACACCGCTTCCTGGTGGTCACGCCGCGGGCAGGACGCGGGAGGCCAGGTCCGTGCATCCCGCGTGTCCTGAGCTTCGGCCCAGGGTCCCTCCGTGCCCCGGAACCCCGCCGGCTTTCTTCGGCTTCCTTTCATTGCTAAGTTGTGGGGTCCTCCCCGATGAGAGCAGTGGGCTCTAGAGGAGGGGCAGGGGGTGGCCAGACCTCTTGCTTTCACTCTTCCACTTCCTGCCCGCTCCTTTCTGAGGCCAAGTCCCACATCTGGGTGCAGAACTGGTGGGGTGAGCCTGGTGAGAGGGGCAGGCTGGCGTTCTGCTCAGAGTCGGCCACTGTGGCCGGCATCCCCAGGTCTGTGTGAGCAGAAGCTAAGGCTGCGAGGCCAGCGGCCTCCCCTCATTCATCCCCTGCCCGTGCGCCAGGCCTGGGGCTGGCACTGACTGTCAGTAAATAGGCAAATAAAAGATGCCTTTTTTCACAGCCCGGAGGAGAGCTGGTAGCCTAGAGTACAGCTGCTGGGCAGAACGGAGGTGTCCCTGCCAGCGTGCCTTCCTTGACGCTCCTCTGGCCATGTTTTAAACACCAGGAGGTTTCCAGCGGCTTCCCCAGGCGTAGCTCCTGCACCTTTTTCCTGGGCTGGTCACCATATGTGATGACAGTGCCAGTCTGTTCTGAGCAGCTCTGGGCTCCTGGCTTCACTGACATCATAAACAAGTCCTTAGCCCTTCCATCCACCCCAGAAAGTAGGTGTTCCCCCTGATTTATAGGCAAGACAATGGAGAACCAGAGTCTAAATCAGGGCTGATTTTTTTTTTTTTTTTGAGATGGAGTTTTGCTGTGTTGCCTAGGCTGGAGTGCAGTGGCACAATCTCGGCTCACTGCAACCTCCACCTCCCGTGTTCAAGTGATTCTCCTGCCTCAGCTTCCCAAGTAGCTGGATTACAGGCATGCACCACCATGCCCAGCTAATTTGTTTGTGTTTTTAGTACAGACGGGGTTTCACCATGTTGGTCAGGCTGGTTTGAACTCTTGACCTCAAATGATCCACCCGCCTCAGCCTCCCAAAGTGAGCCACCACACACCGGCCATGATTCTTAAAAATAACAGTAATAGGCCAGGCATGGTAGCTCACACCTATAATCCCAGCAATTTGGGAGGCAGAGGCAGGAGGGTTGCTTGAAGCCAGGAGTTTGAGACCAGCCTGGGCATCAGAGTGAGACTCCGTCTCTACAAAAAGTTAAAAAAAATTAGCTGAGTGTGGTGGCACACACTGGAGTTCCAGCTACTTGGGAGGCTAATATGGGAGGACCCCTTCAGCCCAGGAGTTTGAGGCTGCAGTGAGCTGTGATCGCACCACTGCACTCCAGCTCGGGTGACAGAGCAACACCCTGTCTCAAAAAAAAGTAATAATGATAAATTATAATCAATATTTATTGGGTGCTTACTATGTGCCGGCCAGTGTTCTCTGAACTTAGTATTAACTACTTTAATCTTGACAATAACCCTGTATGGTACTATTGTAATCCCCATTTGAGACATGGGAGAATGGAGGCAGAGAAACGTTTATCCACTTACCCAAGGTCACACAGCTAGGAGCTAGCAGAGTTGGGATTCAAGCTGGACGTGTCTGTCTTGTTACCATGAAACTATTGGGATCATCAGTCAGAATCTTTTCTTTTTTTTTTTTCTGAGATGGAGTCTCACTCTGTCACCCAAGCTGGAGTGCAGTGGCTCAATCTCGGCTCACCTCCTGGGTTCAAGCGATTCTCCTGCCTCAGCCTCCCAAGTAGCTGGGATTACAGATGCCCACCACCACGCCCGGCTAATTTTTGTATTTTTGGTAGAGACGGGGTTTCACCAGGTTGGCCAGGCTGGTCTCGAACTGCTCACCTCAGGTGATCAGCCCACTTCTGCTTCCCAAAGTGCTGGGATTACAGGCGTGAGCCACCGAGCTGGGTCTTTCAGTCAGAATCTACTTTGGCCGCAAGAGACAAAAACCTCCCCTATAACACTGGTGGGAATATCGTATTTCTCTCACTTGAATGAAGTCTGGCTGTGAGCAGCTTAGGGCTCAGGTGCAGTCCCCTGCAATCACGTCACTCTCCCCAGTGTGGCTATTCCAGCTGCAGCCTTTACATCTGCATTCCAGGCAGCAGGAGGCAGGGATGGCTGAAGAGGGGCAGCCCCTACCTTTAAGGACAATTCTCAGAAGTCTTTTCTTTTTTCTCATATGTATGTATACACACACACACATATATATGTATATACACACACATACATATTTATGTAAAAAAGATTTTTTTTTTTTTTGATATGGAGTCTCGCTCTGTTGCCCAGGCTGGAGTGCAGTGGTGCGTTCTCGGCTCACTGCAAGCTCCGCTTCCTGGGTTCACGCTATTCTGCTGCCTCAGCCTCCCGAGTAGCTGGGGCTACAGGCGCCTGCCACCACACCTGGCTAATTTTTTGTATTTCTAGTAGAGACAGGGTTTCAATGTGTTAGCCAGGATGGTTTCGATCTCCTGACCTGGTGATCCGCCCGCCTCGGCCTCCCAATGTGCTGGGATTACAGGCGTGAGCCACGGCGCCCAGCCCATATTTGTATAAAATTTAATAGAGATAGGGCCTCATTGCATTGGGCCTGGCCGGATGCCGTCCTCCTGCCTTGGCCTTCCAGAGTGCTGGGATTATAGGTGTGAGCTACCACGCCCGGCCCATTACTGTTGTTTTCAGATAGCCCTGATTTAGTCTCTGGTTCTCCCTTTTCTTGCCTATAAATCAGGGAGAACACGTACTTCCTGGGGTGGATGGAAGGGCTAAGCACTTGGGTATGTCAGTGAAGCCAGGAGCCCAGAGCTGCTCAGATCTGCCTGATCTTCTCAAGCCGAGGGGGTCAGAACAGTCACTTTACCAGGTCTAGCTGCTGGGGAGGCTGGGAAATTATGTGACAAACAAAAATGAGGCTCCTCATTCAGGAAGAAGGAGGAGTGATGTTGGGATGGCCTGATTTCTCCTGTGTCCTGGGTGCTCCCTGGGAGACTGGGGAGGTGCTGGCATCGGGTGGCCGCCTCTGACTCTGTGACCCACCCACAGTCATCAGGTAATAAGAGAAGGAGGTGGGACTGGGGCCCACTCACGTTCCCTGTGTCTTCCCCGTGCCTCCCTGTTGGGGTCCACGGGCAGCCTGTCCATGGGTGCTTTGTCCTTTCAGGCTGGCGTGCAGGTGCCCAACCCACACTCCTGCCCCACAGGCACAACAGGCAGGACAGGCCCCATAGGTGGTGTGGAGTCTTGCCCAGTTGCAGGGCAGCCATGTGGGGTTGGGGTGGCCTCCTTATCCCACTGCCAGTGAGGCAATTAGTTCAAATCCCAGTTCTTCCAGGCCACAGTGTGACCCTGAGCAGGGCCGTCCCCTCTGGGCTCAGCTCTCTTTCTTTTGGGAGAAGAGACAGAGGATAAATCATAGGATTGATTATTATAATTGTGAATTATTTCAGACTGTAGCAGGTGTAGTGAAAGCATAACTAACACTGTAGCAGGTGTAGTGAAAGCATAACTAACACTGTTGCAGTTACTGAACAACTTTAAAAAGACATCTCCGACTTTCTATAACATCAACAGACCTTACAGCGAGCTTACTTTGTGCTCAGTCTCTGTTAACTCATTTCACCCTCACAATGGCCCATTACGGATGGGGAAATGGAGGCAGAGAGGCTAAGGAATGTGGCCCAGGAAGTTAAGTGGGAGGGCTGGATGCCAACTGCCTCTACTCCCACCCCAACCAAAGTCCCTTCCTCCCTGCCAGGAGCCATCAGCCCTGTGTGTTCTGCAGTGTTCTGAGCCTCCGGGTGGGGAAAGAGCAATTCTTGATCCTGAGCTTCTGCCACGTGGAGAACTAGGCCCTTCCGGCCTGTTTCCTGGGTTCCTGAGGCACAGAGCCGTGGGCCTGGTTCAGGTCGTGTTGCTCATCACAGGATCAGAACCCAGGCCAGAGAGCCTGGATGCATTTGTAGGGGGCTTCTCTGTGTGCTGGCAGGGAATCCTCCCAAGATCCCCTGCTCCTGGGCATGGGGAAGGTGGGCCCTGCTCACTCACCTGTGGCAGAGCAGGAATGGGCCCTGGAACTGTCCCCAAGTGTCCAACCCTAAGTCCTGAGACAGGGGCTGTGGTTTCAGGGTGCTCTGACAAGAAAGCACCTTTGCTTGGGGCCCAGGAAGGAGGAACCCATTTCTGAGAGGTGTGTCTCACATAGCAGGTGGATAGCAAGCTAGAGCGGGGCTGAGTGAGTATCTGGGGCTGAGGCCCAGAGAGGATCCCATAGGTAGCTCTAGGGCTGGAGCTCTGCAACATTGGGCAAGAGGACCCTGTGCTGGGAGGCAGGGAGCTTGGGCCCCTCAGATGGGCCACGTGCCCTCGTGGGACCCTCATTGTCACCGTGAGCTCTTTCCAAGGGGACGCCACCAGTGGGGGCCTGGGCAGGAGGCAGCTGAGGTGTTTCAGGAAAAGGCTGAAGATCAAGGCTGTGGTGTGAGGACTACCCACTTTAGGGAAGTGAAAGAGGCCAGCCTCACCCCAGACACCCCAGTGTGGTTGGGGAAAGGGGGTGGTCCGTGGTGAGCCTGGTACCTGGGGACTCATCCTGGCCCTGCCTGGCCCTCAGGTGGGATGCTATGGAATATGATGAGAAGCTGGCCCGTTTCCGGCAGGCCCACCTCAACCCCTTCAACAAGCAGTCTGGGCCGAGACAGCATGAGCAGGGCCCTGGGGAGGAGGTCCCGGACGTCACTCCTGAAGGTGGGTGCTGGTGGGAGTCAGGGTGGGAGCTGGGCAGGTCTCTGACTGCTTACGTGGACCCCTCCTTTCTTCCTGCCGCGTCCTGCGCAGCCCTGGCTTTCCCACGGAGCCGGCACCTGCTGGCTGTGTTCTTTTTCCCATCTCTTCTGTGGTCGTGTGGTTTGTTTCTGTGTCCCCACTAGAATTCACATTCCTGAGGGCAAGATTTGTGCCTGACCCATCACTGCTGCATCCTAGGGCCCAGCACATAGTAGGTGCTCAGGGAACACTTGCTGAGTGCGGTCAGCGCTGAGACCTGGTAAGGGAGAGGTTAGCCGAGGGAACGTGCTCTGGGCGTCAGGGTGGCATGAGCTTTAGAAACTGCAGATGAGGTCATCAGGGAGTGCTTGGAGCGGGGCAGCTGCAGAGACGGCCTGGAGTCGACACTGGGGTTCGTGGATTTTGCTGTGTAGCCATGCAGTGGTTTTTCTCTCGCCCCCGTGGTCACGCATGAGGTGTCCACCTTAGAAATGGGATGTCTCTATAATGCTGTCTTGAGGACTTTTGGCACCGAGTGTCATTCCACCTCCTCATTTTGAGTGGCTCTTTCCTGTCTACACAAGGCTGTGGGCTCCTCTGTGAATGCAGACTGGACGGTGTGCAGATCTGAGTGGTGCCCAGCTCTCACGGTGCCTCCTTTCTGTGCGGCTTCCTGAATCCCTTTCCCACTCCTGGCTATCTCAGCTCCTCCCTAGGGGATGGGAGGCAGGAGGTAGCAGCTGACGCTCCACACCTGTCCCCGTCTTCCTCCAGAGGCCCTGCCTGAGCTGCCCCCTGGGGAGCCGGAATTCCGCTGCCCTGAACGCGTGATGGATCTCGGCCTGTCTGAGGACCACTTCTCCCGCCCTGTGGTAAGGTTTTAGATCTCGGAGGGGAGAGGGACTGAGGGAACCCCCAAGGCAGGAAGGGCCAGGGTTTCCTTGTCACTCCCTCCCAGGTGGCAGGGCAGTGTCCTGTGAGCTGGGGTACAGTCTCACTCCATTGTCAGGCTCAGCAGCCCCCACCTCAGCCAGGGCTCCTGGCTTCGAATCTGAGGCCTGCATGACACCACAGACCCCCACCCTCAGAGCCTGAGTGAAGGCAGGTGGAGAGAGCCTGGGATTGGGGTTCATGAACCTGGGGCTGCTTCTGTCCCCTGAGCTCCATGTCTTCATGAAGCAAATGTGCAGAGAATAGATTCCCTCTGGGGTCCTTGAGGTCCTGTACACTTGCCGAGAGTCAGGGTGTGGGAGGCAAGGGGAAGCCCCTTGTCTGCCTCGTACTGACCAGTCGGTATTACAGGGCCACTCTTGTTTGTTCCGTGTTTTGTTCCATGGAAGCCTTGTGTTGAAGAAGAAAAGGGGGAGGATATAATGATTTTTTTAAAAAAGTTTGAGGCCGGGCGCGGTGGCTCACGCCTGTAATCCCAGCACTTTGGGAGGCTGAGGCGGGCGGATCACGAGGTCAGGAGATGGAGACCATCCTGGCTAACACGGTGAAACCCCGTCTCTACTAAAAAATGCAAAAAATCAGCCGGGCGTGGTGGCACATGCCTGTAGTCCCAGCTACTCGGGAGGCTGAGGTAGGAGAATGATGTGAACCTAGGAGGCAGAGTTTGCAGTGAGCCGAGACTGCGCCACTGCACTCCAGCCTGGGTGACAGAGTGAGACTCCGTCTCAAAGAAAAAAAAAGTTTGAAAACCTTTTATTTTTATGCAAACCATCTCCAACTTTTGAGGGAAACATTACGGCAACATTCAAATGTAACTTTGAAAGGATTTGGGCCAGACGTGGTGGCTCACGCCTGTAATCCAGCACTTTGGGAGGCCGAGGCGGGCGGATCGTGAGGTCAGGAGTTCGAGACCAGCCTGACCAACATGCTGAAACCCCGTCTCTACTAAAAATACAAAAAAAAATTTAGCCGGGCATAGTGGAGCGCCCCTGTAGTCCCAGCTACTCAGGAGGCTGAGGCAGGAGAATCGCTTGAACCCGGGAGGTGGAGGTTGCAGTGAGCCGAGATCGTGCCGCTGCACTCCAGCCTGGGCGACAGAGACTCCGTCTGAAAAAAAAAAAAAGAGGGAGAGACTTCATATATTTGTTTCGTATCTTATTTTTTTTCCTTTTTCTTGAGATAAGGTCTCGCTCTGTTGCCCCCGCTGTGAAGTGCAGTGGCGCAATCATGGCTCACTGCAGCCTCGACCTCCTGAGCCCAAGCGATCCTCCCACCTCAGCTTCCTGATTAGCTGAGACTACAGGTGTGCACTACAATGCTCAGATAATTTTTCATTTTTTTTTTATAGACACGGGGTCTCGCTCTGTTGCCCAGGCTAGTCTAAAGCTCCTGAGCTCAAGTGATCCACCCACCTCGGCCTCCCAAAGTGCTAGCATTATAGGTGTGACCCACTGCACTCAGCTTGTTTTGTATATTACAACATTTTGAGCACTTCCTTTGGGCCACAGGCTGAGCTGCAAGGGGGAGGGGAGGGTGCCACCTCCCCTTTGCCTGGGTCTCAGAGCCCAGCAGCCTGGAGGAGGAGGATGGCTCCTGAGGGCGGGGTCCAGGCTCCCCAGCACTGAGACCTGATCCTGTCTTCCCCGGGATCCCCAGAGTGTTCTGAGTCTGGGGCCTTGCTGGGCCGTGAGCCCCCTGGTCGCTATGTGGCGAAAGCAACCAGAAGTGCTGGGGCTGGCTCTCGGCATGTGCTTGGGCTTGGCAGTCAAGCTCGAGGCCACTTACTGTCCTTCATGACAGCAAATGTCCTTTCCCTAGCTTTCCTCCAAGAGGAAGCTCTTCAGAAGGAAGTGAAGTGACATAACAAAAAAGCATCTGGATTTCTCAAAGAAGGAAGTTGTCTTTTGAAAAGCAACTTTCAAACATTAGGTTTTCAGAGGTCTGTGGGCAGGCAGGTCAGGCTAGGAGCACGCAGCACCGGGTGGACCTTGACCGTGCTGCCACCTTTCCTGCCCTGGAGCAAGTCCTCGGTGCCCTCTGGGTTGAGTTTCCTTCTCTGGGTGAGGGGTGTCGGGGTCTGCTCTGGGCCTGTCTCGGCGGATGGGCCTTAACAGGGAGCTCCTGCAGGATGGGCCTTTGACTGCCCCCGCCCCCAACCTGGGCAGGGTCTGTTCCTGGCCTCTGACGTCCAGCAGCTGCGGCAGGCGATCGAGGAGTGCAAGCAGGTGATTCTGGAGCTGCCCGAGCAGTCGGAGAAGCAGAAGGATGCCGTGGTGCGACTCATCCACCTCCGGCTGAAGCTCCAGGAGCTGAAGGTGGGTGTGGGGCCGCCCCGCCGTGGGGCAGCCTGGGGCCGAGGCCAGAACTGTGGAACTAGGAGGACCCTGCCAGCCTCTGGCTCTCTCTCAGGCGGTGGTCTCTCTCTCGGCCTCAGGGGCTGAGGTAGAAGGGCACGAGACAGGCAGGGTGGAAGACGGGCCCTCACCCCACTGCGGGAGGTTTCCCTATTAGCCTAGACCCTCCTGTTGCAAGGAACAGAAACTCAACCCTGAGTAGCTTAAGCCAAAAAGAAAAATGTATTTGCTTGGTGACTGGAAGATCCTCCAGTGTCAGGAATCTTGCTCTCTTCCAACTCGACTTCCTGTGTCTGATCCAGCCTCAGGCAGGCCTTCCCTGTGCGGTGGCAGAGACGGTCCCGGCAACCACATCTTGCTTTCCAGGAGCTGAGCCTCCCTGTGCAGATGACAGCTGCCTTTTCACAGTGGTTATAGCAGGAACCTCAGGCCTGACTTTCATTGGCCAGTCCTGACCGGATGACAGTGGCTGACTGGCCAGTTCTGGGTCATGTGCCCACCCCTGACCCAATGACAGTGGCCGATTGGCTAGTTCTGGGCTGTGTGCCCGCCCACTGACCCAATGACGGTGGCCGATTGGCTAGTTCTGGGCTGTGTGCCCACCCACTGAAGCAAGCGGGTGGGCTAAGTAAGTTCCTCCCTGAGTGAGCCACATGGACAAGGACGGGTGGTGTCTTGAAGGTGACAACAAAAGAAGGTGGTGGGTCCCAGGCCACAGATGTTCCTGATGCAGTCCTTGGGTCTGTGTGTGCTTTGGCCTGGCTGCCCTGTGTCCCCTGTGCTGATTCAGGTATCCCTGGGAATGTAGAAAGTAGAATATTCATGAGGAAACAGGTAAATTGGTGGTAAGAAAAAAAAACCCCAAAACATAGTGGCTTAGAGAAGATGTGTTCGTTTCCTCACGTAAAAATCCCATAGGTGGTCTGGGGCCTCTATGACAGCTAATGGTGTTGGGGAGGGCCTCCTTTTCCATTGCCCTGCACCTAACCGGCAAAAAGCAGGAGGGGCAGAGAGGCCGGGTCGCTCCCGCTCACATGCCCATGGCCCGGTGCAATCCCACACAGCCCCTCGCTGCAAGGGATGCTGGGAAAGGTCGCAAGGGATGCTGGGAAAGGTAGCATGTGACCTTGGCGGTCCTTGTCCAGCTGATCATTGTTTACTGTGAAAGGGAGAAAAGGGACATGGCATTGTGCTGAAACTCACAATCTCTGCCCTAAATGGTGCCTGGAAGAAATAAGTTGAGGGGCTTGTGCGAAGGGAAAGGAACTTCAGCCCAGCTCACCTGTGACCCCCTCCCTGACTCACCCTCTGCAGGACCCCAATGAGGATGAGCCAAACATCCGAGTGCTCCTTGAGCACCGCTTTTACAAGGAGAAGAGCAAGAGCGTCAAGCAGACCTGTGACAAGTGTAACACCATCATCTGGGGGCTCATTCAGACCTGGTACACCTGCACAGGTGGGCCGAGACCCAGACGAGGAGTGAGGAATGAGAGAGACCAAAGTTCCTGCCTCCGCTGGGCTCACATTCAGATGTGAGCTATCCAGTGTGGTGGCCACTAGCCAAACATGGCCAGTCAAAGTTAAATTAACTAAATATGCATTTCCTCGTTGTACTGTCTACATTGGACAGGGCTGTTCTGGATGAGAAATTAAACTAGTGAATTACATGGTGTGTCTAGTTTGTACAATGAAGAAAAAGGGAAAGGACCTAGCACGTGTTAGGGTGGAGTGAATGTGACTTTAGGGCAGAATGTAAAGGCATCACGTGACTTTGTTTTTTGTTTTTGTTTGTTTTTGGTTTGGTTTTGTTTTTGAGACGGAGTCTCACTCAATCGCCCAGGCTGGAGTGCAGTGGTGCAATCTCAGCTCACTGCAAGCTCCACCTCCCGGGTTCACACCGTTCTCCTGCCTCAGCCTCCTGAGTAGCTGGGACTACAGGTGCCCGCCACCACGCCCGGCTAATTTTTTGTATTTTTTTTAGTAGAGACGGGGTTTCACCGTGTTAGCCAGGATGGTCTCTATCTCCTGATCTTGTGTTCCGTCCACCTCGGCCTCCCAAAGTGCTGGGATTACAGGCGTGAGCCACCACGCCCAGCCGGCGTCACGTGACTTTTAAGCAAAAACTTGAAGGTCAGGGAGCAAGCCAAGACAATATGTCTGGAGGAATGTTCTGGTGGGGGCAGCCCTGTGGTTGATGTGTCCAGTGCCTTAAGGAGGAGCAGAGAGCCAGGTGTGGCTGCAGCTTTGTGTCTGGAGGACTGTTCCGGTGGGGACAGTGCTGTGGTTGATATAAGGAGGAGCAGAGAGCCAGGTGTGGCTGCAGCTCTGTGTCTGGAGGAATGTTCCGGTGGGGGCAGCCCTGTGGTTGATATAAGGAGGAGCAGAGAGCCAGGTGGGGCTGCAGTTCTGTTTCTGGGGGAGGTGGGCTCAGAGGTGGCTGGGGCTTTTCTTTAAGTGCAGTGGGGGCCACAAGTGGGTGCTGGACATACTTGAGCTTTAATAGGTTACTGTGGCTGCTGACTGAGCTTGGACTGAGAGGGAGGTGACTGAGAAGAGGGGGATGACTCTGATTGGGCTGGGGTAGGTGGTGGGAGTGAGGAGTCGCTAAGGGCAGTCCAGCTGAAGGTTTGGAAACGGAATGTAACAGATTAGAAAATAGTCTGACTGAGTGCGGTGGCTCACGCCTGTAATCCTAGGGTTTTCCAGTGCAAAGATGGGAGGATCGCTTGGGCCCTGGAGTCTGAGGCTGCAGTGAGCTCTGATTGCACGACTACACTCCAGCCTGGGCAAAAGAGCAAGACCCTGTCTCTTAAAAAGTACAAAAACAACAACAACAAAAACAGAGAGAGAGAAACCCTTCAGGATAACTCATGATATTGAAAGGGTGGAGCTGCTGAAACCGAGATGGGGAAGCTGAGGGGCTTGGGGTCGGGGGTGGGAGTTTCGTTTGTTACATTTGGACAGGTTGGGTCTGGTGGTGGGAGTGGCAGGTTGGCCCCAAACATGTGAGTCAAGTTGGAGGACAAGGTCTGGGCCACCTTTGGGGCAAGGCTCAGGGGCCAGGGAGAAAAGGATCTTTGAGGTTCTAAGGCCTCCCTTGGTGCCAGGAGGTCTTAGATTGATCTGGGCCTCAGAGTGGAACCCACGGGGAGGGGGCAAGCCAGCTGAGGGTGGCCTGGGCTGCAGGCGCACCCTTCCCGCTTTTGAGAAGTGTGTGTCCCTCCACCCTAGGGTGTTATTACCGCTGTCACAGTAAGTGCTTGAACCTCATCTCCAAGCCCTGTGTGAGCTCCAAAGTCAGCCACCAAGCTGAATACGAACTGAACATCTGCCCTGAGACAGGGCTGGACAGCCAGGATTACCGCTGTGCCGAGTGCCGGGCGCCCATCTCTCTGCGTGAGTGGTGGCAGGGAGAGAAGAGGGTGAGGGAGCTGTTCCTGGCGGGGAGCCGGGTGCACAGGTGTGTAAGGGCACGTAAGTCAGACAGTTGAGTGAGGCCCTGGGGCAGTGCCTGCTTGATATCTTTAGGAAGTGACAAGGGTCTGTTGCTGCCATTGTTTCATTTCTCACTGAAGCAGACTGAGGTTCCAGCCGTTCCGTGACTCACCCAGGTCACTGAGGAGCACCTGGAGGGCTGGGACCTGGCCTCCGCCTCCCCGTGTGAAAGCCTCATAGATGAGGACTAGGGAGAAGTCACACAGCACAGAAAGCCTCATAGACGGGGTCTAGGGAGAGTACACGGTTGTCGCCCAGTTGTGCACATGTGCGCGTCAGCTCTTCTTTCTAGAGAGTTGCTGGTGTTAATTCATGAAGTCCCTGCCTCGGTCCTACAGTGAGGCCCTGTTTATATCCCATTTTACTGATAAGAGAACAGGTCAGTGAGACGCTGGGACCACCTGAGGTCTTCCGGCTGAGGATAGGACATGTTCCCATGTCTCCCCGAGGGCTGTGGTCCATGGGAGGACAGACCATGAGGCTGGAAAGCTGTGTGGGGTTTTTGTGAGGCAGGGACACTCAGGGCCCCTCTGACCCTGCAGGGGGTGTGCCCAGTGAGGCCAGGCAGTGCGACTACACCGGCCAGTACTACTGCAGCCACTGCCACTGGAACGACCTGGCTGTGATCCCTGCACGCGTTGTACACAACTGGGACTTTGAGCCTCGAAAGGTGGGGGTTGGAAGGTGGGGGCATCCCCCTGGGGAGGGAGAGCAGGAAGGGGGTTGGGGTGTGGAGCCGGTGTACCCCTGGTTGGGTGTTGCCCGCTGCACGGGCCCTGGGTGGGTGTGAGAGGTGTCACCCGGCCGTGCCTGGCAGGTTTCTCGCTGCAGCATGCGCTACCTGGCGCTGATGGTGTCTCGGCCCGTACTCAGGCTCCGGGAGATCAACCCTCTGCTGTTCAGCTACGTGGAGGAGCTGGTGGAGATTCGCGTGAGGCTGGGGCCATGGAAGTGGGGGGCGGGGGCGCTGTGTCAGGTGGGCCCTAGGGCCGGGCCAGTACCCTCTTCTCCTCTGGGCCACGGGAGGTTCTGAGCAGAGGAGGGAGGCCACCTGCTTAGGGTGAGCCAGGCGCCGCGGCTGCCCTTTTGGTTGAAGGTGCTGGAGCGGTGTCCCGTAGTGATCTGATGCCAGGTGTGAACACAATATTAAATTTTGTAATAGCCACGTTAAAAAAGTAAAAAGAGCTGGGCACGGTGCTCACACCTGTAATCCCAGCACTTGGGAGGCTGAGGTGGGTGGATCACTTGAGGTCGGGAGTTTGAGACCAGCCTGACCAACATGGTGAAACCCCATCTCTACTAAAAATACAAAATTGGCCGGGCATGGTGGTGTGTGCCTGTATCCCAGCTACTCGGGAGGCTGAGGCAGGAGAATCACTTGAACCCGGGAGGCTGAGGTTGCTGTGAGCCGAGATCGCGTCACTGCACTCCAGCCTGGGCAACAAGAGCGAAACTCTGTCTCAAAAAAAAGTAAAAAGAAACAAGTGAAGTTAATGTTAATAGTATATTTTATTTAGCCCAATATATCCAAAATGTTATTTCAACATGAAATCAATGTACATTTTTGAGATATTTGCTTTCTTTTTCTTTTTTGTGCCACGTCTTTGGCTCCAGCATGTAGCCTCTGCTAAGTCTCACTGCACAGCGGCCACTTTGAGGTGCTCTGTGGCTGTGCAGGGCTGGTGGCCACTCTCTTAGCCAGCGGTGAGGGAGGAGGTAGGGCGGGAGCCGAGGGCAGACGGGAGCTGCAGTCCTGGCAGGACATGATGGCGTCTCACGCCAGGTAGTGAAAGGAGGCAGGTCCCATTTTACCCGGGAGGAGACTGTGGCAGCACGTTGAGTTGCCAAGGCCAGGGCTGGGGAGGCAGCTGGGATTTCTCCGGAAGTTTGGCTTGGTCCTGAGGCTGCTGGTTCCTAGACAGTTGTGTGCCTGTGGGGCCGGGTGAGGGCAGAGGGAAGGGAGGGTTTTCTGGACCACGGTAAGTGAGCCTCACGGTCCTGCCCAGCCTGGGAGCTGTGATTTTGGGTTTTGGTGAAGCACTCAGATCTCGGCCCTTCGTGGGGAACCAACCCCTCCTGGCCCTGCCGTGGCCCCGGGTGTGCGGCCCACACAGGGGCCGCCCTGTGTCCTGGCTGAGGAGGCCTGCCTGCTCCCGCCTTGTTTGCAGAAGCTGCGCCAGGACATCCTGCTCATGAAGCCGTACTTCATCACCTGCAGGGAGGCCATGGAGGCTCGTCTGCTGCTGCAGGTCAGACTGCCAGCAGGACTGGCCCCCGATGGGAAGCGCAGCCAGGGTGGTGAGGCACCTCAGGCTCAGGTTTTTTCCGGACAGCTTGTGCGTGGAGTGCCTTTAGCAGAGGGTCGCCTCACCACGGTCCCAAGGAACAAAGCAAACAGGTGTTCTGCCTACAAAAGAGTTCTCCAGTCAGTTCCGTTTGGCAAACCCTGCAGCCCTTATGTGAATCTCCATGGGGTGGGTCCAGCCCAGCCCTCGTCAGGCAGGTTGACCACAAAACACAGTTTTCAAGGTTCATCTAATTATGTGCTCAACAGATACAGATGTTCTAGATTCTGGAACAGTGAACGAAACAGACAGGAATGCTTGCCCTTAGTGCCTTTCAAGTAGGGAAGACAAGAAAAATACGTTGTGTGCTGGGGTGGTGAACTCTGTGACAAGATAGAGAAGGAAGGGTGGGGAATGTGGGAAGCGTGGGGAGTGCGGGGATGCGGTGTGGCTGGGAGGGGCTGCCTTAGGGAGTGGAGGGCGGGGGGCTACACAGGTCAGGAAACGTGGCCCGGGTCCATCTTCCCCTGTCGGCTTCCTGGGGCTCCTGGATTCTACTCCTGGGGCCCAGACCCTTGTGTAGCTCGTTTCTCTGTGAGCACCTGGGCCCTGACCACTGCAGCGACCATGGGTGGGCGGTGGGAGGGGCCCTCCCCGGTGCAGGGCGTCACGGCTGCTGGGACTTGGCAGCTCCAGGATCGGCAGCATTTTGTGGAGAACGACGAGATGTACTCTGTCCAGGACCTCCTGGACGTGCATGCCGGCCGCCTGGGCTGCTCGCTCACCGAGATCCACACGCTCTTCGCCAAGCACATCAAGCTGGACTGCGAGGTGGGCCTCTGCCCGAGGGCCGCTCTTCTCCAACCCCAGCCCTGAGGGGGGATTGGCAGGAGAAGCAGCCCAGCCCAGTGTGTCCCTGGCCTCAGAGTGCCCAGAGGAGCTGGCACTGACGTGCCCGTGCCCCAACCCCACACTGTTCCCCCCAGCGGTGCCAGGCCAAGGGCTTCGTGTGTGAGCTCTGCAGAGAGGGCGACGTGCTGTTCCCGTTCGACAGCCACACGTCTGTGTGCGCCGACTGCTCCGCGGTCTTCCACAGGTGGGTGTGGCCTGGGCCCCGCACTCGGGGGCTGGGGCTCTGCGCTGTCCTCTGGGGAGCTGCCCCTTGGCCTCCGGTAGGATGATGCCGTGGGAGCTGGCACTGCTCCCCCGAGAAAGGGGAGACATAAAGACTCTTTGGGTCTTTGCTGACCCTGAGATATGAAGTCAGACCCTGATGTCTGTGACTAAATGAGAAGTTCCCTTAGGAGCGGCACCTGGGGGATGAGGGGGCTGCCCCTTCCCAGGTCCCTCCCGGACCAGCCCCTGAAACTCCAGCTTGGTCTCTGATGTGTTCACAGCATCCCAGCTGCTCCCTTTCTCTACTAGGATTGAAGTCACTCTTTCAGGGTTAGTATAGGCTAGAGATTCCCAAACCTATAGTTCCTGCCACCCTTTAATGTCTCAGTAATTTTTTCAAAGTGTTTCTAAGCCAGAAGAAATTCCTAACACTTTGATTTATTAAGTACTTATGCTCTCGCGTTTTTTTTCCTAGCCGCTAGACCAACAGGGAAAAATACTTATGTTCAAACAACTTTATAAGTATTTGTATCCTAAAGATTGAGTGGCTCTTGGAAAAATAATGTACACAAATTAGAAGAAAAATATTTTAATTTCATTCTTCAGTAAGTATGATTACTTACTAATGATATGGGTACACCTTTTGGGCCTCACACATCTTCCAGACCTGGAATCAGATGGACACTCCCCCCCAGTTTCTGTCCCCTGATTTTTGCCTGGAATTTGCTATTTTTCATAGCAACTGCTGAAATCCCAGCTCTACAGAGCGATGGTGTCACACAGATGGGACTGTGGCAGAAACTAAGGTTGAGACTGAACTCGCTCGAGCTAGTCGTTTGCTCAGTGTCTGACAGGTGTTAATTACTGCTACGTTCTGTTTAAAAGTTTGAACTAGGCTGCGGTGCCCCAGGGTGCCGTGATGTACAGTTTGGGAGCCAGGGGAGGGATAGGAACAGGTGGGAATCGTGAGGAAGGGCTCTGAGTCGAGTCTGGCGTGGCCACCTGGCTCAGCCCCTCAGCTGTGTGAACTGGGACCTGTGTGGTTGGGGGATAGCAGGTAGCGTGAGGACCCCTGGAGGTCCACATCTGCACGCCCGTAAGCGCTCTGCACACGGCCATACAGTCACTTGCATCTGGCTGCAGACTCCGACTCTGCCCTTTGGTAACGGCTGTAGAGGGGATGATAGGAGCTGACCTAGGACGCTTGGGGGGATTCAGTGCTGGAGTTTCCTGTGCAGAGAGCCCCGACCTCTTTCTGCCCCCAGGGACTGCTACTACGACAACTCCACCACTTGTCCCAAGTGTGCCCGGCTCAGCCTGAGGAAGCAGTCGCTCTTCCAGGAGCCAGGTCCCGATGTGGAGGCCTAGCGCCGAGGAACAGTGCTGGGCACCCCGCCTGGCCCGCCAGGACCCACCCTGCCAACATCAAGTTGTTCCTTCTGCTCCGGAGACCCCTGGGGTGCGGCCCTGGCCCCCTCCACCCCTGCTGGGCCAGAGCGGGTGGGCAGTGTCAAGGCCCGCTGTCTCCCAGGTGCTTGCTGGGACTCGGGGCGGCTGCACCTGGCTGTCACCTGGGTGTGCTGCTGTGAGGGGTCCTTGCGTGGCCCCCATCCTTCCCCCAATGCAGAACTCCATGGGCAGGGAGCTGGGGGGACATCTCACCTCCCCCATGGCACAGAGCCCTCCACACCCCTGGACCAGGGCATCCGGGCCCTAGAAATTCCACAGCTCCCGTCCTGGCCACCCTGGAAGCTCATCAGGCCAAGACCCGGACAGAGCTTCAGAGGAGTGTTGAGTGACACCTGAGGATGCGGCTGCACACACTCAGCCAAGGGCCGAGTCTCACCTGCGGTGGGGTGTCGGCTCTGCCTGGGGGCTCCATCCCTTTCAGCCACTCGTGGCCTTGGGGATTTCTGGTTGTCCCCAGCTGGGACTGTTCACAGTTGTCACCTGCAGACCTGCCTCTCCCTGGCCTGAGGTTCAAAGGCCTCATCGGATGGTCAGTACAGTGGGGTCACCTGTTGTTTCTATACAACAGCAGGGAAGGGGCCATGGAGCTTTTCCCTGCTGGGTGCTCCTGCTTTGGCCCAGCCCACCTTTCCTGGTGCTCCAAGCTAGGAGGCTGTGGCCCCAGCCTGAGGAGGGTGTCCTGGCCTCCAGGTGTGCAGCAGGGGCTGTGTGCTGGGGGAGGTTCCAGTTAGGCGATGGGATCCTGCAGTGGTCTGGTGGCATTTCTTGGAACCAGATTTACCTGAGGAGCTCTGTCCTGCTCCCTGTGGAGGGCTCCAGATAGCTCAGAAATGACCAGCCAATGGCCTTTTGTTTGGGGGCCTGAGGTCAAGAGAGCTGAGAGTATTCGCTCGACTGAGCACATTCAGGAAGATCAGGGCAGGCGTGTGGGAGGTCCCTCACTCCACGGGACAGAGGCCCCTGGGCAGCAGAGGAAACCTACAGCTCTGGGTGAGGGGACACTTGGCTTTGGTGTTTGCACTTTACAGATCCTGCGGTCCACGAGGGGCCTCAGGAGAGGACGTGTCAGGACGTGGCTTCCCAGCCTTCTGCCTTGGGCAGTGGGGGTGCTCCTGTCTGTCCTTTTCCCCCACACCCTGGACTGTGCTTGGCTGTTGGTGCACATGGTTGGCACACGGTGGGCAGAGGGCAGAGAATGCCACTGCTTGGTTATTGGTCCCCTTTGACCAGGAAACCCAAGAGGAGACACCTCAGTCAGCAGAAAGGCCACCTGGCTCACTGGCTCATTCCAGGAGTGGGAGAGACGGCAGGGTCTCCTCTTTGTCCTCCGGCATCAGGAAGGGGATGGTGTCCACTCCCCACTGTGGTGGCTTTAGGCAAGGTTCTTATTGTCTGCTCTGCCTCGGTTTCCCCATCTGGAAAATGGGGGCAGGGGTCCTGACCTACCTCAGGTGGAACGGTGAGCAGGGAACATGTCGGAGTCCTTCAGAGAATGTGATGTGAGGTTGGATCAACAGTGTGGGTTCCTGTCCTGTTTCCCCTTCCTCTTTGGGGCTGAGGAGGAGGTTAAAGGCCAAATGCTGTTTCCCAACACCCCAAAGTCTGCACACGTCTCATGAATGCATCACATTTCTGTCATATGGATATTAGCCATTCCGAAATCTGTGTAATCAACTTCACATTATTCAAGTTACAAATCACTGTGTCCATAGAAAAACTGTGCTGGTATTTGCTGGACAAAGGGTTGGGCCCCTTTTATTTTTACCTGCCACCCAGCATCTCCCCCACCTGCCCCTTCTGGGTGACACAGCCGGTAAACGGAATCACGTATGGTTCTTTCTGTGGGTCTGTGGCACAGCAGGAAGAGCCCGGTGCCGCCAGCACCTTGTGGAAGACCACACATGGGTGGTCCCACAGCATGGGACCAGGCTGGCCTGAGGGATGCCCAGTTGTAACAATGCTGCTGTCACTGTCTCATTAAATATACATCCTTTAGCCTGGTGTGTGTGTGGTGAATTGCGGACAAAGTAAGAGAAATTGGTCTGTTGACATACAAGTCATTTGCAGGCTTAGGAAAGACAGCCTTTGCCATCCAATGGGGTTGAATGTAATCTGGTGTGAGGCGAAGTAACATGTCCTGATTGGTTGGGAGAACTACCTGTGGTATCACACAGACGTGTTGAACGTCTCTGGGCCCAAGCTGTTCTCCGGCCTCCGCCTCCCGGGCCCAAGCTGTTCTCCGGCCTCCGCCTCCCGGGCCCAAGCTGTTCTCCGGCCTCTGTCTCCTGAGTAGCTGGGACTACAGGTGCATGCCACCATGCCCAGCTAATTTTTTGAATTTTTATTAGAGACAGGGTTTTACCATGTTGGCTAGGCTGGTCTCAAACTCCTGACCTCAGGTGATCCTCCTGCCTCGGCCTCCCAAAGTGCTGGCATTACAGGTGTGAGCCACGGCGCCTGGCCAGGCATTGATTTTTCTTAGTGTCCGATGTCCTTCCAGAAGGACATTCCCACCAGCAGTGTATGACAGTGCCCATTACCTATAGCCTCGACAGCAGATTGTGTTGTCATACCTTTCAATGCAGTGTGAGAAATGTATCTCTGTCATTTTAATTTGCATTTCTCTAATCATGAGTGAGGTCAAACTTTTCATATGTTTCAGGATCTATTTATGAATTATGTGCCCATTTTTTCGATTGGGTTCTTGGTATTTTTTCTTCTTAATCTGAGTTTCTCACATATTGGGAATATTAACCTGTTATTTGTGAGATGGAAATATTTTCTTTGTGAATTGCCATTTGACTTTGTGTTATTTTCTTTCCTATGGCAAAGTTTTACTTTGCTTACATTTTTATATGGTCACATTGATTAATATTTATTTCATCTAGGTTTTAATGTCTGGAAGGGCTAGTCTCCCCTTTGCAATTTTTCTTTTCCTTTTTTTTTTTTTTTTGAGATGGAGTCTCGTTCTGTTGCCCAGGCTGGAGTGCAGTGGTGTGATCTCGGCTCACTGCAAGTTCTGCCTCCCAGGTTCATGCCATTCTTCTGCCTCAGCCTCTGAGTAGCTGGGACTACAGGCGCCTGCCACCATGCCCGGCTAATTTTTTTTGTATTTTTTAGTAGAGACGTGTTTCACCTCGTTAGCCAGGACGGTCTTGATCTCCTGACCTCATGATCTGCCTGCCTTGACCTCCCAAAGTGCTGGGACTACAGGTGTGAGCCACCGTGCCTGGCCATTTTTTTGTATATTTTTAGTAGAGATGGGGTTTCACCATGTTAGCCAGGATGGTCTTGATCTCCTGACCTTGTGATCCTCCTGCCTCAGCCTCCCAAAGTGCTGGTATTACAGGCGTGAGCCACCGTGCCCGGCCTCAATTTTTCTTTTTTAAAAAACGTCTTCTGCTGGGCATGGTGGTTCACACTTTTAATCCCTGCACTTTTGGAGGTCCAGGCTAGAGGATCATTTGAGCCCGGGAGTTCCAGACCAGCCTGGGCAACACACAGACTCCTTCTCTACCAAAATAATTAGCTGGTGGTGGTGGCATGTGCCTGTAGTCCCAACACTCCAGAGGCTGAGGTATGAGGATTGCTTGAACTTTGGAGGTCGAGGCTACAGTGAACCAAGATTGTGCCACTGCACTCCAGCTTCGATGATGGAGCGAGACCGTCTCAAAGAAAAAAAGTTTTCCTGGCGATTCTTACACATATATGAGCTTTTAAAAGCATATATTTAAATAACATTTTAATGACAAAATTTGATGCTCTCAAGTATCAAAATGGAAATACCAACAGCAAGGTTTCCAGGGATGTCCAACACCACAGAGCAGGGAGGCCTGGCTGGGCCTCCACTGTTGAGGTCATCATGGTGCTTCCGCTTTATTCTGATTAACTTTTGGTTACACACATTGAAAAATGACCTAAGAGAGTTGTTTTGAGTGGCGCTTTTTCTCATTGTACAGCTCCTGCTAGCAGTTTACTGCAACACTGATTTCTCTGGAACCTCTCAGTTTCCAGTCATCATTAGGGCTGTTACTAGCAAGGACCTACAAGCCAGCCTCAAAATGTGAGAGGGCTGCCGACAGTCTTCCTGTGGTTAGCTGCCACAGTGCCCAGGGACCATCTTCCCTCTCCTCCTCCCCCACTGCCAGCTCCTGTTCCAGCCGCATCAGTTCCTCATTTGAGAGATCTTCTTCATGGGACTGCAGCAACTGGTCCACAGCAGCCTCAGCAACCTCTTCAAAGGCCACATTTCTGGCAAGGGTCACAATGTTTTTTTGAAGCTGTGCAATGTTATCTGCCTGGGAAAAACGCTGGGCCTGAACACACTCAGGCCAAATCTTCTTCCACATGCTGTTCATTAGTGCTGGTTTGAGCTCCTCCCATGCGATGGCCATGTCCACAGCATCCATGATGCTGTAGTTTCTCCAAAATTCCCTGATCATAGCTGTGTCCTCACCATCCGCTGCTTCTAGGATGTGCTGAAAAGTCCTTCTCAGATAATGAGCTTTCAAGGTCGAGATTACACCTTGACACGTGGTCCGGATTGAGTCAGCTGTACTGTCATGAAGGTATTATACTCTTGTACTTCTTTTTTTTCTTTTTTTTTTTTGAGACGGAGTTTCACTCCTGTTGTCCAGGATGGAGTGCAATGGCGCGATCTCGGCTCACCACAACCTCCGCCTCCCAGGTTCAAGCAATTCTCCTGCTTTAGCCTCCCGAGTAGCTGGGATTACAGGCCTGCACCACCACGCCCGGCTAAATTTGTATTTTTAATAGAGACGGGGTTTCTCCATGTTGAGGCTGGTCTCGAACTCCTGACCTCAGGTGATCCGCCCGTCTCGGCCTCCCAAAGTGCTGGGATTACAGGCGTGAGCCACCGCGCCTGGCCTGAAGGTATTCTACTCTTAGTTATCAGAAAGGTCGCTCAAATTTACAGAGTGGCATGACGCACTGTCTAGTATGAGCAGTGCTTTGTTGGTGAGATTATTTTGGGCACTGTATTTTTCAACGGCAAAAAAAGTAAGTGAACCATTCATGAAAGATGCTCCTGGTCACCCAAGCCTTTCTGTTGGAGCGCCAAATCACGGGCAAACTGGGCTTCAAGAACCCTTCAGAGCCTTGCGGGTTTCTGAGCGGTACACCAGTAAGGGCTTCAACTTAAAGTCCCCAGCTGCACTGCCACCAAGCAGCAGCATCAAGCGATCTTTGGATGACTTAAACCCTGGCTCAGCATTCTCTTCCTCGGAAATAAACGTTCCTTTGGGCATTCTCTTCCAATCAAGTCTCGTCTCATCTACGTTAAAGACACCTGGGGGGTGTACTCACCTTCTTCGATGATGCTTTTCAGCATTTCTGTGTACATGTCCTTGTTGCTGGGAGCTGCGCTGTTCATCTTGAAGTGGGGCAAACAGTGGCACTCCTTGAATCTCACAAGCCACCCTTGACTTGCATGAAACCTCTCCGTTTGAGAACCTTCGCCATGTTCACGCTGTAAGTCATCAAACTCAGCCTTCTCCTGAACGATGGCGGCGCTCAAGGTCGCATTTGGCTGGCTCTGGTCTTCCAGCCACAAGCTCAGCAGCTGCTCCATGCTCTCCATCACTGCACTTCGATGGCGAGTCAACCGAGAGGCTCTCAGAGGAGTAGCTATTTGTGAACTCGCTTTGATTTTTTCTTTACTATCTCGAATGGTCGCCACTGTAGAGATAGCAAGATCTAAGGCCTTTGCGATCTGACTGAGCTTCTCACCCGCTTCAAATCGTCGTAACACTTCCAATTTGAGGTCAAGGGTAATCGCTTTCCGTTCCCTTTTGGCACTAGGGATGACAGTTGCATCTGTGGGCCTTTCCCCAGGCATTTCTGCCTCCAAAATGTCAGAAAATCACAGCGGTCTCAAGCGCAAGAACGCTGTGGTTCCTCTACGTCCCCTTGCAGAACTCGGTCAACAGAAAACGAGGCTGCGAAGAGGCTCAGGCTGATGTCCTGGAGACGTGGACGGGTCCCCATGGGCAGGCCCAGCCCCACTGCCTAGCCCAGCTGCTGCTTCACTGTCCACTCCGAGGAGGCCGCGCGGGTCTCCCGGTACCGCTCGAAGTCCGCGTGTTGGGGCCGTGCGGCCGCAGGCACATACAAGCGGCCTGGGTCCTGGGGCTCCAGAGAACAACCGACCAAGCAGACAAACGGAACTCCGTGAGGGGGACACTGCGGCAGAAACGTCCAGGGGCGGTTTTCCAGTGCAGCGGAGGGCGGACCGGGCGGGTGTTGTTTCGGGAGCTGCTTTCCATGGAGGACCCCAGAAATAAGTGTTGATGCCGATGCCCGATTTAAGATAAGTCTAAAGGCGCTGGCTATCCCCTTAGGGCCCAGCTGTCTGGGCAGGGCGAGGCTGCGCTGGCGATCAAACCCTCGAACGGTCAGGCGACGGCGTGGACACCCAAGACGGGGCCCCAGCCGGCGCCGCGCCCCTGCCGCGCCTGCGCGAGTCCTCCCTGCGCTCGCGGGGCCCTAGGACCGCTCTCCCATTGCGCATGCGCGCGCCCGGGCGGCGCGGGATCTGGGTCTGGGGATGTGGTACCGGCTGCTGGCGGCGGCCGGCAGTAGAGCGGTGGCCAGGCCGCTGGCCTTGCTGTGGCGATGTGGTGGCCCAGGAGGCGGCAGGACGGCCAAGACCAGCGCGAGGGCCCTGGGCAAGGCCCGACAGGTGAGCGGGGAGGCGCTCTCCGCCGGTGCCGGGCGGCTGGTCTGCTCTGGACGCCGCGTGACGCCATTCGCCTGCGCCGGCCGCGGGGGAGCGCGGGAGGGCGGCGGCCCTGACCTGGTCCGCGCAGTGAGGCCGACAGCACCTGGCCAGAGCTTCCCGCCCCCCCGCCTCCTCCGTCTCCAAACTCCTGCTCTTCTCCTCGCTACCTCTTCCACCCACTTCTTGCGGAATTCCCGCTGTTTACTGGATGCCCGGTCCCCTCGGACATCGGAACCGGGACCTCCAGCCTCCTTGCTCGGCTTTGTAAAGCGCCGGGCGTTGAGCGATTTGCGCTTGAGTCCCACCTCCTCGCGAACCAGCTTTGTGGCCCCGCGTGCCAGCCCGTGTCCTCCTGGGCTCGGCGGCGTTCGGCTTTATCCACCTCGCAGTTACTCAGTGAACCAGACACGATAAGAGGCGTGAAAGGGTTTTGCAAACTGTTCTTTATACAGCGACCAGTCACTGTCGTTAACAGCTAATGCTGAGAGCTAAGGGCTTTACGCGGATTATCTAAGTCTTATACCCGCCCTATAGGTAGATATCGCTATAACCCTATTGTTATTTATTATATTATTTTTAAAAATTTGGGAGCGGGGCCGGAGTCTCGCTGTGTTGTCTAGGCTGATCTCGAACTCATGGGCACAAGCGATTCTCCTTTCTCAACCTCTGGAGTAGCTGGGACTACAGGCTTGAGCCACCGTGCCCTGCTCATAACCCTGTTTTATAGGGTTAGGGTCTAAGACCGGAATATTCTGCATTTTAAGATTGCTTTATTTTTGTATTGATACATCCCAGTGAGCAGCAGTAACGTTGAATTGTTTTTCTAATGCAGAGTTTTTGAATTTTGATCCCAGAAAGCTGTCATGGTTTTCAGACAGCAGTAAAATAAGAAGAAGGATCCCATGAGTATTTCTGTCCTGTCTTCAGGAATGAACTCCCCCCCCCCCCCGCCATCTCCATTCATTTGGGAAAGTGTATGATGGTTTAGTTGCTAGCAATATGAGTGAAAGCAGTCTTTCAGCTTTGGCCATGTGGCATCAGCATTGCAGAGGTCCTCCTGGTTGCTAACACATATTGAAAGTCAGCGATATGCAATATCGGTGTGTACAGCCTAATATAGCCCAGGAGAGTTTTGAATCATTGAACTGCTATAGACCCCTTTATGAAGGGAGGACGGACGTTGAATGATCTTTGAGTTCCTTCCCGGACTGGATCATTCATCTGCTTCTCATTTATTAGAGATAGATCTGTTAATCATTTACCAGGGAATATCTTGGTGAACACGACAGGCAAGGGCTCTGCCCCACTGGCTTGCTCTCTTTTGAGAGCTTTATGACTTGTGGACTGAGGGTGACATGCAGAGGTTGGAGAGGTGGCAGCAATTTGCATTTTTTTTTTTTTTTTGAGACGGAGTTTCCCTCTTGCCCATGCTGGAGTGCAATGGCGCAATCTTGGCTCACTGCAACCTCCGGCTCCCAGGTTCAAAGCGATTCTCCTGCCTCAGCCTCCCGAGAAGCTGGGATTACAGGCGCATACCACCATTCCCGGCTAATTTTGTATTTTTAGTAGAGACGGCTGGGCACGATGGCTCACGCCTGTAATCCCAGCACTTTGGGAGGCTGAGGCGGGCAGATCACCTAAGGTGGGGAGTTCGAGACCAGCCTGACTGATGTGGAGAAACCCCGTCTCTACTAAAATACAAAATTAGCCCGGTGTGGTGGCACGCACCTGTAATCCCAGCTACTTGGGAGGCTGAGGCAGGAGAATCGCTTAGAACCTGGGAGGCGGAGGTGGCAGTGAGCCAAGGTCGCACCATTGCACTCCAGCCTGGGAGTGAGACTCTGTCTCAAAAAAAAAAAAAAAGAAACAAAACAAAAAACACCCTAACAGCTCTCCTCATGGAAGCTTATGCTGTGGAGGCTTCCATGCAGTCATCTTTCATTCATTGAGCTACCTACTCTGTCCTTGTTCTCGTAGAGTTTACGTGCTGTGCAAGGAGGAACCAGACAATGGATAAGCAAGTATTAGGCATGTTAGGAAAAGGAAGCAGAATAAAGGAAATAGAAAATGAAGAAAGGGAATGGAGGAGGGATAAACCCTGTTATTTGTTGTGTCCCCTGCAGGAAGTGAGGGATTGAGATGAGCTTGCTAGGAAGATGGAATAGAAAATGCACTGCCCTAGGGTGGGTCCAGCCTTGAGTTCTGTGTGATCAGTATGAGGAAGAGGTTAGTGATAGACAGGTCAAGGAGGGGCAGGGCCTCATAGGCCTGCTGACGTTGCACCTGTGTGCTGTGTGTGTCTGTGGGACCCGGAATAAGGGTCAACTCATTTATGGCCTGACTGGAAAGAGGACAGCAGCACTTGGCCCTGTTTAAGGGAGTTTGTGTTTTGCCTACCTTCACATCTTGGCTTTACATATACAAAAACTAATTTAGCAAGGTTATTTACTGTGAGCTGTGAACTGACTTGCAGAAAACTCCAAGAAGGAATGGTAAACTCCTATCTTAGTGTTTACATTTACTGTGAGAACTGCATCAGGCTTAACCAGATTGTCTCCTAACCAAATCACAAAAGGACTAAATTGCGAATTAAAGCAAAGGAATTGGATGTTTTATCAAGTTTTGGAAGCCTGAAGAGTCATACTTTGTACCTTCAGGGCTGTAGGCTACCTGGTATCTACCCAGCCACCAGTACCAGTGCCACACTGTCTTTGAGGTGGTCCTGGGGTAGTCATGGAAAAGCTCTGGAAGATTGGGGCATCAGAATTCTCATTGCACACTTTCAGCTACCAGCTGTCTTCAGGCACTCACATTACCTCTCAGGTTCTACTTTCTCAGATGGGCAATGGGGATCAAGTGAGGTAAGAGGCACCTGGCACCCTACAACGTGCAGTATGGCCACCTTCTGTTGTTTGTGTAGGTCTCCTGTTGACCCACACCTTGGGTTCCAAACCCCCATCGGGGAAACATTCATGGGATCCTTCGAGAGTCATTGCTAGCTCTGTGTCAGGTACTGTGTGCCATTGGTGCTGGGATGGCTGCTGCAGATCGATTTCGTTCACGATGTGGAATCGTTTGTTAGCCCCACAGCCTTTACTGTCAGCATTCTCTTTCTGAGCTGCTTTTTTTTTTTTTTATGATTTTAATAATTTTTTCATAGTATGTCTTACTTTTTAGTCTACTGTGGTCTTTTATAGGGATATTTGAATAATGTAGTTAATTAGAAAGTTACTAATTGGGGAATGATTTTACTTTGGGGTAGTAGCCTACAGAGTCAGCCTCCCCCTGAATGTTGACACAGCTGAAATAACATAGGTGTTGTCAACTGTGGGTCTTGTTTCATTATAATAAAATATTGGGGGCTCACACCTGTCATCCCAGCACTTTGGGAGGCTGAGACAGGTGGATCACCTGAGGTCAGGAGTTCAAGACCAGCCTGACCAATATGGTGAAACTCTGTCTCTAATAAAAATACAAAAATTAGCCAGTGTGGTGGTGTGCACCTGTAATCCCAGCTACTTGGGAGGCTGAGATAGGGAGAATTGCTTGAACCCAGGAGGCGGAGGTTGCAGTGAGCTGAGATGGCGCCACTGTACTCCGGCCTGGGTGACAGAGCAAGACTCTGTCTCAAAAAAATAAAATAAAATATTGGGGACAATATAAATTCACTGGTTATGTTGGGATTTTGTTGGATACAGTTAGTACTGGGTTATTGAGTGCTTAGATTTTGTTTTTTAATATTTGTGTATGTGTGTGGTTTTTTTTTTTTTTTTTTTTTTTGAGAGAGTCTTACTGTCGCTAGGCTGGAGTGCAGTGGCACGATCTTGGCTCAATACAACTTTCGCCTCCCAGGTTCAAGCAATTCTCCTGACTCAGCCTCCCGAGTAATTGGGATTACAGGCGCCCACCTCCATGCCCGGCTAATTTTTGTATTTTTAGTACAGACGGGGTTTCACCATGTTAGCCAGGCTGGTCTCGAACTCCTGACCTCAAGTGATCCTCCCGCCTCGGCCTCCCAAAGTGCTGAGATTACAGGCATGAGCCACAGCACCTGGCCGACGTTTTCCTCCTTGAAGACTGAAGAAAATACAGAGCTTCTGGAAAAATTATTTGTTTTCTTGGCCTGACAAAAACTTTTACCTCTTGCTGGATGCTGTATTACCTGTCTGTTGTCCCTGCTGTGAATAGCCACTGCACTCCAATGAGACCCCATCTTGAAAAAAAAAAAAAAAGGCTGGGCTCATGCCTGTCATCCCAGCACTTCGGGAGGCCAGAACGGGCAGATCACCTGAGCTTGGGAGTTCGAGACCAGCCTAATCAACACGGTGAAACCCCATCTCTACCAAAAATATAAAATTAGCTGGGCGTGATGGTGGGTGCTTGTAGTCCCAGCTACTGGGGAGGCTGAGGCAGGAGAATGGCATGAACCCAGGAGGCAGAGGTTGCAGTGAGCCGAGATCACACCACTGCACTCCATCCTGGGCGACAGCAAAACTCTGTCTCAAAAAAAAAAAAAAAGAAAAGAAATTAAGCTCTTGGTCGACCAAAGATGAGTCATAGTGTATTTCAGTATTTAAATTTTACACAATTTTATGTTTTAGTCTTACAGTCTTGTTTTTGAAGCTGCAATATTTCAAGTTACTAAATAAATTGCCTCAGTTTCTAAGCCGTGTTTTTTGTTTTTTGGGGGAGTTTTTTCTTGCTGTTGGAGGCTATAGCTATAAACATTTGCAGTGCATTTCTGCAGTGAGCTTGCTCCTGTTTACTCTATTGAATCATATTTCTAATGGGGTATTTAAGGCGATAAGCTCACACCTCACCCTGCTTGCTCCAGTGGTTATGGCCAGTGAGAATGTGCGGTGTTGCATTGCAGAAGAAGCTAGGAAAGCTCATCTGGCCTCCTGTTCCAGTGCTTCCAGGGGATCCACGTTCAGAAGCTGACTCTGCAGGCAAGACCGACGTTATTTTCCTGGTGGCTGTGTTCAAAACCACCCAAAGGTACCTGTCTTTCATCCACCATCATTAACAGCATGAGGTTTACAGGAACTGAGTGGCTTCCTCAGAGTGTGACTTCTACAGTGAGTGACCAGGGGGCGAGGGTCCAGACAACTCAGGGCACACCCCACTCCACCCCGCCCCATCCTACCCCTTCCTGGCTTCCATATCGAGCCACACAACATCCAGCACCTTCTCCATGTCTTTATGGTGTTGATATCTCACTAAAGCTGGTGAGAGAAAAGCTCTTTCCAAAGGAAGGTGCTAGATGAATCTTTTGGAAGGTATGGGAACAAACCTTGGTTTCTGCGTATCTGACTCTGAGGACCAGCTAAGCCTCATGTTTGGAAAGCAGAACAGAAACAATGTGCAGACTGGCATTACCTCAGAGCACACTTGCCCACTTGGAGTCCTTCTGTAGGCCATGGACCTGTGCTTTGTGCTTTGTGTCCAGGGACAGTGTTCACTGAAGCCCCTGGAGACCCTGTGTCTCCACAGAGTAGAAGGTGCTCCCTGCACTTCCCTCAGTGTTAGGACCTGAGGGCTCATGCCGATTGTATGAAGCAAGAAGAGAGGCAGGAGGAGGGAAAACTGGCGTCTCTCTCACTTTCTCTATATCGTCTTGACAGTACGGTTGCTTTTCTTGGTGTGATTCTGTCTTCTAAAATATTAGAACCAGGCTGGGCGCCACCGTCTGTAATCCCAGCACTTTGGGAGGCCGAGGCGGGCAGATCACCTGAGGTCAAGAGTTCGAGACCAGCTGGGCAACACGGTGAAACCCCGTCTCTACCAAAAATACAAAATTTAGCTGGGTGTAGTGGCGGGTGCCTGTAATCCTAGCTACTCAGGAGGCTGAGGCAGGAGAGTCACTTGAACCCGGAAGGCGGAGGTTGCAGTGAGCCGAGATCGTGCCACTGCACTCCAGCCTGGGTGACAAAGTGAGACTCTGTCTCAAAAAAAAAGAAAAAAAAAAAAAAGAAATACTAGAACCTCATCATTTTGTCCCTCAGGGTTTGAGAAATACTTTAAGAGGAGTGGAAGGAACACAAACTGAGAAACATCAACAGCACCAAAAAAAGGTAAAAGGGCCAGTTTGAAAAATCAGACTGTGAAGTTTTACAGTTGAGTACTTTTAAAGCATTCACTGAATGGGCTGATCTCCTTGGGAACTGATAAGCAGGTGGGCCTGTGAGTGTGTGATGGTGACATCGTCTTCCCTGAGCTTGCTCCTGGGCGGTACCCATCCTTCCCAGGTCACCAGCACCTTCTCAACCGGTTTAGATCCTAAGCCTCGACAAATCATTTAAAAATTATATCATGGTGTGATGGTGTGGACTGGGTTTTGGGATTGGCGAAGTCAGTATTTTGTGTTTCCCCTGTGAAATGTCTCCTGCTTGTGTACCGGTGAGCATGGGGTGAAGAAACACGTAAGTCATATTGGGAGGTGTGGTGACTTGCCTTGCTACGAAAGGAATGTTTCTTTTTTTTTTTTTTTGAGACAGAGTCTCACTCTGTCACCCAGGCTGGAGTGCAGTGGCACAATCTCGGCTCACTGCAAGCTCTGCCTCCTGGGTTCACGCCATTCTCCTCCTTCTCCTGCCTCAGCCTCCCGAGTAGCTGGGACTACAGCCGCCCGCCACCATGCCCGGGTAATTTTTTTGTATTTTTAGTAGAGACGGGTTTTCACCGTGTTAGCCAGGATGGTCTCGATATCCTGACCTCGTGATCTGCCCGCCTGGGCCTCCCAAAGGGCTGGGATTACAGGCATGAGCCACTGCACCCGGCCAAGGAATGTTTCTTTGAAGACTCATGTTTGTCCTTAAAATTTTGCAAATTTTTACTCCATCTTGTAATATGTTTGCCATTCCTGGGGTCACCTTGGCCTTCTCTGGCCTTTCATGGTGTTATTTTGCAGCTGTTGGAGTAGCACTGTATTTGTGAAGTGGACAGTGTCATGGCTTACTTGTTCTGGAACTTGTCCTGGAACATTACAGGAAGAGGCTGGTAGGTCCGTGGGACACAAATATACGTAGGAGGCCAGATTTTTTGGAGGAGAGGCAGACTCTGCTTAGAACAGGTGGTTTGTGTTCCCTGGTTCTCTTGAGAAGGGGGACCACCCATACCAGTCTGTCTTAACATTTTCTTCCTTTCTTTCTTTCCCCTAATAACAGCCAGTTTTGGGACTGTTACCCCAAAAAAGTTTACTATTAAAGCTCAATATGAAGCCAGCGAGGTGAAATTTTAGGGATTTTAGATGTATCTGAAGCTACTTCTCAGCAATATCTCCCCAGCCTCATCCTTTTCCTGTTGTCTCTTTATTTCCAGAAGGCACTGGTGTTATTAAAATTGTGTGTTGGAAGGTGTTTTTCTGTTTTCTGAATCTTCTTTCTCTGGAAAATCATATGTAATTGCTTTGTGAAGTCTTACTTTGTTTTCTCTCAGAGACTGGTGAACTAGAGAATGCTGAGTCTGGAGGAGACGGAGGCAGGAGAGGAGGGAAGCAGGATAACGTTGCCTGGTGGAGGCGGATGCAGAAGGTTTGTGTGCATCTTAGTCTGCGCCTGCTGCTGTAACAATACATCAGACTGGGTAATTTATAAACAGGGTACATTTACTGCTCACAGTTGTGGAGGCTGGAGGTACAAGATCATAGCCTGGACAACATGAACGCTGTCTCCACAAAAAATACAAAAATAAGCCAGGCGTGGTGGTGCGTGCCTGTAGTCCCAGTTACTCAGGAGGCTCAGGCGGGAGGATTGCATGAAGCTGGGAGTCGAGGCTGCGGTGAGCCGTGATCACACCACTGCACTCCAACCTGGGCAACAGATTGTGAGGGCACCAATCCCATTCGGGAAGGCAGAGCCCTTGGGACCTAATCCCCTCCCAGGGGCCCCATCTCTTAATACCTTCACCTTAGGGATTGAGTTCCAACATGGAAATTTTGGGGGAACACATAAATTTAAACCCATATCAATCTTTCTGCTTGTTTAAAGGTGAACTGTTGAATTAGTTCATAAGTTTCAAAGAAATTAGTTTCTAAAAATGTACTGAGGCCGGGTGCAGTGGGTCATGCCTGTAATCCCAGCACTTTGGGAGGTGGGAGGATTGCCTGAGCCTAGGAGTTTGACACCAGCCTTGGCAACATAGTGAAACCTTGTCTCTACAAAAAAAAAAAAAAAAAAAAAAAGCCAGGCATGGTGGTGTGTACCTCTGGTCCCAGGTACTCAGGATTGCTTGAGCCCGAGAGGTTGAGGCTGCAGTAAACCATGATCGTGCGACTGCACTCCAGCCTGGGTGACCAAGTAAGACCTTGTCTCCAAAAAAAAAAAAATTAAAAAAAAATAAAAATGTGCTGAGATTTCTATCTGGATTTTATTATTATTATTATTTTTGAGATAGGGTCTCACTGTGTCATCCAGGCTGGAGTGCAGTGATACGATCACTGCTTACTGTAGCCTTGACTTCCCAGGCTCAGATGATTCTCCCACCTCAGCCTCTAGAGCAGCTGAGACCACAGGCTTGCACCACCACTCCTGGCTAATTTTTTTTTAAATTTTTTGTGGACATGGGGTCACCCACCGTTGCCCAGGCTGGTCTCGAACTCCTGGGCTCAAGCAGTCCTCTCACCTTGGCCTCCTTTAGTGCTGGGACTACAGAGCTGAGTCACCACGCCTGGCCTCTGTCTGGATTTTAACAGACCCCCATAAGAGAGAACCCTAGCAACAGTGGCTCAAACACAGCGCTCTCTGTGGACTTTCTGCTTCTCCTGAGGCATCTGCTGAGCTGCGGCTTTCAGTGTGTGTCATACACCACGTAAAGATCTTTCCTCATGAGAGGAACTGAGGCTACATTGTGTACGGTCGGTGGGGGGGGGTTGCAAAACTTTCCTAATAACATCTGAAAAAGGAAATAGCTATTTTCATAAAGAAACTACCTTCATTTAACTGGAAAATGTGTTTTCTTTTTTCCACAGGGGGGACTTCCCCTGGGATGACGAGGATTTCCGCAGTCTGGCCCTTTTGGGGGCAGGCGTTGCCATGGGATTTTTCTACCTCTATTTTCGAGATCCTGGAAGAGAAATCACGTGGAAGCACTTTGTACAGTATTACCTGGCCAGAGGTCTGGTGAGAGGAATTTATAGTTTACCTACCTGGGAAGGAGGCCGCTGTAGTGGTGCACGTGGTCTGCGATGCCCTTAAGAAGCTGTGAGCTCTGAGGCCTGGGTTGAAAACCCGTTGTGTGGTAGATGTCCTGGGCAGTCCCACCCTCAGGCCATAGATGAGACACAGGTTTACTTTTCCCAGTAGCCAGCCCAACAGAAGGTTAGGAAGCTCATTTTTTAGATGAGACACAGTTTTACTTTCCCCAACAGAAGGTTAATAAGCCCATTTTCTTGCAAGGTGGAAGCTTCCTTAACATCTTGGCTTTTTGTTTTTAGCTTCAGCTTCTGTGAGTAAGTTCTGATTGTCTGATTGTGTCTGTTTATCATCAAGTATCAATTACATACCTAATGCAGATCTTTTGTTTCCCCTAGTGTACCCGTGTCCCCTCCTGCACCCCTGTCCTTTGCTGGCTGACCCTGGACAGCGGCTGGGGCTTTGTGTCTGTGCACAGGGGCATGTGGCACCAGCAAGCCTCCGCCTGTCCTTCACTGGGCCTGGTCTGTCGGGTTGCTGAAGGCCGGTGAAGCACTGCTCAGGGTTTAGTAACCAGCAAGCCTCCGCCTGTCCTTCACTGGGCCTGGTCTGTCGGGTTGCTGAAGGCTGGTGAAGCACTGCTCAGGGTTTAGTATAAAGTTACATGAGAGCAGGTGCCGTGCTTCTCAGTTGCCCTCAGAAGGACGTTTGTTAACTGATACAGTGTTAAGATCTGAACTTCTTTCTGTAGGAAAGTCCTGTTTTCCCACCAGGGTTTGTGGCTAAGGCCTTTTTTTTTTTTTTAATTAATTAATTAATTAATTTTTTTGAGACAGGGTCTTGCTCTGTCACCCAGGCTGGAGTGCAGTGGTGTGAAGTCTTGACCTTCTGGTTCCAAGCCAGCCTCCCACCTCAGCCTTCTGAGTATCTGGGACTGTAAAAAATGTAATTTTTTTTTTCCGACATGGAGTCTCGCTGTGTCGCCCTGGCTGGAGTACAGTGGCACGATCTGTATTCACTGCAACCTCCACCTCCCTGGTTCAAGTGATTCTCCTGCCTCAGCCTCCTGAGTAGCTGGGATTACAGGTTCTGGCCACTACACCTCCATGGGAGGTGGAGGTTGCTAGTTTTTTGTATTTTAGTAGAGACAGGGTTTCACTGTATTGCCCAGGCTGGTCTCGAATTCCTGAGCTCAGGCAATCCTCCCACCTTGGCCTCCCAAAGTGCCAGGATTACAGGCGTGAGCCACTGTGCCCAGCCCGCACTTTTTTTTTTAGAGACAGTGTCTCCTTATGTTGCCCAGGCTAGTCTCAGACTCCTGGGCTCAAGTGATGCTCCCACTTTGTCCTCCTGAAGTGCTATGATTACAGTTGTGAACCACCACCCAAGGCCTTTTTGTCTGGCCACAGGGCACACACCTGTCTTCAGAGAGGTCCCTGATGACTCCTTATGGGAGGAAGGGAGAGCTGCTGCAGCCCATCTCTGCTGTTGGTCTTCACTCACAGCTGCTGCTGTGAGGAGCAAGATGCCTGCTGGTGTGTGGGTTCTGGACAGATCCCAGAGCTTCTGTGAGGTCCTCTCCAGGTATCTGACACGCTGACCGTGATGCGGTTGCGTTATGGTCAAGAGGCCCCTGTCATAAACACGTTCGTGTTGGTCACATGACCCTGAGTAGTCAAGAAAAGTAGGGTTATAGTGGTTTCAGATTCTGTGGAGAGGAGAAAGCAACGCTGTTGTCATGATACCTAAGGAAATGGCCGCACTCTCAAGTTGTGTTTTTGCTGCGCACCGGCTGTCGGGCTGTGTTCGCCGCTGGGTGGCTTCGTGGAGGCCTTTGGGGTTGCATTTTCATTCTTGGTGGCACCATTTTCTTGTGGTATCTGCAGCTGTGTGGGCGAAATGTTTCTGGATGAGTTCCGGAAGACTTTGCTGTATTGTCAGTCTGAGACCTCTATGCCTTTTAGATTTTTTTTTTCAGATGGAGTCTCACTCTGTTGCCCAGGTTGGAGTGCAGTGTACAGTCTTGGCTCATTGCCACTTCCGCCTCCCGGGGTCAAGCAGTTCTCCCTGCCTCAGCCGCTTGAGTAGCTGGGATTACCGGGACGCCCCACCACATCTGGCTAATATTTGTATTTTTAGTAGAGACAGGGATTCACCACGTTGGCCAGGCTAGTCTCGAACTCTTGGCCTCAAGTGATCCACCCTCCTCAGCCTCCCAAAGTGCCAGGATTATAGGTCTGAGCCACTGCGCCTGGCCTTCCTTTTAGATTTTTAAGTCACTCTGGAATCTTTGGTGCTCAGATGTACCAAATTGTAACTCCTCTTGAATTACATGCACAGGCCAGGCTAGAAATGTCCAAATCAGTCAGAAAACAAAACTCGGATCTGCACAGCAGAGTGGATGCAGCTTCTCAGACACCGTTGGAGTCTCGGTCTGCACTGTGGGGCTGGTCTGAGGATGAGGCCCGTGGTTTAGTGTTGAATATGATACTCATTGCTTTAGCTGTGGGCTGGTCTGAGGGTGAGGCCCCTGTTTACTGTTGAATATCATACTCACTGCTCTAGCTGTGCTGATTATTTTTCTCTTTTTCCCAGGTGGACCGGCTGGAAGTCGTGAACAAACAATCTGTGCGTGTTATTCCTGCCCCTGGGACCTCTTCTGAAGTGAGGGGTGAATTTAAGGCTGAGTATTGCAGACATAAGTTTATTTCGTGTAAAAATGTAGTTTTCTATTTTTTTCAGTAAAATACTCCCTTAGTATCCATCAGCTACTCGTTAATGTGTTTTTTTCTCATTGGCATGTATCAATAACAAAGCCTTCCAAGGAGGACAGGAGCCCTTATAAGACTGACTAGGGTTCAGATTTGCCAAGCAGTGTCTGAGAACAACTCATCAAGGATTGTGGGGAGAGAAGAGAAGGAGACAAAGATAAAAGAGTAAAAAGCCAAAAGGAATGGCTGGCCGTGGTGGCTCATGCCTGTAATCCCAGCACTTTGGGAGACAGAGGCGGACAGATCACTTGAGGCCAGGAGTTCAAGACTAGCCTGGCCAACATGGTGAAACCCCATCTCTACTAAAAATACAATAATTAGCCGGACATGGTGGCCTGTGCCTGTAATCGCAGCTACTCAGGAGGTTGAGGCATGAGAATTGCTTGAACCCGGGAGGTGGAGGTTACAGTGAGCCAAGATCATCCCACTGCACTTCAGCCCGGGTGACAGAGGGAGACTGTCTCAAAAAAAAAAAAAAAGAAAAGAAAAAGAGACAAAGGCACACCCCAGCAGTTGTTGGACATTTTACACTTCCATCTAGAACTTAAAGACTAATTTCGTGGGGCCAAAACCAGAGTCTTCTGCTGTTAGTTAGTTTCCCTTGGAGCTAGCCTCTGCACAGGCCTCACCCATGTGGAGATTAAGGCTAGGAGAAGAGGCAGTGGGAGATGCGTGTGTGAGGGTGGGGCTCAGTGTGGGACACGGCGATGCACCCTAAGCTTGCTCTTGCTCTCTGCAGAAGTTCTTGTGGTTTAACATTGGCAGCGTTGATACCTTCGAGCGGAACCTGGAGTCTGCTCAAGGGGAGCTGGGGATCGAGCCCCACAACCAGGCAGTGGTAGTCTACACCAGCGAGAGTGATGGGTGAGGAGGATGGCGAAGGGCCTCTGTGTGAACACAAAACAGAAATGCAACATTTAAGCTGTGTTGGAATTTGTTTTTCAAGCTTATTAGAGGCATCTGTAATAAGCAATGTCTGTAGTAAAAAATATATATATACTTTTATATATATATATATACTTTTATATATACATACTTTTACATATATATACTTTTATATATGTATACTTTTATATATATACTTTTATATATGTATACTTTTATATATATACTTTTATATATGTATACTTTTATATATATAATATACTTTTATATATACACTTTTATATATATACTTTTTTACATATATATATATATATATATATATATATATATACACACACACACACACCCCCACACACATATATGTATATATTTGTTTTTTACTGTTTTTTCATGAGAATTGAAGCAGGGAAATATTTGGCTAGGCAATGTTACAAAAGAAAACCAGTCGTTGGGTTATTGTTGGAGCAGAAATTCCCTGAAGTCCCATAGGAAGCCTTCCACAATTGGGCCATGCAGCAGGATCACTACGAGAGCCCTGTCAAAATGCACTTTCATCATTTCTACCTGCCACTCCTGCAGAAGTGTCGAATTAACGTCCAGAGGTGGGGCTTGAGCACCTGTGACTTCCCCAGGCTCCCTTTTGGGCAGCCCTGACCCATCCTTCCAGGTGCTGGGGGTCCCTGCACACAACCCTGTAGCTCCCATGTAGTACCTGACACTTGGTCGTTCTTTTGGTTTTTTTTGAGACAGTCTTCCGCTCTGTCGCCCAGGCTGGAGTGCAGTGGCGCAGTCTCAGCTTGCTGTAACCTCCACCTCCTGGCTTCACACCATTCTCCTGCCTCAGCCTCCCGAGTAGCCGGGACTACAGGCGCCCACCACCACGCCCGGCTAATTTTTTGTATTTTTAGTAGAGAGGGGGTTTCACTGTGTTAGCAAGGATGGTCTCGATATCCTGACCTCGTGATCCGCCCACCTCGGCCTCCCAAAGTGCTGGGATTACAGGCATGAGCCACCGCCCCCGGCCGACACTTGGTCATTCTAAGCTTCCAGTGGCTCTCATATTATCTTGGATTTCCGCTGCATCGTATGTTCTTAAAGTAATTATGAACACAAGGGCAAAGACCAGATGAAATACTCTGTGCGTCCCAGGACTCAGCACAGAAGTCAGTGTTGCTAAGCGTGGATCCTGTTTTCGTGTTTTCACTTCCTGGGTTTGTCATTGCTCTGTCTTCTGCGGCCCTTCTGCCCTGAATTGGAAACTGAACCGAGAGAGAGTACAAATCCAGTACCAGCTTTAGCCAGGAGGGTGTAAAAATTGGAATCGTAGTGGTGTGGGCGGTTTCTTTGAGACGTATGTTTAAGCACAGAGTAGGGGCTGCAGTGGGGTGAGAGAAGGTGAGGCAGGTAGAATTCTGGAGATTCTCTCTCAGATTCTAGTGGCAGGGCCCGAAGTGCCTGTGGTCTCCTGCTGGATGGAGCTCCCGGATGTCATCTGGGTGCTGTTTATTGCTGACTTGGGTTCTGTCTTTGCTTGTTGAGTTGCCAGGATGCCTGGTTGTATGTGGGGCTGAAAGTGAGTGTGGAGCCGCTGGAGGAGGGATGGCCTCGAGCCTTGGAAGAGCAAGAGCAAAGACAAAAATAAACCAGGCGGACATTTGGTGTCTTCCTGTGACAAAACAACCCAGTTGGCCCTAGATGTGAGGAGGCCTTGCTGGGTCTGCTGGCGGCACCTCCCGGGGGAGACACTGTGGTGTAAGCTCCAGCAGGGCTGCTTGGCCAGGTGGAGGAGGTGGAGGAGGTGGAGGAGGTGGAGGAGGTGGAGGAGGTGGAGGAGGTGGTGGGTGGTCACTCTCCCTGCCCCACCAAGCCAGCCACAGGTTCCATCAGGGAGATAGAAATGCCTGTGACTAGAGCCTTCAGAATTGGAGAGGCCTCGTGCTTGATGGACTTTGACACATTTAAAAGAAAGAGGCCGGGTGCGGTGGCTCACGCCTGTAATCCCAGCACTTTGGGAGGCCAAGGCGGGCGGATCATGAGGTCAGGAGACCGACACCATCCTGGCTAACATGGTGAAACCCCGTCTCTACTAAAAATACAAAAAATTAGCCGGGCGTGGTGGCGGGCGCCTGTAGTCCCAGCTACTCGGGAGGCTGAGGCAGGAGAATGGTGTGAACCTGGGAGGCGGAGCTTGCAGCGAGCCGAGATCTCGCCACTGCACTCCAGCCTGGGCGACAGAGTGAGACTCCTTCTCAAAAAAAAAAAAAAAAAGAGGCCGAGGGCCGGGCGTGATGGCTCACAGAGGTAATCCCAGTGCTTTGGGAGGCTGAGGAGGGAGGATCACCTGAGACTAGGAGTTCGAGACCAGCTGGGCAACATAGTGAGACTGCGTATCTATAAAAAGTTAAAAAATTATCTGTTGTGGTGGCATGCATGCCTGTGGTTCTAGCTACTCAGGAGGTTGAGGCAGGAGAATCTCTTGAGCCTGGGAGTTCAAGGTTACTGTGATCATGCCACTGCCCACCAGCCTGGGTGACAGTGAGACCCTCTCTCAAAAAAAGGAAAAAACCCTGCTACCTTTTGTGTAGCAACACAAAGTCCTAGAGCGGTCTCCTCTAAGAGACAGAGTTTTGCTTTGTCATCCAGGCTGGAGTGTAGTTGTGTAGTCATGGCTCACTGCAGACTTGAACTCCCAGGCACAAGCAATCCTCTTACCTCAGCCTCCTGAGGAGCTGGAACTACAGGCACACGCCACCATGCCCAACTAATTTTTGTATTTTTACTAGAGACAGGGTTTCACCAGGTTGTTTAGGCTGGTCTCGAACTCCTTACCTCAGGTGATCCACCTGCCTTGGCCTCCCATAGTGCTGGGATTACAGGTGTGAGCCGCCACACCCGGTCATTTTTATAAATTTTTTTAGAGACGGAGTCTTGCCACGTTGCCCAGGCTGGTCTTGAACTTCTGGGCTCAAGAGATCCTCTCACCGTGGCTTCCCAAAGTGCTGGGATTACAGACGTGACTCACCGTGCCTGGCATGAAGGTGCTATTTCTGACCTCCTGAGTGTGACAAGTAGTTCTCTTGGATTTTCCAGCTCTTTCTTGTGAAGTCTGGTGCCCACCCTTCTCCTGGTTGGCATTCTCGTCTATGCTGCCAGGAGGGGCCTTATGGGATCCAGGCGCAGTAGACGAGGAGGGGGCCTCTTCGGTGTTGGTGAGACAGCAGCCAAGATCTTAAAAAGCAACATCGATGTGTTATTTGCAGACGTAGCTGGGTGCGAAGAATCAAATTGGAAATTATGGAATTTGTGAATTTCCTGAAGAATCCCAAGCAGTATCAGGACTTAGGAGCAAAAATTCCAAAGGTATTGATTTTGGAAAACATAGTAATACTCTGAGCTCCACATAGATGGCTGTGGGTCAGAGTCGGTTCTTACTCCTGTTTTATTAATTTAATATTAATTACATAGAACAACAGGTACAACTTGTATGAACAGGCTTGGGATCAGATGTAGTTGCCTCTTGGTAAGCCCGTGACCCAGCCAGCGGCTAGGTGTGTGCAGCCAGACGGCGGCTACGTGTGTGCGGGCAGTCAGCCAGCGCGTTGCAGGTGGTGTGGGTCAGGGTGCTGGATCTGGCTGCTGGGCACACAGAGCAAGTTTATCTCTTCGTGCCATTTTGGGGTCATGACTCTTTGGGGGCCTGAGAGAAGCCATGGATTTTTTTTCCCAGAAATATTTGCATTCACAGAAACTCGATTCACACACCCTTTTAACTCACCTCTGGGCTTTGGACCAGGCTGACATCCAGATCCTTGCAGTGGCCTTGCACCCCCACCCCCCAGCACCTCCCGATGGGGTGGGCATTCACTGGGCAGTTTGTTCCAAACAACAAATAATGATTATACCAAGCACCGGGAACCTGGGGCGGAGCCAGAAGGTGACAGACCTGTTTTCCACTTTGATGAGCATGAGGCTGGGAAGCAGGTGTGTGTGACAGATGTGCAGAGCCTGGGGCCTTCTGCTCCTGTTGGAGCTCCACTGGCAGCTGCCATTCACCTCAGCTCATAGTCAGGTGCTGCAGTGGGTGGTTCTCTTTGCCTTTCAGAATTTTTTTTTTTTTTTTTTTTTGAGACGGAGTCTCGCTCTGTGGCCCAGGCGGGAGTGCAGTGGCGCAATCTCGGCTCACTGCAACCTCCACCTCCCGGGTTCACGCCATTCTCCTGCCTCAGCCTCCCGAGTAGCTGGGACTACAGGCGCCCACCATCACGCCCGGCTAATTTTTTTTGTATTTTTAGTAGAGACGGGGTTTCACCGTGTTAGCCAGGATGGTCTCGATCTCCTGACCTCGTGATCCGCCCGCCTCGGCCTCCCAAAGTGCTGGGATTACAAGCGTGAGCCACCGCGCCCGGCCTTTTTTTTTTTGGAGACAGAGTCTTGCTCTGTTGCCCAGGCTGGAGTGCAGTGGTGCGATCTTGGTTCACTGCAACCTCCACCTCCCGGGTTCAAGCTATTCTCCTGCCTCAGCCTCCTGAGAAGCTGGAATTAACAGTTGTGTATCACCACGCCCAGCTAATTTTTGTAATTTTAGTAGAGACAGGATTTCACCATGTTGGCCAGGCTGGTCTCAAACTCCTGACTTCAGGTGATCCACCTGCCTTAGCCTCCCAAAGTGCTGAGATTACAGGTGTGAGCGATCGCATCCTTTTTTTTTTTTTAATTTATATCTATTGCTGCTGAACAAATTACAGTTTTTTTTTCATATGCATGTATTTGCTGGGGAAAATCTGTATGATGGAGTGGGTGAGGCAGTCAGGTACCAAGAAAGGCCCCTCACGTGGTGTGTTGGTCCCCCTTTCCCAGCAGGCAGGGGCTCCTGCGAGAGGGGGCTCTGTCAGCTTCTGTGTTACATCACAGGCCTCGTGCTCTGCTGTGGATGTCAGGAAAGAGTTAGTGGGGTCAGGGCCCATCTAGGTTTCCCGTTCTTGGGTATGAGGTACAGTGATTTCCCAGAATTACCTCTGCCTGTGGCATCCCCCATGAGAATCCATCATGAAGAGCTGGCTGTGTGTGCGGCCATGGTGGGTGCCTCTCCTGGAGCACATGGGTAGGACGGAGTGTGCTGTGGGCAAGTCTGGCCCCCTCCTGCCCTGCAGCTCCTTAGCCATCCCTAATGGGATTCTTCTTAGTCAATCTCAGAAGTCACCAGTTTAAGCAGCTCTCTCACCTGTGTATCATCTGCTCCCCTGTTAAGAGCCCGATGTCACCATTCTGTTTCAGGGAGCCATGCTCACTGGTCCTCCTGGTACCGGCAAGACCCTTCTTGCCAAAGCAACTGCAGGGGAGGCCACTGTGCCCTTCATCACTGTGAACGGGTCTGAGTTCCTGGAAATGTTTATTGGCGTTGGGCCAGCAAGGGTAGGTGGATGGGAACCTGCTGCAGGTGGCCTCAGCACCGTGCCTTGACCAGGACTGGTCAACTTGAATAGCTTAGTGTGGGGCCCTGGGCATGGGCATGTGTGGGAGGTGCTGGTGCACTGAGGCAAAATGGGTCAGAGGTTTCCAAGGAGAGGGTGGAGGATAACTGGCGTTCCCGTCTTCCTACCAGTAGCAAAACCGATTCTGGGTGGGTTCCTGTTTCAGGTTCATGACATGTTTGCAATGGCCCGAAAAAAACGCTCCATGTATCTTATTCATTGATGAGATTGATGCGATTGGCAGGAAGCGAGGCCAAGGGCACTTTGGAGGCCAGAGTGAGCAGGAGAACACCCTGAACCAGATGCTCGTGGAGATGGACAGTGTGTGCAGCTGTTCCCCTGCAGCTGCTTAGGAATAGTCTGCACAGCCTTTTTCTGTACAGTCACCCCCAGAAGAGAATCCCTGATTATTCTGTTTTTAAGGAAGGGTTCTCTCAGGCAAACGTACTGGAGAAAGCTGTGTTAGATTCACAAGCCTCCTCCAGTGCATTCCCCTGCCCCCAGATGGAGAGGAGTTCTCTGGAGTGTGGAGACACCTGCTTCTCTGGGGAGGGGGACCAGGTAGCCGAGCATGGCTGCTCCTGACGGTGCCCACAGGGTGGTGTGTGCACAACCCATGCTCCTTCCACTCTGAGCCTTGTCTTGCTGCCCCTGCATCACCCAGAATCTCACAGACTCCCCAGGCCTGCCTCCTCTCAGAGTGATTGTAGCTAAGATGTGACTGATCGTTGTCTGTCAGTCCTGCTAAAGCCTCATTGGACACGTCCAGGCTTCTGTGCCAGCTTTCAGATTTGGACAAACTTTCACTTAGACCTTTGGCAGATGTGATTTTCACTTTGGCTTTAGGGCCGTGTTGGGGTCCCTAAGACCACCCCAGATGTGGTGACATGCTAGAAGTCATAGGACTCAGTCTATAGTAGCACTCAGGGCTTTATTACCGTTAAAGGATACAGCAAAATCAGCCAGGGGAGAAGGCGCATTGGGTCGTGGGGAGACCAGGTCCGTGTTGAACCCTCCCCCAATGGAGCCACATGGGACGCGCTGACTTCCCCCAGCATCAAGCTGTGACCACGCCTGCCTGATGTTGACCAGGAAGCTCAGGAGAGACTTGGTTCCCAGGGTTTTTGCTGGGGGTGCACAAAGCGTTTGGGCCCAGGGAGCTGTTTTCTCAAGGAATGGTGGGAACGCTCCCAGAATCACAGTGCCCAGACACTGCCCTTGCGAGCAGGCCTTTCTGAGGACAGCAGTCAGGCCTGCTGTGTTCAACACTTCTCTGCGGGCCAGAAGCATTTCCTAAATATTGTTTTGTCTTTAGTACCCAGTAGTAATTCTAATTAGATGATGACTGTTTTGATATTTGGAGGGGACCGATTGGAGAGGAGGGAAGTGGAGCACTCAGCCTTTCTCCTCCCTTCCCCTCGGCTGGGCATTCCATTTCCTGTGCAGCCCCTGGCTTGCCCTCCTCCACTCCAGCACCATGTGGTGTCAGAGGCTGCAGGAACCCATAATAAGTCAGGATAAGGAGGGCCCACGCCCTGGACTTCGCTGTACCCCCTGAGCCAGGCTGTGGGGTTCCCAGGTAGCGGAGGGATGGCTGGTTACCTGCCATGCACACATCCGGCTAGCTGCTGAGGCTCACCTGCTTCTCCTGTGTCCAGGGTTCAACTCTGCCACCAACGTCGTGGTGTTGGCTGGCACCAACCGCCCTGACGTCCTGGACCCGGCCCTCATGCGGCCTGGCCGGTTTCATCGCCAGATTTACACTGGTGAGTACCCCTTTCTCGGGGTTGGGCCTTTATCCCCTTGGCCAAAAAGTTTGTTTAGGTGATTTGCAGTGTATTTGGAGGGATTTTGATAGTAATTCCCAGGCAGTTAATGTAACATTTTGAAAATGTGTGAGAGCCCCAGGTTGCTGCCGTCCGTCCTGCCCCTGGCAATCCACTTTTTGGCAAGAATATATGTGGTTGGGCCTGCAGGGATGTTGCTGCAACACAGAGAGGTGGGAGGGATGTAACAGATACTTATTCTCCAGCTTTTTTTTTTTTTTCCCACTACTATAAAAATTTGATAGTCGGCTCAGCATGGTGGCTCACACCTGTAATCCCAGCTCTTTTGGAGGCCGAGGCAGGCAGATCACTATGTCAGGAGTTTGAGACCAGCCTGGCCCATATGGTGAAACCTTGTCTCTACTAAAAATACAAAATTAGCCGGGCGTGGTGGCGTACGCCTGTAATCCCAGCTACTCGGAAGGCTGAGGTAGGAGAATCGCTTGAACCTGGGAGGCGGAGGTTGCGGTGAGCCGAGATGGCACCACTGCACTCCAGCCTGGGCAACAAGAGCAAAACTCTGTCTCAAAAACAATAAATTATGAAAAAGTAAAAATTGATGATTTAGAAGACAGCAATTTATCCCTTACTCTTCACCCTGACGGTCAGCCATCGTCGCCTTCCCCCTACCCTCTTGTGTTTGTTAGGAAGCATTAATCCTGTGTGGCCCTCGGCTGAGGGGTTTAGTAGCTGTGGAGGCAGATGTGTGTGTGGCCTGGCTGGTTTCTGCCATTGCTTCCAGCTGTGTCTGGAGGATGACAGCAGAGACCTCCACAGGGACCCCAGCTGTCCTTGCAGTTCTGTGGTATGGTTGTGGGTGACTGTTCTGAAGACCCAGAAAGCACAAGAGCCCATGCTTCTTTCTCTGTTTTTCATTAGGTCCCCCTTACATTAAAGGCAGGTCCTCCATCTTTAAGGTCCACCTGCGCCCACTGAAGCTGGACAAGAGCCTCAATAAGGACACCCTGGCGAGGAAGCTGGCAGTGCTCACCCCAGGCTTCCCTGGTGAGTGCTGCGGGCTGTGCTGTTCCCCGTGGTGGGAGCCATGTGTGCTCTGCTCCTTGTCATGGGGGGTGGTGACTGGCCGTTCTCATTCAGTTCTGGCAGTGCTCACCCTTGTCTGCAGGACTTTTCGCCTGTTGAGAGTGTTCAGAGGCCTCAGAGATCAGTTTCTTAGCCCCAAAACTAATTTGTACCCACTTGAATTTCTGTCTTAATTAAAGTCAGACTTAGTGAGTCTTACTGCAGAGCTGACAGTAATGTCCCAGGGGGAGAATCTGGCAACCTGATGCTTCCCGCAGCGTTTCTGCCTGGGGCTTGCCCTCCCTGCTGAGGAAGCTCGTTTGCTTTTCTCTCTTCTTTTCAATGAAATCCTGGTCTATGCTAGGAAACCTACTTCCCTGCCTAGGCGGGATCACCCTCAGGAATGAGTGGGGACTTTTCCAGGGAGATGCCTGTTCTTTTCACCCATGCTCCGCAGCTCTTTGCTGCGTCAGTACCTCATGGTTATGTGGCCATTGGCCACGGCTTCTGACCTATGCCCGCCGGCTCCTGCCACCCCTGGAACATTCTGCTGTGGCATCTTATCACCTCCAGCTGCCTTGGCGCCCCCAGTGGTACCCGTCCCCTGGCTCCCCACAGTGTCCTGCCTAGTGTCAGGTCACGTGTATTCACACAGGATTGTACGTTTGCCTGCTGCAGGATGGTGAGTGAGGTCTTGGCTGGCAGGTATCTGAAAGGTGTCATCTGTCTTAGACACAAAATGTGCTTCCTCCCTTTTGTTCTCTCCTCTGGCTGACTTCAGATGTCTGTTTACATACCAAAGTTAAAAAGCTGGAATGTTACCAAGACTGCTTTCTTCTGCCCATAGACGGGGATGACTCAGCACTACCCCTCAACAGAGATGACTTTGATGACTCTGCCCCTCAGCAGGGCTTACTAAGCACTACCCCTTAACAGGGATGACTCCGCACTGCCCCTCAACAGGGATGACTCAGCAGAGATGACTCAGCACTGTCCCTTAGCAGGGATGACACAGCAAGGATGACTCAGCACTGCCCCTCAGCAAGGATGACTCAGCACTGCCGCTCAACAGACATGACTCAGGGATGGCTTAGTACTGCCCCTCAGCAGGGATGACTCAGCACCGCCTCTCAACAGGGATGACTCAGCAGGGATGACTCAGCACCGCCCCTCAACAGGCATGACTCTGCAGAGATGACTCAGCACTGTCCCTTAGCAGGGATGACACAGCAAGGATGACTCAGCACTGCCCCTCAGCAAGGATGACTCAGCACTGCCGCTCAACAGGGATGACTCAGGGATGGCTTAGTACTGCCCCTCAACAGGGATGACTCAGCAGGGATGACTCAGCACCGCCCCTCAACAGGCATGACTCTGCAGAGATGACTTAGTACTGCCCCTCAGCAGGGATGACTCAGTACTGCCCCTCAGCAGGGATGACTCAGCACTGCCCCTCAACAGGGATGACTCAGCAGGGATGACTCAGCACTGTCCCTTAGCAGTGATGACACAGCAAGGATGACTCAGCACTGCCCCTCAGCAAGGATGACTCAGCACTGCCGCTCAACAGACATGACTCAGGGATGGCTTAGTACTGCCCCTCAGCAGGGATGACTCAGCACCGCCCCTCAACAGGGATGACTCAGCACTGCCCCTCAACAGGGATGACTCAGCAGGGATGACTCAGCAGTGTCCCTTAGCAGCGATGACACAGCAAGGATGACTCAGCACTGCCCCTCACCAAGGATGACTCAGCACTGCCGCTCAACAGACATGACTCAGGGATGGCTTAGTACTGCCCCTCAGCAGGGATGACTCAGCAGGGATGACTCAGCACCACCCCTCAACAGGGATGACTCAGCAGGGATGACTCAGCACTGCCCCTCAACAGGGATGACTGCAGGGATGACTCAGCACTGCCCCTCAGCAGGGATGACTCAGCACTGCCCCTCAGCAGGGATGACTCAGCAGGGATGACTCAGCACCGCCCCTCAACAGGCATGACTCTGCAGAGATGACTCAGCACTGCCCCTCAGCAGGGATGGCTCAGCAGGGATGACTCAGCATTGCCCCTCAACAGGGATGACTCAGCAGACTCAGCAGGGATGACTCAGCACTGCCCCTCAACAGACATGACTCAGCAGGGATGACTCAGCACCGCCCCTCAGCAAGGATGACTCAGCAGGGATGATTCAGCAGAGATAACTCGGGGATGACTCTGATTGTCCTTCAGCAGGGATGAGTCTGTTTTGCTCCGATGGAAGCATCTGTAGTGTCCATCAGCAGGTGAATGGCCAAAGTGGTATATACTGTAGTCACATTCAGCTATAAAAAGGAATAAAGTATCGATGCATGCCACAACATGGGTGAACCTAGAAAATACTGATCTAAATGCAAGAAGCCAGGCACAAAAGGCCACATAGTATATGTTCCCATTTATGTGAAATGTGCAGAATAATAATAAAAATGTATAGAATAGCAAATCTGTAGGGACAGACATGAGGTGAGTGGTTGCCAGAAGTGGAAATGGGAGTTAACTATAAATTGCACAGGGTACCTTACAGAGATGATGGAAATGTCCTAAAACTAGATTATGGCAATAGTTGCACTACGTGATCAGTTTATTAAAAATCGTTGATGTGTGTGTGTAAAATGGGTGGATTTTATGGTTTATAAATTATACCTTAATAAAGGTTAACAAAAAATGTGGCTAAATAGTGGTGACTGATGGACACCTCCCATTACCTTTAAGTTCTCTACTGAAGTTCAGCCTTGGCCTCTCTGCTGGAGATTTTCCTTAACAACTGATCTGGGTCAAGCTCCAGCGGCCAGGAGCAGCACTGACTGTTGGCTATTCCTTCCTGGGTCTGGTGCTGATATTTCGAATGTTTGCAATGAAGCAGCCCTGATTGCTGCCTGGCATCTGAGTTCTTCTGTTCAGGAGAAACACTTTCAGCAGGCCATTGAGAGGGTCATCGGAGGTGAGCCTGGGAGCCCTTAGGGAGGGAGGGGTGTTTGCAGCTCTGGGCCTGGCAGGCTCACCCCCTGGCCCCAGTTTCAATTCTGCATGCAGGCCGGGCGCAGTGGCTCACACCTGTAATCCTGGCACTTTGGGAGGCCGAGGCGGGTGGATCACTTGAGTTCAGGAGTTTGAGACCAGCCTGGCCACCATGGCGAAACCCTATCTTGATTTTTAAATACAAAAATTAGCCGGGCATGGTGGCACACACCTGTAGTCCCAGCTACTCAGGAGGCTGAGGCAGGAGAACCTCATGGACCCGGGAGGCAGAGGTTGCAGTGAGCCAGGATCGTGCCACTGCACTCCAATCTGGGCGACAGAGCAAGACTCCGTCTCAAAAAAAAAAAAAATCAATTCTGCCTGCAGGAACCAATTTTCTAAACCAACATATGGGACTTGGGATTTTCCAATAGCTTTCATGCCCCTTCTGGGAGCAACATTTAGAAATTGAAAGAGATGGGCCTTCCAGGCCGTCAGAGGCCCAAGGAGGCATATTAGAACCAGGTTTGAATGCCTCCTGTGGAGGGCAAAGGAGCCTTCTTCCCTGAAGGTAATGGATGAGATTTCCTGGGAAAAGCCTCCTGGAAGCTGTAGGGACCTTCCCGGGCCTCCTCAGGACAGTACTGTTGTGAAAGGAGTGAACAAAGTGAATTTCCTTTTTTCCTTTTTTTTTTTTTGAGACGGAGTTTCGCTCTTGTTGCCCAGGCTGGAGTACAGCAGCGTGATCTCGGCTCACTGCAACCTCTGCCTCCTGGGTTCAAGCGATTCTCCTGCCTCCTCATCCTGAGTAGCTGGGATTACGGTCACGTAGCACCACACCTGGCTAATTTTTGTATTGTTAGTAGAGATGGGGTTTCGCCATTTTGGTCAGGCTGGTCTCGAACTCCTGACCTCAGGTGATCTGCCCACCTCGGCCTCCCAAAGTGTTGGGATTACAGGTGCGAGCCACTGTGCCCAGCCTTACAGTGCATTTGCTTTAGCTTGGTGGGGAGCAGTATCCGTCTCTGTCTTCAGCTCAGCAGACTGTAGAGTGGGCTGGATCACACAGCCTCCTGCAGCTTAGGGAACTGGAGTCAGCTGTGAGGAAGGGTCTCCTGGGGCTGCCAGACCAGGCAATGCCAACACGGTCTTGCTTGGCCTGGCTCTCCCTGGTGCTGTTCTGAGGGTGGAGAATAGGGAGGTGGCCAGTAGCCATCCTTCATGGTCCACCCTAAGCTGTGAGAGCTGACGTTGGTCAGGTGGAAGAGCATTCTAGCTGCTGCTGCTTTATTTAACCATTTATCGAAGTATAATGTATACATAAAGTACTTATGATATCGAGTATCCCAAAGCAAACACCAAAGGTGCTTTTTTTTTTTTTTTTTTGTCTGAAATGAAGTGATGGAGTCTCGCTCTGTCTCCCATGCTGGAGTGCAGTGGTGCAGTCTTGGCTCACTGCAAGCTCCGCCTCCTGGGTTCAAGCGATTCTCTTGCCTCAGCCTCCCAAGTAGCTGGGACTACAGGTGTGCACCACCACGTCCAGCTAGTTTTTTGTATTTTTAGTAGAGATGGGGTTTCACCATGTTAGCCAGGATGGTCTCGAACTCCTGACCTCGTGATCTGCCTGCCTTGGCCTCCCAAAGTGTTGGGATTGCAGGTGTGAGCCACTGCTCCCAGCCCAAAGCTACTTATTTTTATTTAACTTGAAAAAATTTTAAAAAATTTTATAGAGGTGGGGTCTTGCTATGTAGCCCAGGCTGGTCTCAATCTCCTGAGTTCAAGTGATTCTCCTACCTTGGCCTCCAAAGTTCTAGGATTCCAGGTGTGGTCACTGTGTCCTGCCACCAGAGCCTCCTGAGGGCTGTCCTGGTGTGATTAGAGGGCTCTGAGCAGGGCCAGCTGTGCCATCTGTGCTTTTCCTTTGTCCTGTTACCTACCCTTGCACTGGGCCGTTAGGGCACTGAGATCATCCCTCTCCATCCTGTCATGCTGTGCTGTCATCTTTAGTCAAGCCAGAGGATATGGTGCTTCGCTGTGTTTCACACACAGCTGTTCCCATTGGCTTCAAATGGGCCTGTTTAGTTAAGGCTTTGTGTGAAGTATGTGGGAAGTGGGTTTCACTTTCAAGAAGGCAGCATGGAGCTGGGGCTTGGCCTCTGCTGTCTGGTATAGAGGAGCCTGGGGATCAGGTGTAGCTGCAGACACAGCTGGGCGCAGAGGGAGTGGCCTCATTTCCCAGCCACCTACTCCTGCCGTGCCTCACTCGCCGGGGAATGTGATGTGTAGGTCTTGAGAAGAAGGCCCAGGTCCTGCAGCCCGGTGAAAAGACAACTGTGGCCTACCACGAGGCCGGACACGTGGTGGTAGGCTGGTTCTTGGAGCACGTGGACCCCCTGCTGAAGGTTGGTCCTCCCACCCTGAGTGAGTCCACCTGGCAGGCTTGGGCCTGGTATCTCTGGGCCAACCTGTGGTCATGTGGGCATGGTACATTCAAGGATTGGCCCTTTAGCTTTTTAAGGAATAAACTGCTCTAGAATTTGTCAAAAGATCCCTTCGGGGTGGGAAAGCAGGGCAGTGGGTTCCAAATGGGGCCTTGGCCATGCGACTCCAGGGAGCAGCCTCAGTGTTAAACCCGCCTGACTCCTGAGCTCTGGATTCGACCGTTGGCCTCTCCAGAGACTCTGCAGGGTGGGCAGAGCGTAGGTGGTTTCCACGTGAAGCTCCCAAAGGCGGGTGCACTTCTTGGGGCATCCCCATGGTGTATGGGGGGCCTGGGTCAGGCTGTCTTCTCTCCTGTTCCAGTAGAAGGACCTGTGGTCAGAGCTAGGGTCAGGTGGCCTGGCCGCTCCAGGGTGGCTCCTGGAGGAAGTGGGGACAGTGTTTGGGGTGATGAGGGCATGTGTCCTGTCCTCAGGTGTCCATCATACCCCAGGGCAAGGGGCTCCGCTACGCACAGTACCTGCCCCGGGAGCAGCAGCTCTACACCCAGGAGCAGCTCTTCGACCGCACGTGCATGATGCTCGGGGGCCGGGTAGCCGAGCAGCTGTGCTCCGGGTAGATCACTATGGGGGCTCAGGACGACCTGAGGAAGGTCACCCAGAGTGCCTACGCCCAGGTAAGGGTGGGCATCCCCCGGCACGGGCCGCAGGAGGCTCTGTTGGGCGCAGGCTCATCCTGGGTTCCGCACTGGCAGGTTGTGCAGTTTGGGGTGAGTGAGAAGCTGGGCCAGGTGTCCTTCGACTTTTCCCGACACGGCAAGACCCTGGTGGAGAAGCTGTACGGCGAGGCAAGCGCCCAGCTCCTTGATGACGAGGTCCGGCACCTCGTCAGTGCCACCTACAGGTGCACCCTGGACCTGCTGACACGGTGCCGGGAGCATGTGGAGAAGGTGAGTGTGGCCTCTGCCCAGACAGGTCGTGGGTCCCATGTTGAGTCACGGTCATGCCACACCCGAAGGCCACACCCGTCCTTCAGCTTGCTTAGGTTTGGGCTGTGATCATGTCCTCAGAGCCGTCTGACAGGTGGGCCGTTGTTTCCAGGTGGGCCAGCGGCTCCTGGAGAAGGAAGTACTGGAGAAGGCAGACATGGTGGAGCTGCTGGGCCCCCGGCCCTTCTCGGAGAAGTCTACCTATGAGGAGTTTGTAGAGGGCGTGGGCAGCCTGGAGGAGGACACATCCCTTCCCGAGGGGCTGAAGGGTTGGAACCGCGGACAGGAGGAGGAAGATGTGGAGAGCAGCCTGTGCAGGGGGCTCTGTGTAGCCTGTGGCGGTCGCCTGCACCTGCTGCTGGGTGGAGTTGGGGTGACTGCCACTTACCTGGGGCCTTGGCAAAGCAGCTGCGGAATCTCACCCAAAACAAATTAAAACGTGACAACTGTGAATGGGTGTTTTAGATGAGGGTGCTCTGAGCCCACATGCAGGGAGTAGGAGTGGGAGTGGGCAGAGGGGGTACCCTGAGTCCCTGGGCCCTCCCGCTGGAGGACAGTCGGGTCCAGGCTTAGACGGGAGAGGCCCCAGGGCTCTGGCCCCTGTGGTGCTGAGGAAGGCACGACTGTAGCTTCGAGAGGGGCTTGCGTGGGACACCTTGGAGACACCAGGCCTTCCTGGGGCCTCCGTGGAGGAGCGTTGATATGGTCATAAAGACACTCGGAGGAGCCTGGGTCCAGCACAGAAACCCTCACCGTTTGGTAGAATTCAGAAGAGGAGAACGTCAGCCAGGCATCAAGGGGAAGTCAGGGTTCTAAAGCAGCTGTTTGGATCGGTAGAAGCCGATCTGCTGTTCTGTCCTTAGAAAGGAAAAAGCCCACACCACCCACAGGTGCATGGCTGAGGGAGGAGGTGGAGCTGTGGGGCCTCACACCTGGGTTCCCCATCAGGGCACCCCCCGCCACCCCTGCCTGCGCCTTGGCTCTGTGGCAGCACTGCTGAGTGTGAGGGAATTGAGTTGCTTAGAAAACCTGGCCCCTGTCCTTGGCTGGAGGTGCTTTCACTGCGGGATGTGTCTGGATCGTCAGTTCTGTTCCTGTGACCCCTTTTTGTTGGAGTCTTGGAGCGGGAAGCTCTGCAGGGCCCCAGCCGGCTCAGGGGTGTTTGTGGAGAGACTGTGGTCCTGAAGCCCCAGCACGTGGCTGCCCCTGGCCCTGGTACCTGTTCGTGAACACTTTTCCTGGGGTTGGGTAGCTCCTAATTTTTATTAGGAAGGCCCCTTCTGGGCTCTGAGCTTCAGGCCCTTTGGCGCCTTGTACTGAGGGAGGGTTTGCTTTTTCTTGTCTGGGGTGTGTGGGACTCGATGAGGATGCCCCGTGTGCTTTCTGCAGCACACGACCTGCCTCCAGGACTCGCTGGGGTCAGCAACAGCAGGGCAGTGTCAGCCTCAACCACTGCCTTGGGGTGGGTGGATGCGTGTCTAGGTCACCTGGGATGAGACCTGGGGAAGACGCCCATTTGCATATGTCCTGGGTGAGCGGCCGGAGGAGGAGGCCCTGCTTGTGGGTCAGCTGGGATGGGACCTGGGAAGATGCCCGTTTGCAGATGTCCTGGGTGAACAGCGGGAGGAGGAGGCCCTGCTTGCTGCCCCGGGCACTGTTTGTTCTCAGCCTCTCTCTCGACCTAGGCCAGATCAGACACTGGGGCTTTGTAGTATATTTTATAAATCGCTTGTTATGTTGGCCTCGGAGCCTCAAAAATATAATTTCCAACTGGGGGTGAACACTTTCAACTTTTGCTGTTTATAAAATGCATATCATTGGACTCAAAAACTCTCCAGCACTCAACCTTCATCATGGCCTCCACCAGACCCAGAGTAGCTGAGCCCCTTGGGGTCCGGTTGGGGCCTGGTCTTAGGTCCCTCAGATGGAGGTGGGGGTGCTTCCTCAACCCCAGCAGGCCCTGTGACATGGCAGCATCGGTGGCCTCCGGGATGCAGGGTGGTCACGGGCTGTGGAAAGTCATGGCCCTCGCTCCACCGTGGTTCCCTCCAACACCCCGGGAGAGCCTGGGTGTCCCTCTTGTCACCTCCCAGACGGCTGCACGTGCCTGGGGTCCTTCATGATGATCTGGGCGTGGGATCCTTGTGCCTCCCCCACTGGGCTGTTCCCTCCAGACCTGTGTTCTCGGCGCCTGCCTTCACCCTCAACTTTTCAGGGCTGTCAGGCGCCTTTCCCGCAGCCTTCCCGCACGTATCCTTTACAAGCCGGTCCTTATGTAACTCTGGAGCCATCTCACCCCCTGAATCAGACACACTATTTTCCGTGGTCTTTTCCCAGCTGTCCTGAGCATGACCTGCAGTTTGCCTCATCAGCCTGTCGATGGTGGCTCAGCTGCACCTTTGCTGAGAAGCACCATCGGCCCAGCAGAGTGACACCTGCGGGCACTGCTGTCTGTGCTGTAGCGGTCTGTGCACCCTGCAGGGACACGAGCCTTCAGCCCCTGTATTTCTCAGCCTGCCTGCCTCCCTCCCTCTGCCAGAAGGGAAGGTGGAATGGGGTGGAATGCGTGTACCTGCCAGTAGCTGTGCACCCTTCCCAGAAGATACATCACTGACTGAGGCCGTTTCTGGGTCCATGGTCATAGGACACCTTGCTGAGAATTTTCATGTAGGGGAGGTCCAGGCTTCTCCCCTCAGAGCCCAGCACGGAAACACACAGAGACCCGTGGGCCTGGCAGAAGGCATGTCAGCCCTGGTCAGGCTCCATGGCCACCCCATTTCATGAGTAATGACAGTGGGCAGGAGTTTTGGCCTCATCTGGTACCTCCCCAGGACCAGTGCCAGTGGCCTCTGGGACAGGAGTGTGTTGAGAGCGACTCCGTTGCTGGGGAGTGAATCCCTCCCCTGGCCTGGGCCACCTTTACCACCACGTGGGGTGGGATTCTGTGACTCCCTCCCCCGGCCTGGGCTACCTTTACATGCACGTGGGGTGGGACTTCTGTGACTCCCTCCCCTGGCCCGGGCCACCTTTACGTGCACGTGGGGTGGGACTTCTATGACTCCTTCCCCCGGCCCGGGCTACCTTTACATGCACGTGCGGTGGGACTTCTGTGATTCCCTCCCCCGGCCCGGGCTACCTTTATATGCACGTGGGGTGGGACTTCTATGACTCCCTCCCCCGGCCCGGGCTACCTTTACATGCACGTGCGGTGGGACTTCTGTGATTCCCTCCCCCGGCCCGGGCTACCTTTATATGCACGTGGGGTGGGACTTCTGTGACTCCCTCCCCTGGCCCGGGCTACCTTTACGTGCACGTGGGGCGGGACTTCTATGACTCCCTCCCCCGGCCCGGGCCACCTTTACGTGCACGTGGGGCGGGACTTCTGTGACTCCCTCCCCTGGCCCGGGCCACCTTTACGTGCACGTGGGGCGGGACTTCTGTGACTCCCTCCCCTGGCCCGGGCCACCTTTACGTGCACGTGGGGCGGGACTTCTGTGACTCCCTCCCCCGGCCCGGGCCACCTTTACGTGCACGTGGGGCGGGACTTCTGTGATTCCCTCCCCCGGCCCGGGCCACCTTTACGTGCACGTGGGGCGGGACTTCTGTGACTCCCTCCCCCGGCCCGGGCCACCTTTACGTGCACGTGGGGCGGGACTTCTGTGACTCCCTCCCCTGGCCCGGGCCACCTTTACGTGCACGTGGGGCGGGACTTCTTTGACTCCCTCCCCCGGCCCGGGCCACCTTTACGTGCACGTGGGGCGGGACTTCTGTGACTCCCTCCCCTGGCCCGGGCCACCTTTACGTGCACGTGGGGCGGGACTTCTGTGACTCCCTCCCCTGGCCCGGGCCACCTTTACGTGCACGTGGGGTGGGACTTCTGTGACTCCCTCCCCTGGCCCGGGCCACCTTTACGTGCACGTGGGGTGGGACTTCTGTGACTCCCTCCCCTGGCCCGGGCCACCTTTACGTGCACGTGGGGCGGGACTTCTGTGACTCCCTCCCCTGGCCCGGGCCACCTTTACGTGCACGTGGGGCGGGACTTCTGTGACTCCCTCCCCTGGCCCGGGCCACCTTTACGTGCACGTGGGGCGGGACTTCTGTGACTCCCTCCCCTGGCCCGGGCTACCTTTACGTGCACGTGGGGTGGGACTTCTGTAACTCCCTCCCCTGGCCCAGGCCACCTTTACGTGCAACGTGGGGCGGGACTTCTGTGACTCCCTCCCCCAGCCTGGGCTACCTTTACATGCACGTGGGGTGGGACTTCTGTGACTCCCTCCCCCAGCCTGGGCTACCTTTACGTGCACGTGGGGCGGGACTTTCACTTCTTTAATGATTCCTTCTGTTGTGTGACTTTGGGACTGGAAATCCAGGTCACTCATCCCCCACATGTGACCCAAGTGAGCACAGCAGAGCCCTCAGGCTGCTGCAGCTGGAGAATGGTCCGGGCACGGAGCCCAGGGCAGCTCAGCTCACAACCCCTCAGCAGGCACCTCGTTCACTCTGCTATTGGAAAGGAAGAGACTGTGGCCAGGCCTTCGAATGCGCAGTGATGCTTTAATCCCCCTGTTTGCAAACGAGCTCTGTGGAAGCTCAGCAGGAAGGATGGAAAGATGGGGAGGAAGACCCTGGCGGGTGGAAGTGTGGCCAGGGACACAAGGCTGCCCTTATGGGACTGAAAGAGAAAGCTGCTGGGCTCTGTGTGACTGGAAACCAGGGAAGGAGACCTGGCTGAGGCAGGAACTGGGTTTGCCAGCAGTGCGGAGGGGCAGCGGGTGGCTCAGAAGTGGGAGCAGGTACACAGAAGGAGCTCAGGGCATGCCTGGGGCATCTCCAAAGCTCTGCTGAGAGTGAAGGCCAGGAGCCTGTTTTCCTTCCCCAGAAGTGTGCTCATGGGAAATGGGGCAGGGGGCAGGCTGGCTTGGGGATGGAAAGTAAGCTTACACTTTGATATTAAACTCATTCTTTGACTTGCTGTCAGGCAAGAAGCCCATTCTGTGAGCTTCAGCATATAAGCATTGGGAGGGTGTGAGCTGGGGCTCCCAGACACCCCCAGAGCAGAGGGAGCAGGGCCTGTCAGCCTCCTCTGCTGCTCCTGGACAGAGACCCACGGGGTCCCATGGGCTCCAAACCTGCCCAGCAAGTTTAAGGGCCGTGGGCAGGCCTTGTAGCCGGGCAATGGGATGTGAGCAGAAACGAGAATGTGGCCTAGCAGTGGGTGCAGGACAAGGAGAGGTGAACCCCACCCCGAGAGCATTCCGGGAGGTGTCATCAAGTCTCTTAGGCAGTCTGGTGATATTTGGTGTTCTGAGCTAAGGAGGGAATGGACTTGTCTGTCACGCAGGGGCCAAGAGAAGCAGGTGCAGGTCTTAGAGCTGAGCCTTGGGGAGGGGACCCTAGTGAGACAGCGCCTCCGTGGAGTAGAAGAAGGGGCAGGATGGAAATCAAGGTGGGAATTTTGGGGCCGCTTCTCCATGTGTGCTTTGCTGGACAGCACATTGTCCCATTAGCCACTACCAAACCCGCCTCTGGCTTCTGAGCTTGGCAGCACAGGAAAACGCGGAGGTTGGAGCACCCCCAGGAGTTCCTGGAGTGGCTGTCACAGGCCTGGGTCCCCTTCACCCCAAGGCCGCCGTGGGCCACTCCATTCCTCAGCACGTTCCTGGCAGTGACTCCGTGACGCTGTCTTCCTGACTCGGGGCCCAGGAACGAGCTGGACGTAAGGCCACTGGGCTGTGCTTGTGCTGGGGCTCCCAGAGGCATCCGGGGGCCCCGTGTGTCCCCCAGGAAAGCCGGCTGGTCTCCAAGTGAGGCGAAGACCCGTGCCCAGCAGACAAGGCCGGTCTCGGGGCTGGCAGAGAGCTGCCCCCAGGGTGTGTGTCAGGAGGTGACGGCTGGAGCCTCGTGGGCGGGTGAAGTGTGTCTGCTGGGTCAGCACTGCCCAGATCTGCCATCGTGTTCGGACCCCATCCCTGCAGGAGCTGGGGCAGGTGGAGATGGTCTAGTCCTCCTGGGGCCTCTCCACAGTGAGAAACGTGTCCAGGACTGTGGCCTGCCGCTCGGGGTCGCCTAGGGGCTGCTTCTCGTGGCTCTGCTCAGCCCTTGTCCTCGTCCAGGAAGGGGAGCGCAGGTAGCCGGCCCGGGGCAGCGGGTGCAGACCTAGGGGCATGCGGGAAGGGGAACTCGGTGTGGCTGAGAGGCCTGGGTGGATGCTGCGGAGCTCCAGGTGCCGCCGGCCTCCTGCGCCACTCCTGCCAATGCTCTGCACCAGCCCCCTGCACCAGGCATGCACACATCTACCTCTAACGGGAGGCCCCCACCACACACTGGCCCCACCAGAGAGGTGGATGTTGTGGTCTGGGTGGGGCCTGGGCAGGGTCTTTTCTGGTGCTCCCCGGAGTCACTGTATAGTCTAGGCTGAGCCTCTCCTGTTTGGTCATTAAGTGACCCTGGTGGGGCCTCCCTAAACTGTTCCCCCCGCAGGTGTCCCACCTCAGCCAACCACCCTCCATGAGCCCTGCAGGCCTCTTGGAGCCTCTGCCCCATCATGGGCCTTGTGTGTCCCCGGCCTCTTGGAGCCTCTGCCCCATCATGGGCCTTGTGTGTCCCCGGCCTCTTGGAGCCTCTGCCCCATCATGGGCCTTGTGAGTCCCCGGTGCAGGCTCTGTGGGGCTGGGGATTCGGGTGGGCTGGAGTCTGAGCCCCTCACTCCACCTCCCCAGCCACAACAGCCATGCCTGGGCTCACGGGCTGGGTGGGAAGGGTTGCCGCCAACATGGAGCTGGTGGGAACTGGCCAGGGTCAGGCAATGGCCTTGTCCTGGAGGTGAGCTGGGGGCTGACTCATGAGGCCCCATTCCCTCCCAGACACCTGGGGCTGCAGCAGCCTGGGACACACAGGCCGACACCCCTTCCTGACAACTCCAGGAACCATGGGAGCAGCTGGCCACCGGCAGGAGTCACAGTGGGGCTGGTCCTTTTAATGAGGTCCTGAGTGGCCTGGGGGGTTGGGAAGCAGAGGCTGGGCCAAACTGTCCCATGCGGAGAAGGCTCGGCCCTGATGCTCTCACAGTTACTGAAGTTCACACAGGTCACGTCAGTGTCCTTCACTGGTCACTGTCAGAGACTGAGGACGCGCTGTCGCATCCTCATGAGTCCTGTGCTCTCGTCACGGCTTAGGAAGGAGACACGACAATGGCCGTGCTGGGGGCCCTGCTCGGCAGTGTGAGGACACTGGAGCTGCCTTCAGGCCAATGGCAACGCTCCCGTGGGAATCAGAGGAAGTTAAGTGAGCTGAGGAGGGGCCCGGGCTGGTGACCACCCCCACCTTTCGTTCTTGGCCCATTTTATGATGAAAATTCACATTCATTAAATTCTGCTTTTGAGGGGACAGTGGCTTTAGCCGTCTGTTGCTCACTTGAAAAGTAAAGTTTTAAGCAGCTGTGACGGGGAAGTTGCTTCAAGTTGGGCAGATAGCAGCGTGGTGAAATGAAGTGCTGAGGGATTCTTGCTAAAACACACGCACACCTCCCAGGACTTCCCAAGGGGCCTCAGCCCACCACCCACACCTCCCAGGACGTCCCAAGGGGCCTCACCCCCCAAACACACCTCCCAGGACTTCCCAAGGGGCCTCACCCCCCAAACACACCTCCCAGGACGTCCCAAGGGGCCTCACCCCCCAAACACACCTCCCAGGACGTCCCAAGGGGCCTCAGCCCACCACACACACCTCCCAGGACGTCCCAAGGGGCCTCAGCCCACCACACACACCTCCCAGGACGTCCCAAGGGGCCTCAGCCCACCACGCACACCTCCCAGGACGTCCCAAGGGGCCTCAGCCCACCACCCACACCTCCCAGGATGTCCCAAGGGGCCTCACCCCCCAAACACACCTCCCAGGACTTCCCAAGGGGCCTCAGCCCACCACCCACACCTCCCAGGACGTCCCAAGGGGCCTCACCCCCCAAACACACCTCCCAGGACTTCCCAAGGGGCCTCAGCCCACCACGCACACCTCCCAGGACTTCCCAAGGGGCCTCAGCCCACCACCCACACCTCCCAGGACGTCCCAAGGGGCCTCAGCCCACCACCCACACCTCCCAGGATGTCCCAAGGGGCCTCACCCCCCAAACACACCTCCCAGGACTTCCCAAGGGGCCTCAGCCCACCACCCACACCTCCCAGGACGTCCCAAGGGGCCTCACCCCCCAAACACACCTCCCAGGACTTCCCAAGGGGCCTCAGCCCACCACGCACACCTCTCAGGACTTCCCAAGGGGCCTCAGCCCACCACCCACACCTCCCAGGACGTCCCAAGGGGCCTCACCCCCCAAACACACCTCCCAGGACGTCCCAAGGGCCCTCAGCCCACCACACACACCTCCCAGGACTTCCCAAGGGGCCTCAGCCCACCAGGCACACCTCCCAGCCCAGCCCTGATGCCGGCCTCACCTGCTGGGGACTCGGTGTTGAGGTTCTCGTCGTCCGAGTCAGCAAAGACCTCGGCCAGCTCCTGGTCCGACATGTCGGTGAGCTCAGTGAGGTCCAGGAGGTCGAAGTGGACCTCCAGAGAGGAGACGCTGCTCAGAGGCTCTGAGGGCAGAGGGGGTACAGTCAGCCCTCAGGCCCTCCCACAAGGCTGCTCAGAGCCCCGGGGGTCTAGGAGAGAGTGTGCTGTGTCCTCCCACAAGGCTGTGGGTGAACCACAGCTTCCTGCAAAGCCCACACCGGCAGGATCTGATGAGTGTTGCGTATACTCATGACTAGAAGGCTTTCACTTGACAGATGGTGCAGCTGAGGCTCAGAGAACCAGAGCTGCAAGAGCCTAGCACACAGCGCCGGACCTAGACCCCCCAGGGAGTGTTTGGACAGGAGGTGGACCCTGCTGCCTTGTCTCTTGGGGGAGCTCACGGGGTCCCCATAGCGTGCGCTGGGCAGGGAGCAGTACTTACGCCTCCTCTCCGTGACCTGCAGGAGCCCCGGTGCTGGTACTGGGATGCCCCCGACCTCCTCCTCCACAGGCGTGTGGCCATTGTCCCCTGTCCCCTGGGCTGGGACGCCCAGCGCAGCCTGCGGCACCTCAGCCTCCTTAACGATCTCTGCATCCAAAGACACAGTGTCACCTTGAGATCCACAGGGCTCCCACATCCCCCCAGGACGCGGGGCTGGGTGTGAGGACTTGGCACATCCAGTCCTTTGAAACTCTGGGCAGTGACCAGCAGGTGATGGGATGGCTGGGCTTGTGGCCTCATGCCTGGACCCAGACAAGGGGTTGAGGGGCTTCAAGGAGGCTGCTCCTTCCCCTTGGGCCCTGGCCTCCCCTAGTGAACAAGGAATCTGAGATCCAGATCACCTTTGGTACGCAAGCACCCATGAAAGCCGACCATGCAGGCGTGGAAGTCCCACCAGGGCCCGCGTGGCTGCATTCCAGTGCCGTCCTGGCCTCTGATTTCTAGCTCGGCCCAGGGTCCCCTGAAGGATCGCCCATGGATTTCCATGTCCAGCCTCTTGGTCCCCTTCAAACCAGAACAGCCCCTCTCCACTGTGGACTGACTTTTCCTTTTAAAAACTGATGTCGTATTTGAGTTCAGAATAATACATTCTCATTAAATGAAAGTTACAAACCAGGAGGAATAGGCAGGCCTGCCATTCTGTGATCCCTTAGCCACCAACCATGCCTCACAGTTGAGCAAATATTCTTCCAGGTTTCTCCCATGTTTATTTATTTTTTTTAGATGGAGTCTCGCTCTGTCACCCAGGCTGGAGTGCAGTGGTGCAATCTCGGCTCACTGCAACCTCTGCCCCTTGGGTTTGAGCGATTCTCCTGCCTCATCCCCCTGAGTAGATGGGATTACAGGCATGCACCAGCACGCCCGGCTAATTTTTGTATTTTTAGTAGAGACGGGGTTTCACCATGTTGGCCAGGCTGAACTCCTGACCTCAGGTGATCCGCCCGCCTCAGCCTCCCAAAGTGCTAGGATTACAAGGTGTGAGCCACCGAGCCTGGCCTCATTTTTTTTCACAAACGTAACTACCTTTTTTTTTTTTTTTTTTTGAGACAGAGTCTCGCTCTGTCACCAGGCTGGAGTGCAGTGGCGCGATCTCGGCTCATTGCAGTCTCCACCTCACGGGTTCAAGCGATTCTCCTGCCTCAGCCTCCTTAGTAGCTGGGACTACAGGTGCCCGCCACCACACCCAGCTAATTTTTTTTTTTTTTTTTTGTATTTTTACTCGTGATCCACCCGCCTTGGCCTCCCAAAGTGCTGAGATTATAGGCATGAGCCACCGTGCCTGGCCCAACTGTTTCTTTTATATACTTAACAATTGTTTTGTCAGATGAGAGCAGGAGGCCCCTTGGCTGCTGACCCAAAGCCGGGGACATTGGCGAGTCTTATGTCCATCCCTCCACAGATCCCCTCAGCCCCTCCTCAGCTGCTCACCCTCTCATCCAGGGCCACGCCGTCCTAGCGGCCACCTCACTTGCCTCAGGCAGCCAGTGAGTCCTGTTAGTCAGAGTCAGGCCTGTCCCTGGGTGCATGCCCCCCTTTGGCCCTAGGCCCTGTGGGTCTATCTCTCAGGGAAGAGACAAAGCGCTGGCTTCCTTCCCCCCACCCATTGCCCCTGCAGGAACCTGTTTCCAGATGGCCCTCCTTCCCTCAGCTGCTTCCTGGACCCTGCATGGCAGGGGCCTTCTGGGGACACCAGCACCTCCCACCTGAGTGGGTGCCCAGCGCACGCTTGTCAGATGGATAGGTGCCTTCCCGTTGCTGCCAGCAGCACCCTGAGGACCCTGTGGGGTATTTTTGGCAGCCCCCAGCGGTGAGCACTGATCGTAGCTGGGTGTGCTTGAAGCCGAGGGGAGCAGCTGCTGCCATGAGGCTCTTGCTGAGGGGGCTGCAGCTGGGGTTCACAGCGCCAGCAGCTGCCTGTGAGGGGTGGGCCTGTCCTCCCCCGTGGCACTAGCTGGCAGCCTAGATACTGCCAGGTGGGCCTGGAGCGTCCGTCCCGGTGCACCCCCACCCCTCCCCAGCAGAGCCAAGGGAGCTGAGGCCCGCAGGTGCCCGGCCTCCTGAGTGAGGGGCACCGGTGCAGGGCTGGGAGGTCCCCAGTGGCTTAAGAGCTGGGCAGTGTGGTTGTGGGCAGGTGGCCTGGCAGCGAGCCGAGTGTTAGGCTGTGCCTGGGGGCAGCCCTGTGGCCTGACAGTGTCCCCTCGCCCCGTCGGCCGTGTGGTCATTCTGTGTGGCCCACCTGCCTCCTGTCTGAGAAGCCGAGTGCTGTGTCATGGCATGGCCCGTTTCAGGCCTGGGGGTTGGGCGGGCTGGACGGGGCTCTCGCGGAATCTGGTTTCCACCTTTCCACTGGCATCTGGAATGAGGTTTCTGAGCATCCTAAAGGGTCAAGTTACTGGTGTCCTGGCCCACCCCCAAGCCCAGCAGGGATACCTCTCCGCCCAGAGGGCACAGGGGACAGGGGGTGAGATGTGGACTCTGTTCTAAGGCTGTGAGCAGGGGGACCTCCCGGACACCAGCAGGAAGAAGCCTGCTTGACCATTGTCCATAGCGCTGAGGGGGTGCCCAGGAGAGGGGACTCCAGGAGACCCAGCCTGGCCCTTGGGCCCTTCCTCAAGGAGAGACAGTGTAGACCAAAGCCCCAGGCCCCCGCCCACAGTGTGTTCATGTCCTGCTGGACTGTGCTGTGGTCACAATTCCAAAATGCTTCCACACAGCTCAGAGCAGTGGCCGTGGCTGCAGAGGGCGTAGCCCTGTCCTAGCCTCGAGTCTCAGGAGGGTGCTGCAGCCGGCCCTGAGGGTGCGGCAGGGGCCTCAGACCTGCCAGGTCCAGGACAGAGCAGGCGCTGTCCCTCTGGCATGGCTGACCCAGAGCCCTGAGAGCAGGTACGAGTGGGGAACCAAGGTGCAGGGATGTACGTCACCGGCCAGGAGGCCCTGCTCTCAGGATCCCCAGCTGAGGAAGGCTACAGGGGCTCTTACCTCCCCAGGTTTACAGGCCAGGCATGAACTCCATGGACACCCTTACCCCAGAGCAGCACTCTGGGGTGTAGCTGTCAGCTCCACCTCTGTCCCTCCCCGCCCCTCCTTCTGTCCTGAGGGGCACCCCCTCCTCTCCTCTCTCTTTTTTTTTTTTGAGATGGAGTTTCGTTCTTGTTGCCCAGGCTGGAGTGCAATGGCGTGATCTTGGCTCATCAAAACCTCCGCCTCCTGGGTTCAAGCGATTCTCCTGCGTCAGCCTTCCGAGTAGCTGGGATTACAGGCATGAGCCACCATGCCCAGCTAATTCTGTATTTTTAGTAGAGATGGGGTTTCTCCATGTTGGTCAGGCTGGTCTCAAACTCCTGACCTCAGGTGATCCGTCTGCCTCGGCCTCCCAAAGTGCTGGCATTACAGGCATGAGCCACCGCACCTGGCCTCTCTCTCTCAAGAGACAAGGTCTCACTGTTGCCCAGGCTGGAGTGCAGTGGTAAAACCATAGCTCACTGCAGCCTCAACCTCTTGGGCTCAAGCGATCCTCCCACTTCAGCCTCCTGAGTAGCTGGGACCACCACTCCTGGCTAATTAAAATTTTTTTGGTAGAGACAGGGTCTTGCCATGTTGCCCAGGCTGGTCTCGAACTCCTGGGTTCAAGCGATCATACACCCTGGCCTCCCACCCCCTCCTCTCTGGCAGCCCCCTAATATCAAGGAAACCTGGGGCCAGAGTAGTTCTGCAGAGAATCTCTGGGGACAGCACCCTCAGAGGCAGGTGGGGCAGGTGGTTCTGTGTTAATAATGACAGCTAGGTGTGGTGGTGCACACCTGTGTGGCAGCTACTCGGGAAGCTGAGGCAGGAGGTCCGCCTGAAACCCAGGAAGTCAAGAATGCAGTGAGCTGTGATCGTGCCATCCAGCTTGAGCAACAGAGCGAAACCTTGCCTTAAAAAAAAAAAAAAAAAAAAAGACAGTGGCTTATGGTTTTCTAGTACAGTCCCAGCATTCTGTGTTTATTGACTAACTCCATTCTCACCTCACCCTAACTCCCAGCTACATGGGGAAGACTCTGAGCTTTGTACTTGAGAGGAGGAAGCTGAGGCACAGAGCAGCTCAGCGTCTGTCCCCAGCATGCAGCACAGGGCTGGCCAGGGACGCAGCTGGAGCTCTCAGCCATCACCTGTCAGCCTGTTCCTGATCATGGCGTGGAGATGGGAACCAGGGATCCCGGTTCAGGGCCCAGCAGAGGGAGCAGGAAGTCCCCACTTGCTGGCTTAGGTTCCCTGGGTCCTGACCTGGGGGGACGTGGATCTCTGAAGGAAGGTGGGACAGAGGTGGCGTCTCCCCTTGTAGTCCCCCTCTCACTGGGCGGGGCCCCTCATCTAGACGAAGGCTCTGATTCATTCATTCACCCAACCAAGACTTCCGAATCACCCTCTGTTCTGGGGACATGGCATAGACAAAATAGATGATTCCTGCCCTTCTGAGGGACGGCCAGTGCCAGTGAGCAGTGCGGGGCTGTGCTCCCATTTTAGGGGGCATCTGGGGAGGGTGCTCTACCAAACTTGGAGGAGGAGCCTGGAGGTGGGAGGGAGCCGTGTGATACTGGGTGGGGCGGGGGGGGACATGCATAAAGGCCTGAGCAGAGTGCATTTGAGGACAGCTGGGGGCTGTGAGGCAGGGCAGGGGTGGTGTGTGCAGGTCGTGTGGAGATCGTCAGGACTTTGGTTTCTATACTGAGTAAGCTGAGAGAAGCCGTTGAAGGGTTTTGAATGGAGTGGGACAGCATCTACCTGAATTTTTAAATTATTATTATTATTATTTTTTTTTTGAGATGGAGTCTCGCTCTGTCACCAGGCTGGAGGGCAATGGCGCGATCTCTGCTCACTGCAAACTCCACCTCCTGGGTTCAAGGGATCCTCTTGCCTCAGCCTCCCAAGTAGCTGGGATTACAGGCGTGCGCCACCATGCCTGGCTAATTTTTGTATCTTTAGTAGAGATGGGGTTTCTCCCTGTTGGCCAGGCTGGTCTTGAACTCCTGACCTCATGATCCGCCCGCCTTGGCCTCCCAAAGTGCTGGGATTATAGGTGTGAGCCACCGTGCCGGGCCAATACCTGCATTTTTACGACGAGGCCAGCAAGGGCACAGTCCAGAGGGAGGTAAGTCTGCAGGCACCCTCTGCTTGTGCTGAGATGGAGGTCCCAAGCAGGACCTCAGCCAAACAGCAATCCCCTTCCCCATCTTGCACTGGAGAGGGGGCATGCGAATGCCAGCAGTCCTCATTATAGATCCTGGGGTCCCAAGGGGCTACAGACAGCTTCTGGGACAAAGCTCTAGCCCTGTGGAAGCTTCACAGCAGCCCTGTGTGGAATGAATATCATAGTTGACTCTTAAGAAGTATCCTTTCGGCCGGGCGCGGTGGCTCACGCCTGTAATCCCAGCACTTTGGGAGGCCAAGGCGGGCGGATCACTTGAGGCCAGGAGTTCGAGACCAGTCTGGGCCAACATGGCGAAACCCCGTCTCTACTAAAAATACAAAAATTAGCCGGTGTGGTGGTACGTGCCTGTAGTCCCAGCTACTCAGGAGGCTGAGGCAGGAGACTCGCTTGAACCTAGGAGGTGGAGTTTGCAGTGAGCAGAGATCATGCCACTGCACTCCAGCCTGGGCGACAGAACGAGACTCTTGTTTCAAAAAAAAAAAAAAAAGCATCTTTTCTTATTTCCACATTCTTGAGACAGCAACACATCTGTAGCTGATGGTGTCAGCGTTGATGAGATCCAGTCCTGTAAGCATTTGAAGCCACCAGGTGTCTAGTCTGGTCCTTCCCCATCTCCCTTTGGCCTGGTCTTTATTCTGTAAAGTCTGGTGCCGTGGTCTGTGTTGGGGCTTTGGGGAAGGAAAATTTGGAAGATGCAGCTTCTGCCATCAGGACACGAATTTTTTGGCCAGAAGAATGTGATACCAGGGACAAGACCTGAGCCCCCAGGAGGGGCACGATGGATCTTGGCATGAAGAGCGTGCAGCTGCTATAAGGCATGCTCGTGGGTCCTCAAATGACTGAGCCTACTGTGTAATACATGCAGCATACAGATATGTGTTCGTTGACCATATCAGTAAAGTTCTGGTCAACAGTAGGCTATTAGCAGTTAAGTTTTTGGGGAGTGAAAAGTTCTATGTGGATTTCTGACTTTGAGGGAGGTGGGCACCCCTAACACTTAACGTTGTTCAAGAGTCAGCTGCACATGCATGTTCATAGCGTGATTCACAGTAGCCAAAAGTGGAAATAATCCAATGTCCTCAGTGGATCAATGGATAAACAGAATGTGGTCTGTGCCTACCATGGAGTGAGATTCAACCCAAGAAGGACGGCGGTACTGACACCGGATATCACATGCATGAGCCTGATCACCTCATTCGAGTGAAGGAAGCCAGGCCCAAAAGGACAAATGCTGTGTGACGCCGTTCCTAGGAAATGTCCAGAATAGGCAAGCGCGTAGACATTCCATCAGTGATCGTCAGAGGCTGGGGGGTGGGCAGTGGAGAAGGGGAGAACGGGTATGGGTTTCTTTCTGGGGGGGTAATGAAGATATTATAAAATTAGATAGTGGTGGTGACTGCACAATTTTGTGAATATACTGAAACAGTGAGTTGTACACTTTAAAAGGGTGAACTTTATATGTGAATAATATCTCAATTTAAAAACAATCCTCAATGGAAACAAAGGTTGATCTTGGCTGGAACTGATAGGCAAAGCCGGGAGGAAATGACAGAGACTCACATACACTGTGAGTCGGCCACACGCCAGACCCCCAGGCACAGCCCCAGAGCAGGCTGGGACTGGGTAGAGCGAGAAGCATCAGCTCTAAGCGGCTTGTATCTAGTTCATGGCTGCATTCCTGGGACCTAGCGCACAGTAGGTGCGCAGTAAACAAATGAGGGTGAATCAACTAGCCCACGGTTAGTGAGGGACTGCGCTAGGAATCACCCAGGCCTGTCTGACACCCTCTCAACAAGCTTGTAGGAAGAAGAAAATTCCTCACGGGCGAGACCTGCTGCTTTTCCCAGGGTGGGAACCAGAGGCTCAATGCCAGGCAGGCATGGGGGCGGGTGCTGGCAGCCCCCAAGGTCTCCAGGGCCAGGGCAGAGGCAAGCAGGTGTTTCTGATGTCCCAGGAAGGACCCCAGAGTGTGGGGACACAGCAATGTTCTGGTCCTTACCCCAGCACAGCCCCTATCAAGGGGGACCCAACCCCCCTGCAGGGGCTGCTGGTGCCCTCGCTGATGAGTGGGCACTGAAGGAGCACCTCAGCGAGGGAGCCAGGAGTTGGGGTGCCTCAGCCCGGCCCCCCAGGCTTCCCTGAGGGCTGATTGCTGATGCCCTGTGCTCTGCTGCTGACCTATTTTCCAGCACATTCTCGACTGGGAAACTTGGCCCAAATCCTGTTCCCTGTTGTGTGCCCAGGGCCCCGTCCAGAGCATCGAGGAGGCACTTGGCACACACCACTGTATGGACGGATGAGCTAATGAAGTGAATGAATGAATATCATAAAACTAAATGGCTGGAAGGAGAGATGGTCGCAGAGGCAGGGGCCACCTGCCCCCCATCCCCCAGCACCTTCCTCTCTGGATTTGGACCCCCAAAGTATTTCAGGGATGCTGGAGTGGCCGTGTCTAGACTCTCAGCCTCCTGAGGATCCCTCTGTCCCTGTGGACCCTTGGGCAGACTGAGTTGGGGTGGGTTACAGCCCTGGCTTCCAGGTGGGGCCCTCAGAGAGGGCACAGGTCACATTCCTGTGCACACGTGCACCTCCGTGTTCTGTACATTTCATATTAAGAAATCATTAATTCCTTTAGTTGCAAAAATAGTGTTTTAATAATGCTTTATAAAAATCCTATTTTGCCGGGCATGGTGGCTGACGCCTGTAATCCCAGCACTTTGGGAGGCCGAGGCGGGTGGGTCATGAGGTCAGGAGATCGAGATCATCCTGGCTAACACAGTGAAACCCCGTCTCTACTAAAAGTACAAAAAATCAGCCAGGTGTGGTGGCGGGCGCCTGTAGTCCCAGCCACTGGGGAGGCTGAGGCAGGAGAATGGCGTGAACCCGGGAGGTGGAGGTTGCAGTGAGCCGAGATCGCGCCACTGCACTCCGGCCTGGGCAACAGAGCGAGACTCCGTCTCAAAAAAAAAAAAAATCATATTTTACAGATATTTCTGAATTATTTATCAGTGAAATAATATGTCTAGATTTGGTTCAAACCACTAATGAAGGGAGGTTGGTGGTAGTCTGGAGAGGAGGCTGTGGGCCTGGGGGCTGGGATGTCACACATGGGCCTTTGTCCCGCCGTTCTCTCTACTTTTGTAAGGTTTTCAAAAGTAAGTGATAAGTAATGACAGAGTCACCAATGTGTGATCTCATGAGGTTCCACAAAGTAGGCATCACTGGCCACTTTGCAGACAAGGAAACAGGAGTTGGTGTCAAGAGCGTGAGCCCTCAGAGGACAGGGCCCTGTCTTCCCACTAACTCCCCACCCCAGGCAGGGTACTGCACAGAGCTGCGACCTGTAGGTAAATACCTGTGCACTGATTGAGTCAGGTGTCTGAAGCCCCCAGCCAGTGACTGATGGGCTCAGAAACTGAACCTGCTTTCTCTGCCTTTTAAGCTGCTGGGAAGTCCTCCTTTTTTCCCAAAGGAGGAGGGAAAACATATTAACCTCCACTCCCAAATGCCTTGGGCTCCCACAGCCCTGCAGGGGAAGCAGAACTGTCTCCACTGACAGAAATGGAAATTGAGGCTCACAGGGGCCTGACTGCCCACAGTTCACAGCTGGAAACAGCTCGGAGACCCCCAAGCCCTCACTCCCAACCTCCAGGCTTCCTATGTCCACAAAGCTGCTACTGGGAATACCCAGGAGCCTGGGACTATCAGTGTTAAGAAAGAGCTCTGGTCCCTCCCACAAATGACAAATCAAAACCCAAACCCACCAGCCCTGGGGCATTTGTCCCTATACCTTGGACTGCAGATACACAGGGTGGGTGGACCTGCTCCTCCCGGGGACAGCCCTTCGGGCTCCAGAGGATGCCACTGTGTGCGGCTGGGGGACTGAGAGGTTCCCATGTAGTTCCAGAGCGGCAGGCTGGCCTGCCTGTGCCCTCAGGCACCTGCTGGCTCCCTGGAATGGGAGCTCTAGGAAACCAGGAGGTGGTGGGCTTGGCTGGGCAGGTGGAGGAGTCTGCAGTTTGCATCCAAGTTCCTACCTAGGCAAATGGAACCCCGAAAGCCCTTTTGGAAAAGTCTCTGATCGGGAAGGGGGGAGGTTCTGAGAGCTTTCTTCCCGTTACCGACTCCAAGGTCCTGCAGTAGGGCCTCCACCATCAGGGCAGGGAGCGCTCCACGCGCACCTACCCTCCCCGATGAGCGTGCGCCTGGGCCACTCCCGGACCAGCCACCCTTGCAGCTCTGGAGTCCCCGGCAGGCCGCGCCCGTGCATGCCCCACATCCCCAAGACCCATCTCAGCCCCTCGCCCCTGGCAGGATCCCTGCCCGCGAGTCTACGGCCCTCGCCCCCCGGGACTCGCGGCTGGGCGAACAAAGCGGACGCGCTTGCAAGCGGCCAGCGTCGCCCTCACGCCCCACCGACAGGGACCCCAAACTCCAGCCCCGGAACCCCCCTCCCCCGCTCCCCGGGTCACCGGCTGGCTTGGCTGGGAGGGGGCTCAGGACGAAACTCCGGGCCACCCACCAAGGAGCGTGCCGGGCACGGCTTCCCGGGCCGGGAGCGCAGAGAACAAGGGGGCGGAGACTCGGTCCGTGTGCCCCCAGCCCCGCGCGGGGACCGCGCCCGGGAGGTGCCCCTGGCCCGCCGGACGACCCCGAGCTGCCAAAGGGGTCTTCGCGACTCCCGGGAGCGGCGAAGGGTGAGCCCTGGGGGGAGGGGCTGCGGCTCGCTGCGGGGAAGCGCTGCGCGGGGGTCTCGGGGGCTGGGGCTGAACTCACCTCCGGTGCCGGCGCCCTCCGGGGGCTCCATGCGGCCGGTGCGGTCTGGGAGGGGCACGGGCGACGGCGGCGTCGCCTGGCCCGGGCGCCCCAACAGCTGCGGCAGCGACTCGGCCCCGGCTCCGGGCGCAGCGCATCGGGGCAGCAACCGGGGGGCCGCGGCGGCAGGGAGGAGCCCGCGGGGCGGGGCGGGGCGCGCAGCTGCTCCCGGGCCCCGGCCCCCTCCCGGCGCCCCCCCAGCCGCAGGACAGGTGCGGCCCCGCCCCGGCCCGCGCGCGCCCCCTGCTGGCCCCTGGCCCAGCGGACCCCTCCCCCGCCGACCCTTCCCTCGCGGGCCGCGCCCCGCCGCGGACACCACCGGGACCTGGCTGCGCCCTCCCGACCCCGGCCGGGCGTCCGGGGCTCCTGCGCACTCACTTGGCGGCCGCGCCCGCTGGCGTCCTCTTGTTCTCTTCCAGGTACTTGCGTGTGGGGCGCCGACTGTGTGCGGGCGCCCCTCGGGGCTGGCGAGGGGCACAGGAGGGGCCTGACTCGCGCTGGGTAATGACAGACTCACAGAGCGCCCTGGATGGCGCGAATTAACGCGGGGGGCGGGTGGGGGCGAGGGCGTGTGCTTGGGAGGCTGGAAGGGGCGGGATGGGGGATGGGAGGTAAGGAGAGGGCGGCGGGCCCGGGCTGCAGAGAGCGCCAAGGCAGTTTCGATGAAACTGACCCCCATGTCCCTATCGCCCAGATTCAGCGATTGCCAGCTCCTGGCCTGGGCCACTGCTTCTCTGTCCTCATTCACTTCCCTCCACTGCTGGGTCATTTTGAAGCAAATTATATACACATTAGATCATTGCATTTGTAAGTACTTCAATATTTATCTCTCAAAGAAAGTCCGTTTGCAGGAGCATTGACTCATGCCTGTAATCCCAGCCCTTTGGGAGGCTGAGGTGGGAGCACAGCTTGAGCTCAGGAGTCCAAGGCTGCCGTGAGCTATGATTGTATGTCTCAAAAAAAAAAAAGAAAAGAAAAGAAAAGAAAAAGTCTAGTCTTCATAAACACTCTTGTTAACCCAGCATCCAGGCCTTCACTGAGTTGATGCCGTGGCCTGAGGCGGTTTACCTGGTGGATAGTGGGTGGCAGGAAGCATCAGACATCAGACAGAGGGCAGTCGGTTTGTTTGTATTAACATTTGCTCTGGGATTTTGCAGGAAACTCAGATGCCATTTATCTGGGTTTCTGAGCTGCACAGCTTGACACTGAATGAAAGTATCTTAAGCCACATATGTGAAGAAAAGGCTCTTTTCTAAAAATCTGAACTCGAATTCAATATGAAAAGAACAGGTCGCAGTGGGCCCTGTCGGGATCCCAGGGAGCCGCAATTCAGGGCTCCCTGAATGATTCATCTCTGCAGCCCACACCGACAGACCAGGATTGCTCTTAGCTTGTGAAAAATGAGTACCCTGTCTAGGCTATCCTGAGCTAACCCTCCTATTCTTGCCCTTTTTGCTGAAAGGAATTATTGTTAATACAGCTATTTAATTCAGGACACTCATCCAGACTTCTGAAGCAAAAAGCCAATCAGCATGAAGCTGCTAGCATATTGGTTTTGTGAAGTAAGTGTTAAATTATAATAATTACCCCCACTGTGCTCTCCAGCGTCACTGTCTGACCACCCTGTCCCAGGGGGAGGAGGCCCCTCTCAGGCCAAGGGAGTCTGGCACAGTGATGCTGGCTCCTGGTTGCCCAGGCACAGTGACCAGCCAGACTTCACAGAGGCCTCAGGGCTTACTATAAATAAATCACTGCTTTGTGCAAGCTGAGCCAATGCAGTTCTTCCAACTGGCTGCTCCTCTCCAAGAACAATCAGGACTTAGGTGGGCAAACAGGAAGTCTCTCATCACAGTGGTTCTCAGATTCCCACCACTGTGTGGGTGCCTGAGGCCTGAGCAAACCCAGCTCATGTGGCAACTTCCTCCCCCAGCTGGACAGGAAGACCTAGGTCCACCAGGCCTTCTTTCATTTCTCACACTTTGCCCCCAGCACAACTTTCTACGAGCATGGATTCTGTACTCTTCATCCCCAGACACATGGGAGAACAAGATCTGCTACAAGACCTTTTCTTTTTTTTTTTGAGACAGGGTCTCAGGTCTCATTCTGTTACCTAGGCTGGAGTGAAGTGGTGTGATCTTGGCTCACTGCAACCTCCACCTCCAGGGCTCAAACGATTCTCCCACCTCAACCTCCCAAGTAGATGACCACTTTTTAAGAAGATGTTAAAGATGAGAGCTTAGGGCTGGGCGTGGGGCTCACGTGCTCCCAGCACTTTGGGAGGCCGAGGCAGGAGGATCACTTGAGGCCAGGAGTTTGAGACCACTCTGGGCAATAAAGCAAGACCCCGTCTCTATTAAAAACTTAAAAAAAAAAGCTGGGTATGGTGTCTCACACCTGTAGTCCTGGCTTCTCAGGAGGCTGAGGTGGGAGGATTGCTTGAGCCCAGGAGGTCGAGGCTGCAGTGAGTTGTGATCACAGCCTAGGCGACAGAAGGAGACCCTGTCTCCAAAAAAAAAAAAAAAAAAAAGCACCTGTTTATGACAAACTCAGCTTTCTGGGTGACATAGATGGTTGTATGTAGGTAACAGGGTGGTTTCACGGATGGCAGATTCATTTTAGAAATTGTAAAATGGCTAGCAGTTTTCAGAACAAGAGATTAGTTAGAAAAGGAAAGTGGCAGCTGTTTGTTTTCTGCAGGGCCTGTCGGGAAGCCTCTGGTTTCTTTTCATCCGTGAGGAGTGGGGAGGAGGCCTCTTCAGGAAGAGCAGTTTATTTTTGTGAAAGGAATACTTACTGATTTCAAACATTTGGAACTAAACTGGAACGTATTTTTCTTTCCGATTTCTGCGTTTTTGAGGTGTGTGTAAACCCACCAGCGCAGCAGCTGGGAGGGCCCTTCAAAGGTGGGCGGGTGGGGTGAGTGAGGCCCAGGGGATAGAGTGTTTGCCCAGATTTGAATCTCATTTGGGGAAAGTTTCAGAGGCTTGGGTGGCTGATTGATCATTCCTTCAATGGTCCTTCATCAGCACGTCTTTACTGAGCACGTGCTGTGTGCTGTTCTAGGCGCTGAAGGATAGAAGTGAAGGGTTCCCCCCTCGTGGAGCTTAGGTTCCAGCAATAAGCAAAACATGCCCTGCAGCGAAAGGCTTCTGGGCTGCCGGCGACATTTTCCCAACGTTCACAACCGGGTTCCTTCCGGACGCCCGTCTCTAGGGACGCACTCCCGCCTTTGGCAGGGCCGCTGCCCGGCGGAGTCTCGCGAGGATCTTGTGACTTATCGCGGCATCGCCCAGCGGTTGCCGGGAAACGGCGTGGCTTCCGGGGGCGGGCGCCCTGGTCCCGGAGTCGCCGCTGGGCCTGTCCGCTGGCGTCATGGTGAGCAGGGGCGGGAGCGGGGCTGGGGTCCTCGGCAGGGGCCCGGAGACCTCGGGGCAGGGAGGCCTCGGTACACGGAGACCCTGGGAATGGGAGGCCTGGAGCGCTGGGTTTCTGGAATTGAGAGCTCGGTGCTCTTGTGGGGGTCTCCGTGGGGCAAACTCAGGATGCTCCCGGCCCCGGGGCCTGGCAGCACTCGGGACTGAGACCTGGGCTGTCCAGAGCCCTGTGCTCACAGGGGTGGTCATAGAACGCCCAGGGCCCGGGGTCGGCGGCGCACGGTCCCCAGAAGAGTGAACATGCGTCAAGGGGACTCTCATCCTGGAATGGCAGACTCGGTCTGTTGGATCCCTGGGACCTAGGGTTTCAGCTCACGAGGCTTTGCAGAGCACCAGGGTCCCCATGGAATAGAGCCGGAGGCAGGAATTACCCTAAGACCTTTGGTCTCCCGGATGGAGAGCCTGGGGCACACCAGAGTGGCTAGAGATCCCTCTACACCAAGGAGGCCCGGACAGGTCCAGTGCCCTTGGAGTGCCCAGGGCACAACCTTGGGATACAGGAACCACTGTTCCCTTGGAAAGCCTGGCAGGAGTCAGGCCCAGACCGAGAAGAGGAAGGCGGAGCTCGTGGCCTCATCAGCTCCATGTCTGTCTTTCTCTTGTAAAGGGCTCTCCCTTTGTGGTACAGGAATTGTCAGTAACTCAATTTCTGGGCAGGTGTGGCAGGGTGGGTTTCAGCTGGTGGGGGGAGGAAAGCTCTGGGAGCCCCACCAAGTCCCTGCAGCTGGCTGTGAAGGTCCCAAATGCTAAGTAATGCTGAACCTTCCTCCACTGCCTTCAGGGCTTTGTGATGAGGTAGCCTTCTTGGAGTGGAGGGATTAAAAAGAGAGCAGTACATTACGAATTAAATTTAAGTAGATGGGTTTTCTGACCCAGGAAGGGTCTTCTGAAAACCGACTATGAAAGAAACTACCAAACTAGGCCAGGAGTCTGGGCGCGGTGGCTCACGCCTGTAATCCCATCACTTTGGGAGGCCGAGGCAGGCGGATCATGAGGTCAGGAGATCCAGACCATCCTGGCCAACATGGTGAAAATCCATATCTATTAAACATACAAAAATTAGCTGGGTGTGGTGGCGTGTGCCTGTAGTTCCAGCTACTCGGGAGGCTGAGGCAGGAGAATCACTTGGACCTGGGAGGCGGAGGTTGCAGCGAGCCGAGATCGCACCACCGCACTCCAGCCTGGCAACACGTCTCTTAAAAAAAAAAAAAAAAAGCAGGGTGTAGTGGCTGACGCCTGTAAACCCAGCACTTTAGGAGTCCAAGGTGGGTGGATCACTTGAGGCCAGGAGTTGGAGACCAGCCTGGCCAACATGGTGAAACCCTGTCTTTACTAAAAATACACACACACACACACTCACACACACACACACACAAAATTAGCCGGGTGTGGTGGTACGCACCTATAGTCCCAGCTACTTGGGAGGCTGAGGCAGGAGAATTTCTTGAACCTGGAAGGTAGAGGTTGTGTAGTGGGATTTTTAAGGAATTAGAGAGACCGATGGGGTTCAGGAGGATATTTATTAATTATTTAGGTGCACCGGCCCAGTCAGATTAAAATCCAAAGGACTGAGCCCTGAACAAAGAGTTAAGTTACCTTTTAAGCTTTTCGTGGGGCAGAGGGAGATCTGTGCAGGGGGAAGCATGCTTCAGATGTGAGAAATAAAGGCAGTTGTTCAGTTGAAACATGCATTACATCATTTCTTACTTTTTAAGGAAAAACATGTTTTGCGACTTGAGTTTATCTGCCTAGTGACCTTGCAGCCGCACAGCTACAGAATCAGGGTCTTCACAATGCCTGGGAAGGGAGGAGAGACAAGGCTCACTAGCCGCAGAAAAACAGGCAGTTAATTTTTAAAGGACTCCAGCTCTTTCTCTTTTTCAGGGGGAGTTGGGTTTTCTTATATATAACTGAGTTTCTGCTTACACACTTTTTAATTTCTTTTAATTCCTGTTCCAGTTGCAGTGAGCCAGGATTGCACCACTGCACTCCAGCCTGGGTGACAGAGCAAGACTCCATCTCAAAAAAAACAAAAACAAAAACAAAAAACAAAAAAATGCAACAGCAAACACAACAGCAAACACTAAACACAACCAAACTACTTCTGTTTCTGTTAGGTTGTGGGAATATGGGCCTTGGTCTGTTGGATCCTTGGACCAAGGAATATGGGTGATATTTCTGTTTTCTTCTCATCAGTGTTTTCTAAAATTTCCACATAATATTTTCTCTCTCTCTTTTTTTTTTTTTTTTTGAGGTAGAGTCTTACCCTGTCACCCAGGCTGGAGTGCAGTGGCATGATCTTGGCTCACTGCAACCTCTGCCACCTGGGTTCAAGCGATTCTCCTGCCTCGGCCTCCCGAGTACCTGGGACTACAGGTGCCCGCCACCACGCCTGGCTAATTTTTTTGTATTTTTAGTAGAGACAGGGTTTCACCATGTTGGCCAGGCTGGTCTTGAACTGCTGACCTCAAGTGATCCGCCCGCCTCAGCCTCCCAAAGTGCTGGGATGACAGGTGTGAGCCACTGTGCCTGGCTCCACCTAATGTTTTCATTCAGGACTAAATGAAACATAAATGAAGATAAATGGGCCAGTCGCGGTGGCTCACGCCTGTAATCCCAGCACTTTGGGAGGCTTAGGTGGGCAGATCACGGGTCAGGAGTTCGAGTACAGCCTGGCCAACATAGTGAAACCCCGTCTCTACTAAAAATACAAAAAATTAGCCGGACGTGGTGGTGGGCACCTGTAATCCCAGCTACTCAGGAGGCTGAGGCAGGAGAATGGCTTGAATCCGGGAGGCGGAGGTTGCAGTGAGCTGAGATCGCACCATTGCACTCCAGCCTGGGCAACAGAGCAAGACTCTGTCTCAAAAAAAAAAAAAAAAAAAAAAAAGAGAGTTCAAGACCAGCCTGGCCAACATGGTGAAACCTCGTCTCTACTAAAATACAAAAAAAAATTAGCCAGGCGTGGTGGCGGGCACCTGTAGTCCCAGCTCCTCGTGGAGGCTGAGGCAGGAGAATTGTTTGAACCCAAGAGGTGGAGGTTGCAGTGAGCCAAGGCAGCCTGGATGACGAGGGAGACTCCATCTCAAAAAAAAAAAAAAAAAGATAAATGGATTTAGGTTTTAATGTTTTTAAAAAATAAATAAAATTTCCACATGAAATTTGTAATTTTAAAAACGTTACATAGCTGGGCACAGCAGCAGTGAACTCCTGTGGTCCCAGCTCCTTGGGAGGCTGAGGTGGGAGTATCAGTTGAGCCCAGGAATTGGAGTCTGCAGTGAGCTATGTGATCACACCACTGCACTCCAGCTTGGGCGACAGAGCAAGACTTTGTCTTTAAAAAAGGTTACCGAGACATGTAGACACAGAAAAGCATGGGCTGAAGACTACTGGGAGTAGCAAAGTCAGCAGGATAGGATATGGAAATTTGTTACCTGCTTGAGTGCCCTGTAAATGGGTGGCCAGACAGAACTGCTCCTGGTGTCATGCGTGGTTTCAGCAACTTCCACAAGGGGGTGGGGTTAGAAGGTTCTCTCCCATCCTTGTCAAAGTTGCTAAAACCACGCACGACGCCATGTGCAGTTCCGTCTGGCAGCCCATTTACAGGGCTCTCGTGGTGGGTGCTGTCTGCCCAAGCTTTCTTGACCAGGCTTCTCTGAAGGAAGTTTCTCTTTGAAAGAAAGGAAACTTGTGGTTGTCACAACCGATCGTGGTTATGGAGGCATTTCTCCCTAAGCTTACTGAATGGTGTCTTGCAGGTCTTTTCCATGGTGGTCACCAATGTTGCCGCCAGCATGGTAACATTTGGCAGTGTGGTATTGAGGGTCTTTCCTCTGTTTTGCATCCACAGCAGAGGTCTTTACTTTTTACCAAGGAGTGAGTGGGTTTGGAATGGGTTCCCCCCTCTCTTAGTTTTTGGAGACGGGGTCTCGTTCTACTGCCCAGGCTGGAGTGCGGTGGTGCACCATAGCTCACTGCAGCCTTAAACTTCTAGGCTCAAGTGATTGTCCTGCCTTGGCCTCCCAAAGTGCTGGGATGACACGTGTGAGCCACTGCGCCTGGTCACCGTATACCAAGGAATGAGTGGGTTTGGAATGAGTTCCCTCTCTTTTCTTTTTTTTTTTTTTTAAGTTACAGTTTGCTTTTTGAGATGGAGTCTCACTTTGTTGCCCAGGCTGGAGTGCAATGGTGGGATCTTGGCTCACTGCAGCCTCTGCCTCCCGGGTTCAAGCGATTCTTCTGCCTCAGCCTCCCGAGTAACTGGGACTATAGGCACACACCAGCACACCTGGCTAGGTTTCCTCTCTTTTTTTTTTTTTTGAGATGGAGTCTCACTCTGTCGTCCTGGCTGGAGTGCAGTGGTGTGATCTCGGCTCACTGCAAACTCCATGCCCCAGGTTCAAGCCATTCTCCTGCCTCAGCCTCCCGAGTAGCTGGGACTACAGGCGCCCACCGGCACGCCCGGCTAATTTTTTTTTGTATTTTTAGTAGAGATGGGGTTTCACTGTGTTAGCCGGGATGGTCTTGATCTCCTGACCTCGTGATCCGTCCACCTCGGCCTCCCAAAGTGCTGGGATTACAGGCGTGAGCCACCACGCCCGGCTCCTCTCTTTTCTAGAAGGAATGTTCTCCTTCTCAAAAGGAAGGTTTCTCCTTTGTGCTTCTCCAAATGCAACAACAGGATGTGTGTGTGGTAAAGGGTGGGAACACTCAGGGCAATGATGTGCTCCAGGTGAGCAGAAGGGAGAGAGGTTCCAGAACCTTCTCTGCCAAATGTTCCTGGGAGCAAATCAGAGCCAGCCAAGAAGGGGAAGCTGTTAGAGTCTCTCTTACCCCATTATTTCCACCAAAGGCACCGAAAAAGAAAGGGAAGAAAGGCAAAGCCAAAGGCACCCCGATTGTCGATGGGCTCGCTCCAGAGGACATGAGCAAGGAGCAGGTGAGCAGAGCGGGCTGTGGCCCAGTCCCCGGGTGGGCGTGGGCGGGCACCACGCAGGGTGCCTACGCCGAGTGTCCATCTTGCCATGTGGATCCACCCTTCTGTCCAAGCCAGAACACGCCCCCCGCGTGGCCCATAATTCCCATCAGCGGCAAAGCTTTCGGCTGCACCATGTCTTTTCAGAAAGGTAGTGCAGCCTGTGAAAGAGCTTTGTAACAGGGTGGTAGGAGTGTGGAAGGACATGCTTTTCTGATCTAAAAGCTGTTTTTAATTTCGTGTATTCTCTTTCAATCTTACCCTTTTTTTGCACCTGATGTGTATAGACTTATCGTAGAACACACATGTAGCATTCTCCTTTATTTTATTCACCATTAAACATTATGTCAAAAAGGAAGTTTTTGAAAGAAGGATGATTTACTTCAAATCACATCTGAATCTGATTAATCGTTCATTTTTTTTTTTTTTTTTTTTTTTTTTTTTGAGACGGAGTCTCACTCTGTCGCCCAGGCTGGAGTGCAGTGGCGCGATCTCGGCTCACTGTGAGCTCCACCTCCCGGGTTCACACCATTCTCCTGCCTCAGCCTCCCGAGTAGCTGGGACTACAGGCACCTGCCACCACGCCTGGCTAATTTTTTTTTTGTATTTTTAGTAGAGACGGGGTTTCACCGTGTTAGCCAGGATGGTCTCGATCTCCTGACCTCGTGATCCACTCGCCTCGGCCTCCCAAAGTGCTGGGATTACAGGCATGAGCCACCACGCCTGGCCAGTCATTCATTGTTTTTGATAAAAGTCCCAACAAGGAGTAACAGCATCAGGGCTGCCTTTTTCTTGTTGCTTATTTTGGGGAGGAGGTGATGTTTTTATAGTTTCTTTGTAGGAGTTAGTTTAAGTCTCTTCTTCATTTGGATGTAGTTAAGGGCTACAGAACATAATTACATAATTACAATTTTACCTAAAAGGCTCCTGGAGACGGCAGTGTGTGGCAAGCACGGTGCACCCTCTGGCCTCTGCCCTCATGGACGACTGCCTGTGAGCACCTGACATGGGACATGAGGGCTGTGTCAACTCTGTGTTATTGTTAATAAATCTTACCTTCTTTTGATAGTTGTAAGATAAAAAATCAATACGAAGGAGACTGAAAGAGTCTCATGACCTGAAGTTGGAGCTAGGCAGAGGTCCTTGAACAATGGTAAAGAATGGCTTTATTTTACATGCAGGCAAACCATTGGCAGTTTAAGCCAGTGGCTAAGCAGAGAGGTGATGGGGTCAGGTTTGTGTTCTGGAAAGATGTCTGGAGCTGCTGGATGGAGAATGGATTGAACACTGCGTTGTCCCAGCATGTGAGCTGCTGCCCGTCTCCCTGTCCGCTTCCCATTCCTGTGGAGACAGGCCTTGTGGGGCAGTGGCCATGGAGCCTACGGGGCAGCCTACGGGGCAGGCTACGGGGCAGCTTACGGGGCAGGCTATGGGGCAGCCTACGGGGCAGGCTACGGGGCAGGCCCTTGCACTGCACATCGCACGTTGAGCCACAGACTCAGAAGGCTTCTTCAGGGTCCAGGCAGGTGGGGAGGGATGGGGGTGACCTGGAGACTCCTGCCCCGCAGCAGAGGACAGTTTCATCTGTTCACTGGGGAGTGCCTTGTGGGCCTAGGAGTTCAGTGCTGTTTTTTTCTGATTTTCCAAGAGAAGCTGGAAATCTGGATATTTATAAGAAATCTGAATATTGAGTGATGGCAAAATCTCAACACCATGTGAGCCAAACAGACCAGTCAGGAGCCCTGGTTCAGGCTCTGCCCAGGAGCCTCTAAAGGTCTGTGACGTGAAGACATTTGTCGTTGTGCCGAGGCACTGGTTGGATTCGGGGGTGCGTGTCTCCCTCATGTCTGCCCGGCATCCTCGGCTCAGAACCCCTCCTGCTGCTCCTTCTTGTTTGCTCGTTGTCTTGTCTTCTTTTGAGGTGAGAAATGTGTTTTCCCTGTGGGGAATGTGGTGTTGAGAAAGAAAAAGGCTCACAGTAAGTGGCCTGGGGCTGTGCCCGAAAAGTAACTGATTCTGACGGAATCTCGCTGTGTGGCCCAGGCTGGAGTGCGGTGGCGCGACCTCGGCTCACTGCAAGCTCCACCTCCTGGGTTCACACCATCCTGCTGCTTCAGGCTGCCCAGTAGCTGGGACTGCAGGTGCCTGCCATCACGCCCGGCTAATTTTTTTGTATTTTTAGTAGAGACGAGGTTTCACCGTGTTAGCCAGGATGGCCTTGATCTCCTGACCTCATGATCTGCCTGTCTCTGCCTCCCAAAGTGCTGGGATTACAGGTGTGAGCCACCGCGCCTGGCAGTAACTGATTCTTAAGGGAAATGAGCTCCCGAGAAAGCTGGAAGCCTGTCCTACATTTTTTTTTAACCTATTTGCAGATTCGCAATTGAACCCTCTTGAGATTTTAGAGTCTACTGGTTTTGTATATTTTTTGCTTAACATTATATCTTCAAAGGTGAATTTTTTTTCATTTAGCATTATGATATGAATTTGTTTAAATGCTGCTACATCATTTGCATATTTTTTTTGGGTTAATGTGATATTTCTCCTAGTTGATATACTCTAATTTTTCAACCATTTCCATATTTATTTATTTATTGTTTAGAGACAGGGTCCTGCTCTGTCACCCAGGTGGAGTGCAGTGGTGTGATCACGGCTCACGGCAGCCTTGACCTCCCAGGTCCAAACGATCCTCCTACCTCAGTCTTCTGAGTAGCTGGGACTATAGGCATGTGCCACCACTCCTGGCTAATTTTTTTTTTTTTTTTTTTTTGTAGAGACAGGGTTTTGCCATGTTGCCTAGGCTGTTCAACTCTGGGGCTCAAAAGATCCTCCCAAAGTGGTGGGAGCCACCATGCCTGGCTGTTTGTGTATTTTTTGAGACAGATTCTCACTCTGTCACCCAGGCTGGAGTGTAGTGGCATGATCATAACTAACCGCAGCCTCAACCCCCTGAGCTTGAGTGACCCTCCCACCTCAGCTCTCCCAGTAGCTGAGACTATAGGTGCGTGCCATCATGCCTAGTTAATGAAAAAAAGTTTTTGCAGAGATGGGGTCTTGCTATGTTGCCCAAGCTGGTCTTCAGCTCCTGGGCGCGAGGGATCCTTCAACCTCAGCCTCCCAGAGTGCTGGGGTTGCAGGCGAGAGCCACCGCGCCTCGCTTATTTCCCTGTTTAAACTGGTCTTAGGTTATTTCCTTTTTGATATTTTTGCTGTTGTAATAATGGTGTGGGTAATATCTTTGAGCAAGATGCTCTTATATTTCTTTTGAGAAATTTTTTAGGCATCAATTCTCAGGAATGGATGAAAGGATCTAGTTATTTTATGATTATTGGCCAAATTGAAGAGAATTCTGCCACCTGCTGAATGCATTCTGTCTCCGGAGCTTCCTAGCCTTATATTTTAACTTTTTACATTTAGCTGTTTATTTTTAGGTGAAGTTGAGTCCTCCCTCTTTCTTCCTTGCCTTTCGCCGGCCACACGCCCCGTTGCCGTGCATGGGCCCCTGCTCAGTGCCTCACCTGACCCACTGCACCTGGCCAGGTGGAGGAGCATGTCAGCCGCATCCGGGAGGAGCTGGACCGCGAGCGGGAGGAACGAAACTACTTCCAGCTGGAGCGGGACAAGATCCACACCTTCTGGGAGATCACACGGAGGCAGCTGGAGGAGAAGAAGGCTGAGCTGCGGAACAAAGACCGGGAGATGGAAGAAGCCGAGGAGAGGCACCAGGTGGAGATCAAGGTGAGTGGGGCCGGCCTGCACGTGCTAACCTGGTCACCACAGAGCCCCAGAGGAGCTGGATCCAGTGAGGGTGCAGGTGGGACATTTTCTGTTCTTGGCTTTGGGAGTCACAGCCTTAAAGGTGTTTTTTATAAAAGCCTGAGGGAGAGACCCTGCAGGTCCTGAGGGTTTAAAATGCTGCCTCCACAACATGGAAGGAATATGGGCTCTGGGGGCAGACTGGCCTGTTTGCAACTCAGCTCTGCCACTTAATACCCCATGAGCTGGGGATGCACCTCACCTCCCAGCCTTGGTGTCCTGCTCTGTGCCTCAAGTGTACAGGTTTGCATAGGTGAACAGGCATGTGTAGCTGTGTAAAGGTGAGGCATGCAAGTGAGCAGGTGGATGCAAGTGAGCATGTGTGTGCAGGTGAGGAGGCGTGGCCAGGTGAGGAGGTATGTGCAGGTGAGGTGTGGGGAGGTGAGCACGTGGGGCAGGTATGTGCAGGTGAGCAGGTAGGTGCAAGTGACCAGGTGTCTACAGGTATGTACAGGTGAGGAGGTGTAGTACAGGTGTAGTGCAGGCGACCAGGTGTGTACGGGAATTTACAGGTGAGGAGGTGTACAGGTGACCAGGTGTGTACAGGTATGGACAGGTGAGAAGGTGTGGTACAGGTGTGGTGCAGGTGAGCAGGGGGGTACAGGTATGTACAGGTGAGGTGTGTTACAGGTACGGTGCAGGTGATCAGGTGTATACAGGAATGTACAAGTGAGGAGGTGTGGTACAGGTGACCAGGTGTGTACAGGTATGGACAGGTGAGGAGGTGTGGTACAGGTGTGGTGTGGGTGAGCAGGAGTGTACAGGTATGTACAGGTGAGGAGGTGTGGTACAGGTGACCAGGTGTGTACGGGTACGGACAGGTGAGGAGGTGTGGTACAGGTGTGGTATGGGTGACCAGGTGTGTACAGGTATGGACAGGTGAGGAGGTGTGGTACAGGTGACCAGGTGTGTACGGGTACGGACAGGTGAGGAGGTGTGGTGCAGGTGTGGTATGGGTGACCAGGTGTGTACAGGTATGGATGGACAGGTAAGGAGGTGTGGTACAGGTGACCAGGTGTGTACAGGTATGGACAGGTGAGGAGGTGTGGTACAGGTGTGCTATGGGTGACCAGGTGTGCACAGGTACGGAAAGGTGAGGAGGTGTGGTGCAGGTGAGCAGATGGTACTCCCATTGCCCTGCAGGTGTACAAGCAGAAAGTGAAGCACCTGCTATATGAGCACCAGAACAACCTGACAGAGATGAAGGCTGAGGGCACTGTAGTCATGAAGCTGGCACAGAAAGAGCACCGCATACAGGAGAGTGTGCTGCGCAAGGACATGCGGGCACTGAAGGTGGAGCTCAAGGAGCAGGAGCTGGCCAGTGAGGTGGTGGTGAAGAACCTGCGGCTGGTAGGTGTGGCGGGGGCACCTGGAGGCTGACAGGTTGTTGGGACGGCAAGCCTAGTGCTGCATGAACTCCTGTTTATTCAACAGCAACTGGGAATTCATATTTCTGCATAAGACTTTCTGCATTTTTGCAATTTGTTGAAAAAAAATTTTTTAAAGCATGCATCCAAACAAACCCCATTTTGGGACCAAGTACACAATTCTGTCTCAGACCTGAGCAAAAAATTGACGTCACCGAAGAGAAAAAATCCAGCTTAGGATCTTTCATGTGCTGCTGACACCTGACACCCAGAGACTTTTCCTAGGGAATAGCATCATATGCATTTAGTAGAATGCAAACCAACCATTAAAATATCCAGTGTGTTGACTCCTGGGCACTGTGACAGTTTGTCACACAAGCTGGTCTGATTTTTACTTTTGAGGCTGGGGGTTTCCAGGGCACCATTAAAATTCATCTGTGCACCTGGTTCAGTGGCTCACACCCAAAATCCCAGCACTTGGGAGGGTCAGGTGGGAGAAGTGGTTGAGGCCAATAGTTTGAGACTAGCTTGGGTGAAATAGTTGAACCCCATGTCTAAAAAATTTAAAAGAAAACATTAGCTGGTGTAGTGGCACATGCCGATAGTTTCAGCTACTTGGGAGGCTGAGGCGGGAGGATCCCTTGAGCTCAGGAAGTCAAGGCTGTGGTGAGCTAGGATTGTGCCACTGCATTCCAGCCTAGGTGACAGAGTGAGACAAAACAAAAAGGAAAGAGATCATTTGCTGAGTGTCCATTAGCTGCTAGGTCCTGATCTGATCTCTGACAAAACGCCTGCCCGACTGGGGCTGTTGGTCTAGAAAGGAGAGACAACAGGTGAGTTGGAAGACAAAATAAACGTGCCAGATACAACAGAGTATCTGGTGGGGAAGAGTGCCATAGAAGGATCGAAGTGGGGAGAGGTGGGGTGCGGTTTTGTACAAGCAGTTGACCGGCTGGGAGACGGGATGGGCCAGTGGGAAAGCTCAGAGTGACCAGGAGGAGACTGTGGGAGAGGGTCAGAGCTTGTCCGCCTCGAAAGCCGTGGTGGGGACTGGAGACGGGTCAGAGCTCGTCCGCCTCGAAAGCCGTGGTGGGGACTGGGACTTTGACCCTGGTGGAGTCTGTTGCCCTCTGAGAACTTGGGCAGAGGAGAGATGTGTCTCACTAAGGTTCTTCCTGGCTGCTGGGTTGAGGAGACTTTCTGAACACATTTGCCTCACGCCTGGAAGCAGTCCAGCCTCCACTGAATCTGGAAGAAACTTGGTGACGTTGCTGACTTCGCAGCAAAGCCTGAGAGTGCCGAAGTCTTGAGCCCTCCAGAATTAGCTGGTCTTAACCCAGGTCCTGGATATGATATTGTTACATAATCAGAGTTTCCTGTTGGGTAAAAATATGGCTTTAGGCCGGGTGCGGTGGCTCACGCCTGTAATCCCAGCACTTTGGGAGGCCGAGGAGGGTGTATCACGAGGTCAGGAGTTTGAGACCAGCCTGACCAACGTGGTGAAACCCCGTCTCTACTAAAAATACAAAAATTAGCCGGGCGTGGTGGCGCACACCTATAATCCCAGCTACTCGGGACGCTGAGGCAGAAGAATCACTTGAACCTGGGAGACGGAGGTTGCGGTGAGCCGAGATTGTGCCACTGCACTCCAGCCTGGGCGACAGTGTGAGAGTCTGTCTCAAAAAAAAGAAAAATTACTGCTTTAAAAATAATTTATTTTTTTATGCAAATTTTAAATATATAATGTTTATTTAAATATATAATAATTGTTCATTAAAACTATATATTTATTTATTTTTAGAGATGAGGTCTCACTCTGTCTCCCGGGCTGCAGTGCAATGGTACAATCATAGCTCACTGCAGCCTCGAACTTCTAGTCTCAAGTGATCCTTCTGCCTTAGCCTCCCAAGTAGCTGGAACTATAGATATGAGCCACCACACCCACCTAATCTTTTTTTTTTTTTTTTTTTTTTTTTTTTGAGATGGAGTTTTGCTCTTGTTGCCCAGGCTGGAGTGCAGTGGCACAATCTCAGTTCACCACAACCTCTGCCTCCCGGGTTCAAGCTATTCTCCTGCCTCAGCCTCTCGACTAGCTGGGATTACAGGCATGTGCCACCATGCCCGGCTAATTTTGTATTTTTAGTAGAGACGGGGTTTCTCCATGTTGGTCAGGCTGGTCTTAAACTCCCGACCTCAGGTGGTCTGTCCAGCTCGGCCTCCCAAAGTGCTGGGATTACAGGCGTGAGCCACTGTGCCCGGCAATCTTTAAATTTTCTGTAGAAGATCTTGCTATGTTGCTTAGGCTGCCCTTGAACTCTTGACCTCAAGTGATCCTCCTGCCTTGGCCTCCAGCGTGCTGGGATGACAGGAATGAATCCTTTTAATATGCTGCTTCAGGCAGCAGTGCAGCAGGTTGGAAGCTACACACGGCACCTGGAAAGATCCCACAGCTCTGTGTGGATGTGGCTGCTGCTCTTCAGGCTGTGGGATGGTTTGGCGATGGAACCAAGCGGGTTCAGTGCTCACGACGTCTGTTCATGTTCTCTCTCAAGCTTAGAGGTGACTTTAGTTGAGGGAGGTGAGTTAGGGAATATGGAGGTGACCAAAACCATGAGGAACAGGGTCAGCCTGAAGGGAGCGGGCTTCCCTCTGTGTCCGGCTGTGTAGTAATGGCCGCTTCTCCCTGTGCAGAAACACACCGAGGAGATCACCAGGATGCGGAATGATTTTGAGAGGCAAGTTCGAGGTCAGTTTCCCGTGTGCTCATTGTGTAGGTGCCAGAGACACCCCCGCCCCATCAGAGAGGAATTTACCTCCAGAGCTTGTTAACTCAGGGAGCAAAAACTGGATTAAAACAGCCAAGGCATGCAAGAGAAAGAACATGGAAGTTTCCAAGGCCAGTGGACCCACTCAGAATCCCAGAACAACCTATTTCCATGTGAGTTTGGGAGGCTGTGATTACCACACACATTCCCACTCCTAGCTAAAATCAGTAGTTATCAGCAGGTGGTAGCTATTCAGTGCCGTGGGCAGCCTTCTTAAAATAGTCTTCTCCATGGCTCCTGGTCTGAGAAGGCTCCAATTTCAGAAGTCTCTGTGTTTTACTAATAAAGGCTGATTGTGGCTGGGTGGCCACACAGGCCTCGGTTACTGCTCACTGGGGTCAGCTGACATTCAGCTGTTGGCACCCCCAGTGCAGGGAGCGATTAGCAATGCCTGTCACTGGCAAAGGCAGGCCGACAGTGGTGTGTGTGCTGAGTGTGAGCATCAGCAGAAAAACTCAGTCTAAACCCCTTTGTTCTTCTCTTGCAGAGCTTTTGCCTGCAAGGCTGTTCTGACCACAGTGGGCGTTTTGGGCCCGTTTACAGGCTCCATGTTCTGTAGCCGTAGGGGCACCACGTCTTCCTCTGCTAAGCTGCTGTTTGCTGCTGCCTTTCAGAAATTGAGGCCAAGTATGATAAGAAGATGAAGATGCTGAGGGACGAACTCGACTTGCGGAGAAAGACTGAGCTCCACGAAGTGGAGGAGAGGAAGAATGGCCAGATCCACACGCTGATGCAGCGCCACGAGGAGGCCTTCACCGACATTAAGAACTACTACAACGACATCACCCTCAACAACCTGGCCCTCATCAACTCCCTCAAGGTGCTGTGCGTGGGCTGGGCTGGGGAGGCACACTCTGCCTGTCCTAGAATGTGGGCTGCAGAGTCCTGGGGATCCAGACCCCAGCTCTCCACCCCAACACACCCAGTACTTTTTATAAGATTGTTTGACAATGCCCCTCTCATATCCTTAACTGAAATTCCTAAATAACGTAACCTATCTCTACCTATTGTTAAAAGCAGTCAGGATATTGCCCTCACCGTAGTGCAGAGGGGGAAGTAATGAAGTGTGTTCTGGTTTGTAAAAGCTCAGATGGAACCGCAGTGAGGGCCGTGATGTGGCTGGAGTGGATAGGTGTCATAGTCACTGCCTGCGACAGGTGGATAGGTGTCATCGTCACTGCATGCTGGCAGTGACAGGATTTTCTACAGTAGACAACGGCCCTTGGTGGAATCTTGAACAAAGTATAGTCCTTCAGTCTGCATGGAAGCTGCATTCCCAGAAAACTCAGAATAAGTTGAAGCTGCAGAAATACTGTTTATACATAGAAGACGTCTAGGTGCCAGCATGCCTGAGGCTGGCAGCAGCTGGTGATGGGCAGGAGAGCACCCAGCTCTCACCATGCAGGCCACAGCCCCTTTGGTTCTGCCTGCTGAGCCCCTGCCGGGCCTGTGCTTGTGCCTGCAGGAGCAGATGGAGGACATGCGGAAGAAGGAGGACCACCTGGAGAGGGAGATGGCAGAGGTGTCTGGGCAGAACAAGCGCCTGGCAGACCCTCTCCAGAAGGCTCGGGAGGAGATGAGCGAGATGCAGAAACAGCTCGCAAACTACGAGAGGGACAAGCAGATCCTGCTTGTGAGTTTCCCGCTGGATTCCTCTCCCTCCTTGGCATGAGCTTGCCTAGGCTCAGGAGGGAGGAGCATCACAGGGAGGGGCTTGGCCCTTAGGGCAGGAAGGGAGACGGGGAGGCCTGCATTTCTCCTTTCTCTGCCTCGTGTTCTCCTGGGGAAAGTAAAGTCTGGGGGTGTTTTGGAGACAAGGCCCTCATCTTCACCACGTGCTACCGGCCGGCCTTGGTGAGACTCAGCTGCTTGTGTCCTGGAACCAGGTCTTTCTGGCGATTATTTTTGGCCTTGCCATCTCCCAGGAGCCCGTGTTACTTGGATGACTGTGAATCTTGAATACTTTCTGTCCCCTACTCCCTGTTTTTCCTCCAGTGCACAAAAGCCCGTTTGAAAGTCAGGGAGAAAGAGCTGAAAGACCTGCAGTGGGAGCATGAAGTGTTAGAGCAGCGATTCACCAAGGTGAGTGGCACCACGCTGGCCCTGCAGTTGGCGGTGGGTGTTAGAGCAACGGTTCACCAAGTTCACCAAGGTGAGCGGGCACTAGGCTGGCCCTGCAGTGGGGATGGCACCCCTGCTAGCCAGGGACGGGGCTCTCCTTGTGGCCCCTGGACCAGCTTCAGATGCCTTGGCCAGGTTTCTGGGTTCTGAAGCTGGAGGCCCTGTTCCCTGTAACTCATTCCGCAGCTTCTAAGAGGCAAAAACCTGTGGCCTGTTCTGCATGCATATTCTGCAGAAGGCCTGGGGTCTTGATGGGGAACGGATCACACATGACTTTCGTCCCCTCGAGAGCTCACCTCTGAAAGCACATGAGGGAGGCTCTTAAGTGTAAGTGAAGATGAGTCTCCGGCTGCTCAGTGCTGGTCCTCACACTGGCGAGTTTTATGGGCTCCCTTCCAGGTTTCCTGCATGCTCTCGTGTGGATGTGACTTTGTATGTTACGAACACGGGATCAGGCCATAAGCACAATTTGCTTTTTAATCTCACAGTGTATCAGGCTGCACATAGGAAGCGGTCTCATCCTTTTCACAGCTGCTTGGTGCTGCGTTTTGTGAACGTTTGATCATTTAGCCGACTCCCGTCTGTTTCTAATGCTCTGCTGCTATAAGCATTGCTGCCTCAATCCTTTTAAATTTGTCTTTGTGCACTTGTGTGAGATTGCTTCTTAGGAAAGCCAGTTCCTAGCAGTGGGATTGTTGAGTCTGAGGGTTCTGTTCTGAGGACCCTGATCATCTGTCCAGAGGGCTGCTCTGAGTCACACACCTGCCAGGGTGCGGAGGGGCCGTTTCCATCCTCACCTGCACCAGATCTGACAGGTTTAAACCTTTGCAGAAGTGACTGGGTGGAAAACATCTCATTTCGTGGGCACTTCCAAGATTCGCAGTGAGTGGTAGGGGTGCTCGGTCCTGTCTCTGTCCCTTAAAGACGCTCCTTGCCTCTGTTCAGTTTCAAAGTTCTGGCCAAGGACCAATCCCTGCAGCATGGGCCCCTCAAGGCTTTGTCTGTGGTGTGCGGGGCCAGGGCATCTTATCTTGAGCCGCAGTTATATGTGCTGTTTTGTTCTCTAACCTAATTGAAATTTTTGAACACAAACCGTTGTAGTGGGATTCGCTTCTCAGAAATATCCCATCTGTCTGTCAGATCTAGCCCCACCTTCAGAGACACCTCAGGTCCTGCACGACGTGCATTGCTAGGCTGTGCCAACTCTTGGCACCTAAGGGAAGGGCACCTGCAAGGTAGTCAGTGAGATCCTGAGGACTGCTGTGTTAGACAAGGGGCCCTTCCTTCTCCCTGTGGGTTTTGAGGTGGACATTATTGGGAAGAGGACAGCAGAGACGTGCCTGGGTTGGAGCCTTGTTTTCTGTCACATTTTCTTCCATTTGAATGTGGTTCCTGACAGTGTCCAAGCTGGTGTCTCTTCCTAGAGAACCGAGAGCTCAAATTTATCAGCAAAATTTAGAGACCAAGGCAGTTATTTATTTATTTATTTATTTATTTATTTATTTATTTATTTTTGAGATGGAGTTTCGCTCTTGTTGCCCAGGCTGGAGTACAATGGCACGATCTCGGCTCACTGCAACCTCCACCTCCTGGGTTCAAGTGATACTCCTGCCTCGGCCTCCCGAGTAGCTGGGATTACAGGCGCCTGCCACCACGCCCGGCTAATGTTTGGTATTTCTGATAGAGACAGGGTTTCACTCTGTTGGCCAGGCTGGTCTCGAACTCCTGACCTCAGGCGATCCACCCACCTCACCCTCCCAAAGTGCTGGGATTACAGGCGTGAGCCACCACACGCTGCTCAGGGTGTTCACTTTTTTATAGTCTTCAACAAAGTCTAGATTTTTTTAGAATGCACAATTAATAAGTAGAAGAATTAGGAGATAAAAAAGAACAGTTTTACTGGCTGGCAGGTAGCTGGCTCCAAGGCCGTGCTCCAGATCCACCATTTGTGGGGCGGACAGCACATGTGATGCCAGGATCTGGGGCTGGCCAAGGGAGCATATCCTCCAAGGGGCCCCACCTGCAAGCTCGGCCTGCTGGATGCCCTGGATCTCAAATCTCACCTGAGCCCACAGCCCTCACTCGGGCAAGACTGGCCTCGGCCACCCATGAAGCAGCTTTCAGGGTGGGGCTGCTTCAGCTCTTACCAGGACACTTATGGCTTCCAGAGACACCTTCCTGAGAGAAGGGCTTATGCTGATGTGTTCCTCCTGCCTTCCACTGCGTGGATGGCTCTACAAAGGGCCAGGGCGCAGGCAGTGTGGACAACACACTGACCCCGGTGCTGTGGGAGTGGGCACTGTTGGGAGGCAGCGTGTTCCAGGCAGGTGCAGAGGTGGGAGGCAGCATCTTCCCAGCGAGATGTCCCCAGGTGAGGGGCCTCATCGCCCACCCCCAGCGCTGTCCCTACAGGTGCAGCAGGAGCGGGACGAGCTCTATCGGAAGTTCACCGCAGCCATCCAGGAGGTGCAGCAGAAGACAGGGTTCAAGAACCTCGTGCTAGAACGCAAGCTGCAGGCTCTGAGCGCCGCTGTGGAGAAGAAGGAGGTGCAGTTCAACGAGGTCCTGGCTGCCTCTAACCTGGACCCTGCAGCCCTGACGCTGGTGTCCCGCAAGCTGGAGGTAGGCCCTAGACAGGCTCCTGACCCCAGTGGGCGGCCTCATCCCTGTGGCAAGAGTCTTCAGTTCTGTGCTGCTCCTCGGATAGGCACAGAGACCCCTCGGTCGGCCACTGAGGAGGGGCATTCATGGGTTTCCTGTGGCCAGTTTCGGGCCAGTTGGGAACTGTGGAAGGGCTGGGCAGGGGAACCAGATCAGGGCCCACTCTGCTATTGATGGGGAGCACAGGGCTGGAGGGGGCTGGTTGGGGCCAGCACAGAATGGGGACGGGCAGAGGGTTGGAGAGCCGCCAGGAGGCTGAGTCCACAGGTGGGGCTGGGAGGGGCCGAGGTGACTTGGTGTTTGCACATGGGGGAACGACGGGTCCCGGCCCAGTGGGCGGTGGTGCCTGTGGGACCCTGGTCATCTGGGATGGCCTGGCTCTCAGGGCCTGAGGTAGTGAGGCTGTATAGGAGGGGCCTCACCTGGGCCAGAGGCACTGTGGCCCCGGGACTGAAAACTCATCTTTGTTTGCTCAGCACTGGGCCCAGTGAGCACAGGCAGGTGAGGGAGTGAGGGTCCCACTGTTGGGAGGTGGGGGAGGCGTGTTTCCAGCTCCTGGCTGAGGGCTGCACCCAGCCTGCTGCTAAGCCACCGAAATGAGGGTGAAGAGAGCAGTCGTGGCCTGTGAGGGTCATTGCAGCTGCGCCCACGCGCCAGGGTGAGGATGGAGGATGGAGCTAAATGTGGGTCAACCCCTCCTTTCCTGGTCATTGTTACCTCGACTTCTAAGTGAGGAATCTTCTGGGGAAATGACAGAGGCCCCCGCAGGGACACTGTTTGCTGCTGGCCAGGTGTGAGGGGGCTGCTGTGTCAGTGGGCAGCAGGGACGGCTCTAAAGCCAGGCTGGGCCCAGCAGTGCCCCACAGGCAGGAGCCCAAGAAGTCCCTGCCTCGCCACGTGGTGAGACCCTTGCCCACATCTGGGCGGGGCCAGCGCTGCTGAAGACTACTTTTTTCTGTTACAAAAAAGTGGGATAGCCGGGCGCGGTGGCTCACGCCTGTAATCCCAGCACTTTGGGAGGCTGAGGTGGGCAGATCACGAGTTTGGGAGTTCAAGACCAGCCTGGCCAAGATGGTGAAACCCCGTCTCTACTAAAAATACAAAAATTAGCTGGGCTTGGTGGCGGGTGTAATCCCAGCTATTTGGGAGGCTGAGGCAGAGAATTCCTGGCACCTGGGAGGCGGAGGTTGCGGTGAGCCTAGATCGCGCCACTGCACTCCAGCCTGGGCAACGGGGCGAGACTCCATCTCAGAAAAAAAAGTGAGATAGTACATTCACAAGCCTCAAGAAATTTAAGCAATATGTAGGTGGTGTTTAGTGACCAGTCTCCACAGTGTGGCTGCACGCTGCCTGCCCTCACCTCATCTGCATTTCTTGTGGTCTGGACTGCTCTTTGAGTTTTTTCTTGAGACGGTGTCTTGCTCTGTCACCCAGACTGGAGTGCAGTGGCTCAATCTCGGCGCACTGCAACCTCCGTTTCCCAGGTTCAAGCAATTCTCATGCCTCAGCCTCCTGAGTAGCTGGGATTACACAGGTGTGAGCCACCGTGCCCGGCTACTTTTCGTATAGTAGAGACGGGGTTTCGCCACGTTGGCCAGGCTGGTCTCAAACTCCTGACCTCAAGTGATCTGCCCTCCTTGGCCTCCCACACTGCTGGGATCACAGGTGTGAGCGGCAGTGCCTGGCCTGGACTGTTGCTGGAGAGGCAGGTTGTGCAAGCTCCCAGTTCTCTGCTTCTTCCTTGTTTTCTCTCCACCCTTGGAGACCTTTTTCTGCTGACAACCCTGTGTGGATGGATGCATCCATCAAACCAGGCTGCTATTCGCTGGATCTCTCAGAACGCCCACTGGAGTCCCCAGGCCGCTCCCGTTGCCTCGGCCAAAAGATGAGTCTCAAACTCCCATCACCTCTCTCTCCTCAGGATGTTCTTGAGTCGAAGAACAGCACCATCAAGGACCTGCAGTATGAGCTGGCCCAGGTCTGTAAGGTACGGCTGTGCCCTGCCCTCCCTCAGGGGCACCCCCTCGGTGCCCAGACTGTTCTAAATGCAGACGGTCTCTGAGGACCCCACCTGTGCCCACTTCGTACCTCGTTTGACAAGGCAGCTGTCACTGTCCCCACGTGAGGGTGCAGTCATAGCCGAGAGCATCTGGATTCTGTGTGGTCTGGGGCAGTGCACTGCTGTCTAGGCCATGTCTCTGCTGGGATGGGTGTAGGGGGGGACCTGGACGCTTCCCTGGTCAGCCCCTTCCCCTGGGCAGGGAGTCAGAAGGTGCTGTGCCCACCGGGGAAGGAAACAGACGTCATTCAACAGGGGAAGGGAGGGCGTGAAGAACCTGAGTGGGAAACACCCAGCCAGGGCCCAGAGCCCTCCCAGACCACAGCTCTGCCCTGAGTGTCCCTGCCCTCTGCCTCCGTCTCGTCATTTGTGGAATAGGAATAGTGACAGCCTCTCCCTGTCGTGCTACCTGAGCCAACGCAGTGAAGGTGCTTGGAGCTGTGTCCCACACGGGAAATGACTGATAAGCCTTTGGCTTTATCCTTCTGCACCGTGATGCTCACGCTGCCCCTCCATGGAGCTGCACTCAGCTCTGGTGGTCCTGAGCGTGGGGACCCTCAGCTCCCTGACACTGCCCTGTCTCCACAGGCCCATAACGACCTGCTGCGCACGTATGAGGCAAAGCTGCTGGCCTTCGGGATCCCTCTGGACAACGTGGGCTTCAAGCCCTTGGAAACAGCTGTGATCGGACAGACACTGGGCCAGGGCCCCGCGGGACTGGTGGGCACCCCGACGTAGCTGCCCCCCTGGGGGGCCACAGCCCAGAGAACCAGCCTAGGAACACTCGGGATGACACCCCTTATCACACCAAGGACAGCAAGTTTTTTAGATTTTATCATCAGCAAATGAAAGCTTTTCACATGTTCTTGCCATCCTCTTTCCTGGCTCTGTGGAGGAGAACCACCTGCAGGACCCTCACCCATGGTGTCCCTGTCGCTCCCTTCCCTGGGTGCCGCACGTCCAGCCTGTGTCCAGGCCTACTCCCTGGTCTCACCTCCGACCACAGTCGGCGGCACCTTCTCAGAGTGCCCCGCACTCACCTGGGGGTTGGGGCAGTGCCGCGCTGTGCTGCCTGTCTTCGCGCCACTGTTGTCCCACCGAATGGACAGCTTTGCAGGTGCTGGCACTAACTTCATTGACACCTGAGTCACAGCTGCCCAGTGGGATTCTCCAGGGGGCCGGGACTTCCCTAGGAAGTGGTGAGCCAATGCTCCCTGATGAGCACAAAGCCCGCTCTGTTGAGGGCTGGGTGGGTGCAGCCAGCGTGCGGGAACGGGCAGGCAGCCTCCCGCTGCCAGTCTTCGCTCTAACTCCCTCGGTAGGTGATGTAGGACCAGGGGCACGTGGAACTTCTGGGCCTTGCTGGTGATGGTTAAAACAACCTGAGATGGAGAGGCCAGGAGAGAGTATAAGGGGATAGCAGCAAACCACCTATCTGGCCCCAACACACCTGAGAGAATTCAGCAGCCCAGACTGAGGGTCTGGGATGGGGTGAACCTTCCGCACCAGAGGGACACTCCACAGAAGCCACAGCCCAGTAAGTCAGGCGCTTCTGCGGCGGCTCCAGTGTGGGGTGAGGCAGTGAGGTTAGGCCCAGAGAGCTGGAGTTGGCTCAGATGAAAACCTCTGTCAACAAAGAGGGGATGAATCACCCTTGGCCCAGCCTCCCCACAAAGCCTGACCCTGGGCAGGTGAGTGACGGGTGTGTCCTCGTAGAGTCTATTGCTGCCTGGACACCTTTCTTTTGGGAGCTCAAAGCAAGTGAGCTCACCTACCTGCCACCGCCCAGGACCAGTCTGCCCACTGCCTAAATGATGCCCGGCCAGCAGGACCTGGCCTGCAGATCCCAGTGAGTCATGAGCCTCAGCCCCCTCCAGCCCACTGGGGCTCTCACCTCCACATGTGGGTAGAAGCTTTCCTGCCCCCTCTTCCTCCAGTAGCCCTCAGTGTCGAAGGTGAGCTTGTAGGTGCCTGCCTTCATCTGGTCCAGGACAGTGACCATCTGGGTCTGTGTAGCTGGGGAGAGGATGAGGCTGCAGAGATGGGGACCAGAAGCCCCCCACCCCAGCTTTCCTGGGTCTGCATCCCAGTGGGCCTCAGACACTGCCCTGCCACCTGTCAGACTTGGGTGAGCAGACACAGTGAGGCTGTTAGGTCCTGCAGTTCCAGAGCAGTCTAGGGACACCACTGCCCTGTCTTTAGGAAATCACAACACAGAGAAGCAAAAAGGGAAAAAGTCTCCCACAATTTATCCCATGAGCAAGAACCACTTTATAGCTGGCATATATTTTTCCAGATTTTCTCTATGCATAAGTATATTTGTTTAAAAACTTATAAAGTGGATTATACTATTTGTATTGTTTTATAACCTGTGGTTTTCACTTAAAATATTGTGTATGGCTGGCTGGGCGTGGTGGCTCACACCTGTAATCCCAGCACTTTGGGAGGCTGAGACAGGCGGATCATGAGGTCAGGGTATCGAGACCATCCTGGTTAACACGGTGAAACCCCATCTCTACCACAAAAAAATTAGCTGGGCGTGGTCACGGGCACCTGTAGTCCCAACTCGGGAGGCTGAGGCGGGAGAATGGCATGAACCCAGGAGGCGGAGGCTGTAGTGAGCCGAGATCGTGCCACTGCACTCCAGCCTGGGCGACAGAGCGAGACTCCATCTCAAAAAAAAAAAAAAAAAAAAAAAAAAAGTGTGTGGCTTTCTGGGTCAATAACTACCAAACCTTCACCCACAGAGTGGGCCTGTCCAACTCCACGGAGCGTCTGTGTTGTGTGCCCTGGTCCCTTATCAGGGTTCTGAATAACCGTGGCTTTGCCCATAGTCACTTCTGGAAAACCTCCCATCATTCTTGCCAGCTGGTCTTTAAAGTGTGCGCTTCTGCTGTGATTAGAAAGAGCAGGCCCGAACAAGGTGGCTCACACCAGTAATCCCAGCACTTTGGGAGGCCAAGGTGGGTGGATCACGAGGTCAGGAGTTCAAGATCAGTCTGGCCAAGATGGTGAAACCCTGTCTCTACTAAAAATACAAAAATTAGCCGGGGGTGGTGGCAGGTGCTTGTAATCCCAGCTACTCGAGAGGCTGAGGCCAAGAATTGCTTGAACTGGGTAGGTGGAGGCTGCAGTGAGCCAAGATCGTGCCACTGCACTCCATCCTGGGCAACAGAGAGACTCCATCTCAAAAAAGAAAAAGAGCATAGCACGCTGGGTGTGGTGGCTCACGCCTGTAATCCCAGCACTTTGGGAGGTCGAGGTGGGTGGATCACCTGAGGTCGGGAGTTTGAGACCAGCCTGACCAACGTAGAGAAACCCCGTCTGTACTACAAATACAAAATTAGCTGGCGTGGTGGTGCATGCCTGTAATCCCAGCTACTAGGGAGGCTGAGGCAGGAGAATCGCTTGAACCCAGGAGGCGGAGGTTGCGGTGAGCTGATGCCACGCCATTGTACTCTAGCCTGGGCAAGAAGAGTGAAACTCTGTCTCAACAACAACAACAACAACAAACATAGCGTGTGTGCATGAGGGTAATGAGTCTCTGTGACCCTGCACGGGACGCCCAGCCCACACAGTGCTGTCCTAATTGCTCAGGTGGGACCTGGACCCCTCGTGTCTCAGCTTTTGTGAAGGACCACACGACTGTAGGAGCGGCAGGGTCAGACTCTCTCTGATCCTATGGGCCCAGCCCTGTCCTTCTGGCTGGAAGGGAGGGGGCCTGCCTCTTACGCAGGGGCCATGAGGCCTGGGTGGGTGACATCTGCCTCTGGAAGTGCCGCGCAGAGCCTGTGCCTGGGGCAGTGGGCAAGACCCCATGGAGGCTGAGGGACACACTGCCCCTCAGGCCTGGCTGGGAATCCCAGCACGCACCTGGGCTTGCTACCTCAGTCTTCCCATGTGTAGAAGGGTGAATTATGGTGCTGGCCCACGGGGTGTATGGAGAATGAAAAGAGTGGAAATAATGTCCAGCGTACTGCCTGGCACAAGGTTACCCGTGATCTCAGTGAGCTCTTCGATGCCACCTCAGGCCTCACCTCACCACCACCCCCCGCCCTCGCCCTGGCACAGCTGCCAGGGAGAGGCAGAAACTCACTCCCACCCCATCAGGGTCACAGGGGCCTGAGGCTGGAGGGAGGGAGGAAAGAGCTCCTCTCCTCATCCCTGTATTTTCAGAGGAGGAAACGGGCTGAGAGAAGCAGAAGAGAGAGCCCCTAACCTCACTCCCAACCCGGGCTGAGAGGAGGGTCGGCAGCGGTGAGCTCCGCCCTCCAGCCTCACTGCCTGGCCCCTTAGTCCCCGCCATCTGTCTCAGGGCGGCACTCCCCCTCCCAGGGCCTCTCTCCTACCTTGTCCTCAGCTCCGCCCACTGCTGGCCGTGGTCCTCCAGCCAGCACAAGCGGAGGCAGAGGCCTCTGGCTGGGAGCCCTGAGGCGGTGTCCAGCACGTGGGTGGTCAGTAGGTTGTCCGGAGGCTCCGTGCTGCTGCCCTGGGCCAGGAGAAGGAGGCCAGGGTGAGCCTCTGGAGCCCTGTGCCCGCCTACCCACACCAATCCTGCGTCCACACCAGCTGTGGGGCTTAAACAGCCCTCTGGACAGAGTTCTCCGAGCTGCCCAGGGGACAGGGGGCAAGGGTGACCGGAAGTGCCCAGGCAGCTGATGAGGCACCAAACGTAAACAGCGCAGCCTGTGCCTGCCGACCCTCCCCCACCAATCCCTGTGGCTCCCCTGCCCCACTGGGGACACCCACTGTCCCGCCCACGGCCCCACGAAATGGCCATTTCCCCCCAGGCCCTCAGTTCCAGCCCCTGGGGTGGTTCTCCCGGAACTGGGCTCTCCTCCGCGCCCCGGTTCCTGGGCCCTCGACGCTCAGCCCCACGCAAGCAGCTGAGGGGACAGGAGCCCTGCAGGTCCAGGCCTGGCCCCCTAACCTCCTGGGGGCCTAGGTGTCGCTGGAGCCTCAGCAGCCGCGGGACGGCCCGGGGGCTCATCCTGCCCTGCCGGACTGCGACGCCCGCGGGCAAAGGGAAGGGCGGGGCCGGTCACCCCGCCCCGGACCACCTCGTGCCCACCAGGAGGGCCCCAGCGGGGCTTTGCCCAGGAAGGTGCGCTGGTGGCGAATCAGGGCGCACAGACCTGGGGCCCAGAAGCGGAGTCGCGAGGACCTGCTGGGGGGTGGTGGGGGCGGGGACGGGGGCGGGGCCGCGGTGAGAAGGGGCGGGACCGCGGTGAGAGGGGGCGGGGGGCGGGGCCGCGGTGAGATGGGGCGGGGCCGCGGTGAGGGGGCGGGGCCGCGGTGAGAGGGGGCGGGACCGCGGTGAGAGGGGGCGGGACCGCGGTGAGAGGGGGCGGGACCGCGGTGAGAGGGGGCGGGACCGCGGTGAGAGGGAGCGGGGGGCGGGACCGCTGTGAGAGGGGGCGGGGGGACGGCGGGACGGGGGGATGGGGGGATGGAGGGGATGGGGGCGGGCCAGGTGGGTCCCAAGAAGACCTGCGCGAGACTGGGGACGGCGCGGGGCCCATCTCTCCCCTGGGAGGCTCAGAGGCCCGCAGGTTTCTCATGGAAGCCCCTCACAGGGTAAGTTTCCCCCGACAGGCCATGTGACCTTGCCTCGGTTTTCTCATCTGTAAAATGGGAGCAGTGGTGACTCCTCAGATTGTTGATATGGCTCCGTAGGTGAAGCTCTCTGAGCTGACCTCCCCCCCGCCCTTCCTCCCCGCAACGCGCGGTGGATGAGCGCAGGGTGGAGGCCCGTGCCCTGCAGAAAGTGAGAAAAGCCATAGAACTGCGTGTGCCGGCGAGTATCCATCGTTGTATTAACCTTACGTAATATACAGAGAACACATTTTGACTATATGTTATATATGTGAAGTCCTCATTAGGGAAAGGGAGGCAGGGGAAAGCAAACAGAGAAAGCAGACAAGCTACTAGTCTGCCTTCTTCATGCTCCAGGACACACAGCCCTCCAGACACACGGCAAATAACACATTCTTCCTGCGCCCCAGTCTCACCAGACGCCTGAAGGTTATTAACGCACACTCTCCAGCAAGGCTTTGTTTCTGTGCAGTCAGTTTCTCTTCTGCTGGCTGCCCGTCTTCTCTCTGGCAACGTATTTTCCTACTTTCTCTAGTAAATCTGCCTTCTCTTACATACAACTGTCTTGGTAAATTCTTTTATCCTCAAGCCACTGGCAGTCGTTCACCTGCCACAATGTATTAATGAAATAACGGACATTCTCTATTTAAAATCTGGGAAACGCTGCACCCGCATGATGGTGGACTGGCTGTCCTGCTCTGGGATCTGGGAACTTTTTTTTTTTTTGAGACGGAGTCACACTCTGTCGCCTAGGCTGGAGTGCAGTGGCACAATCTCGGCTCACTGCAACCTCCGCCTCCTTGGTTCTAGCGGTGAGTAGCTGGGATTACAAACGCCTGCCACCATGCCCAGCTAATTTTTGTAGTTTTAGTAGAGATGGGGTTTCACTGTGTTGGCCAGGCTGGTCTCGAACTACTAACCTCGTGATCAGCTCGCCTCGGCCTCCCAAAGTGCTGGGATTACAAGCGTGAGCCACCGCGCCTGGCCGGGAACTTCTTTCTTCCTGTCAAGCTGCATTTCCAGTTCTTGGGTGTTCGGCATGGGTGATTTGTAGATTAAGAATTAGGCCATTCAAAGGCAAGGGAGGAGACCCCTCTCAGCAAAGGTTGGGAGTATTCTGGCTACAACTACCTTGGGACTAGTTAGGAAACATCTATTTGGGATCCACACACACGACATTTGTTGTGGCTTCTGTTTATAGGAGATAATCCTAAAGAGAGGCTCACAACTGTTATGGCAAATGCCCATGGGTGCCAGAGGCCAGAGACAACCAGACTGGCCCCAGTGGGGAAAATTCCATAAACGCCAGGGTACTCTGCAGCCCTTTAAAAAGCATGAGGCCCATTTGTGTGTAAGATGAGAATTCTCCTGGAAAAACAACTAGTGACAAAGGACAAAACAGTGTGTAAGAGGGGGGAAGCTTGTAAATTCGTATCTAGCTTTCACTGAATTGCAAGGATTAGCTAATTCAATCCTCATAACAACCTCCTGGTGTATTGTTGTCCCTACCTTACAAAGCAGGAAACTGAGGCACAGGGAGGCCATATATTGGAATATTTCACAATAGGATACACAAAACAGTCATCCCAGTGACCACCTCTCGAGATAAGCAGTTGCAGATGGAGTATATTTATTTTGACTCTTTAACATTTTGTACTCTGAGAAATTCTAGTGGGCTTGTATTACTTTTTCGAAAGTCTCAAATGTTATAAATAAAGTGACAAAGCAATGATCAGTCCTTTTGGGGGTTGCCACGTAACCTCCCCCCTCTCCTGAGACTCTCCCTGCATAGGAGAAGCTAGTGGCCTATGGAGGGAGAATGGCAGACCAAGGGGTTGTCAGAATTCCTCTCCTGGCCTCTTCAGGGTAACCCCCCACCCGTCTTGCTCCCACCTAGACCAAGAGGGACTGCAGGGTCCCCTTTCCCAGGGAAACTGAGACCCTCAGCCATGCCTGACCTCCTGGCATCTGCCCCTTTCTGAAAACCAGGGTCACCACTGGGATGTCATGTGCTCTAGAAACTTCCTTAATGAGATGAGCAGGCTCCACACCCCAGGGCCTTTTTTTTGGAGATAGAGTCTTGCTGGAGTGTAGTGGCATGATCTCGGCTTACTGCAACCTCCGCATCCTGGGCTCAAGCAATTCTCCTGCCTCAGCCTCCTGAGTAGCTGGGATTACAGGTGTGTGGTACCACGCCTGGCTAATTTTTGTATTTTTAGTAGAGACAGAGTTTCACCATGTTGGCCAGGCTGGTCTTGAACTCCTGACCTCAGGTAATCCACCCACCTCGGCCTCCCAAAGTGCTGGGATTACAGGCGTGAGCCACCGCGCCCGGCCGAACACCCCAGGTCCTTTATGGCACCTTCAGGCAAATTTGAAAAAGAAGCATCATCTTCAAGACTCTTATCTTCCAGAAAATTGTCATAATAAATATCCAAGTAGCCTATCTTTGGTTTTTAAATAAGGTATAATAAAATACAAAAACATTTCAAAATTATAAAGATGTCTGCAGTGTGTGGTCTGAGATATCGAGTAAAGACACACTGTACGGCCTGAACAACACTTTTCTGTCTGTAGAGCCAACCTCCTCTCTATGACTCATTGGAACACTTATTTTATTTTGTGGAATGAAGTGTTGCCTGATTCTAGAATTGCAAATGAGGTCAATTGAGATCTTTAAACTGAGTTTGTTGTAGTTTTGTCTTCAAACAGGATTCTGTTCTCCTGCAGAGACTGGGAGATAGAGGCCTCACCCTTCCTGATGATTACCTTTCAAAGGGAGGGCTCTCAGGCCTTGAGAGAGGCCCTTCTGAGTTGCAAGACATATTTACAAACAGTAAGCTTTTTAGTACATGCTCCAAGAAAGGGAGGTTGGGGCCTATCATCAGAAGTTGGCTAGAGCAGAGGTCCCCAAGCGGGCCACATAGTAGGAGGTGAGTGCACGGGCAAGCGAGCAAACGAAGCTTCATCTGTAGCTTCAGCTGCTCCCCATCGGTTGCATTACCTCCTGAGCCCGCCTCCAGTAAGATCAGCAGCAGCATTTGATTCTGATAGGAGCACGAACCCTATTGTGAACCGCGCATGTGAGGGATCTAGGTTGTGTGCTCCTTAATGAGACTCTAAGGCCTGATGATCTGTCACTGTCTCCCAGATGGGACCGTCTAGTTGCAGGAAAACAAGCTCAGGGCTCCCACTGATTCTACATTATGGTGAGTTGTATAATTATTTCATTATATATTACAATGCAATAATAATAGAAACAAAATGCACTATAAATGTGCATTTGAATCATCCCAACCCTCCCCTCAGCCCATCTGTGGAAAAATTGTCTTCCATGAATCCGGTCCCTGGTGCCAAAAAGTTTGGGGACACCTGGGCTGGAGCATGGTAAAATTTCCTTCCTGCACAGAGCTTTTGTTTTAATGGAAGCCGTAAGGGTGGAAGTGCTGCTGGGTCATCCTGGGGGCGCAGCCCTACGCTGCTGGAAGCTATGCTGGAGTACTTCTGACGAGTCTCCTAGTGTGAGGGTTTGGATGAGTTGTCATGTGCTGAGGGTTCTGCAGTTCTCTGTGGGTCCTTGTTCACTTAATTGGCCCCTAATAATTGTTTCTGAGTGCAGAAACTAAATTTAAACTTCATTTCACACATACTGCCTCTAGCCATTTCTCTACTGCCTCATATATTTTGGGGAGTTTCAGCTTGACTGAATCAATCTCAGCTGATCCCTTTTATTCTCATAGGAAAAATCACTCAGGGCACTTCTACATGTGTTCTTTAGGTTCGTCAACTGAAGAATCATGAGGTTTCCCAGATTTGGAAAGGAAAGCTTTATTTCTCATAAAGAGTTGCAGCCTGGTCATTTGGACAGGCTGGAAAGCATAGCCTCTGGCCAGAAGCCAGAAATAGGCTCTTCAAGGGACAGAAGAATAAGATGGGGATTTCACTGGATGGCTTGGCCAAATATACATACCCCCATAAGGTATACGAGAACTCATGAATATGTATGAGAGGAGAAATGTGTGCATTCATGATTGAGCTTCCTGCCTCTCCCTGGGTCCAGTGTTCAAAAAATGGCACTGTTAGCATGACTCAAGGGTGGAGTTTTTGGGCCTCCGACCTCCAAGGTGAAGTAGCGGATGCAACGACCCTCACTATGCATTCTGTGTAGACCGGCCGGAACCACTGCCTGGTCATTCTCTGTAGACCGGCCGCAACCACTGCCTGGTCATTCTCTGTAGACCGGCCGGAACCACTGCCTGGTCATTCTCTGTAGACCGGCCGGAACCACTGCCTGGTGAATCTCTGTAGACCGGCCGGAACCACTGCCTGGTGAATCTCTGTAGACCGGCCGGAACCACTGCCTGGTGAATCTCTGTAGACCGGCCGGAACCACTGCCTGGTGAATCTCTGTAGACCGGCCGGAACCACTGCCTGGTGAATCTCTGTAGACCGGCCGGAACCACTGCCTGGTCATTCTCTGTAGACCGGCCGGAACCACTGCCTGATCATTCTCTGTAGACCGGCCGGAAGCACTGCCTGGTCATTCTCTGTAGACCGGCCGGAACCACTGCCTGGTGAATCTCTGTAGACCGGCCGGAACCACTGCCTGGTGAATCTCTGTAGACCGGCCGGAACCACTGCCTGGTGAATCTCTGTAGACCGGCCGGAACCACTGCCTGGTGAATCTCTGTAGACCGGCCGGAACCACTGCCTGGTGAATCTCTGTAGACCGGCCGGAACCACTGCCTGGTGAATCTCTGTAGACCGGCCGGAACCACTGCCTGGTGAATCTCTGTAGACCGGCCGGAACCACTGCCTGATCATTCTCTGTAGACCGGCCGGAAGCACTGCCTGGTCATTCTCTGTAGACCGGCCGGAACCACTGCTTGGTGAATCTCTGTAGACCGGCCGGAACCACTGCCTGGTGAATCTCTGTAGACTGGCCGGAACCACTGCCTGGTCATTCTCTGTAGACAGGCTAGAACGAATGCCTGGTCATTCTGTGTAGACTGGCTGGAACTACTGCCTGGTCGATGGTCTTTCAGCAGGGAGGAATGCTGGTTAGTTGTGTTGAAACCGCAAAAATGGAAGGGCCATAGTCTGGCACTTGGTTGATGTCAGTGGTGGAGTCTCCCCAAAGGGCTGATTGCTGTTTAGCCCTTTGGGAAGAAAGCCTCATGGTGGTTAGTGAGGAAGGGGGTATAACAAGGTGTGTCTGGGCTCCTGTCCAGTCATGGCTGGGAACTCAGTTTTCAGACTTTCTCTGGAGTGCCCTTGGCAACAAGGGTTTCTGTTCAATGAGTTGTGGGGTTTGTGTGTGTGTTGGCTGGGTGTGATGGCTCACACCTGTAATCCCAGCACTTTGGGAGGCCAAGGCAGGCAGATCAAGAGGTCAAGAGATCGAGACCACCCTGGCCAACATGGTGAAACCCCATCTCTACTAAAAATACAGAAATTAGCTGGCGTGGTGGCATGAACCTGTAGTCCCAGCTACTCAAGAGGCTGAGGCAGGAGAATTGCTTGAACCTGGGAGGCAGAGGTTGCAGTGAGCCAAGGTTGCGCCACTGCACTCCAGCCTGGCAGCAGAGTGAGACTCCATCTCAAAAAAAAAAAAAAAGTGTGTCACCTCCAGCCTCGCTCTCTCTTTTCCTCCTGCTCTGGCCATGTGATGTGTCTGCTCTCCCTTTGTCTTCTACCTTAATTGTAAGTTTTCTGAGGCCTCTCCAGAAGCCAAGCAGAGATGGCAATGCTTCCTGTACAGCCTGCAGAACCATGAGCCAATTAAGCTTCTTTTCTTTATAAATTACCCAGCCTCAAGTATTTCTTTGTAACGATGTGAGAACAGAGTAATACAGAAAATTGGTACCAGGAGTGGGGCATTGCTGTAAAGATACCTGAAAATGTGGAAGTGACTTTGGAACTGGGTAACAGGCAGAGGTTGGAAGACTTTGGAGGGCTCAGAAGAAGAGAGGAAGATGAGAGAATGTTTAGAACTTCCTAGAGACTGGATAAATGGTTGTGACCAAAATGCTGACAGTGATATGTATGGTGACACAGGCTGACAAGGTCTCAGATGGAAATGAGGAAGTTATTGGGACTGGAGCAGAGGTCATTTTTGTTATGCCTTAGCAAAGAACTTGGCAGCACTGTGCTCCTGCCCCAGGGATCTATGGAGGTTTGAGCTTGAGAATGATGATTTAGGGTAACTGGTGGAAGAAATTTCTAAGCAGCAAAGACTTCAAGATGTAGCCTGGCTGCTTCTAACAACCTATGCCCATATGTGTGAGCAAATAAATGAGTTAAAATTGTAACTTATATTTAAAGGAGACACAGAGGGTAAAAGTTTAGAATGTTTGCAGCCCGGCCATGTGGTAGGAAAGAAAAGCCCATTTTTAGGGGAGGGATTCAAGCAAGCTGCATAAATTTGCATAAGTTAAAAGGAGCCACGTGCTAACAGCCAAAACAACGGGGAGAAGGCCTTGAAGGAATTTCAAAGACCTTCAAGGCAGCTCTTCCTATCACAGGCCTGGAGGCTTAGGAGGGCTGAATGGTTTGGGCCAGCCCCAGATCCCTGGCAGCCTCGAGACACTGCTCCCTGCATCCTTGCCACTCCAGCTTCAGCCATGGCTCAAAGGGGCCCAAGTACAGCTCTGGTGGCTGCTTCAGAGGGTGTAAGCCATAAGATTTGGCAGCTTCCATGTGGTGTTAAGCTTGTGGGTGCACAGAGTGCAAGAGTTGAGTCTTGGGAACCTCTGGCTAGATTTCAGAGGATCTATGGAAAAGTCTGGATGTCCAGGAAGGAGCCTGCTGCAGGGGCGGCGCCCTCATGGAGAACCTCTACTAGGGCAGTGGAGAGGAGGGGAAATGTGGGGTTGGAGCCCCAACACAGAGTCCCCACTGGGACACTGCCTATTGGAGCTATGCGAAAGGGGCCACCATCCTCCAGACCCACCAATAGCTTGCACCCTGTACCTGGAAAAGCCTCAGCTTCTCAATGCCAGCCCATGAGAGTGGCTCTGCCCAAGCTTCCCAAGGCCTTGGGAGCCCACCCCTTGCATGCCTGGATGTGGGACATGGAGTCAAAGGAGATTATTTTGGAACTTTAAGATTTAATGACTGCCCTGCTGGGTTTTGGGCTTGTATGAGGCCTGTAGCTCCCTTCTTTTGGGTGATTTCTCCATTTTGAAATGGGAATATTTATCCAGTGTTTGTACTCTCATTGTGTCTTGGAGGTACATAACTTGTTTTTGATTTTACAGGCTCATAGGTGGAAGGGATTTGCCTGTGTCAGATGAGACTTGGAACTTTGAACTTTTGAGTTAATGCTGAAACGAGTTAAGACTTTGAGGGACTGTTGGGAAGGCATGATTGTATTTTGCAATGGGAGACGGACATGAGATCTGGGGGGCAAGGGTTGAAATGATATGGTTTGGATCTGCGTCCCCATCAAGTCTCATGTTGAATTGTAATCCCCGGTGTTGGAGGTGAAGTGTGGTGGGAGGTGATTGAATCATGGGGGTGGATTTCTTATGAATGGTTTAGCACCATCCCCACTTGGTACTGCTTTCATGACAGCGAGTGAGTTTTCATGAGACCTGGTCATTTAGAAGTGTGAGACATCGCCCTCCTCACTCTCTCTTGCTCCTGCTCCCACCATGTGAGATGTCTCCCTCCCCTTTGCCTTCTGCCATAACTGGAAGCTTGCCAAGGCCTTCCTACAAGCAGAAGCCACTATGCTTCCTATACAGCAGAGCCATGAGCCAACTAAACCTCTTTTCTTTATAAATTACCCAGCCTCAGGTGTTTCTCTATAGCAATGTGAAAATGGAATAATACAGAGGGCTTATGATTTTATTTTTACTTCTCAGATTATGTTTTAGTAGAAGAAAAGAGCTAAGTGAGCCTGGTGCGGTGGCTCACACCTGTAATCCCAGCACTTTGGGAGGCTGAGATGGGTGAATCACGAGGTCAGGCATTCGAGACCAGCCTGGCCAACATGGTGAAATGCCATCTCTACTGAAAATACAAAAAATTAGCAGGGTGTGGTGGTGGGTGACTGTAATCCCAGCTACTCTGGAGGCTGAGGCAGGAGAATCACTGAATGTAGGAGACGGAGGTTGCAGTGACCTGAGATCACACCACTGCACTCCAGCCTGGGGAACAGAGTGAGACTCTGTCTCAGAAAAAAAAAAAGAAAAGGAAAGAGAGCTAAGTGTAGCTGTGGCAGGCCAGGTCTCACTAACACCAGCCTCCATTACAACTGTCTCAGCACTGACTGAGTAGTTAGGTTAAATATTAAAAGCTAATTGAACCAGTGCTCTTGTAGCAGGATGAGCCGCAGACGAAACCCCTCAGACACAGAGTTAAAGAAGGAAGCGGTTTATTCGGCCAGGAGCATCAGCAAGACTGCTGTCTCAAGAGCCGAGCTCCCCGAGTGAGCAATTCCTGTCCCTTTTAAGGGCTCACAACTCTAAGGGGGTCCACGTGAGAGGGTCGTGATCGATTGAGCAAGCAGGGGGTAGGTGACAGGGGCTGCATGCACCGATGGTCAGAGTGGAACAGAACAGACCGGGAAGTTTCACAATGTCTTTCTATAATCTATAGATAACATCAGTTGCTAGGTCAGGGGTCGAATTTTAACTACCAGGCTTAGGTCAGGCCGGCCCAGGCCTGGTTTCGGGTCTGGTTCCTTGGTTTCAGGTCTGGTTCCTAGGCGCCAGGCTACCTGCCTTTAGTTTTGCTTCTTTTTCCTTTTCTGAGTATAAAACAATATAAAACAGTATGAGAGGGTCTGTCTCTCTTCTCTCAGAGTATTCAATTTCCTTAGGATTTTGAGCGTTATTCCTAATACACCCTTGAAACCCCCACACTCACACAGATACGTACACAGAGGGCACATACCCCCACACCCATGCATGCAGGCTTAACACACATAGCACACGTGAACACATATATACACACATGCGTGTTCCTGTCTGGCGTTCACTTCTGGGGCTACAGAGATTGGAGGAAATCAGGAGAGGAGACAGGGGGAGCCAAGGGGGAGTATGGCAGCAGAGGAGAGGGGTCCATTAGAAGAGGTCACACTTCCCAGGAGACCAGGGAGCTCTCTTTCCTGCTGCGACTCTGTAAAACCCTACATTTCTCTTCCTGGACTTGGGAATCGATTCTCCAATAATTAAACCAGATGGACTCCAAGTTTATGTCTTTCTGGGGTTGAATTCCTGTGGAGACTTGAACTGAACGTTTGAGTTCTCTGTGGCCCTTCTGGACTCTTCCTTCCTTCAGTGATAAGGGAAGAATGAGGTACACACTTGGGGTTCAGATATGTATGGAGACAAAATTAATTAGAACAGGAGGCAAAACACAAAAAATGGAGGGGATCAGTGCGGGAAACAACCACACATGTTGACGTCCCCCGAACACTTACAGAACTATCCCCTGTTCTTCCTCAACTCTAGTCATGAAAGTGGCGGATTTGTTTAATTAGTTATTTCCGATCTCTTTACACTCTCGGGGAATGTAAGGGGTTAGCAGACTTTCGCTGAAGCCACCTCAGAGCTGGGGTGTGCAAGTGTGTGGTGATCACGTTTGTCTTCTTGTGGCTATTGAGATAAGGTTTTATTACTAATGACTTACTCATCCTTCCTGCAGACTGGGGCGTCTCCCCTGTGTGTCCTCTGGTGAATGAGGAGGACTGACTTCCGGCTAAAGCCCCGCTCACACTCTCTGCAGACATAAGGCTTCTCCCCTGTGTGTGTCCTCTGGTGACTGAGGAGGTCTGACTTCCGGCTAAAGCCCTCCCACACTCTCTGCAGACGTAGGGCTTCCCCCCTGTGTGTGTCCTTTGGTGTGTAATAACATCTGACTTATCACTGAAACCTTGCCCACACTCTCCATATTTGACTTTCGCAATTCTTGAGATTCCTACCCCCACAAATAATTTGCCTGTGTTCCCTGGATTCACTTTCTGGCCTGTTCTGGACTCTTCTTCCATCATTCTTTCTCCCACTCTAGAGCTCCCCATTTGTCCTTTGGGTGGGCTAGAAAAGGCCCTTGAAATCTCCCTCTGCCATGTCCTTTTATTCAAGAGTTTGGACCTTTCTTTGATCTCTTGACCTTTGGTTTTGTCATTACAGCAGCGTGGATCAGAATATTGCCGCTCCTGATTCTGATCCCCTGGGCAGGGATTCTCTGGTTGGAGAAGTTTTCTTGCAGATGGTCCTGGGAAGTTCTGAGAGGAGTGATTGCGTTCCACATGTTGACTGAGAAATTTTTGACTTGAAAAGGCCAGACAGCATGAGGGACATGGATGGATCTCTGGCTTTGGTTCTGAAAGAGGAAGTTTTTGGTCAGGGTAGATGTTTTGTTCAGGCCTTACTACATATGAAGGTATGAAGATCAAATGAAGAACCAGTCATTCTTCATATGTTAACAATGCAAGCTCTCTCCCACCAAGTGCTGGATGGACCTTTACAGTCCATTTTTCCATTCCACTTTTATTCACTACATCTTAAAAAATCCAGAAATCCCACATCTTGGGCCTTTTCTACGTATCAGCCAGACTCTGGGTAACCTCAAGCAGCATCAGGGGCAGCATCATTCCTTACATAGATGGAACTGCAGTGACCTTTCCCCCATGCCACAGGTATCTTCCAAGTCCTGTAAAGCCTTCCCTGATCACCTCTGCCACATGCTCCCTCCCTGGGCCCTGGGCACTTTTGCGACGCGAGGTTTTCAGCTATTTTATTCTATTGAGAAATAACACTCTTGATGACTTAGGTGAGATTGTCCTTAGTGACTTCCTAAGAGGGGAAAAGGATCTATTAGGAGCACTCAGCCTGGAGATCCACAAATGTGGTTAAAGAGATGTGTTAGCAAATCTGAATTTGAGTATCCTCATTCAAAAGGACATATTTAATTGAGGACTGTTATGTGCCCGGTTCTCCATCAGGAAGTGTGATTCAGGTTGGCCAACACAGAGTGGTCCAGGTCCCACTGACTAAAGGACTGTGGGTCCTGCTGCGCCAACTAGGTGCATGGACTGCTTCTGTTTCAGATTCCACAAATCATAAAATGAGAATATGCTCTTTGTCAGGCTGCACATCAAGTATTCATGTCTGAGTTATTTCATTCAGTCTGAACCCATTTTAAATATAATAGGAAGTCTTGTTTCAAAATATATCCCTACTCAGGCTTACCGCCATGCTCCCCACCTTCATCCTGCCCACCATTTTCTCTCACTTGGAAACTGGAGCAGCTCTGAAGGGATGACCCATGGCAGCCTATTTTCCAAAAATGAACCAAAGCTGAACTCTTTCTGGCCTCAGGACCATTGCACTAGCTGCGCCCTGTGCCTGGAATCCTTGGCCCACAGGCACTTGCACTTCTCAAATGCTGTCTCCTAAGAGAAATCTTCCCTGACAATCCCCTGCAACACTCTACTGTCACCTCACACTGACCCCCAGGTCTCACACTGACCTCAGGTCTCACACTGACCCCCAGGTCTCACACTGACCTCAGCTCTCACACCGATCCCAGGTCTCACACTGATCCCAGGTATTCTTTCTGGATTCATTTTCTTCAAAGCACTAATCGCCGTCTGATATTACACATATGTCTGTGTGTATTCGTACGGTTCCCTAATTCACAAGTTATCTGTTCAAGAGCAGTTTTTTTGATTGTCTTCATCAGTCTGTATTTACACTTCCTGCAACATCGTCTGGCACAGAGTAGGAACTCACATGACAGCTAATTGAGATAATGAATGAATGAATAACAACATATGCGTATCATTAAGAAATATCAAGGAAATGCCAGAAGAAACTACCTTGTTGGGAGAGCTGGTAGGTGTTTGAGAACTTGATTTTTGTCTTTAAGTCTTTGAGCACTGTATGCTGTTATATACTTTGTGCATGAAGTACTTTGAATATAAAATCGGAACAAAGATTTAAAAATATAAAAACTGTTCCAAAGAGGCAAAGGCATATAACATGAATCTTTAATTTTGGAAGCCACTGATGTAAAATTTTACTGACTTTAGACGGCGTTTTACTCTACTTAAGAGTTCAATCATGAAAATTCTCTAGGATAATTCTTTCTTTCCTGTCCTTTTAAAAGAGTAATAGTGATGCCTACCTCTCCCTGCCATGAGCTCTTTCTTCCACTTGCTGCCCCACTTGATGCCCAGTTCCTGGCCATACTCATCCCCATACCAGACCAGCAGTTCACAGCCTGGCCTAATGACTCGGCAGGTTCTATAGAAGATCTGATGCCCAGTTCCTGGCCATACTCATCCCCAGACCAGACCAGCAGTTCACAGCCTGGCCTAATGACTCGGCAGGTTCTATAGAAGATCTGCCTGTGGTACTGGAAGGCCACCAGGTTCTGCTCTTCATCATCCCGGGCACAGTTCACATACCTGGGGTCAAGGCAGGCAAAGGGAAAGAAAGAGGCAGTGAGTTCCCTCCAGGCAGGATGACTACAATGCTCATCCTGCCTAGAATGCTTCCCTGCTGTGCCTAATCAGCCATTTTTTCAAAGCCCAACTCCAGACTTACCTCCACCTTGATTGGCCATAAAACACATTGACCTCTAGCTTCTCTAAACTCTAAATTAATTCTGTTTTATACCACAGAACTTGGTGCTTGATCACGTTGCTCTGCTTCTAGATTAGCTCACATCATTCTACACTCAGCTCAAGTCCATCTTTCTTTGACAGGCCTTCCTCTAATCACCCTACAGTTCACTCAGCTGCCATTCACCTGACTTCTTCAGATTCCTAGAGAAACTCAGAAGTCTCTTTCTCTTGGCCCAATAACATAGAACAGTAATAGTTGATTCATTTTTCTATTCTCTGATAGAACGACAGCCCATTGTGGAAAGGGGCTGGGTCATCCTGCAGTTCACTTCTGTTCAAGTAGTGAACTTCACTTCCTAACCTGGAACATACTAAGTGTTTAACAAATGTGGATTACATAAATTAAAGCATGAATTAACCTTATCAAGGTTTATCTTGGTGCCTCAATTTTGTCTAGCATACATATTTGTGTTTTGATACCAATAAATCATAATATCTATATTTTTATTTTTTATTTCTAAAAGTTGATGGTATAAAACAGCATTGTATGGAGAAAAATAGAAATAGGGGATGTGAAAATCATTGAGGGAGGCATAATGAGAAGGAAGGAAGTCCGGGTTTGTGAGAGATGGAGGTTCTCTCTGAAACTAAGAGACCTAGTGGCCTTACCTCATCCAGTTGGCCGAGGATTTATCTTTTCCATCCACATACTCATAGCAGTTTCTCCCCTTGGTGATCTGAGTTTCAAAAAATAAGGTAAAGACTTTTTAGAGGGTAAAAATCCGAAGAATTATTTTACTCCACGGTCATCAATGGCCTTTGGACCTGCAGAGCTTCAACTGCCAACTGAGACCACATGGCATGCACCTTAGTCATCATCTACACATCTGAGTTGGTTTGTCCAATCAGAGCAGAAGCTCCAAAAGGGAGGATGCACTTCTTTGTCTTTGTACCACTCTGCTCCCATGTACCCTGTGATCTCTAAATAGGAGTTCCATGTTCATGCAAAGACCCTTGAGTACACAGAGCTAACCATGTTATCCCTACCTATATCCTAACATGTAGAAGGTGATGTCCCATCAAAGGCACAGAAGGGATGTGGGAAGACAGAACAGGGGAAACAGCAGGCTCTTCTTACTAGCCAGGAATATCCACTGTTGGCTGCCTCTTCGTCTTCTGTAATTCGGCCCTCATAGGGGCCAAAGTGCAGACCCAGTGGCAGATCAGATGCCTCGTTCCATACTCCAAGCCCAGCCTGAGGGATGCCTGATGGCCCAATTCTCAGCCCCGGGGGCAGACTGAGGGCTGAACGGTTGGGATGCCCCTTGTCCACTGCACTGTCCTTTACAAATGTAGGGGGCCCATGAGCAGCACAGCTGTCAATGAAGAAGTTCTGACACATCTCACAATCTGGAAGTGAGGGAAGCAGGGATTAGGAAAGTTGTAATGCATGTTCCTTGATATAAGAGCTTCAGAAAGAGCGTGGCACTCACATTATTTAGCCCCAATCCTGTACTTTAATTCATTCGAGTAAGGGAATGATTTGTGGGCCAAATGATGAAATTATTGTACCAGGACATAACAGCAAGCTGTGTGAGTGGCTGAAAGGGTCACTCACAGAGGTAGTCATCATCCTGTGGCTCGCTGATCTCTTTGTATGCATGACCCTTTCTTTCTCGCAGGCTATACATCTTTCCTTCAGTCTCCTTCCTCCTGAGTTCTAGGTTGGAGAAGAGTAGATGGGTAAAATTGGGAGTCTGGGGTGTTTGTCCTTGTTTCATAAGAAAATGTGAAATCTCCTACCATCAAATTAGCATCTACCTTTCTACATACTCTAGTCTCCCTCTGTTTACTGCTTCAGAGAGACTTAGACCCCACACCCACACTGACTGTAGATGCCTATTCAATTTTAGTTTCTAGCTGTTCTCATTATCCCATTAACCTCCCAGCCTTTCTGCTTACAAAATGGTTCATTCATGCATTTATTTATTCAGAAAATATTTTTTGAGAGTTCATTACATCTTAGGCATTGAACAAAGGCCTGGACATACAACACTAAGAAAGTATAGTCTCTATAGGGGATCTTCTATGTACTAGTTGACATGTGATGGAAAAGGAAATGTAGAAACGCACAAAAGAATATATATTATCAGAGAGGTACTTATTGGACACCTCACATGTATGAATTCATTTATATTTAATTTAATGATTTCAAACAATACATGAGCTCTATATACTTGGTCTCATTTTACAGATTACCATTCAGGAGCCCATGGAATTTATAAGATTTGCCCAAGGCCCCAATGCTTCTGTGTGGATTATAACCCAAGTGAGTGACTTCAAAGTTAATGATCTTACATGCTATTCAATACTGTATCCAAGGCTAGGCATGGTGGCTCAAGCCTGTAATCCCAGCATTTTGGGAGGCTGAGCTGAGCAGATTACTTGAGGCCAGGAGTTTGAGACCGGCCTGGTCAACATGGTGAAACTCTGTCTCTACTAAAAATCAGCCGGGCACGGTGGTGCACACCTATAATCCCAGCTACTCGGGTGACTGAGGCATGAAAATCGCTATTTTCGTGGAGGCAGAGGTTGCAGTGAACCGAGATCTCACCATTGCACTCCAGCCTGGGTGACAGAGTAAGACTCTGTCTCAGTGAACAAATAAATAAATAATTTTAACAAAATACTGCATCTAACTTCTGGTCTCACAGTTGAGTCCAGCTTAAGCCCAGGCCTATCCAAAGTCCACCCCACATAGGTAGACCATACTCACCAACCTTTCTAGAGGACATAGAGGGACTAAATTCCCCTCAAATTTTTTCTTACCCAGTTTTAGTCTAGAGTGCTGTCCAGAGGTACTTGCTTCTCCAGGAGGGGACACTGGTTTCTGAGCCTGCTCTGAGTCACTTGTATTCAGTAAATTTGGCGTTCCTGACAATTCTCTCAAACTAGATTCATTATTGAATGACGCCTTGGGCATTCCCTTTAATGTGAGAATCACATATTAAAAGACAACGTGCATTTATTTAGTTCTTTACGGCTTGCAACATGTTTTCATATGACTGTAGTTAATGTTCAAACCTTGGAAATACCTAGAGTGTCTAAATACTAGAGGGAAAAGACAAGGTCTAAGTGGGTAGTGAATCTGGGACTCTAACCCATGTCTTAAGGCTCTTTCCTTCAACTTCCTCTCAAAACGTTCTGTGTAAGTTAAAGGGAAGGAGGAAGAATACTTGGGAAGACTAGCTGGAGAATCAGCAAGATCTGTGAAAGAAGGGGATGAGGGCTTACAGAGAGAAGGAGGGAATCTTCCATAAACTAGTAGACTTTTGATGGAAGGGGAAATGTAGAAAAGCACAGAGGGACAAAGCACATCTGGAAAATGAGGTAATAGGGCAGTAAGGTTCGGAACAGAACAAAGAGATGATTGGCAAAAATATATCTAGACAACTAAGAAAGTGAAGTCAAAGTTGCATGTTGCCATATCCTGGAAAGAATATTTGGCTTTTGAATTAGATTAGTTAGTTCCTGTACCAATTCTACTTGTCTGCTTGAATAAGGGTGTATTGTTAGCTAATTTCTCTTTAGTTTCCCGATCCAGAAGTTGGCATACATGGTTTTGTTTTGTTTTGTTTTGTTTTGTTTTGAAAAGGAGTCTTGCTCTGTTGCCTAGGCTGGAATGCAGTGGCATGATTTCAGCTCACTGCAGCCTTCACCTCCCAGGTTCAAGAGATTTTCCTACCTCAGCCTCCCGAGAAGCTAGGATTACAGGCACGTGCCACCACACCCAGCTAATTTTTGTATATTTATTAGAGACGGGGTTTCGCTAGTTTGGCCAGGCTGGTCTAGAACTCCTCACCTCAAGTGATCCACCCACCTCAGCCTCCCAAAGTGCTGGGATTATATGTAAGAGCCCCCGCACCCAGCCCATGCTAATTCTTTTTTTTTTTTGAGAGGGAGTCTCACTCTGTTGCCTAAGCTGGAGTGCAGTGGCACGATCTCAGCTAACTGCAGCCTCCATCTCCCAGGTTCAAGCGATTCTCCTGCTTCAGCCTCCCGAGTAGTTGGGATTACAGGTGTCCACCACCATGCCCAGCTGATTTTTGTAGTTTTAGTAGAGATGGGGTTTCACCATGTTGGCCAAGCTGGTCTTGAACTCCTGACCTCAGGTAATCTGCCCACCTCTGCCTCTCAAAGTGCTGGGATTACAGGTGTGAGCCACTGCCTCCGGCACTAATTCTTAATATTGTAGTGAACATGAAAGATAATAATGTTCACCAAAGTGTTTTTTGAGCTACTTAATACAGTATGAATGTGAGATTAATAATTATTCTCGCCAGGCACAGTGGCTCACACCTGTAATCCCAGCACTTTGGGAGGCCAAGGCAGGCAGATCACCTGAGGTCAGGAATTTGAGACCAGTCTGGCCAACCCTGTCTCTACAAAAAATACAAAAAACTAGCCGGGTGTGGTGGCGGGCGCCTGTAATCCCAGCTACTCGGGAGGCTGAGGCAGGAGAACAACTTGAACCCAGGAGGTGGAGGTTGCAGTGAGCCGAGATCGCGCCACTGCACTCCAGCCTGGGTAACAAGAGTGAAACTCTGTCTGAAAAAAAAAAAAAAAAAAGAAAGAAAAGAAAAGAAAAGAAAAAAATAATTTTTCTCACAGACTGGGTGCGGTGGCTCACATCTGTAATCCCAGCACTTTGGGAGGCCAAGGTAGTAGGATGGCTTGAGCCCAGGAGTTCAAGACCAGCCTGAGCTACACGGCAAAACCCTGCCTGTACAAAACACATAAAAATTAGCTGGGCATGGTGGTGCATGCCTGTGGTCCCAGCTACTCAGGAGGCTGAGGCAGGAGGATCACACTAACCTAGGAGATGGAGGCTGCAGTAAGCCGAGATTGAGCCATTGCACTGCAGCCTTGGCGCAAGAGCCAGACTCTGTCTCAAACTACCCCCTGCCCCTGTAGAAAAATAACAAACGAAAATTATCTCATAGTCCTGATATATCTCTACAGTTGAAATCTAACTCAAAGATATTTTCAGCATTCCTTGACCCTGTTACTTATAGTTTAATTCATAAGCTTGGAATCAATCATTCAGAAAACACTCAGGAGGCTCTCAGAGGCCCTGAGCTGGGCTTGGGAGTTCTAAGAAGAATCAGGAAGGGACTAGACTCCTGAAGAGCTCACAATGAAGAGGCAGCAGGCAGGCTAAACAAATAATTCCAAATAACATGACAGTTCCCTAATTGGAGCCCAGAGGAAGGAGCTGTTACTGCCTTCTACAGGAATGAGCATTTGAAATTGGTTCCAGAAGAATATATTTTTACTTAATAGGGTGTAACCTATATGAAGTCCTAAACCATTTTCTTATTTGTTGTTTCTCAATCTTCGAACCTGAAACCCTTCAGGGCTGGAAGCTGCTTCCTCTGATCAGAATGGGTCCCTTATGAGGGTAGGGACCCTATCTTCTTCTGGTACCATCCACAGTATGAATTGTCTATTTACTTGGAAGCTTCCCTTAATCAGAGTGTTTTAGTGCAAATCTGACTTTACTACAACAGAGAAAAACTGAGGTTGAAAAATCAATTGGACGAATGATGTAAAGACATATGGGTAAGACAGCATAAACTTTATAAAACTATGAAACTTTTAATGATCTTGTAAGTGCTTTAGAGAAGGAGTTTTGGATTAGACTGCACCAACACTGAATGTGATCCCAGGGATATAACTGAACATTTTTATACCTCAGTTTCCTAACCTGTAAAATGGCTATAGTTATAGTACCTACTTAATAGGTACTATATGTGAAGTTGAATAGGTACTATATGTAAAGTTTATTCATGTAAAATGCTTAAAAAAGTCTGAAAATACTGAGAAAATAACCCATGGTAGCGATTATTGTTGCTGTTCTTATTAACTCTTAAAATAATGATGATGGCAGACACTGCGCTAAAGAGATCAGGAGAGGAAGGCAGTAGTTCCTAGGATAGTCTGTACATTCTCCTTCTCTTACCTGTATTTGGATCTATGAGGAAGGTTTCTTGTCAACAGGATTTGGGAGATACTTACCTTCTGGTGTTTACTCTGTTCTCCTCTGAAGGCCATCCAAGGAGGTTTGACTAAGAGGTGATGAGAAATCAGTGGTTTGGTTGGTAAATGTTTCCAAACTCTAGAGATTTTTTTTTCTTTTTGATATGGAGTCTCCCTCTGTCGCCCAGGCTGGAGTGCAGTGGCACAATCTCCCCTCACTGCAACCTCCGCCTCCCGGATTCAAGCAATTCTCCTGCCTCAGCCTTGTGAGTTGTTGGGAACTACAGGTGTGCACCACCACACCCAGCTAATTTTTGCATTTTTAGTAGAGATGGGGTTTCTCCATGTTGGCGATGCTGGTCTCGAACTCCTGACCTTAGGTGATCCACCTGCCTCGGACTCCCAAAGTGCTGAGATTACAGGCGTGAGCCACTATGCTTGGCCTAACTCTGGAGTTTCTCATTAGAGACAGAGAATTCTGAATCAGAGAGTGATGATTCCAAGTATTATCCAAGGGCAATTTGGAAATGTTTTCTGAAGTATCATTAAGGCCTATGCTTCTATTGGGGGCATTGCTAATTTTCTTAAGATTTAAAAAAATAGATAAAACTTCATCTTTGTTTCAGCCTATCTGTAAAGGTATACCTAATAAGGTGTTTATTACATTAATTTTTAAAACGTAAATTGACCTTTCATGACAAACACACTGAACAAACTAGGAATAGAAGGAAATCACCTCGACGTAAAAAGGTCATATAAGAAAAGCCCTTTTTTTTTTTTTTTTTTTGAGATGGAGTCTCGCTCTGTCACCCAGGCTGGAGTGCAGGGGCGCGAGGTCGGCTCACTGCAAGCTCTGCCTCCTGGGTTCAGGCCATTCTCCTGCCTTAGCCTCCTGAGTAGCTGGGACTGCAGGTGCCTGCCACCACGCCCAGCTAATTTTTTGTATTTTTAGTAGAGATGGGGTTTCACCGTGTTAGCCAGGATGGTCTCGGTCTCCTGACCTTGTGATCCTCCCACCTCGGCCTCCCAAAGTGCTGGGATTACAGGCGTGAGCCACCGCGCCCAGCCGAAAAGCCAAATTTTTAACATCATAGTCGATGATGAAAAACTGAAAGCCTTCCTTCTAAGGTCATAAACAAGGTAAGGATTTCCAGTCTTGCTACTTCTAGTCAACATAGTCCTGTAAGTCGTAGCCTGAGCAATTAGGCCAGTAAAATAAATAAAAGGCATCCAAATGGAAAGGAAGAAGTAAAATTATCTCTGTTTGCAGATGACATGATCTTACATGCAGAAAACTATAATGATTCATTAGCTGGGCATGGTGGCGGGCACCTATAGTCCCAGCTACTCGGGAGGCTGAGGCAGGAGAATCACTTGAATCTGGGAGGCAGAGGTTGCAGTGAACCGAGATCATGCTACTGCACTCCAGCTTGGGCGACAGAGCGAGACTCCATCTAAAAAAATAAATAAAAATAAAAAATAAAACTATAAAGATTTTACCAAAAAATTGTTAGAAGTAATACACGAATTTGGGCTGGGCATGGTGGCTCAAGCCTATAATCCCAGCACTTTAGGAGGCAGAGGTGGGGGGATCACGAGGTCAGGAGATCGAGACCATCCTGGCTAACGTGGTGAAACCCCATCTCTACTAAAAATACAAAAAATTAGCTGGGTGTGGTGACGGGCGCCTGTAGTCCCAGCTACTCAGGAGGCCGAGGCAGGAGAATGGCATGAACCTTGGAAGTGGAGCTTGTAGTGAGCCGATATCATGCCACTGCACTCCAGCCTGGATGACAGAGCGAGACTCCGTCTCAAAAAAAAAAAAAAAAAAGAAGTAATACATGAATTCAGCATACAAAAGCAACACCCCAAATCAGTTGTGTTTCTATTTAGTAAAAATGAGCAATCCAAAAAGGAAATTAAGAAAAAAATCCCAATCACAATAGCATCAAAAAGAATAGAATAATTAGGAATAAACTTAACCAAGGAGGCAAAAACTTGAACACTGAAAACTACAAAACAGTGCCGACAGAAATTTAAGGAGACACAAATAGATGGAAGACATCCTGTGTTCGTGGATTTGAAGACTTAATATTGTTAACATGTTCATACTATCAAAATGATTTATAGATTCAATGTCCTGTCTATCAAAATGCCAATGCTATTATTTTCAGAAATGGAAAAATATCCAAAAAATCATATAGAATCTCTAAGGACCCAGAATAGCCGAAACAATCTTGAAAAAGAAGGATAAAGTTGAAGGCCTCACACTTCCTGATTTCAAAGCATATTACAAAGCTACAGTAATCAGAAAAGTATGGTACTGGTATAAAGACAGACCTATAGACCAATGGAACAGAATAGAGAGGCCAGAAATAAACCCTCGTGTATATGGTCAAATGATCTTCAGCAATGATGCCAAGACTACACAATGGAGGAAAGGACAGTCTGCAAGAAATTGTGTTGGGAAAACTGGATATACATATGCAAAAGAGAAGACAGACTCTTACCACATATCTCATATAAAAATTAACTCAAAATAGATTAAAGACTGAAATGTAAGGTCTATAAGTACAGAACTTCAAGAAGAAAACACAGAGGAAAAGCTTCATGACATTGAAATGAACAATAACTTCTTGTATATGACACCAAAAGCATAAGCAATAAAAGCAAAAATAGACAAGTAGGACTACATCAAACTTAAAAACTTCTGTGTAGCAAAGAAAACAATCAACACAGTGTCAAGGCATCCTACAGAGTGGAAGAAAATATATGCAAACCATGTATCTGATAAAGGGTTAATGTTGCTGAGTGCAGTGGCACATGACTATAGTTCAGCTATTCAGAGGCTGAGGTGGGAGGATCACTTGAACCCAGGAGTTCGAGACCAGCCAGGGCAACATAGTGAGACCTCTGTCTCAAAAAAAAGAAGATAAAGAGTTAATATCCAGGCCAGGCACTGTGGCTCATGGGTGTAATCCCAGCACTTTGGGAGGCCGAGGCAGATGGATCACTTGAGGTCAGGAGTTCATGACCAGCCTGGCCAACATGGTGAAACCCTGTCTCTACTGAAAATACAGAAGATTAGCTGGGTGTGGTGGTGTGTGCCTGTAATCCCAGCTACTCGGGAGGCTGAGGCAGAATAATCGCTGGAACCTGGGATGGGGAGGTGGTAGTGAGCTGAGATCACGCCATTGCACTCCAGCCGGGGTGACAAGAGCGAAACTCTGTCTGAAAAAAAAAAACAAAAAACAAAAAAACGAAGAAAGAGTTAATATCCAGAATATATGAAGAACTCCTATAATACAACAACAAAACAAATAATTAAATAATGGGTGCTATGGGCTGAATTTTGTTTCCCCCAAATTCATATGCTGAAGCACATTTAATACCTCAATATGATGGTATTTAAAGATGGAGCCACTGGTAGGTAATTAGGGCTAGGTGATGTCATGAGGGTGGGACCCTTAGGATGACATTAGTGCTTTTGGTTGGGTGCGGTGTCTCATGCCTGTAATCCCAGCACTTTGGGAGGCTGAGGTGGGCAGATCACTTGAGGCCAGGAGTTTGAGACCAGCCTGGTCAGCATGGTAAAACCCCATCTCCACTGAAAATACAAAAATTAGCTGATGTGCCCCTGTAGTCCCAGCTATGTGGGGGGCTGAGGCAGGAGAATTGCTTGAACCCGGGAGGTGGAGTTTGCAGTGAGCCGAGATTGCACCACTGAACTCCAGCCTGTGGCAACAGAATGAGGCTGTCTAAAAAAAAATCTTCTAGTAGGTATTATTGCTTTTATAAGAGGAAGAGAGAAATTTCTTCTCCTTCCTGCTGTTGGCACACAAATAATTCATGTAAATACACAGTGAGCTGGAGGCTGACTACAAGTCAGGAAGAGAGCCCTCACTGGAACCCAACCATGCTGGCACTCTGATTTTTTACTACCAGGCTTCAGAAATGTCAGAAAACAAATTTCTGTTGTTTAAGCCACTCAATGTGTGGTATTTTCTTGTGGCAGCCTGGGCTGACTAATACAATGGGCAAAAAGCTTGAATAGACATTTCTCAAAAGAAGATACATAAATGGCCAAGAAGCATATGAAAATATGCTTAACATCACTAATCATTAGGGAAATGAAAATTAAAACCACAATGAGATATCACCTTATCCTGTTATGATAGCCTCTGTCAAAAAACCAGAAAATAGCAATGTTGGCGAAGATGTGGAGAAATTAGAACACTTGCTTATTGTTGGTGGGTAGCTTAGTCTGTTTTCTGCTGCTTTCCTAGAATGCAAGAGAGTGGGAAATTTATGTGTTTGTTTGTTTTTTTGAGATGGAGTCTCGTTCTGTTGCCCAGGCTGGAGTGCAGTGGTGTGATCTCGGCTCACTGCAACCTCTGTCTCCCGGGTTCAAGTGATTCTTCTACCTCAACCTCCCAAGTAGCTGGTAATACAGGTGCATGCCACCATGCCTGGCTAATTTTGTATTTTTAGTAGAGATGGGGTTTTGCCAAGCTGGCGAGGCTGGTCTCGAACTCCTGACCTTGTGATCTGCCTGCCTTGGCCTACCAAAGTGCTGGGATTACAGGCGTGAGCCACTGTGCCTGGCCCAGAGTGGGTAATTTATAAAGAAAATAATTATTTGGCTTGTGGTTCTGGAGGCTGGGAAGTTGAAGAGCATGGCACTGGCATCTTGCAAGGGTCTTCAAGCTGCATCATGACATGGTAGAAGGGTAAGTGTGCATGTGAGACAGAGAGAAAGACAGGGAAGGGCCCAACTCATCCTTTTCATCGGAACCCACTCCTGCAATAACTAACCCACTCCTGTGATAATGGCATTAATCCATTCATGAGGTTGGAGCTATCATTACCAAATCACCTCTTAAAGGCTCCACCTCTTAATACTGTTACAATGGCAATTAAGTTTCCAATACATGAACTTCCACACATTCAAACCATAGTAGTGGGAATGTAAAATGGTGCAGACACTGTAAAAAAACAGTATGGCGCTTCCACAAAAAATTAAAACCAGAACTACCTTCTGATCCAGAAATTCCACTTCTGGGTATATAATATATTAAAAAGAATTAAAGGCTGGGCGCGGTGGCTCATGCCTGTAATCCCAGCACTTCGGGAGGCCGCGGCAGGCGGATCATGAGGTCAGGAGATCGAGCCCATGAGGCAGGCGGATCATGAGGTCAGGAGATCGAGACCATCCTGGCTAACATGGTGAAACCCCGTCTCTACTAAAAATACAAAAAAATTAGCCTGGCGTGGTGGCAGGCGCTTGTAGTCCCAGCTACTTGGGATGCTGAGGCGGGAGAATGGCGTGAACCCGGGAGTCAGAGCTTGCAGTGAGCCGAGATTGCGCCACTGCACTCCAGCCTGGGCGACAGAGCGAGACTCCATCTCAAAAAAAAAAAAAAAGAATTAAAAACGATCTCAAAGAGATATTTGCACACTGATAGTTATTACAGCATTATTCACAATAGACAAGAGGCGAAGCAACCTAACATCCATTGACAAATGAATGGATTTTCAAAATGTGGTATATACATGCAGTAGAATATTATTCAGCCTTAAAAAAGAAGAAAATCTTGTCACATGCTGTGACATGGGTGAATCTTGGGAACATTCTGCTAAGTGATTAAATCAGCCAGTCACAAAAAGACAAATGTTTCATGGCTGATTCCACGTATATGAGGTATCTAAAGTAACCAAATTCATAGAAACAGAATTGCAGTTGCCAGGAGCTGGAGGGAGGAAGAAATGGAGTGTTATTGTTCAATGGGTTAGGGTTTTAGTCATGCAAGATAAAGAGTTCTAGGGATCTATTGCACAACAGTGTGCATACAGTTAATAAAGTTGTACGCTTAAAAATTGTTAGAAGAGTAAATATATGTTGTTTGATTTCCACAATAAAAAATAAATTGACTTAAATTGGGGATTTTAACTGAGTTCAGATAAAGATGTATAGATGTGTGGTAAACCACGGGAGATAGATTCCCTCTAAAGAGACATTCTTTTCATGTCAAAACATTTGCAGAAAAGCAAACGCTGGCCTTTCATTCCTCTTACATTACATTAAGGTCTTAAGGAATCTCAAATCCACAGATGGGGAAATCGTAGACCCAATCCAAGTTGCTTTCTCCAGTTTGGGCAGATTGACTGTTTTTACTTCTAAACTCTCCTAACCAAGCAGTAGAAGAGGAAATGAGCTTTGCACTTCTATTTTATAATTATGGTACATTATTTTATCTACTTGATGCTGTCTCTGGTCAGTGACATATGGGAAAGATCAGGGCAACTAAACAGCTCTCTCAAACCCGCTCCAGAATCGAGACAAAGAAGTAGATACATTTTGGTATAAGAGGATCATATAGTATGATGAAATGTACATAAATGATGTATCTTTACTTAATATTATTTCTTCTAAGACATTTAACTCAATAACTATTATGAGATTGGTGTTAGAAAGCTTTTTTGTGGATTTGCAGTTTAATTGTTTTCTTTACTTGTTCTGTGATTTATTAACATTGTTTAGCAAAAACAATGTTTTCTTTTTTTTAAAAAAAGAATGACAATTTTTTTTTTTTTTTGAGATGGAGTCTCGCTCTGTCGCCCAGGCCGGAGTGCAGTGGTGCTATCTCAGCTCACTGCAAGCTCCGCCTCCCGGGTTCATGCCATTCTCCTGCCTCAGCCTCCTGAGTAGCTGGGACTACAGGTGCCCGCCACCGTGCCTGGCTAATTTTTTGTATTTTTAGTAGAGATGGGGTTTCACCGTGTTAGCCAGGATGGTCTTGATCTCCTGACCTCATGATTCGCCTGCCTCGGCCTCCCAAAGTGCTGGGATTACATTGTGCTTGTTTGTTGAACATTTATGTTTTTGAGGGAAGACTCTTTTTCCTTTGTTAAATTCTGAAATGTAGCTGAGACCTAAACCGAGGCCGGTTTCAGGAGGTCACTTTTTTTTCCCCCCGAGACGGAGTCTTCTCATTCTGTTGCCCAGGCTGGAGGGTGGTGGCACGATTTCGGCTCACTGCCACCTCCACCTCCTGGGTTCAAGCTATTTCCCAGCTTCAGCCTCTTGAGTAGCTGGGATTATAAGCACCCATCACCATGCCCAGCTATCTTTTTTGGCATTTTTAATAGAGATGGGGTTTCACCATGTTGGCTAGGCTTGTCTCAAACTCCAGACTTCAAGTGATATGGTTGCCTCAGCCTCCCAAAGTGCTGGGATTACAGGTGTGAGCCACCATGCCTGGCCAGGAGGTCACTTCTAAATCTTACTGGGGGCTATGCACGGTGGCTCATGCCTGTAATCCCAGCACTTTGGGAAGCTGAGGTGGGAGGAACACTTGAGCCCAGGAGTTTCAGGCTGCAGTGAGTTATGATTGTGCCACTGCACTCCAGCCTGGGTGACAGAGTGAGACCTTGTCTGTAATAATAGTAACAATCATCATCGTCATCATCATCATCATCATCATCATCATCATCATCATCATCCCAGCATTTTGGGAGGCCAAGGCAGGCGGATCACTTGAGGCCAGGAATTCGAGACCAGCCTGGCCAACATGGTGAAACCCCATCTCTACAAAAAATACAAAAATTAGCTGGGCAAAGTGGTGCACATCTGCAGTCCCAGCTACTCGAGAAGCTGAGGTGGGAGAATTGTTGAACCTGGGAGGTGGAGGCTGCAGTGAGCCGAGATTCTACCACTGTACTCCAGCCTGGATGACAGAGCAAGACTCTGTCTTAAAAAAAATAAAAATAGGCCAGGTGTGGTGGCTCATGGCTGTAATCCCAGCACTTTGGAAGGCCAAGGTGGGTAGATCACCTGAGGTCAGGAGTTCGAGACCAGCCTGACCAACATGGAGAAATCCCATATCTACTAAACAAAATTACAAAAAATTAGCTGAGTGTGGTGGCGCATGCCTGTAATCCCAGTTATTTGGGAGGCTGAGGCAGGAGAATCGCTTGAACCTGGGAGGCAGAGGTTGCCGTGAGCCAAGATCACGCCATTGCACTCCAGCCTGGGCAACAAGAGCGAAACTCCGTCTTTAAAAAAAAAAAAATCCTCCTTCCCTTCCCTCTTACCTTGCTGCCTAGGTGTCCATTCTTCATCGGAATCTTCTGTGTCATCCACCTGGAGTTTGATGGCCTGCCTTCGGTGACACATGAAAGCTGGTCGAGTGGCTCTGAGACCTGAAAAGAAGCAAAAAATTTTGCTCTGAAACGGAAGAGCTGGGATGAGGAACAAAGGGCAGTGGCAATGGAAAGCACCACAAAGCCAGTGCTGCTCAGTCTGATGAGCTGGGAGAGTCTTGAACAAGGTCAAGATGTGACCTCTGCATGGTCAGTATCCACACACAACCCTGCACTGACGCAAAAGAACAATATTTCCCTCCAGATTTGTCTCCGTGCAAAAGGGAATTGTGGGCAGATGCCGCCACCTGATAATTAAAATAATATAGGGACCAAAGACCTGTTTTATATCGCCCAGGCTGGTCTGTGCCCAGCACTTCCTGTTACCTACAGTAATCAGTGCATTATAGTTCATTTTCACATTCCTATAGCGAGTTTTCTCCCAGTCTCCCATTTCTGCCCATTCTTCCTTGGTGAAGTATATGGAAATGTCTTTGAAGGCATCTTTGACCTAGAGGAAGTAACAGATTCCATCAGTGATTTACTAATACACATCGAGCTGGTCCTTTTCCTCTACCCTGCGTGTAGGGCATAGCCTGGGGCCTCTGGGAGTCTCTGTGAAACATAAAGACCTTCCCTCCTTCTCCAGATTGTGTCCTGTTTAACTGAGCAGACACTGAGCATTTTCCTAGCTCTCTGCTGACACAGAGCAGTCGCTGATGCTAGTGTTCTTTTCTCCCCCATGTCCTGGCCAGGACCAGCTGCCCCCATTCCATGCACATTCAGACAGAGTCACCCAAGGGTACAGGCCAGGAGTCTGCAGCACTCCAGAGATCAGCTCCTGCTGGGAGTCTGGCTTCGCCTCCCCGACTTCTCACCATGGGCTTCCGCTCTGTTCTCTCTGTGTCTCCTTCTGGGCTCTCCTCTTGGGACCTTTCAGGGCTCATGGTGCTGGGACTGTCTAGAAGGCCCTGCTCCAATTCTGAGTGTGGGAAGGGCCCCTGAGTCTCCCAGCTCCTAGGCCAAAGGCTCCTGTGGAAGGAGAAGGTGCTGAGATGGGGCAACAGCCCTGAGCACTACCCAGAACAAGGCTCTGTCTTCTCCATCTGGCTGGGGTGTTCAGAGCAGGAAGACTGGGTTCCTGGTGAGGTCTCGAGCACCCCAGGGAGGTCTGGGGGTACTGATGGGATGGGAAGGCCTCCACTGGCCATGAGCTGCCACCTAATGTAAGCTGGATTTTGTTCTTTTAGTTCCCCTGCAGCTTGGCTCATTTGGAGAAGGGTGGCACAGGTGCCTGGAGGGTTGTAGCTACCGGTGTTTGAGGGGAGTCCTGAGGTGTGAGAGCCAGAGGAGTCTCAAGGAGACCTTGAGGCCCCCTGACTGCTGGGACTTGGGTCACACTGAGGAGCAGGGTTCTGTTTTAGCGAGGCAAAATGAACATTTTGCATAGACAGGATTTGGGGATCTCTACCTGGGGATTCTAGAAAAATCCAGGAGTAAAGCAGTCTGCATCTCTAAGGGGAAGCTATCTCTCAGGTTGAGATTTGGGGTCCCTCAGGCTGAGGGGATTTGAGATGTCTTAGACTGAAGAAATTGGGGTTTCTCAGGTTGAGGGAATTTGGAGTATCTTGAGCTGAGGAGCTTTGGTATCCCTCAGGCTGATAGTATTTGTGGTTTTTCAGGATGAGATTAGGGGTCTTTTAGGCTGAAGAGATCTGGGGTGCTCTAGTTGACAGGATTTGAGATTCATCAGGTTAAGGGGATTTGGGGTTCCTCGGGATGAAAGGATTTGGGATATTTGAGGCTGAGGAAATTCTGGGTCTCGGGTAAAGGAGATTTGGGTCTCTCATTAATGGGTTTTAGGGTGTTTGACACTGAGGTTATTTGGTCCTTGAAGCTGACGGGGTTGAGTTTTCAGGCTATTTAGGTTATCTGTGGTTGGGGAAATCTGGTCTCTCTGAGATATTTAGGGTTCCTCAGGCTGAGGTATTTGGGGTGCCTTAGGGTGAGGGAAATTGTGGCTCCTCAGGCTCAGAATATTTGGGGATCTAAGCATTAGGAGATTCGATGTTCCTCTGGGTGAAGGGATTTGGGGTCTCTGAAGCTGAGGTACTTTGGGGGTTTCATGCTGAGGGGATTTTAAATCCCTCAAGGTGGCAGGATTTGGGGTCTTTTGAGGCTGAGAGGATTTGGAGCTTCTCAGGGTGAGGGGATCTGGGGTCTCCTAGGCTAAAATTTGAAGGTCTTGGGATGAGGGTTTACAAGGGTTTCACGCTGCACGACAAAGGCTCCCCATGCTCTTCACAGTCTCCCGTTTTCTCCTGCCGCGGTGTTCACCCTGGCCGGGCGTCTTCTCGGAGCCGCTCAGGAGGTGAGACGCGGTGGGTGCCAGCCTGTAGTGCTGCCAGCCAATCAGCGTTGAGACCAAGGCGAGCCCGCCAATCGGCAGTCAGGAGGTGCTAAAGGGGCGGGGAGTAGGGCGGAGCCTTGCCTGTCAGTCATGGGCACAACCCGGTTTTGGGCTCAGGAGGTCGGGGAGGGGCCTGGCTTTTCCCGCCCCTGGGGAAGGTCCCGCCCCTGGGGAAGGTCCTGCCCCACCCCGCTGGGATTGCGTGCAACCATCTGGAATCCTCCCGCGCACAGGCGCAGTTTCGCGGTTTTATTACTTGGTTTTCCCCAACGCCGGTGTTTCCGACTGAGCCGGGAGTCGGGGCTGCTCCTCACTTCCCTCCTCAGGCCTGGGTCTTCTGAGGGGACACTGTGTCTTTTTGAATTGCCAGAGTTCTTGCACTGACTCTCATCTGGGAGGGTTGGTGTTCCTTTAACTGTGGTGTAAGTTGGGTATTGTCAGCTGGCTTCGTTTCTGGATGCTTCAGAGGGCCAGGGTTCTGTACAGGGCCCTTACGGGTGGGTGAATTGTGCTTGGTTTCACAGATGTTGTATTAGCTGGCCAATTTTGGTGTTGTAGTTAGGGCTGTGATCCAATAGATGGTGCTTAAGAGGAACGGCTGCTATCTCCAGCAGCAAGGTTCTTCTGTACTTCGCGTTCGCAGGTGTGCTTTGCATTGAGACGGGAGAGCGATAGCCCCCCATCAGCTCCTGGACCTTGAGGGGAGCCTCCTGTGATCACTGGCGCCTGCCTGCGTTTCTTTTGTTAGGTGTTCTGAGCTGCGGGGCTCCCTCGGGCAGAGGCTGCATAGGTCGCCCCCTTTCTGGACTGGCCCTCTGGAGGGAGGCATGCCTCGCTCCCTCGTTGCCCAGGATCCCACATGTCTCACCTCTCTCAGTGCTCTGAGAGTGGGGGCTCCTGCTCCGTTCGAGTGCTGGCCACAGATCTCCCCCTCGGTATCCCTAGCTACGTGCCACAGCCCTGGGGACACCAGGAAGTCCTATGGCTTGGGGTTGGGCTCTCGCTGCGCTGGGGAATCCAATGTGCTCCTGGGTCACGGGGAAGGTACTCAGGTGGAGCAATGCACTCAGGCTGGGCTGCAGAGGCTGCACTGTGCACCTACTCTTGCAGAGTGGCTAGGCATGGGCCCTGGGAGGGGCCAGTGGACAGGAGGACTTGCAGAACGGAGGCACCCAAGTCCCACAGGGAAGCTGCCACTGCTGTCTCCTGGCTCAGACGTCAGCTGCTGCCAGAGTCTCCTCCAATTAAAATTGATTTAATTAGCTTATTGTTCTGCGGGCTGTACAGGAAGCATGATGCTGGCACCTGCTTGGCTTCTTGGGAAACTTACACTCACAGCTGAAGGCGAAAGGGGAGTCAGCACTTGACACGGCCAGAGCAGGAGGAAGAGAGAAAGATGGGGAGGTGCTATACACTTTTAAACAACCAGATCTCACTGTACAGTTCCAAAGACGGATGGTGCTAAACCATTCATAAGAAGTTTGTCCTGTGATCCAATCACCTCCCACCAGGCCCGACCTCCAACACTGGGGATTACATTTCAACTAAGTTTTGGACACAGATCCCAACCAGATCATTCCATTCTATGGAATGCTACCGTGTAATGCATCATCTATTATCATTAATTCAAAATAAATTAAAGACTGAAATGTAAGACCTAAAAGTACAGAACTCCAAGAAGAAAAAAAATAAAATCTTTATAACATTGTAATGAACAATTACTTCCTGGATATGACACCAAAAGTATAAGCAACCAAAGCAAAATTAGATAGATGGGAGTACATCAAACTTAAAAACTTCTGTGTAGCAAAGGAATCAACAGAGTGACAAGGCAACCTATATAGAAAGGGAGAAAATATTTGCAAATCATATAACTGGTACGGAGTTAATATCCAGAAACTTATAAAAAAAGTCTTATAACTCAACAACAAACAATAATTTGACTAAAAAATCAGGTGGGGTGCAGTGGCTTATGCCTGTAATCGCAACACTTGGGAGGCCAAGGAGGGAGGATTGTTTGAGGCCAGGAGTTTCACATTAGCCTGAGCAACATTTTGAGGCCTATCTCTACCAAATTATGTTTTTTTAATTAGCTGGGTGTAGTGGTCCATGCCTTAAGTCCAAGTTACATGGGAGGCTGCGGTGGGAGGTTAACTTGAGCCCAGGAGTTCAAGACTAGCCTGGGCAACATAGGGAGATCCCAACTGTACAAAAAATTAAAAAATTAGCTGGGTGTGGTGGCACTTGCCTGGAGTCCTAGCTACTTGGGAGGCTGAGGTGGGAGGATTGCTTGAGCCCAGGAGTTTGAGCCTAAAACGAGTTATGGTCACACTTTTCTGTAATGTCACAGAAATGGGATCACACCTTATGTGATCTTTTCAGAGTGGCTTCTTTCACTTAGCGATGTGCATGTCAGATTCATCAATGTCTTTGCATGGCTTCATAGATCACCCCTGTTTCTTGCTGAATAGCATTCTATTGCATGGATGTACCCAACTTGGTTATTTATTCACCTATTGAAGGTCATCCTGACCCCTTAAAGTATTTGGCCATTATGAAGAGATCAACTGTACATAACAGCATATTGGCTTTTGTTTGGACTTAAGTTTATAAAGTTGTTATCTAAATACCTAGTAGTTGGCCATGCGCAGTGGCTCACACCTGTAATCCTAGCACTTTTGGAAGCCGAGGTGGGTGGATTGCCTGAGCTCAGGAGTTTGAGACCAGCCTGGGCAACACGGTGAAACACCTTCTCTACTAAAATACAAAAAATTAGCCAGGCGTGGCGGTGTGTGCCTGTAGTCTCAGCTACTTGGGAGGCTGAGGCAGGAGAATGGCGTGAACCCAGGAGGTGGAGGTTGCAGTGAGCCAAGGTCACACCACTGTACTTCAGCCTGGGTGACAGAGCGAGACTCCATCTCAAAAAAACAAAAAACAAAACAAAAACAAAACCAGATAAACAACAACCAAAAAAAACAAAAAAAACCCCCAAAACCTAGGAGTGCTTCTATGGTGAGAGCATGTTTAACTTTAATATAAACTGCTGTATTGTTTTCTGAAGTTGCTGTATCATTATGCATTCCACTATCATTGAATGAGAGTTCCTGTTGCAACTTATTTTAATTTTATTTATTTATTTGTTTTTTTGAGAGAGAGTCTTGCTCTGTAGCCCAATCTGAGTGCAGTGGCATGAACATTGCTCACTGCTGCCTCTACCTCCCAGGCTCAAGCAATTCTCCCACCTCAGCTGGGATTACAGGCATGTGCCACCAGGGCTGGCTAATTTTTTTTTTAATTTTTGTTAAAGATGAGGGTCTCACTATGTTGCCCAGGCTGGTCTTGAACTTCTGGTTTCAGTTGATCCTCCTGACTTTGCTTCCCAAACTGATGGGATTACAGGCATGAGCCACTGTGCCCCGCCTCCTGTTGTAATTTTTATTGCATTAAAAAAAGATTTTAGTCAGTTTAGTAGATGCTCAGTGGTATACCATTGTTGCATTAATTTGCTTTTCCCTCTTGACAAGTGCCATGAGCGTTCTTTTGGATGCTTGTTTGCTGTCTTATATCATTTTTAGTGAGGTGTCTACCTTTTAATTGTGTTGTGTTCTTGTTGAGCATTAGAATTTCTTTGTATATTTTGCATATAAGTCCTTTTCAGGTTTGTTTTATAAATATTTTCTCTCAGTCTGTGGCTTTGTTTTTGATTCTTGTAACAGGATGTTTCACAGAGTAGACATTTCAAATTTTAATAAAGTCCACATTATCAATTTCTTTTTCTTTTATGGACTAGCTTTTGCTATTGTATCTAAAAGTTTATCACCAACCCAAATCCATGTAGGTTTTCTTCTATAACTTTTACTATTTTATATTTGGAAATTTAAGTCTATAGATTATCTTGAGTGATTTTTTGGCTGACCCGTGAAGTTTGTGTCTTTGTTCATTCCCCCACTATGGTTTCTGTTGTGCTGTCACCACTTGTGGAACAGACTTTTCTTTCCCCATTGAATTGCGTTTGCCCCATGACAAAATCAGTTAACTGTATTTATTCGGGTCTTTTGGGTTCTCTATTGTGTTCCATTTATCTTTTTGCTTATTCCGTCACCAATATCACTCTTCATTACTTTAGCTTTGTGGTAAAGATAACAATAGTAAGTTATTGTTTCTAAACGAGGACTATCTGCATTTATTTATATATTTTTTATTCCTCTCAACCATGATTCAGTTTCCTGAATGCATATTTGTTTGTCTTTTGTTAGATTTATACTCAATGAATTGAAATTTTAAAGAATATCATTTACAATAGCACACCCAAAATTTAATTCATTAAATTCAAATTATTCCTATACATTATTGGTGATATAAAAAAATCAGCTAGGGCTGGGCGCGGAGGTTCTCGCCTGTAATCCCAGCGCTTGGGTGGCTGAGGCGGGAGGATTGCTTGATCCTTGGAGGCGGAGGCTGCAGTGAGCCAAGGTCATGCCACTGCCTCTCCAGCCTGGGCTACAGAGCAAGCCTCCGTCTCTAAAATAAGAAAGAGAAAAAGAAAAAGAAAATCCATTGACCTTTGTCTACTGGCCATCTATTTTACTTGTTAAAAATCTCCATGCGTTCTGATCAAGGCATGTGATGGTGGGCTCGATTTCAGTTGAAATTTCCAAAATCATGGCCCGGAGTAATCTGGAGGCTGAATTTCAGAGATTCCCGAGGGCTGCCGCGAGGGGGCGCCCAGCCCCTGCTAAACCCGAGCGCTGCGCGCTTGAGCCGTATCTGATCCGCAAGGCGGCGTTGCGGGGCGTTTACCGTGAGGACAGAGCTTCCTCCCTCAGGACGCGGCTGGGAGAGGCTGCGGCCTCGGGAGACATGGGGACACTTGGGGCCGCGTCCACAGTGAGACAGGGAGACGCTGCTGCAGCTTCGGGACACCTGGGGCCGCCCAGGCGAAGATGAGGAAAAAGCTTCCTGTTGCCGTTGAGTGTAGCGGCGGGAGCGCGGCCGTGTTTCCCTGTCCGCCGTTTGTAGCAGGACCTCACTTTATATTAATAAAAGCGTCCCCTCATGAGGGCTTGGGCTGGTCACCCCCAGCGCAGGCCAAGATGCAGGTTATGGATGTGAGTTTGTTTCTGGGGAGAGACCCTGGTACCGGGAGAGGAGACGCGGTCAGGAGGCTGGGGACGGGAAGGCGCCACAGCCTGAGGCCGAGAAAACAGGCGCCCCCGGATCAGTGCTCGTTTTTTTTGGTTTGGTGTGTGTGTGTGTGTGTGTGCGTGTGCGCGTGCGCGTGCGTGTGTGTGTGTGTTTTGAGACCGAGTTTCGCTCTTGTTGCCCAGGCTGGAGTGCAGTGGCGCCATCTCGGCTCACTGCAACCTCCGCCTCCCAGGTTCAAGCGAGTCTACTGCCTCAGCCTTCCGAATAGCTGGAATTACAGGGACCCGCCACCACGCCCAGCTAAGTTTTTGTATTTTTAGTAGAGATGGGGTTTCACTATGTTGGCCAGGCTGGTGTCAAACTCCTGACCTCAAGTGATCCACCTGCCTTGGCTTCCCAAAGTGCTGGGATTGCAGGCAGGCCTGAGCCACCATGCCCTGCTGCTTTTTTTTTCTAAATTAAAAAAAATTTTAGGCTGTCTTTGCTTTGATAAAATACATAGGAGTATTTTGTGTGAAGTTGCTGTAACTGCTGGGGAATCTAAGAGAAGGGATAAGTTAAACTTTGCTATTGCAATAATCCTAGAAGAAGGAAATTATTGTAAATTATAAACAACCACATTAATACCTTGTCAGTAAAGCAGAGACATCAAACTTCATTATAGAGGCCAAACCAATCCAAATCCAGGTCAGTGGAAGCTGTGTACCAAGCGCCCTGCTGTCATGTCAGTATTGCGGCTGTCATATCAGTATTACAGGTGTCATATGAGTCTTAGGGGTGTCATAGTAGTACTGTGAGTGTCATCAATATTGCGGGTGTCTTGTCTGTATCGTGGGCGTCATATCACTGTTGCAGGTGTCCCATCAGTCTTATGGGCATCATATCAGCCTTATGGGTGTCATATCATTATTAAGGGTGTCATATGAGTCTTAGGAGTGTCATGAATCTTGCGGGCTTCACATCAGTTTTAAGGGTGCCATAGCAGTCTTGCCGGTATCATCTCCATTGTGAACGTCACAGCAGTGTTGTGGGTGTCATATCAGTATTACGATATGCCATGATATGTTATACCAGTATGACACCTCTTCTGAAAACAGTCATACCTAGACATAGTGCTTTGTTTGTTTGTTTGTTTGTTTGTTTGTTTGTTTTGAGACGGAGTCTCGCTGTGTCGCCCAGGCTGGAGTGCAGTGGTGTGGTGGAGTGGTGTGATCTCTGCTCACTGCAAGCTCCACCTCCCGGGTTCATGCCATTCTCCTGCCTCAGCCTCCTGAGTAGCTGAGACTGTAGTCTCAGCCACCATGCCCGGCTAATTTTTTGGCATTTTTAGTAGAGACGGGGTTTCACTGTGTGAGCCGGGATGGTCTTGATCTCCTGACCTCATGATCTGCCCGCCTCGGCCTCCCAAAGTGCTGGGACTACAGGCCGGGAGGCGGAGGTTGCAGTGAGCCGAGGTTGCACCACTGCACTGCACTCTGGGTGACAGAGCGAGACTCTGTTTTGGGGGAAAAAAAAAACTCATACATGGAAAATTCCAAAACATTGCTGAAATAAATTCAAGAAAACTTTTGGCGGAAATTCACAAGCTGATCCTATCATTTATATGAAATTTCAAGGGATGCAGAATAACCAACATAGTGTCAAAGAAACCAACTCAGAGGCTCACATTTCCAAATTTCAAATCTTACTACAAAGCAACATTAATAAAAACAACATGATTTTGGCATCATCAATGGAATAGATCAATGGAACTGAATTCTGAGTCCAGAAATAAACCCATACTCCTATGAGCAATTGTTTTATTTTTTGAGGCAGGGCCTCACTCTGTCTCCCAGGCTGGAGTGCAGTGGCACAATCATGACTCACTACAACCTCTATTTCGTGGGCTCAAGTGATCCTCCCACCTCAAACCTCCCAAGTAGCTGGGACTAGAGGTGTGCACTACCACAGCTGGCTAATTTTTTTTTTTTTTTTTCAGGTAGGGTCTTTCTCTCCTGCCCAGGCTGGCCTCAAACTCCTAGCCTCAAGTGATACTCCTCTCTTTGTCTCCCAAAGCACTGGGATTACAGGTGTTAGCTACCATGTCCAGCCTGCTGATTTTTAAAAATGGAATTTCTTTTTCCTTTCTTTTTTTCTCTGGGCATGGTTTTGCTCTGTTTCCCAGATTGGAGTGCAATGGTGCGAACGCAGCTTATTGCAGCCTCAACCACCTGGGCTCAAGCAATCCTCCCTCCTCCGTCTCCTGAGTAACTAGGACTACAGACATGCACCACCACACCTAGCTAATTTTTAAGTTATTTGTAGAGAGAGGGTTTCCCTGTGTTGCCCAGACTGGCCTGAAACTCCTGGGTACCCAGTCTCAGGTATTTATAGTGATGGGAAAAAAGCTTAATACAGAAAATTGGCACAAAGGAGTGGAAAATTGTTATAAGAATACCTGAAAATGTGGAATCAGCTTTGTAATTGGGTAAACAGGCAGAGGTTGGAAGAGTTTGTAGGATTCAGAAGAAGACAGAAAAATGAGGGAAAGTTGAGATTTTCTTAACTTTGAATGGCTTTGACGAAAATGCTGATAGTGATTTGGACGGTGAAGGCTGAGCTGAGGAGGTCTCAGATGAAAATTAGAAACTTATTAGGATCGAAGCAAAGGTCATTCATGTTGTCTTAGCAAAGTGGTTGGCTGAATTTCTGTCATGCCCTAGGGATATATAAAAGTTTGAATTTGAAAGTGATGATTTAGGGTTTCTGTTGAAAAAATGTCTAAGCACTAAAGCATTGAAGATGTGGCCTGGCTGCTTCTAACAACCTATGCTCACATGTTGGAGCAAAAAAAAGTAAGTTGTAATTTATTTTTACTTGCAAGGGAAGTATAGCGTAAAAGCTTAAAAACTTTGCAGCCTACTCATGTGGCAGAAAAATAAAAAGCTTTTACAAGAGAGGAACTCGAGCAGGCTGTGGAGCAATCACTTGTTAGAGATATTTGTATAACTTAAAAAAAAAAAAAAGCAAGTGTTGATAGCCAAGACAATGGGGAAGAGGAATTGAAGGCATTTTAGAAATCTAAAAGGCAGCCCCCCATCACAGACCCTGAGGCCTAAAAGAAGAGAATAGTTTCTGGGATCAGGCCCAGGAACTGCTGCCTTGGGTAGCCTTAGAACATGGCTCCCTGCATCCTGGCCACTGCTCCAGCTCCAGATGTAGCACAAATTGGCCCAGTTAAAACTCCAGTCACTGCTTCAGAGGGTGCAAGCCTTAAGCCTTGGTAGCTTTCATATGGTGTTAGGCCTGTGAGTGTACAAAATGCAAGAGCTGAGACTTGGGAGCCTCCACCTTTACTTCAAATAATGTATAAAAAAGCTAGGGTGTGCAGGCAGAAGCATGCTGCAAGGGTGGAGCCCTCATGGAGAACCTCTACTAAAACAATGCAGCAAAGAAATGTAGGGTTACAATCCCCATGTGGGTTCCCCACTGGGGCATGGCCTAGTAGATCTGTGAGGAGAGGATCACTGTCCTCCAGATCCCAGAATGGTAGATCTAGCTACAGCTTGCACTTTGCACATGGAAAAGCCAGAAGCAGACAAAACCAGCCAGAGGCACGCAATACCAGCCCATGAGAGCAGCTGTGGGGGCTGAACCATGCAAAGCCACAAGGTCTAAACGTCCCAAGGCATTAGTGTGCCCTGGAAATGGGACATAGAGTCAAAAATAATTATTTTGGAGCCTTAAAATTCAATAACTCCCCTTCTGGGCTTCAGACTTGTATGGGTCCTGTGGCCTCTTTTTTTTTTAGCTGATTTCTTCCTTTTAGAATAGGAGTATTTACCCAATGCCTATGCCCCATTTGTATCTTGGAAGCACTTAATTTGTTTTTTATTTTACAGGCTTATAGGAAGAATAAACTAGCTTTGTCTTAGATGAGACTTTTGACTTTTGAGTTAAGGCTGAAATGAGTGAAGACTTTGGGGATTATTGGGATGTCATGATTATATTTTGAAATATGAGAAGGATATGAGATTTGGAATGGCCAGGGGCAAAATGATATAGTTTAGGTGTGTGTTCGCACCAAATTCTTATATTAAAATGTAATCCTCAATGTTGGAAGTGGGCCTAGTGGGGAGGTGATTGAATCATGAGGGCAGGATTTCCATGAACAGTTTGGCATCATTTTCTTTGGTGCCATTCTCACAATAGTAAGTTTTCATGAGAGCTGGTTATCTACAAGTGTGTAGCACTTCCCCCCACCCTCACACTTACCATGTGATGTGCAAGCACCGGATTTATTTTTCACCTTGATTGTCAGTTGTCAGAGGCTTCACCAGAAGCAGAAGCCAGTGCTATGCTTTCTGTACAGCCTGTAGAACCATGAGCCAATTAAACCTATTTCCTTTATAAATTAACCAGTCACCGACTGTTTTTACAGCAATGTGAGAATGGCGTAATATTTCCGTCAAAAAACTGTTAGAAGTAATAACTTGAGTAAATTTGCAGAATACAAAATTAACATATACAAATCAGTAAGATTTCTATATGCCAACAGTCAACAAACTGAAAAAGAATTCAAAAAAGTAATCCTATTTGCAATAGCCACAAATAAAACAAAATGTGTGGGAATTTACCAAAGAAATAAAAGTTCTCAACAATTAAAAATGTAAAACACTGATAAAAGAAATGAAAGAGAAGACAAAAAAATGGAAAGTTATTTCTATGTTCACAGATTGGAAGAATCAGTATTTTAAAAAATGTCCATACGATCCAAAGCAATCTATACATTTCATGCCATCTCTATCAAAATAACAATGACATTCCTCACAGAAATAGAAAAAAAATCTGAAATATATATGGAACCACAAAACACCATAATAGTCAAAGCTATTCTGAGTATATAAACTAAAACTGGAGGAATCCCATTACATGGTTTTAAATTGTACTATCAAGCTATAGTAATTAAAACAGCATGACACTAGAATAAAAAGACATAAAGACAAATGGAATGAAACAGAGAACTTAGAAACAAACTCATACAGCTAAACTAATTTTCAACAAAATTGTCAATAACATACAACAAAAAACAAGACAGTTTCTGTAATAAATAGGGCTGGGAAAACTGGCAAGCCATAGGCAGAAGAATGAAACTAGAACCCTATTTCTTGCAAAATACAAAAATCAAATTAAAATGAATTAAGGACTTAAACCTAACACCTCAAACTATCAAAATTTTACAAGAAAACACTGGGGAAACTCTTTAGGGCATTGGTTTGGGCAAAAATTTCTTAAATAATGCCCCATAAGCACAGACAACCAAAGCAAACATGGACAAATGGAATTACAGCAAGTCAGAAAGCTTTTTTAAAGTGAAGGAAACAATAAACAAAGTGAAGAGAAAACCCACAGAATGGAAGAAAATATTTGTAAATTACCCATCTGAAAAGCAATTAATAGCTACATGATATGGTTAGGCTTTGTGTCCCCACCCAAATCTCATATTGAATTGTAATCCCCAGGTGTTGAAGGAGAGACCTGGTAGAAGGTGATTGGATCATGGGGTTGGTTTCCCCCAGGCTGTTCTTCTGATAATGAGTGAGTTCTCATGAGATCCGATGGTTTTATAAGGGGCTCTTCCACCTTTGCTTCACATACATGCTCTCTCGCCTGCCATCATGGAAGAGGTGCCTGCTTCCCGTCTGCCATGATTTTAAGTTTCCTGAGGCCTCCCCAGCCATGTGGAACTGTGACTCAGTTAAACCTATCTCCTTTATAAATTGCCCAGTCTCGCCAGGCGCAGTGGCGCATGCCTGTAATCCCAGCACTTTGGGAGGCTGCGGCGGGTGGATCACGAGGTCAGGAGTTCAAGACCAGCCTGGCCAAGATGGTGAAACCCCATCTCTACTAAAAATACAAAACTTAGCTGGGCATGGTGTTAGGTGCCTGTAATCCCGGCTACTCAAGAGGCTGAGGCAGAGAATTGCTTGAACCCAGGAGGTGGAGGTTGCAGTGAACCGAGATCATACCAGTGCACTCCAGCCTGGGCGACAGAGCAAGACTTCATGTGAATACATAAATAGATAAATAACCCAGTCTCAGTTTTTTTATAGCAGTGCAGAAACAGACTAATACACTACAATATATTGAAGTGAAAAGCTGCTCCACATTACTGATCATTATAGAAATGCAAATCAAACCCAAAATGAGATATCATTTCACCTCAGTTAAGGTGGCTTTTATCCAGAAGTCAGTCAAAAACAAATGTTGCTAATAGCCAAGATTTGGAAGAAACCTAAATGTCCATCAGCAGATGACTGGATAGAGAAAATGTGGTACATATATACAATGGAGTACTATTCAGCTATAAGAAAGAATGAGAGTCTGTCATTTGCAGTAACAGAAATGGAACTGAAAGTCTTTATGTTAAGTAAGTCAGGCACAGAAAGAAAAATGTCACATGTCCTCACTTATTTGTGGGTGCTAAAATTTGAAATAATTGATGTCATAGAGAGTATAAGGGTGGTTACCAGAGTCTGGGAAGGGCAGTGGGGGAACAGGGGGTTAGTGGGGATGTGAAATGGGTACAAAAAATTGTTAGAAAGAATGAACAAGACAGTATTTGATAGCACAACAGGGTGATTATGGTAAAAAAAATTTTAATTATACATTTTATAAAAACTAAAATAGTATAATTGGATTGTTTATAACACAAGCTATAAATGCTTGAGAGGACGGATACCCTGTTTTTTATTATGTATTACTCATTACATGCCTGTATCAAAGTATGTCATGTACCCCCATAAATATATACACCAACTATGTACCCATAAAAATTAAAAATTACAATTAAAACCAAAGGGAGGAGAGTCTAATGAGGCAGGTGTGACCCATGGCTTGAACTAGCTTTTCAGGGTAACTTTGGAACGTTTTTATCCAAGAAGAGGGGTCCATTTAGTCAATAGGGGCTTAGAAATTAATTTTTAGTTTGTAAGTGGAAAAAAGAGAATTTTTAATCCTGAGCCATAGCTCTCAGTCAGTCAGTCCCTGCAGGGAACCCTGTTCTTTACTCTGGAGATAAACACTATTTTTCTTTTCCACTGAATAACACCACATTTCAAAATGAGGGGAAACATCTTGAAACTAAGAGGTATGGCCTTATTAAATTTGATTTGGTTTCCATTGTAATTAATTTAATCACATGTGTTCTAGAGTTTGTCCTCAGTCTTCTACTTTAGGCTCATGATCTGTTGAATTTGCTCAGCTCCCTGCTCAACAGCAGGAAATCAGAATTATTTAAAAGCCTCATTGTGGCTGGGAGCAGTAGCTCATGCCTGTAATCCCAGCAATTTGGGAGGCCAAGGTGGGCAGATCACTTGTTGTCAGGGGTTTGAGACCAGCCTGGCCAACAGAGTGAAACCCCATTTCTACTAAAGATACAAAAATTAGCTGGGTGTGGTGATTCATGCCTGTAATCCCAGCTACTTGGGAGGCTGAGGCAGGAGAATCACTTGAACCTGGGAGGCGGAGGTTTCAGTAAGGCAAGATGGTGCACTGCACTCCAGCCTGGGCAGTAGAACAAGACTCTGTCTCAAAATAATAATAATAAATAAAAATAAAAATCTCATTGTGTTTCAAACAAAATTTCTTTTGCATATCAACTGTGTCAGCTTGCATATTAACTATAATCATTTTGTTTACTTTATATCCAATCTTGAGAAATCTCTGAGGACTAATTTCACTCTTTTCTGCCATTTTGGTAAACATACCAAATGCCATCAAATAAAATGCACAAAATTCCTGAGAAATACATTTTCTCCTTGAGGAGTAGACTTGCTGTGTTAGAGGAACTCATGGTTATCAAGCTTCCAGTTTAATAAACATGACTAGAATTCTCTATCTTAATATGAGTAGCTAGGTACTCACAAGGCATCTAGAAGGTTAATACCTATAGTCTGAAAATAGCCACATTTTTTTACTGGCCACAAATTACAATTGCAGAATATTTATGGCCATACAAGACATCTTCCACCAAGCCTGAAAAATGTATAAATATCCTAGGAGTGCAGCATTTTTTGTTAAAGATAATATTAATGAGCTAGCTTAGGTCAACGGGTTAATGGTCATCGTTAAAACGAATAGACCCGACTTTAATGAGTACATCTGCACCTTCCAAGTTTAATTATAACTCTTTCTCTTTATAGTTAGAGTAGAGACACTAACAAAAGACAATGCATTCCTGCTCTTATTTTCTGAGGATGTCCAACTCTGTAATGGAGTCGTTTCTAATAAACTTGCTTCTTTCACTTTGCTCTCTGACTCACCTCAAATTTTTTCCTGCACAAGATCTAAGAATCCTACTTTGTGGTCTGTATCAGGAACCTCTTTTCCAGCAACATCTTTCAGCAACACCATGAAGGGACACCAAGACAAGACCCCCACTCCAAGGAAAACAATCCACATAGAATCAATCAGCTGGCAAGTGGGCTGTCTTTTAGGGTCATGAAGCCATTCAGGTTGGCAAGAATGATTACCCACTGTTACTTAAGTGAGAGGCCCTAGGGTATAATATTAGGGTGAGAGACTCAGCCCAAAGTTAGAGACCTGGGGGTGTCATACTCAGATTAGAGGCCAAGCCCACAGGGTTAGAGGCCCTGGGGAATATTGAGAAGAATGGATTTGGCTAAACAAGATGTTTGCCACTTTCTCTTTTTGGACTGTCCACCTTGTGCTCTGTGTCCCTCACCTGAGTGCTCTGCATATTGTTGCCTTTCTGCTCACCGCCTCCGTTTTGCAGTAGCCTGGAGGCTGCCCCAGGAAAGAGGCCCTAAACAGTTTAGCTTTTACTTTCCTCAGCAATCCTCTGACTTTTAGGCTTGATGTCTTAGAGCTATTGCTGCTACCACTTTTCTAGTTGGCAAAGCTAATAAACTAACATTAGAACAGCACCTACAGGTTTTTGACCCCACACCAAGGGAAGGTGGTCCTAGAAGCTAAAGGGCACCAGTGGATAATAGGAGAATATTTATGAAAGTGTGAGGCCTTATTGCTAGACCGACCCTCCAGACATAACCCTTAAAGCCTGGCAAACCATAAACCCACTACTTACCTGTCAGAGTCCACAGGTGCTCCCAGCCTTTCTGGCATACAGGTTGTATTAGTCTGTTCTCACGCTGCTAATAAAGACATATCTGAGGCTGGGTAATTTATAAAAAAAGAGGTTTAATTGACTCACAGTTGCACATGGTCGGAGAGGCCTCACACTCATGGCAGAAGGCAGGTGAGGAACAAAGTCACATCTCTTACATGGCAGCAGGCAAAAGAGCTTGTGTAGGGAAACTCCCCTTTATAAAACCATCAGCTGTAATCCCAGCACTTTGGGAGTCCAAGGCAGTGGATGACCTGAGGTGAGGAGATCGAGGCCAGCCTGGCCAACATGGTGAAACTCTGTCTATACTAAAAGTACAAAAATTAGACAGGCATGGTGGTGGGCGCCTGTAATCCCAGCTACTCGGGAGGCTGAGACAGGAGAATCGCTTGAACCCGGGAATCAGAGGTTGCAGTGAGTCAAGATCATGATAATGCACTCCAGCCTGAGCAACAGAGCAAGACTCTGTCTCAAAAATAAATAAATAAATAAATAAACCATCAGATCTCATGAGGCTTATTCACTGTCATGAGAACAGCATGGGAAAGACCCATCCCCTGATTCGATTACCTCCCACTGGGCCCCTCCCACGATATATAGGAATTATGGGAGCTATAATTCAAGATAAGACTTGACTGGGGACACAGCCAAAGCATGTCACAGGTTATGAAACAAATTTATTCTAGCAGGCCAGACGTAGGAGAGATGAGCCCCTTGACCATCCCAAGGAAGAGTGGTTAACAGATGCAAGTTGTTTTATGCATCAGGAAAACAGGGCTAGATATGCTATTAGTAGTCAGCACAAGAGAATCAAGGCACAAGCCTTGCTGGCCTCGACCTCAGCTCAAAAAGCTGAGTTAATTGAACTTACTAGGCCCCTGCAGTTGGAAAGGATTTAAAAGTTAACATTTACACTGATTCCAAGTATGATTTTTTAGTGCTTCATGCTTATGCTGCAATTTGGAATGGGTGGGGACTCCTGACCCCAAAGGGCTTTTCCATACAACATCATTCAGATTTTGAGCTTGTTAGAATGCTGCTTTGCTGCCAAAAAGTGACTATAATTAATTGCAGAGGACATCAAAAGAGAGACTGACCATGTAAAAGGAAATGCCCTTGTAGATGCCACAGCCAAGGCCCCTGCACTGAAAGGGCCAATGAAGCTTGTGGGCGTTCTGGTCAGCATACATAGAACTGGGCCGGAACACTCTGAAGAAGAACAGAAATGGGCCAGGGATTGCATTTCAGTCCAGGGCCCCTCGGGCTGAATGATGGTAATAAATTACTAATGCCAAGTACCAGTCACAGGAGTATAACTCAGCACTTTCATGATTCTTTTCACTCTAGAAGGGATTCTTTGTTTCTGTTAATGTCTCATTTGTTCATAGGGGTAAATCTTTTCAAGACACTAAAACAGGTGACTCAGCCCTGTGAGCTCTGTGCCTGACATGACCCAAACGGCCAGCAATTTTCTCCTTCTCCAGTTAAACCTGTCCAAAATGGAGGAACCTATCTACATGAGAACTGGCAACTCTAATTTACCCCGAAGCCTTTCTGCAGGAGATTCAAATATTTGCTAATGCTTACTGATACCTTCACTGGTTAGATCGAGGCATTCCCCACCCCATCTGAAAAATGTTTACCAGAAGAAATAACTCCTCAGTTTGGGTAATCCAAAAGCCTGTAAAGTGACAATGGCCCAGCTTTCACAGCAGGTGTAACCCAACACCTATCCTCAGCTTTAAGAATCCAATATTACCTTCACTCTGCTGGAGACCGCAGTCCTCTGGAAAGGTGAAAGGGCTAATCCTAAAGAAGACTCTAGCTAAATCAGAGGCCTGACTATCTCTAATACCCATAGCTTACTGCGGGTTTGAACTGCTCCAAAGTAAAACGTATAATTAAGTCCTGTTGAGTTAACATGTGGAAGGCCTTTCCTAACGACAGATCTCCTAATAGATGAAAAGACTCATCAATTACAAAAATATGTCATCAATCTGGGACAGGTGCAAAGGCACTCTGAATATGGAAACAAGCGTCTTCCCCTCCCACATGGGAGGAAAATTCAGTTTCAGCTCAGCTAGGGATTTAGTCTTACTAAAGACGTGGGAGGAAGTTCTCCAGCTGAGCAGCTTTCCCCAACGTGGAAGGGACCACGCAAGGACACCTGAGTTCTCCAACAGACGTTCAACGCCAGGGGATTCACAGGTGGGTGCACCTGTGTGGAAGTAAAGCTGTTGCTTATTCTGGGAGCCCAATCGGAGGCTGAGGGAGGTGGGCGCGGGGCTATTTAAGCGTTGGCGGAGGCCGGGCTGGGTCGCTGCGCGTCTGCTCCTCCTTCTCGCGCTTCTGCTGCCGCCCTAATCCTGCCTTGGCCATGAGGGAAATCGTGCTCACGCAGACCGGGCAGTGCGGGAACCAGATCGGGGCCAAGGTTGGCAGCCGGGGCTCTGAGGGCCCAGCCCGGGCCTGCCGGGTGGCCGGGGAAGATGTTGGCAGCGGCGGGGGCGGTGCCCCTGCATTGCGGCCCCTGGGCTCCCTGCCGGGGACGGTGGAACCGGGTGGCTGGCGAGGCGGCCGGGGTGGACCCCAGGGACAGGGCGGCCTAGGGATGGGGGTGCGGGTGGGGGTGGGAGAGCGGCTGGGGCGCCTCCGTGACTCAGCCCCGGCCTGTCTGGCCCCTCCCGTCTCCGCAGTTCTGGGAGGTGATCTCTGATGAACATGCCATCGACTCCGCTGGCACCTACCACGGGGACAGCCACCTGCCGCTGGAGCGCGTCAACGTGCACCACCGCGAGGCCAGCGGTGCGACCCCCGTCCTTCCCCCACCGCCCTCCTGGGAACGCGGCCCTCCCCTCGCTCATGCCCTCCCGCCCCACGCAGGTGGCAGGTACGTGCCTCGCGCTGTGCTCGTGGATCTGGAGCCGGGCACCATGGACTCCGTGCGCTCGGGGCCCTTCGGGCAGGTCTTCAGGCCAGACAACTTCATTTCCCGTGAGCTGCGGGCGAGGACTGGGGTGCGGCTCCTTAGCCAGGGCAGCTCAAAATCCAGGAACGCTCCAAGGTCATCCTGTGGGAACTGTGGCGCCAGGGCCCCTGAACACCCTCCTGTCCTCCGAGTCGAGTCGCTCAATCTGCCTCTCTTAAACGGGCTTCGGGAGGAAGGCCCGGGTGTCTTCTCAAGGTGAGGAGCTACTGATGTCCCTGCCGGGAGCTGAGCTGGGGCCGTGGCTATTGCGTTTCCTGAGAATGGGCAGGAGCCACCGGCAGCGAGGTCTGTGAGCCCGTCTCAGGTTTGACTCCTGTCTTAATTTCTAACAGGGGAAGCTGCTGTCCTGTTACTCTGCGGGAGCGGGTTTCATTTGCTCCACCTGCAGGGCGAGTGGTGCTTTCACCTCACACGTGACACTGTTGCTTTCTGCATTATGGTGGTGACCACTGATGACCGTATACCTGGCCGTCGAGTGACCGGCTGTACTGTCTTACAGGTCAGTGTGGGGCCGGAAACAACTGGGCCAAGGGACGCTACACCGAAGGCGCGGAGCTGATGGAGTCAGTGATGGACGTTGTCAGAAAGGAGGCTGAGAGCTGTGACTGCCTGCAGGGTTTCCAGCTGACCCACTCCCTGGGTGGGGGGACTGGGTCTGGGATGGGTACCCTTCTCATTAGTAAGATCCGGGAGGAGTACCCAGACAGGATTATAAACACATTGAGCATCCTGCTCTTGCCCAAGGTGTCAGACACGGTGGTGGAGCCCTACAACGCCACCCTCTCAGTCCACCAGCTCATAGAAAACGCAGATGAGACCTTCTGCATAGATAACGAAGCGCTATATGACATATGTTCCAAGACCCTAAAACTGCCCACACCCATCTATGGTGACCTGAACCACCTGGTGTCTGCTACCATGAGTTGGGGTCACCACGTACCTGCGCTTCCCGGGCCAGCTGAATGCTGACCTGAGGAAGCTGGCCGTGAACATGGTCCCGTTTCCCCGGCTGCATTTCTTCATGCCCGGCTTTGCCCCACTGACCAGCCGGGGCAGCCAGCAGTACCGGGCCTTGACTGTGGCTGAGCTCACCCAGCAGATGTTTGATGCTAAGAACATGATGGCTGCCTGTGACCCCCGTCATGGCCGCTACCTAACGGTGGCTGCCATTTTCAGGGGTCGCATGCCCATGAGGGAGGTGGATGAACAGATGTTCAACATTCAAGATAAGAACAGCAGCTACTTTGCTGACTGGCTCCCCAACAACGTAAAAACAGCCGTCTGTGACATCCCACTCCGGGGGCTAAAAATGTCAGCCACCTTCATTGGGAATAATACGGCCATCCAGGAACTCTTCACATGTGTCTCAGAGCAGTTTACAGCAATGTTCAGGCGCAAGGCCTTCCTCCACTGGTACACAGGCGAGGGCATGGATGAGATGGAATTCACCGAGGCCGAGAGCAACATGAATGACCTGGTGTCTGAATATCAGCAATATCAGGATGCCACGGCCGAGGAGGAGGATGAGGAGTATGCCGAGGAGGAGGTGGCCTAGAACTCTCCTTTTCTAGGTAAAGTGGGGAAGCAGTGTGGATTCTTTACTGTGTTCTGACAGCCATGTGTCACTGTGCGCTTGTTCATTTGTGTCTTCACATCTCCTGCTGCATTTTAAAGCATTTGTATAGTATGCGGTTTTGCCTAATAAAGTGTTCTCACAGCATCTGGTTTCACCTCCATCTTCTTTCCATGGGCCCTCCGGCAACTGCTGCCAGATGCGCATAGTTGTCCTGCAAGGCGGAAGCTGTCTGGGCTTATCACATGCCCAGGAACAAGCATTCCAGTGGCTCCAGGAGGGCTCGGCATGGGCTGTGGACATGGCAGGCAGGCTTCACGTGAACTTGGGGATGCCCTGGGCCTTGGGCAGCGACGTGGGGGAAAACCTGTTCCTGAAGAAAAGCCTTGGCTTACCCCATGTACCAAACTTCTAGGGGACCAGCTGGCCATGTTTCTGGAACTTTGTCCACCAGGGTCGCTGACCCCTTTTAATGTCCCCAAAGTCCCATCTTGGAGTAGGAATGTGGTCAGACAGCTGGCTCTGAACCAGCAATGAAGGGTGGGCAAGTGGGACCCCAGCCACTCCATCACCACGATGGCCTGGGTGTGATTGTGTGGCCTCATTCTCTTAATGAGGTGGGCATGGGGTATCTGGCAGGGACTAGGCAGGAATTGAGCACAGTGTTTGCTAACATGCACTGAACCCTATGTAGAAGGGGATTAGGTCCTGGGGGCTGCAGATGTGGTTGCTGGGCCTGTGACATGCACTGAACCCTATGTAGAACCCTATGCAGCCCCTTGAAACTTCCCAGGATGGCTGGTTTGGGGGTTTGTCACCTTATTTTTCTCCCTCTGGTTTTAGCCACTGTAGGCCAGTTTGTTCACAGATTTTTACCAACTTTGGCTCATTTCATTACCTTATCAGAGGTGGGAATTCTGAGGTCCCTAAGCCAGAGGCTTTCGGGGATGTGGCTCCCTCTGCCGCCCTGGCAGGGAGGACGCAGGCGTCCCAGGTGGAGCCTCTGACCTAGAGCCTTTGGCTCTAGAGCCTGGAGCCTTACCGCAAGGCTGCCTCTGTGGGTTTGGCGTCGGGAAACAACCCAGCCTGGAGCCCAGGCTGCTGGTTATCTGGAGACAGCCTCCCCGTAAGATTTCTCTGAGACAAGAAACAATTATGCAAATTATCCTAATTCTGTTTTAAAGAATAGAGAGATTGATTGCAGAGACAAACCATTTAGGCAGGCAATGTAGAAGGTGTTTCCATGGCTAATCTGCCTTCAAAGGAGAGGGATTTTGTTTGTAAACTTCAGACCCAGAAAATTGATTGTTCTGTCAACTTTAGATAATTATCTGTCCTCCCTGAGGCCCTAAGCTTAGCAGAAATGTTCTTCCTCTGAATCCGTACTCAGCTTTGGATCTCTGTTGGGTTCCCTGTAGAGTGCTAAATCAGATTCCCCCAAAGCAGTGGATCAGGAGCCTTCCTCCAGCCACAGTGCCCATCCTGCATGCAGAAGAATCGACAGAGGGACGGGAGGGCTGCAGAGCTGGCACTGTGTCCATGGAGGGGCTGGTGGGGACTCACTGTTCAGGGGACAGGGGAGGCAGAGTCCACACTCAACTGCTGCGTGGAGATGGGCATGAAGGGCAGGCAGGTCTGGCCTTGGCCTTGCGGTTTGTTTCCATTAAAGACCTTCAAGACCAGAAGGGACGAATAGGGCCGGACTATGCAGGGAGAGAAGAGGTTCTAGGGAACTGAGTTCCGAAGTCTTCATCTTCTCACTGTGCAGTGGGGTTCGCCTATAAAGCAGGCTGCTTGTCCTCGGGAGAGCTCATTGTGGAGAAACATCACTGGACAGAGCCCCTCCTTATCTGCATCAGACTCCTCTGGTCTCCCCGGTTGCATTTTTCTCTGCCCCTAAGGGCACCTGTCCCTGGAGAGGCTCTCAGGACAGTATCCTGGACACCCCCTGCCTGGACACCCCTTGCCTGGCACCCCTCCTCTCCACAATGTCGTCAGAGAGCTCCACCTGCCCTTCTAGCCCCCTGGTCCAGCACTGCTGGTCATGAGGTTTGGGCCCTGTGACCTGCCCAGATCCAAGCTGTGGGGAAAGTTTGCTGAGACCAGTTTGGGGAACAGAGGGGCCTTGTTGTACCATTTGTTCTGGGCACAGGGGACCTCCTGCATCATCTATCTCCTCCATGAGATGCTAGTTTCAGGGATTCCTTGGGGACACTGGAGAGCAGGGCTGGCTCAGGCAGGGGCCTGACCATAGTCCAGACAGTGCAGACCCTACCTGAGGTGCCACACGGGCCCTCATCAGTCTTCTCTTCACACAGTGGAGTCACTCCTGTGCCTCCCCTGTCTGCACTCCATTGAGCCGGGAAAGGCCTGCAGTAGCCAATGCCCACATTTGAGTTTCAAATGTGAATATACCCAGGGATTGCAATTTACCAAAAGATGAAGGAAAAGGCCTCTCCCAGTACTTGGTCAACATTATTCTGTGGTATTTTTCAGATGAAATTAGCATTTAAGCCAGTATACTTTTAGTAAAGCAGATTATGCTCCATAATGTGGGTGGGTCTCATCCAATCAGTTGAAGGCCTTAAAGGAAGAAATACCTCCCAGGGGAAGAGGGAATTCTGCCCCTGGACTCAAGCCACTCTTCCTTGGATTCTAGCCACTGTAATCACACGAGACAATTCTGGACATCTCCTCCTCTCTTTTCTGTTTCTCTGGAAAACCCTGACTAATGCAATTCTTGTTAAGCTGCTTTTAAGAAGTGTGAAGAAAATATTAAAAAGTTGTAACTAAGAATTTTGAGTGGACGATCTAATTATTTCACACTGGCTGAGATCTCCCTGATGTTGACATTGCAATGACACTGTGCACTTCTTGGGGTAAGAAAAAGTGCAGCCTCAGTATCCCTCCCACTAAATAGGAAGGCAAATTGCCATTTCCCGAAAAGTCCAGAATAGTAAGTAGGTTGACGAGTAACTCTTGAAGTTACATAAGACAAATCAGTTGCAACAGAGGATCATAAACCCCTCGTGTACGGAAGGAAAACAAGTTTGTCAATGTGCAAACTGTAAGTCTAAGTTCCTACTTCTGTAAAAAGTAGAGTTTCCTCTTCAAAGACTTTCCTTCCCATCTCATTAGAAATAAATAGTAACTTCTCTTAGAAGCAAAATTTATTCAAAGACCTGTGCTAACATTGTTAAATATCTGCTAGCCCTAATAAAGAAATCAATGTACTTTATGATCTTAGCTCCCACAATTTAGCCTAAATATTTGCCCTGGCATGCTTATACTAGTCCAAGCAAGCTTTAGGTCATTGCCTGTTCCTCTTCTTTATTCGAAGGTGTTTTTACTTTTTTCAGCATTCCACAAGTTACTTCCTCCTTCCTTCGTTCTCCTCTGCCTTTTCCTCTTTAAAAAAGTTCTAAGTTGCTAGCCAATCGGGACAAATACAGAATGTGAGGTCCCGTTCCAGCCTCTGGAAACTGGACACAGCAGTAGGGTGGATGCATCAGGTTATAAATGACCCTGTCTCCTTTGCTCAGTATACTGTTGTGGCAAAACTGCTGGCGAGTGTACACTTTCTGCAGAAATTAAAAAAAAATAAAAATGGCCTTGCTGAGGAAATTAAATTTACATTCAAGTGCTAGTTCTTTACTGCACTGGGAACAAGCATTTCAAACAATTTCAACCCTGCTGGACTGCATCAAGTGAGGGCCGGGATGGAAAAGCGGCCGTGCCGAGGTGCCCCGGAAGCAGCCTCCGGAGTGTGCGTCAGAGTTTCTGGCCATTTCAGCTAAGACTTTTCTTCTGACAGACTAGAAGTGAAAAAAAGAATTATTTACTTTGCTGGGAAATGTGACAGAAGGTTAAAATTCTACTAGTTCACAAAATATTTGAAGCTAACTTTGTTTTTATAAATAAAATTGTATTTACAATTTAAGTTTTAGTTCTCATCCTTGCTGTTATAAAAGTTATTCTAAGTTATGTCAGTCTTTGAGGGTAAATGTAGAGTATTTAAAATAGCTTATATTTGGAAAACTGAACAGTGTTTGTTGTCATGATTTTACTTTGTTCTTGACCACATTGGTCCCAGAGAAAGTCAAGGTCTTCAGCCACGGATTCAAGATTCTTGTGGCAGCTGCTGATTTCTTTTCCAACAATGCTTGGGCCTCATCAGCGTCATGTTTGTGCACTACCTCAGCCCCAACCACAGACATGGGCAGGAGGAACAGAGCTCTACCGTGTAGCGTCACTGCCAGTAAGAGTCTGGCTCTCCCATGAAGCATTACTCTTCCTCTGCATGTATCTTAGAATTTCAAAAGCCATTTGGCCTCCATTTCTTTAGATTGTGGATAAGATCCATAAACTTGTACTGGGGTCACTGTTCCTCCAGCCTCTTTAGCACGTATCTGCAGTCTCATTTCCAGGCTGTTTCCTCTATGGGCCACTGCCTGCAGAATTCCCAGATGAATCCACTGCCCATTCCCTGTAGCCACATCTCCAAATCCACAGCCGTTCTCAGCAGCTGCCTGCACACTCACATCCCAGAGGTCAAGTTGCCACAGCTGGTGTGTGTTTCCAGCCACTAGGCAACCCCAGGTCTTCATCTGAGCACCCAGGGCCAGAAGTCTCACCCTGTCCCCCGTACCATCCCTTCCCAGCCAGCCACAGTTTCCTTCCTTCTGTTGCCCACACAGTGCTCTCAGCCCCAGATGCCCTTCCTGACACTTCCTCCCAAGGAAACCCAAGTCCTCCGTCAGGGTCCACCCAAATGTCCACACCCTCTGGTAGCCTGCCCAGCCCCAGAGGCTCCCCTGAGCTCCCTTCCCCCATTAGAGCCTACAGAGGCAGTGCTGCCCAGCAGACATCTCGGCTGGGAGTCAAACAGAGCAAGGCTATTTTGGTCCCTCTCTCCACTCTATGTGACCCTGAAATGTGCCCTGGCCTTAGGAAACATTCAGCTACATCAGAGAACGTGAGTATGCATGTGGTTTGTATAACACAGGCAAGACATGGTTTTTAGATACGTTCAGAATAGATAGTTACAGAGAACAGGTATGTTACATGTGGGAAGGAAGAGACACAAGGGCCAAGAGATACTTAATATGCATGAGGCTCCTGGGCACTAAATGTTCAATTCACAATGTGCCTTTATACAAGAGACACCTAAACATGCAGAACCATGGGGCCTTTGTTCACCACCATTCCTGGTGCCCATTCTGGTCCCATGCGTCCTCTGCCCAAGAAACACGTAGAACCCATGGCAGTGCGACAGCTGCTTCTTGGCAACGCCACCATGATCAGGCACACTTGTCCCATGTCTGTCCCGTTGAGCCGGTGTGTGTCATAAGCCCTTAAGCTGTGAGCACTCTTGCCCAGACCTCGGCTCTGGTCCTCGTGGTCACACCTGAGTGGGTGAGGTTGACTAGCAGAGAAAGAAGAGAACCGATGAATGTTGACAGCACAGGAATCAGGTCATACGGCCCTCCCATCTCCTTCCCTCAGCTTCTTGCTGTGTTTTACGAATGGATTTTATAAACCTGTGATTTGAGCATCCTCAGTTGCTTCTCGAGCCTTTCCGCTCCATGAACTCTGGGACAGCTTGCCTGGTACTGCAACTGGAGGACATCATTGCATCCAGAGAGCTTCCCACATGACAGTCTGTGAGCAAGGGACTTCGCCTCCCTGGATGGTGGTTTTCTTTTATGTAAAAGATGTGATCGTAGTCTCTATTTCTCAAGGGTGCTGTGAGAAACACACAGAATAAGTCCACGTGAAAGTGTGTGGCAGGTAGCGGATGCTCAGTAACGTGAAGCCTGCCCTTCCCATAGCCTTTCTCTTCCTCCACTGGGTCTAGACTTCACATTGTCCCATGGTTCCAGATCCTTGGTTCATCCCGAGTCTTATCATCATCCCAGAAGCTTGGAGGGAGCTCCTGGGGAAATCCAGCTTCACGGTCCCACACTGATCACTTCCCCTGGGCATGGCCTGGTAAATGCAGCTCAGATCCGCTCCCCAGGCAAGTCAAGGAAGTTGCTGCCCAGAAACCAAGTGAGGACATTTACAAGAACTGGCGGCGGCAGCAGCAGCAGCAGCAGCAGCAGCAGCAGCAGCAGCAGCAGCAGCAACTGGATTTGCTTTTTCACCAGAGGATCCAGATTTCCCTGTGGCCTCGCAAACAAAAAAGAAGGAAGACGGAGCAGCACAGTCATTCCTTTGTGAAAAAGGCATTCAGGTAACTGAGTGACTCAGCAAGCCTGGGTCTTGGGGAAATTACGAATACCTGGTTGAAGGACAGTCCTCAGGCAGAGCCCCTGAGACCTGTTGAACTCTAGAGTGTGGGAGCAGAGGAGATTCAGGGCCTGCCCAGGGGCAGAGTGCCCCCAGGACTCGCCCTGGCTCAGTTAAGGACTCCCCTCAGGATCTGCAGAGGTGCAAGGCAGGGTGCAGCTCTGCCTGGACTGAGCTGGAAATGCAGCCGTGTGGCTGAAGTGGCCACTTCCTGCTTTCTGTAAAGCAGCCACAGGGACCTGTGAACAGGTAAGACCATTGCTCTTGATTACTGAAGAACTAGAACCCAGGCTCCCTTGACCTTCTCTCCAAAAACCCAGATGACACGAGGACCCTCTCCCAGCTGAAGGGGCAGATTCATGCTTTAGAGTGTGGGGAGTCAGCGTGGGGGCACGTGAGTGTTTAGCTTAGGTGTGGGCCTCACAAAAGAGTCAAAACAAGTCAGCCAGGACTCCAGCAGCCTTCATTGTGTGAGAGATGCCAGCACTGTGGCCACAGCCTGACAGCTGCGCAGGCCACATAATGTGTGGGGCCGAGTGGAAAACGTGGGTTTTTTGTTGTTGTTGTTGTTCAAAATCATGAGCTTCCAGGGGCGGCAGCAGAACTTTAAACTACTCTGGGGCCCTTCTGAGCACAGGACTTGGTATGACTGCACAGGGATACCCAGCAGGCCAAGTGCAGCGACAGAGCGGTCTGCCCAGAGGCCAGCAGGTCCCCAGTCAGTGTCTGGCACCAGCTCCCTTCATGACCTGGGCTGGCTCAGTTCCACGGGACTCCCAAGGCTGGAGGCTTCCCTGGAACATCATCCTCAGGGATTTCCCAACAGGAGCAGCCTCTGGCTTCAGATCTGTCCTTGTTTGACTCATAAATTATCACTCAGACTGAGAAAATTAACACTCAGTGATTCCTGAAAGGGTGCCCAGTGCAATAGATAATTTTCAAAGTGAGTTCATCGGGGGATTTAATAGCCAGGCGATGTCCATTAAAACAGTGACAAACATGGGGAGAAAAGGAAAAGTTCCAACTGGAAACTCATGCTGGCTTGACAGTTGTTCTCAGGGAGCAGAACAGAAGTGGGCATTTTCATTCTGGTTACACCATCAGCGATACCTCCACGGAGCCTCTCAGCTGGTTCCTCCTGGGTCTGGGCCACAGGCCTCCCAGTATTGCTGGTCTCAGAAGACATCTGTGGGCAGGTTCTGTAGAGGGAATCTGAGGCTGTGTGGGATGAGCTGCAGGACCCCATGTGGGGAAAGGCAGGAGGCAGCACCAGCTCCTTCACTAGGACCTGAGGGTACTGTGGCTCATCAGGGGCCATCGAGGACATGGAGACCCTGCACAGTGTTTGAGGAGTCCTGCTACATCAGTTTATTCTGGTTTAGGTGGTTGAGGGGAGACTGAGTGAAGTCTTGGGGATTCAGGGCTACACTGCCAACCTCTGGGACAGCAGCCCCAGTGTCCCCCGACCCAGGCCTTGCTCCTCCCTGCTGATGAATGCCCACTCTGCTCCCAGATGCACACCTGTCCTGAAGACACCCGGTTCTCATGCTCTTCTCTGCAGCATCTGAATTGGGCATTCCTGGGTAAAGCAGTTTAAGTTACTTTCACTTTTATCCACCTTGTTTCCGTTATTTCAACCATGCATGTACCTTGTGTATGTAGGATAAAGGTGTCTAAGAATAAAGGTCCATGATTTAAAGTTTTTTCCTCTTCTTTCCCTGTCCTGACCACCTGATCATAAACTTGTAGAAATAAAGTGGATCTCATGTTGTGTATCTTTCGATGCATCTAGAGAGATGGTTATATTCATATAAATAAACGGGCACATCCAGCACACTATTTCTAGTTGTCGTCTGCTAATAAGTTTACATCTGGTAAATGCCAGTGTTTCATCAAATGGCTGCATTGCACATGAGTCAATCTGTGTGACAAAGAATATGGCAGGTTTTGTACAGCCTTTGTAAAGACATTCTTCAATGCTGCCTTTTAAAATAGAAATGTTAAATCCTGTAACTAATCAACCTATGCCTTGTTAGAGGGCTGACATTTTCAATAATTCCTTTACAAAGGGTAGTGAGATGCATCAGATCCCCCAGTGGCCCCCAAGTAGGGACAGTGACAGTCAGCAGTTCTTTACGGACACCTGCTCGTTGGCAGGTTCTCCGCCAGCCCTGGCTGCGGGCGGCCCTCATCTAACAAGATGCTTCGGTCCATGGGTGGAGGACAAAGGCCTACAGGCTTGGGGAGCGAGTTCTTTCGTCTCCTACATGACCTTCATCTGCTCGCGTTTCCCACGAAGTGCATCTGGGTTGGAAGGAGATGGTGGTTTCCCACGGAAGTCTGGTCCCTAAGTGACGCCTCTGCTGCCTACATCAGAATCTCCCAGGCTTGCTCCACAGTGGTCCCGTCACGTGGTGCAGACTCAGGCGCGGTCTTGTGTGTGCAGAGGCAGGCTTGGTCTTGTGTGCTCTTGATCATGCACCTAGTCACATCTGTTCTACAGTGTTGCATTCTTCTAATTTCCATGCACATCTTTGTATAGGCGTGTTCCCATTGTTCCCATGCCAATAAGTGGTGTGCAAGGTTCCAGAGTGCGCCAGTATTTCTTTAGTCAGTGTCATGCTGTTGGATATTCAGGTTTTTTTAACCTAGTGTAAATAACATTCACATTTCTAAAAACCAGAAGAGTGTTTGTGATTAAGATATCATCTTAGTGGATATTAAATTGCTGCATCTGATTTCATTTCTCTTTCCCAAATAAAGAGTCAGTTGTGTGGGCTAGTCTCATTCTGAAACTGCACACTCCCATCCCAGAGGTAGAAAGCGAGATCTCCTGCCTGCATTTCATGGAGCATGTGATTATGGAGGTGTCCAATCCCAGCAAACAGACCCCACATTCTTTTCCTTCAGTGACTCAGACGCAATATGTGGACAGTCCCAGACAGTATCGCTCCCTCACGTTCATTAACCTCCAGAGATTAAACATCACCTGATACACAGAACTGTGGGCTCCCCATTTGGCTAAGCATCAGGTGCAGCCAGGTTCTTACCTAGGTGCACGTGACAAGGTGCTGCCAGATGCCACCAGCACAGACAGTCAGTGAGCCCACCTCATCAGAGGGCACATGAGATCCCCAAATGCGAAAGAACTCTAAGGAGCCAAAATCTGCCAAGATGGGTACATTAAAGCTTGCAACTTTGCACGTGAGTGCACCCTCAGACTCAGCCAGTTTATTCTCCTTTGCAGTCCATTCTGAAAAGTCCAGCCAGATGATGGCTAAAGAGGAGAGAATGGAAGGTGGAAGGCGGTTGCTGCTTGCAGAAGAGGCACGCTGGCAGCATTGGCAGGGAGGAAGAGACTGGAAACTGAGTAGCAGATCCGAGAAACCAAAATGCTCAGCAAATGAGGGCAGGTGGCATGGAGCTACTTCCCTGGATCCAAGAGCCTAATTACCTTATTGTTCCATAAGTTCATGGCCTGCGGTCATCAGGGAAAATAAAACACTGACTGGGGGTCAGTCTTTTCTGTTTAGAGGAGGCTCCCTGAAACCTCCCCCTCCCGGGTTCAAGCGATTCTCCTGCCTCAGCGTCCCGAGTAGCTGGAACTATAGGCGCCCGCCACCACTCCCGGCTAATTTTTTTTTTTTTTTTTTTTTGTAGAGACGGGGTTTCACCGTGTTAGCCAGGATGGTCTCGATCTCCTGACCTCGCGATCCGCCCGCCTCGGCCTCCCAAAGTGCTGGGATTACAGGCGTGAGCCACCGCGCCCGGCTTCAGCTGGTTTTTCAAAAGTCATGGCGTGTAACTGTCCGAACAGTGAACTTCGGAGATCCACCGGAGGGGCGAGGCCACAGCTCGACCGCGAGCACCTGAGCATCCTGCACCGCCTGCGACGGCCGTCAGGGGGCGCGATGCCGCCTCACAGAACCTCAAGAGGCGCCCGGGTTCCGGCACAGACGGCCTGCGGCTCCAGGGGGCGGAACCGAGCCGTCTCCTCAGGACCTACGCAGGAGGCGCCGTCATCCCTACAGGGACACCTGAGAGGGCCCAGCCTCCTCCTCCTCAGGACCTACTCGGGAGACGCCGCTGGCTCTCTAGGAACACCTGGGGACCGTGGCCAGGGACGACCCAGCCTCCTTCTCCTCAGCTCCTCAGGAACGACTGGGGAAGCTGTGGCTTCATGGTCCCCGAGGCTGCCCGAGGAAAGGTGAGGAAAAAGCTTTCTGTCCCGGCTCAGTGCTGAGGAGGCCGCGCTGCCTCGCGCTCCACTTTCTCAAGTTGTATTTATTTTATTTGACAAAGTGGCCCGTCATTAAGTGGCTTTGCTATTCATTATTGCAGCATACCTGAGTTGTTTCATTTTTTAATTTTTGACCAATTTGGGTTTGTTTGGGGTGGATCCGGGACAGAGAAGGGAGAAACCCTGAGGGCAACATGGAGAGCCCCAGGGAGACGCGCACCCCACGACTTGCTTTTATTTGCGTTCCAGTGGCTCGTTTTTCTTAGAGTGTTAAAGTACTTGAAAAATATTGAAGAGCAGATGTAGATGTGAGTTTTCACAACCGTGTTTTAAGTGTAAATACTGGATTTTGTCTGTTAAAAGGATTTTAGGTAAAATAAATTTAAGCGGACTTTATTTCGGCAAAGGAATGGTTCATGAATCACGCGGGAAGCACCAGAACGGAAATCGGCTTGGGGCTTCGAGCTCTTAGGGTGGCCCCTAAGTGAGGCTCCTCAGTGGCTCCAGCTAGGCCACCGCCTGTTGTGGGGATGGTTCCCTCAGCGTCCCTAGTCATACAGCCAACTGGCTGCTGGGCTTTTTGGCATTGACTGTGGTTGGTTTGTTAATTTTTTTAAGTCAGTTCAAATGCCTCCAAGTTCGGTTTCTGTTTGCTTAGGGAAGGCCTCAGGCTAACCCCCGCCGTATTTGCTTTAACATGTCAAAACCATAATTTATTTTTCATTTTACTTTCCTGGCATTAATAGAAGTAAATTCACATTTGTGTGTTATTCAGAAAGTCGGTTTAATTGGCAACCTATTTGTGATGGTGCATAAAGTAATGTCTTTTAATCATTGGCATCTTAGATTAGATGAAATATGTTAACTCTCTTAAGCTTTGTTATTAACCCATAACAAGAGTTAAGTTTCTTTTTTTCTCCTAGGCTTTGACCATTTAAAATACACTCAGGCATCTCGTAACGATGTTATACTTTCTGAGAAATCTGTCCTTAGGTGATTTCATCTTTGTGTGAACACTGTAGAGTGTCCTTATAAAACTTAGATGGTGTAGCCCACTCCACACCTAAGTTACATAGTATAGCCTATTGCTCCCAGGCTACGAACCTGTACAGCATGTCTCTGTACTGAATGCTGTAGTCAACCATAACACCATGGTGATTGTAGATTGTGATCCCAGAATATCTGAGACAGGTCTCAGTCAATTTAGAAAGCTTATTTTGCCAAGATTAAGGACACGCCCATGACACAGCCTCAGGAGGTCCTGACGACGTGTGTCCAAGGTGGCCAGGGTAGAGCTTGCTTTTGTACATTTTAGGGATACATGAGACGTGTAAGATGTACAGTCATTTGGCCCCGTAAGGCAGGACAACTGTAAGCAGGAAGTGGGGGTGCTTCCAGGTCAGAAGTAGGTTAGAGACAAAAGGTTGCATTCTTTTGAATCCTTCATCAGCCTTCCACTGAATACACAATTTAGTCTGGCTCAATGAATCTGCATTTTTACATAAATAATAGGGCAGAGGAAGCAATCAGATATGCATCTGTCTCAGGTGAGGGATGACTTTGAGTGCTGTCTGTCCTTTGTCCAAAAGGAAATTCTTTGTGGGCAAATTGTGAGTGAGGTATGTAGCTTTTTATCTTTGTAGCTATCTTAGGAATAGAATGAGGGCAGGTTTGCCTGACATAGCTCCCAGCTTGACTTTTCCCTTGGCTTAGTGATTTGGGGGTCCTGAGATTTATTTTCCTTTCATGGTATCAGAACAGAGAAAAGGTAATGCGTTGAGCCATGAGCTTATGACAAGATGGCTAGGAAGGAATTTTTCAGCTCCATTTTTATCTCATGGGACCACCATCGTATGTATGCAATGCACGAGTGTAAAATCACATTTAGTTAAGTCAGCTTACACTAAGCTATGGACCCAGATGGTCCTGGGGCCTTTTTCCACTGGGAGATCTTTAAGGACCTTTCTTAGCTTTTCTATGCTAATTGGTATATTCATAGTTGCCTTATTTCAGTGCCCATTTTGTTAATGTGTATTTTTACTAGGAAATCACCCATTTTTTCTAGGTTTCCAGTTTGATGCAATTATTTGACTTTTAATTTCTCCTCTGTTTTTAGTTTTGTACATAATTTTCCTATCTACTTTTGCACTCTTTTTTCCATCAACAATGTTTTTAAAATATACTTTTTAGCTTTTTTTGAAGAATTGTTATGTTTGACAATTTTTTATGACCTAATCATGACCGTAAATGATTTTTAATTAATTTCAGCTTAATGTCTTTTGTAGGGCACAACTGTTAAAATACAAAATTACAACAAATGTGGGTTTGCAGATCTTAATTGGCTTTTTTTGTGGTTCTAGAATCAGGCAGCAGTCCAGACCAAAAATGGTTCAGAATGATCTGCCACACAACATGTGCGGGTTATATTTATAGCCAGAGAAAAAAAGTGACATACAGAAAACAGAAGTGAGGTATAGAGGTGGCTGGATTGGTTACAGACCTGGTTACAGCCCGGATTTGCCTTCTTGGAACTTGTTTTGAACAGCTGGCTGCCGGCCATTGACTGACACTCGGCTGATGTGATTGGCTGAACCGCCGCTATTTGTTACCATGATACATTCCCAAGTCAGATTTACAGTTTGTTTCTATACTAAATTAGGTTGCGATTCTTCTTGTTCTTCTTCTTTTTTCTTTTTTGAGGCGGAGTCTCGCTCTGTCGCCCAGGCTGGAGTGCAGTGGCGCGATCTCAGCTCACAGCAAGCTCCGCCTCCCGGGTTCATGCCATTCTCCTGTCCCGGCCTCCCGAGTAGCTGGGACTGCAGGCTGCCGCCACCAAGTCCGGCTAATTTTTTTGTATTTTTTTTTAGTAGAGACTGGGTTTCACCTTGTAAGCCATGATGGTCTCGATTTCCTGACCTCATGATCCACCCGTCTCGGCCTCCCAAAGTGCCGGGATTACAGGCGTGAGCCACGGCGCCCGGCCGCGACTCTTTACAAGGACTCCTTGGGAGGCTTCTAGAGCCCAAATGTTGTTTGATGTAAGAATTCCTCCCTTTTGGTCAGCCTCTCAATTTTGAGATATTGATCAAAACTTTGGGCATTGGTATCACTCTTTGTTATCGTTGTAAATTGAGTTATTAGTACTTATTTGCTTTCAGTGTGGCATTTTCAAGTTTTATTTGGTCTCAGTGCCCTCTGGGCAATAGCAGAACACTGTGTTGTGTAAGGCGGAAATAGAGCAATAGAAAATAACAACTGATTTGTTAACATCAGATTACTTCAAGTTACTTGTTTTGGTAAGAATTAAAGCAGAGGGGACTTCTTTATGCTGACTCAGGTAGACTGGAATCTCTTCAGGGAAAAAGGGAGATCTTTTGGGATCTGTCTACTTCCTTAAAGTTTCAGCTTCGTTGTGTGTCATTCAGCGTGAGTGTCTCCATTCTGGTTTTGCCTGCTCAGTGTGGCCTAATGCGGGAGTGGTGACCGAAACAATGACCTCCCGTAGTTTGTTCCACAGTTCTCCCCTTTTGGTTGGGTTCCTGCCTAGGTGAGGGTGTGACTAAAACCTTAGGGCATTAGCAGTATTCTCAGTAACTATCATTTTAGGGTTCCGGTCTTAGGGCATTAGCACTATTCTCAGTAACTATCATTTTAGGTTTCCGGTCTTAGGGCATTAGCACTATTCTCAGTAACTATCATTTTAGGTTTCCGGTCTTAGGGCATTAGCACTATCCTCAGTAACTATCATTTTAGGGTTCCGGTCTCAACACGTCATTTAAGAAGTCAGTAAAGCTTTCTTCTATTGTGACAGCATATTTAATACTGAGAAGGAAAAGAAAATTTTTATCTTGCGAATGTGAGCTTCCTCTAAATTATCAGGTCCAGAGAGGCGTGGGAATGAGGCAGCAGTCACGTCCCATTTCCCGCTTAGCTAAGTAATCATATCTTGAAGCTGCTTGCTATGTAGACTAGACTGACTGTCATCAGCTATAGATTAACCTAAGAGTGTCTTTGAATATTTTTTCCAGTGGCAAATATTTGCTTCTTTTGTATCGTAGCTGAAAGGAATGCTGGGAAACAAAATAAAGGCAAGCATTCATTAGAATAAGTGATCCAGTCACAATGAATCAATTTGAACTTTTTTTTTTTTTTCGCAAAGTCATACTTTGAAAACGTCCAGCCGTAAATTGAAATAGTCTCCAAAATGTGAATTTTTTTCCCTGGTTCTAAGATGACCAGCTTTCTTAGAGAGTGAACTACACCATAAGGAAAATGATATGACCATGTTTACACATATATGTTATCTTAACATAAAACATGTAAAAGGGGCATTTCTTTGAAAGTATATATTAGTCTGTATAATTTACTTTGCAGTATCATGAATGCTCTTATTTTTAAAAGTAGGAGTAGTTACTGTCAATTACTAATTTTTAGTACAAATAATTTAGCAGATATCTGAAAAAATTACAATTTTTAAATAGAGGTTTTATTTTAAATTAGTTTTAGATTCATACAGAAATTGGGAAGAAAATGCAGATTTCCCATGTAGACGCAACCTAGTTTCCCCGCTTTTTAACATACCAACATGTATCAGATAGGTTTAACATCTTTTTTTTTTTTTTTTTTTTTTCAGACAGAGTCTCAACCAGGCTGGAGTGCAGTGGCGTGATCTCGGCTCACTGCAACCTCCGCCTCCCAGGTTCAAGCGATTCTCCTGCCTCAGCCTCCTGAGTAGCTGGTATTACAGGTGCCTGCCATCATGCCCGGCTAATTTTTGTATTTTTAGTAGAGATGAGGTTTCACCACGTTGGCCAGGCTGGTCTTGAACTCCTGATCTCAGGTGATCCGCCTGCCTCAGCCTCCCAAAGTGCTGGGATTACAGGCATGAGCCACCACTCCTGACCAACATCTTACATCATTTCTTGTCATACTTAATGACTGGATATTACTATATTATTAAATAAGCTCACATCTTATTTGGTTTCCCTTAGTTCTGCCTTTTTCTCTCCCAGGATCCTATCTAGGATCCCATAGGACATTTAGTCATCATGTCAGGCTCTTCTTGGCTGTGACAATCTCTCAGACTTTACTTCTGAGGACCTGGAACAGTGTTAGGAGGATTGGTCAGGTATTGTGTAGAATGTCCTCCATTGTGGTTTACTTGGGGTTTTTCTCATAATCAGCCTGGGTTTAGGGGTTTGGGGGAAGCAGAGCAGATGTGTAGTGTGTCCACAAAAAGAGTCAAAGACTGTAAAATATTTTAAGAGATGTATTCTGAGCCAAATATGAGTGACCATGGCCCTTGACACAGCCCTCAGGAGACCCTGAGAACATGTGCCCAAGGTCGTTGGGGTGCAGGTTGGTTCTATACATTTTAGGGAGATAGGAGACATCAATCAAGTGTATTTAAGATATATATTGGTTCGGTCCAGGAAGGTGGGACAACCCAATGGATTAGGGTGGGGGGGGGGCTTCCAGGTTATAGGTACATTTAAAATTTTTCTGATTGGCAGTTTGTTGAAAGACTTACTATCAATAGAAAGGAGTGTCTGGGTTATGATAAGGGGTTATGGAGACCAAGGTTTTATCATGGAAATGAAGCTTCCAGGTAGCAGGCTTCAGAGAGAATAGATTGTAAATGTTTCTTATCAGATTTAAGGTTGTGTTGATGTTAAATGCTGATTGGCTTTTCCTGAATTCCAAAAGGGAGGAGGGCATAATGAGGCATGTCTGACCACCTCTTTCCCATCATAGCCTGAACCAGTCTTCCAGGTTAACTTTGGTGTCCCCTGGTGGAGAGGTGGTTGGGGGAAAGATCTTTGAATTTTATTTTTGGTTTGCAAGTGCTAGTCTAGTCACTTCATGCTCTCAAGATGTGTTATCACCATTAATGTTAACTTTTATCACTTGGTTGAGGCAGTGTTTTCAGGTTTTTCACTGTAAAGTTACTTTTTTCCCATGTCTATATTGTATGTATGCTTTTGGAGGAAGTCATCAGGCAGAGCTCATACTTAAAGGAGTGGGGAGTTAGCCCCACCTCCTTGATGGCTGTCTGTATCAGGTATTTGGAATTCTTCTGTATAAGAGATTTCTATTCAGCCCATTTGCATATCTGTTTAATCATTTATTTATACCAGTATGGGTCCACAGATAGTTACTTTAATCTTTTGGTTGTTATCTAATTGTACAGTATTTTGTTGCTCTTTGTTCATACCTGTGGCCATTGGTAGCTCTTTCCACTGGCTCCTTTTACATAATTTCATGTTTTTTTTATAATTTATTTCTGTTACTTCAAAAGTACCCTGGCTCATATATTTTCTGTCCCAGTCCTAGTTTCAGCTATTTCTTCTAATAGCCCTGATTTCTTTTGTTAGAGAATGGTATGAAAAACTTACATCTGGCCACTAAATGTGGTCATTGCATCATGACACTTACAGCTGACAGTGCAAAGAAATATATGTGTGTCTTCTAACTTATATGTACCCACTTAATTATAAAGGTTTCTATGTGGAACCATCTATGTATATGTTAAGCTAAATGTGAGTTTATACTTACGTTGTATATATATATTCTGACTCATTATGACAGAGATCATTCTAGGCTTCCCTATTTTTTATCTGTAACTTCTCGCTGTAATAATGAGGAACCTGGCTCCTACTATCTGCCATTTATTTCATCCCTTGTACCATTGGGAACAAGGAATTCATTCTTGATCAAGATTCCAGGTTGGGACTTAATAAGAAATATATGTTTGGTCTGTGTCTGCAGTTCCTGGTACAGAGCTTCTAAAACTATTATAATTTCCTGAACAGTAGGGGTGCTAGGAGCATCTTGTGTTCTAATATTTGGTCTTTGGCCCTGGTTCCTGACGCAGAGTTCCTAAATCTCTTGGAATCTCCTGGATAATAGGAATGGCTTCTGTTCTAATAAGGACACTCTGTGGGTTCCTGGATGGTTTCAGGATGGGGATGGTCACCAGAAAGACCAAGCCATGATAAGAAGGTTGTAACTTTTAGCTTAACATGCAATCCTTTGAGGGTGTGAAGGGACTGGAAATTGAGTTAATAATCCGTCATGTCTACATGATGAAGCTTCCATAAAAATTCCTAAAATATGGAATTTGGAAAGTTCCAGATCAAGGCTGACAGATTTGATGTCTAGTGAGGGCTCATCTATCATAGATAGTGCCTTCTAGCATGTCGTGACATGGCAGAATGGGGAAACGGGCTCCTAGATGCTTTTATAAGGGCACTGGTTTCATTCATGAGGACAGCACTCTCATGATCCGATCACCTCTCGGTTACCTCTGAATACCATCCCTTTGGGGATTACATTTCAAAATAGGAATTTGGGGTGGGGGTGTACACACATTGAGACCATAATAACTAGTAAACATAAGTAAGTATTTCCTAGTTCCATAAGCCATCATAGCAAATTGTCAAACCTGAAGAGGGGGTGTAGGAATGCCTAGTTTCTAGCCAAGTCATATAGAAGTTTGGGTAAACTGGGGATTCACAACTTGTGATTGGCATCTGAGGTTGTGGACAGTCTGGTGTTACTAAGCCGTTAACCTGTAGGGTGTATACTAACTCCAGGTAATCAGTGTCACAGTTGAATTACAGGATACCCAATTGTTTTCCAGAGAGTTGGAATATTGGTTGGTATGGGAAACACCCCCCACCCCCCACAATTTGCTGTTAAAAGTGGAGTGTTGATAGTATAGAGGAAAATCATGGTTATTTTTCTTTTTACAGATATAGTAGTTTCAAAATTAACTATTATCCCTATGGGAAATAACTTTATAAAATAGAGTCCACTGTTCGTGTATATAGTACGTTTTGTTTTTAGTCTATGGATTCTACTCATTTCCAGCTCAGCACCTTTGGCCCACCACTTGCAACATACATTGGTAATACAGTTAGATTCTTGGTTGCACTCTGTATTTTGTCCTTAGATACTTCCACATCCTAAATAATTTAATTTGTGTAGCTTGTGATTTGTTCTTTGTGCATTAAAATTCTGTGGGTTTTATCAAATGCATAGTGTCAGATATCCACTACTGAAGTAGCATACAGAATACTTCAAATCCCCACCCCAGACAGTCACTGATCTGACTATCATCTCTTTGGTTGTGCTTTTTCCAGAATGTTATATGAATGGAGTCATATAATGTATAGCATCTTCATACTGCCACCCTTTACTTAGCAACATAGATGCAAGATTCATTCATTTGTTTTCATGGATTGACAGTTCATTCCTTTCTGTTGGTGAATGGTATTCCATTGCATGGTTGTACTTCAAATTGATTATGCATTCAGCTATTGAAGAACGTTCTGACTACTTCAAGTTTTGGCCATGATGAGTAGAGTGGCTCGTATATAATTACATGCTAGTTTTTGTTTGAACATAATTTTTCAAAGCAGCTGTCTAAACATACACAATTTAGGGGTGCATTTGTTGGATTGTAAGGTAAGACTTGTTTATCTTTGGGAAAAACTGTCAAACTATTTCCCAAAGTGGCTGTACCCATTCATGCATTCTGCCAGTAATGAATGGCCGTACCTATTGTTCTTCAACCTCCAATTGTTACTGTTGAGCTTTTTTAAGAGTCCCACAGTTGTACTAGGTGTGCAGTGATATCTCAGCATTATTTTAATTTGCAGTCTCCTAATGAGATATATTGAGCATCCTTTTGTGTGATTATGTGCTATCAGTATATTTTCTTTTTTTTTTTATTTTATTGAGATAGAGTCTCGTTCTGTCACTCAGGCTGGAGTGCAGTGGCGTGATCTTGGGTCACTGCAACCTCCACCTCCGATGTTCAAGCAATTCTCTTGCATCAGCCTCCCAAGTAGCTGGGATTACAGGCACCCACCACCATGCCTGGCTAATTTTTTTGTATTTTTAGTAGAGAGGGGGTATCACTATGTTGGCCAGGCTGATCTCAAATTCCTGACCTCAGGTGACTCACCCGCTTCAGCCTCCCAAAGTGCTGGGGTTATAGGCATGAGCCACCACACCTGGCCTGCTATCTATATATTTTCTTTGGCTGGATGTCTGTTCAGATATTTACCCAGTTTTATTTGGGTTTTTAGTTTTCTTAGTGTTCCTTTGAAGAGTTCTTTGTGTATTTTCAATACAGTTTTTAAAATCACGTTTGTATTTTGTAAATATCTTCTGACAGTGTGTCTTGTCTTTTTGTTCTCTGAATAGGGTTTTTCATAGTAGAAAATTTAGTTTTATAAAGTCTGTTCTCAGTATTTTCACGAATTGGCACTTGATGCTGTGTGTTAAAACTCAACACCAGATCCAATGTCTCTTAGGTTTTCTTTTAGATTATTTATAGTTTTGCATTTGAAGTTGTAGTCTCTGGACTATTTTGAGTAGGTTTTTGTGTTTTACTTTGTGTATAGAGTCATTTCATTCTATATGGCTTCCAAATAATTCTTCCATCACCATTTATGGGAAGGGTATGGATATACTGGCCTTTATTTCGGTTTGAATTTCCAAAATTATGACACTGAATAAACTGAATATTGAATTTTATAGGTATTTCAGGACAGCCAGGAGGGGGCGCACATCCGCCGCGAAACTGTGAGCAAGAGCGTCTGTGCTGAACCATGGCGCCACCAGAGGGCGCGCGATCCCGCCCCAACCAACTTCCCGCTGAAGTGCCAGAAGCAGCGAGGAGCTTCAACTTCCTCAGGGCAGCACGGGGGTCGTGTTAATTTGGTGTTCTTCATTGGTGAGTAAAAAGCTCCTGTCCACGGCCCTGAGTGCCAAGGAGTGAGTCTTTAGAGCACTCAGCAGAGGAAGAAATTCATCTAGAAAAATAAAGCCCCCAAATCTCACTATTTGGAGTACACCCTAATATCATTGTCAACGTCCAAGACACAGTGGCTGCTAATATATATTCTTACAGTGGCCTCTAATATAATAATCACACTGTGCTCTACATTACTATGATATCTACACCGTGCCCTAACACCTATATAATATTCACACCATGCGCTAACACTGATGTAATCCACAACATCGCTTCCAATACTAATGTAATAATATCCACACCATGCCCTATCACTGATCTAGTCCACACCATCGCTTCCAATACTAATGTAATAATATCCACACCATGCCCTATCACTGATCTAGTCCACACCATCGCTTCCAATACTAATGTAATAATATCCACACCATGCCCTATCACTGATCTAATCCACACCATCGCTTCCAATACTAATGTAATAATATCCACACCATGCCCTATCACTGATCTAGTTGACAACATCGCTTCCAATACTAATGTAATAATATCCACACCATGCCCTATCACTGATCTAGTCCACACCATCGCTTCCAATACTAATGTAATAATATCCACACCATGCCCTATCACTGATCTAATCCACACCATCGCTTCCAATACTAATGTAATAATATCCACACCATGCCCTATCACTGATCTAATACACACCATCACTTCCAATACTAATGTAATAATATCCACACCATGCCCTATCACTGATCTAGTCCACACCATCGCTTCCAATACTAATGTAATAATATCCACACCATGCCCTATCACTGATCTAGTCCACACCATCGCTTCCAATACTAATGTAATAATATCCACACCATGCCGTATCACTGATCTAATACACAACATCACTTCCAATACTAATGTAGTAATATCCACACCATGCCCTATCACTGATCTAGTCCACACCATCGCTTCCAATGCTAATGTAATAATATCCACACCATGCCCTATCACTGATGTAATCCACACCATCGCTTCCAATACTAATGTAATAATATGCACACCATGCCCTATCACTGATCTAGTCCACACCATCGCTTCCAATACTAATGTGATAATATCCACAGCATGCCGTATCACTGATCTAGTCCACACCATCGCTTCCAGTACTAATGTAATAATATCCACACCATGCCCTATCACTGATCTAATCCACACCATCGCTTCCAATACTAATGTAATAATATCCACACCATGCCCTATCACTGATCTAGTCCACACCATCGCTTCCAATGCTAATGTAATAATATCCACACCATGCCCTATCACTGATGTAATCCACACCATCGCTTCCAATACTAATGTAATAATATGCACACCATGCCCTATCACTGATCTAGTCCACACCATCGCTTCCAATACTAATGTGATAATATCCACACCATGCCCTATCACTGATCTAGTCCACACCATCGCTTCCAGTACTAATGTAATAATATCCACACCATGCCCTATCACTGATCTAATCCACACCATCGCTTCCAATACTAATGTAATAATATCCACACCATGCCCTATCACTGATCTAATCCACACCATCGCTTCCAGTGCTAATGTAATAATATCCACACCATGCCCTATCACTGATCTAGTCCACACCATAGCTTCCAATACCAATGTAATAATATCCACACCATGCCCTATCACTGATCTAATCCACACCATCGCTTCCAATACTAATGTAATAATATCCACACCATGCCCTATCACTGATCTAGTCCACACCATCGCTTCCAATACTAATGTAATAATATCCACACCATGCCCTATCACTGATCTAATCCACACCATCTCTTCTAATACTAATGCAATAATATCCACACCATGCCCTAACACTGATGTAATATCTGCACCATTCCCCAACACCAATACAATATCCACACCGTTCCCTAACACTAATCTAAATATCCATACCATGCCCTAACACTAATATATTGACACAGTGGCCTCTAATACTAATAAATATAATAATATCTACTAAGTGGACTCTGTTGACATTGAGACTTTGTTAAGGGTTTTACAGCTTTGGCTGAACTATAGCCTCTGTAATGGATTTTGATGATGTGTCTGCTTTCCTGGCATGGTATTGACATGGTTGTTTTAAAAAGTAACTTATTTTCCAATAATGTCATATGTCTAGGCAACTTCCAGTAGTAGTACAAAGTACAGCTTGTTTCTTCCCTTAGATTCCCCAACAGTTATTGCTGTACCAGATTTGCAGTGTCCCACAAAATACTCCGGTATATTGTACTGAAAGCATGGACACTCTCCCAGGTAACTACCACATAACCCCTAGATCAGGAAATCAGCGTTGTTCCTACATGATAATTCGGTCCACAAACTCACTTCAGTTTTACCTCATGCCACACTTGGGAGTATAATGTTTTTTTTTTTTTTTTTATTAGGATCCAGTTTTCTTTTCCTGGAACTGTTCCCCAGACTTTCCTGCATATTTATGACCTTGACACATTTAAAGAGCATACAGGTTTTTGTTTGAACAGTTGTTTTCAGGTCTTTGGGGTATATACCTAGGAATGGAATCATTAACTCATATGGTAAATCTATTTGTAACTTTATGAGGAAACATCAAATTATTTTACACGTAGGCTGCACCATTTCATATTGTCACAAGCAGTGTTTAAGAGTTCAAGTTTCTGCACATCTTTGTCAACACTTGTTATTTTTTAGTATAACTATTCTTGTGTGAGTTAAGGGTTATCTCTTTATGGTTTTAATTATGGTAATGATGTTAAGCATCTTTTCATGTGCTTGTTGGTGAAGTGTGTCTTTTGTCAATTTTTAGATTGGGTTGTCTTTGCTATGGAGTTGTAAAAGTTCTTTATACATTCTGGATAACAGACACTGATGAAGTATCTAATGTGCAGACATTTTCTTCCATTTTATAGGTTGTTGGAACGTAATAAGAGTTAATGTGTGGTCTCTGCTGCAGTGTCCTGAAACAGAGCGCTAAGCCTTGGGAATGTACGAAGTAATGTGTCTTTCGTACGCTAATGAAATGATTGATGGCTGGGGGCACCTGGACAGCCTCAGTGGGGCTGGCTGCCAAGGGAAGCAACCTTGTCATGAGAGAATTTGAAATTTCTTCCCCCGTCCCGTCTCTGTGAAGGGGAGAGGTGCTGATGGTTGAGTTGATCACCTATGGCCACAGACGTAACCAATCTGCCTGTGTAATAAAGGACAGGGTTGGGAGAGCATCTGTGTTGCTCTCCCAACACAAGAGATACTGGGAGGATCATATCTGGCGAGGGCATGGGAGGCCTGCATTCCTTCCATATACCTCACCTTGTGCATCTCTTCATCTGGCTTTTCATTTGTAGTGTTTAAAAGATCCTTGGTAATGAGTCAGGAATAGTAAGTACACTGCTTTCATGGGTTGTGTAATGTGATGTAGCAAATTGCTGAACCCAATAAGGGTGTTGTGGGAGTCTCCAATCTGTAGGAAAGTCAGACAGAAGGTAACCTGGGAACCTACTGTTTGTGGTTGGCATCTTAAGTGGTTACAGTCTTGTAACTTAGTACCCATATTTTCTTAAAGAAGAAATGAATTAGTTTTACCATTTTGCTGTTCCTGCACTTAGCTCTTTAGGAATGCAATTATAAGCTTTACTGTCTCTCCACCAGACACTTCCTATACTGCAAACTTTTCCAACTGTGTGATTACTTATAAGTTCCAGGGACCAAACCTTGAAACAAACTGGCACTTCCATATCTCTCCCCCACCAGTAGATTGGCAGCAGACAACAGTCAGTTTACAACCTGGCTCTGCCCGTGGTGGTGCTAGCAAGACCACCTAATGGAGAAAACATCAGAGCATGTCCCATAGACCCCGCACCTCCTCACCTCATCCCCTGCATGCCATTCTGGCAAGTCCGAAAGCCCAGCTTTCTGCCCAGAAAGTGGAAGCGCTTCCCTTAAGGCAAGAGCCTGTATGTTCCCTTCAGCTAAGCTCTGGCATAAAGTCACTTTCTTTTTACCATCCTTGTGTTTGTCATTTAAATTTGCAAGCGACAAGGGGCATGACGTGTATTCCTAGGACTGAGCCCTTAGCCTGTGGGGTCTGATGCTTTCTCCATTTACTGTCACAATTGGATTGCACTGTAGGACACGCAGCTGGTACCCAAGATTTGGTCTGTGTGGGGAAAAAACCCATGTATCTGGTAACAGAAGTGTTCTGTGTTGAGTGTTGAGAGTATACTATAAGACAGTTGTTTTTCCTATTATAACATTTTGTCTTTCAACTTTTTTCTTCATGTCTTCTGAGACGTAAAAGTTGTGAATTTTGAGGAAATAAATTGATTTATTTTTCCTTTTGTGGTCTGTGCTTTTGGTGTCAGATGTAGGAAACTATTGCTACGTGTAAGGTCATGAATGCTTAACTGTACGTTTTCTTCCAGAGTTTTTAGTTTTCACCTGTTTTGGTCTTTGATCCATTGTAAGTTAATTTTTTATGTGGTATGAGGTAAGGATACAATTTCATTTCCCTTTATGTGGATAGCAAGTTGCCTTACATCACTTGTTGAGGACAGGATTCTTTCCCCAATTTACTGGTAATGGACCTTGTCTAAAATCAGTTGAGCATAGAGGTATTGTTTTCTGTCTGGACTCCCAATTCAATTCAGTTGATCTTTCTGTTTATTCCTGTGCAAGGATCCCACTGTTTTTATTACTCTTCCTTTGTAATAAAATTTGAAATTGGGATGTGATCAGGATCAGCTTATCCACTTCTGTCCCAAGGCCTTTGGGATTTTTGTAGGAATAACATCGAATCCACGGATTGCTTTGTGTACTTTGGGAAACTTAACAATGTGGTCTACAAATCCACAAATAAGATACATTTTTACATTTACTGGAAGTTTAATTTCCTTAAGTAATGTCTTATAATTTCCCTCATCTAAGTCTTGTCGTTTCATTCCATTTATTCCTAAGTATAATATTGCTATTGGTATTGTTTAAGGTAGAATTTTCATAATTTGGTGTAGAGATTATCCATTCCTAGCATATACATATAAAATGGAATGTTTGGCCAGGCACCCGGGCTCATACCTATAACCCAAGCAGGTTGAGAGGCTGAGGAAGGGTTAGGGTTAGGGTTAGGGTTGGGGTTGGGGTTGGGGTTAGGCTTAGGGCTTAGGGCTTAGGGCTAGGGCTAGGGCTAGGGCTAGAGTTAGGGTTGGGTTAGGGTTGGGTTAGGGTAGGGTTAGGGTTAGGGGTTAGGGGTTAGGGTTTGGGTTCGGGTTTGGGTTATGGTTAGGGTTCGGGTTCAGGTTCGGATTTAGGGTTCAGGTTTATGGTTCGGGTTAGGGTTCAGGTTAGGGTTTGGGTTGGGTTTAGGGTTAGGGTTTAGGGTTAGGGTTTGGGTTAGGGGTTAGGGGTTAGGGTTAGGGGTGAGGGTGAGGGTGAGGATGAGGGTTAAGGTTTAAGGGTTAAGGGTTAGGGGTTAGGGTTAGGGTTAAGGGTCAGGGTCAGGGGTTAGGGTCAAGGGTTAGGGTCAAGGGTTAGGGTTAGGGGTTAAGAGTTAGGGGTTAGGGATTATGGTTTGGGTGAGGGTGAGGTGTGAGGGTGAGGATGAGGGTTAGCGTTTTAGGGTTATGGTTAGGGTTAAGGGTTAGGGCTAGCGGTTAGGGGTTAAGGGTTAGGGGTAGGATAAGGGTAAGGATTAGGGTTAGGGTCAGGGTAAGGGTAAGGGTTATGGTTAGGGTTTTAGGGTTAGGGTTTTAGGGTTAGGGTTAGGGGTTAGGGGTTAGGGTTAGGGTTAGGGTTAGGGTTAGGATTAGGGTTAGGGGTTAGGGTTAGGGTTAGGATTAGGGGTTAGGGTTAGGGTTAGGGTACTGTAAATAATTTCACATTATTACTAATAATAAATTATTATTTGTATTACACTATTACATAATGTAAAGGCTATTAAGACATGTTTGTCTTCAAAGAATGGCCTTGGTTTCTGTGGGCAGTGCCTCCTCATGGAAGGGTAATGCATTCCTGCTAAATCATGGACAAAACGGGCTTCCAGGAGCTACAGGCTGCAGCAGCAGCTCCTCCTCTAAGTCCTTCACTGCCTCAAACTCTTGTTGACTTTGTAAGCTTCTTTCAGTCTAGTTTTTTCAACAGAGCTAGTATTTCATGAGGTTCTACTACATACCAGGTTCCAGAAATCTAAATGCCTTTTGTTTGTTATTTTTCACTAAATACAAATCACAACTCTCTCCTCATTACTCACACAACAAAATTTAGCTGAGGGAGATTGAGTGACTTTCCTAGGGTCACATAGCTACTAAGAGCAGAGCCGTGTTTAGATTCATGTGGGAATATTGAACACAGAAATGAACCAGTGGAAACATCCTGTGTTCCAAAAGCCTACTCAAGCCATTTGTTCTTATTTTAAGGAAAATCTTTATGCTAATTTTAAACTCCAAATACTTATGAATGGCAGAGATCTACAGATTTGATTCTGATGTAAGAAATGATGGTCACCAGCCGGTTACTGCTACCACCCCACAACCCCGAGCATACTGGACGAATGTCTAAGCCTTGTGGTTAGTGGGGACAATGCTGGTGGAGTCTGAAGTTGTCATGCAGTGACTCATGCAAGCTTAGGCAGATTTGGTGATATATGACACAGAGATGCAAAGAAATGTTGTAGCTGACACACACAGGCTGGCTCTGGGAGATGCAGAAGGAGCACGTCACCCAAAATAGAGCCAGACAGACATCCTTAAGGAAGGAGCAAAGGGGCTGCATCTTAAAGAATGTAGAAAGGATTTGTCATGAGAGATGGGGCAGGAAGTTCTTCAGAGGCAGAGGGAGAGCATGAGAATGTTGGGAAGGGAGGAGAGATTCTTGCACATCTGGGAAGCTGACAATCCATCAGCATGGCCAGAAGGAAAATAAGGAGGAGGAGCAGAAATAGATGAGGCTGGATATAGAAGCAGGGCTGAAGCTGTGTCGATTGTGGTAAAGAGTTGTGATTCTATCCAGAACGCAATAGGTAGCATTCTAAACAGAGATCTTTTAAAACAAGAGTCAGCAAGTATTTTCTGCAGGGGGCTAAATGTTAAATATTTTAAGTTTTCCAAGCCATATGGTCTCTCTCTCAATGACTCAGCTCTTCCATTATACCATGAAAGTAGCCAGAGACATTATGTAACACATGTATTGGCTGTGTCCCATTACAACTTTACTTACAAATGCAGACTGTGTCAGACATGGTCCATGCATGGTAGTTTGCCACACCCTGTTTTAGAAAGCTCAGGTTTATGATGTGATGGAGAATGCCTACAAGAGCTCTTGTTTTAAATGGTAGAGTGAACATACACTGGAATTCTATCCTGCTTGACCCAAGCTCTTGATAGCGAAAGGTAGAAAAGATAGATGGTAAATAGATAGATAGATGATAGATAAAGAAAATACATAGCTGTTCCAGAAAACAGAAATGGATAACTTCATGAACCAAAAGCAGAGTAATATGCTTTAGAAAGGAAGCAGGCCGGAAAACCCACAGTTGCAAAACAAATAGAATTTCCAACTGCCTCTTGTAGCCCCTTCCTGGAAGTAGTCACAGCCCAGGGTGTTCGACTACTTCCTCTGTTTTTTGTTTGTTTGTTGTTTGCTTTTCTGTGGGGTTTCTGTTGTTGTTGTTTGCTTTTAAAAAAAAATTCCCTTTCCCTGCTTTTTTGTCACAGCAGCCTTTGTCACTTCAAACACCGCAAGTGTTCTTTAAAAAAAATTATATCAACCTTTCAATTAAAATGCAACATGTCTGAAAGTTGGTATCTGGAGAGGTGAGTTGGACAAAGGAGCCCTTGTTACTGCACGTTTTCATTCTTCAAATTTCACCTTGCACGCAGTAACAGACAGTGCACAAAGCCACTTCCTTATGGACGGAAATTCTGAAATCCTTTTATGCCTGGCCTTTCCATCCTTCAACTTCCCCTCTCCCACGCTGTGAATGATTGTATTGGACATTTTTGTTTTAATGTCAGTGACAGGGGAACACAGGTAGCTCTAATATAGCTGTGACCCAGATGCTTCTGTTTCTAGCATGTATTTATTTTGTAGCAAACATTTACATCCATGATGTTTCACTGTCTTTTGAAAATAATTAGGCAATATCTCATCTGAGGTAGGATGTTTCTAGGGGTTGTGTTCTGAGGGAGGAAAACTAATCTGTTCTCTTTCCACTGCATTCTAGGAACAGTAAGAGGACCTTGTGCATGAATAATTTGTTTCCACACTACAGAGTGGGTAATAAGCAGACTAGTAAAAACAATTCTGCTTCACTTCAATAACAGCCTCCTCCAACTCATTTTTTCTCAACAAACTTATTTTTCCAGCAGAAGAATCCCAGACTTCTTAGAGAACCCAGTGACTTTTTGCACCTTAAATCTGTGAAATCCTCATGTTTTCTTCTGCCGTATCCATAGTTCAAACAAAGATGAGGCAAAGCTAGACGCATTCCTGAAGGAACCCAAGAAATTCCTCTCTTTCTTTCTCTGGAATGAAATGAATTCTCTAGACCACCAGTTCTAACCTTCAAAAACCAAACCTGTTTGTGAGATCTTCAAATACTACTGTAGACCCCAGTGTTTATTCATTAAATTTTTTAAATATTTGTTTTATTTGGAATCAAAGTATTTGTAATTTTAGTGTTTGTATTAATATCAGGGAGAAATGTTTAAATCTGTCTTATGCCATATGTGCCTCTGGCTTATTGCCCAATTAATTGTAGTCTCAGGCTAAACTTTGGTTTCTGTCTTTAATTTTTGTCAGAAGAAATATAACTGATCTCAAAACATCTGCTTTTATTGTAGGGGCTCGTGCTGCCGTCTCCATTCTTCTCTCTTTTCTTGCAATCTGGGTGGAAGTTCTTTAATATGAACATTTCAACCACCTTCATTCTACCATGTCCACTATCAGCACATTCAAACTGATCCAGCCAAGGCTGTCATCTTAGGCCAGGGATTTTTTAGGAATCTATTTTGCTGTGATGCGGCTGGCACCCCTTTGACTCACTGTATCACCCCAGGGTTCTTTTCATTTCAGAAGCCCAAGAGGGCAGAAAAAGAAGTAGGTGAGCAATTAAACACTCTGAGTCAGGAGCGTCTCCCCTTGCGTTAAGCAATGTTGTAGAACATCGATGTTCTACATCGATGTTGGTGACCTTGGTACCATTTTGTCCACTTGATTGGAAAAGCCAGTCAATAATTTCAGGTCACTGTTGGCCTTAGAAGAAGAGCCCAAAGGCAACAAGCAAAGGCGCTGGTGTCCAGTCGCCTTCTAGAAGCATTTTCACTTTCCCTTAAGGTTTCCCTTGATGAACATAGAAGTACTGTATGTAGAATTGACCCAGTGCTGCCCTGGCAACTTTGTATATTAGGCCAAATTTACATTTCTTACCTTTATGAGAGGCACCCTGGTAGGCTAGTGGAGTTACACACAAAGTCTGATCTCAGCTGCACTGTCCAGAAATGCAACACGGTCCAATCAAATAACATTCTCTGAGCCTGTTTCTTTAGCTGTGAAAGAAGAATAACATACCCATCTAAAAAGGCAGCTTATTGTATTTGATTGGTCTTTTATTTTCTATGAAACTGTGTTTAACACAGTAATTATTTTCATTTGTGTACTACATTTGTGTTGTGTTTTTGGTTTTAGTTTTGTTTTTGAAATGGAGTCTTTTTTTTAGTGGTTTTTTGTTTTGTTTTGTTTTGTTTTGTTTTTGAGATGGAGTCTTTCTATTGTCACCCAGGCTAGAGTGCAGTGGCGTGATCTCCGCTCACTGCAACCACCACCTCCCAGGTTCAAGTGGTTCTCCTGCCTCAGCCTCCTGAGAAGCTGGGATTACAGGTGCCCACCACCATGCCCAGCTAATTTTTAAAATATATTTTTAGTAGAGATGGGGTTACAACATGTTGCCCGGGCTGGTCTCAAACTACTGACGTCAAGTGATCCACCTGCCTTGGCTTCCCAAAGTGCTGGGATTATAGGCATGAGCCACCGCGCCTGGCTTGTTTTAAAATAAGGGTTTCTTGGCTAGGCATGGTGGCTCACACCTGTAATCCCAGCACTTTGGGAGGCCAAGGTCAGTGGATCACCTGAGGTCAGGAGTTCGAGACCAGCCTGACCAATATGGAGAAACCCTGTCTCAACTGAAAATACAAAATTAGCCAGGCGTGGTGGTGCATGCCTGTAATCCCAGCTACTCAGGAGGCTGAGGAAGGAGAATTGCTTGAACCCAGGGGGCAGAGATTGCAGTGAGCTGAGATCGCACCATTGCACTCCAGCCTGGGCAACGAGCAAAACTCTGTCTCAAAATAAAAAAAAGATTTCTTAAAATGATATTTTCAGTATTTTATAGATGATGTGTAAGCAGCAAGCTTAATAGGATGTTACCCGACACTTTGCGAGACTGGCAGCTGATTTGATCCAGATGTCTCTAATTCTTTTTTCTTTTTCTTTTTCTGTTTTTTTTTTTTGACAGAGCCTTGCTCCGTCCCCCATGCTGGAGTGCAGTGGCACGATCTCGGCTCACTGCAACCTCCACCTCCCGGGTTCAAGCGATTCTCCTGCCTCAGGCTCCCGAGTAGCTGGGATTACAGGCGCGCGCCACCATGCCCAGCTAATTTTTTGTATTTTTGGTAGAGACAGCATTTCACCATGTTGGCCAGGCTGGTCTCGAACTCCTGACCTTAGGTGATGTGCCTGCCTCGGCTTCCCAAAGTGTTAGGATTACAGGCGTCAGCCACTGTGCCTGGCCCAGATGTCTCTAATTCTAACATGAGATGTATTGCAGGATCATAGCAGAGTGAGTTGCTGATGTATCCAGAAGGAAACGAGCATGGAACACTCACGACAGCTGTCCTGAGAAGTGTGTGTGTGCTGTGCTTGAATATCTCACTGCTCATTTATACACAGGCTTTCCGGTGACTGAGTTAACAGTATCTGTTTCATAAATAATGTAGCCCTCTTTCTTTCTTTCTCTCTCTCTCTTTTTTTTTTTTTTTTTTTTGAGACAGGGTCTTGCTCTGCTACCCAGGCTGGAGTGCAATGGTGCAGTCTCAGCTCACTGCAACTTCACCATGCCTGGCTAATTTTTTCTTTTTTTTTTTTTTTGAGACGGAGTTTCGCTGTTTTTGCCCAGGCTGGAGTGCAATGGCACAATCTCGGCTCACCACAATCTTTGCCTTTTGGGTTCAAGGGATTCTCCTGCCTCAGCCTCCCGAGTAGCTGGGATTACAGGCATGTGCCACCACACCCGGCTAATGTTGTAGTTTTAGTAGAGACGGGGTTTCCCTATGTTGGTTAGGCTGGTCTCAAACTCCTGACCTCAGGTGATCTACCCGCCTCGGCCTCTCAAAGTGCTGGGATCACAGGCGTGAGCCATCACTCCTGGCCTAATTTTTGTATTTTTAGTAGAGAGAGGGTTTCACTCTGTTGGCCAGGCTGGTCTCGAATTCCTGACCTCAAGTTATCTGCCTGCCTTGGCCTCCCAAACTGTTGGAATTACAGGCGTGAACCACCATGCCTGGCCAGCTCTATTTCTTTAAGCCTACATGTTTTGCACTTGTTAAAAGTATTTGAACATACAATTACTCAGCTTCCCTTGTTTACGCGTGAATTTTGTAGAATCTTAAATATTTTTTCCAATCTAAGCTTTATTTTATCCCGTTTCTTCTATATTTGTATAACTTTAGGCGGCTATCTTCATTGAAAGTTTTTTCTCAAAAGCCTTAAGATAGAACGTAGTTCTTGGCAGCAATTTGAAAGTTATTTGAGGAGAAGGGGAGACTTACAATGATGATTCAAATGAAGGAAACTAAAAAGTAATGAAGCAAGGCAGAGGAAAAAGCAGTACTCACTTGAGCACATCCCAAAAGAATAACATTTCAAATGTAACTAGAAAAAAGTATGCTGAAGTTCGCAATACAGAAATAATTATTAATAAGATAGCTTTAAAGCCCTGCTCAGCTTTTGAATGTTGGGAATTGACCCAGAGGTGGCTGTAACCTAAGATGGTTCCTTCAGTAATGACCATTTTTTCTTTTTCAAGATGATGATTATTCCCCACCTTCTAAGAGACAAAGACCAACGAGCCACCACAGCCACCAGTCCCAGAACCTGCCAATGCTGGGGAACGGAAAATGAGGGAGTTCAACTCTGGTAAGTTCTCAGCGAAATCCATGACCTTTTCCTTTATCTTCTGGACTCTCAGTGTGACTGATGAAAGTTACCACATGCTCTGCAGGGGGAAATGGTTTAGCATGTGTTACTACATCTTAATCACATCTTTGTAAAGCCAGGAGCATTTTACAAGTCACGTTACAGACATTGTTTAAACATAGTCTGTATTTACCAAAGTATAGGACATTGTATCATCTCATATTAATTAGTTAGTTGGCTCAAAATTAGTGCTAATGACTTAGTAATTCAGTGATTTCTGTTAGCTTTAAAACCTTTATTTCAGAACTATTTCACCTCTTGGTTTTCATTTTTGCGGTGTGTCACTGCCTGCTGGCTGCTAATTTATTAACTCCCAGTGAATCATGTCCTGTGAAGGGACTGAATATTAGTGGCAATGTATGTTGATGATTTGTATTTTGAATAAATAGTTTGAATACATAGAACATTAAGCTTGTATACATTTTGAAAATAGTATTTTAATATTCTACTGTGTCATAGTTACAATGATTGGATATATATTGAATTTATATGTACTTTAAGTTGTTATATGTTTATGGTCTTTAGCATTCTAACGTGCAATTGTATATCTGTTAAGTCTTTTTTTTTTTCGAGATTAGACTGATTTATTGAGGCGTCTGTTTGATGCCACATTAAGTGGCCCAGGCTTTGTGTAGGGGTTGAGGTTAAAGCAGGAAGAAGGGTGGTGAGAGGCGGGGCACCAGGGTTAGGTTGGAATACCTGGGGGTGCTCTGAGGCTCCCCAAGTTTCCCTGGTCTTGGCCGGCTGTGCTGCTGGCCTGGGCATCTGATGGGCCTGCAAGGGTGGTCCAGGGACTAGGGCAGGGACTTTGGAGTCACGCCGTTGGCTTTGAATCCAGACTCCTACACTTGGTAGCTGTGAACTCTCCATGCCTCAGGGACCTGCAGAACTGAGCTCTGTCTGAGCCAGGTTCCATCCAGGCACTGCGCATCCATCCAGAGGGGCACTGCCTCAGGCTGCTCGCTATTCACTGCCTTCCCAAGCAGACCCTTGTCTCCTTCTAGGCCCTCACAATCCAGTGGAGGAGACGAAACTCATCTGCCTCTGTCCCTCTGGGCACGCCTCATGCCAGGTGCATCTGTGGACAGGGGCCATGCTCCTGGGCTTCCAAAGTTGGAGAAAGCTGCCAGGCTCAGGTGGGTACATCACAGCAGCTGCTGCCCTCTGAACACAGTGACAAAAGAACACTCTGGGCCTGGAGCCCTGGTCTGGGGCATTGGGCAAGGCTGTTGCACTTCTCTGATCCCATTTCCCCATCTGGAAAGTGCGCTGATTGTATCTCCCTGTGGGCACTGAGGGCTCAGTGTTAGTTTGAGAGCCAGCATCTGGGGTTTGGGCTGTAATTCCCCGTCAGCCCCATAGCTGCGGGGAACCAGGGACTTTGTTGGGATTACCCTAGGCATCAGTTTAGCTTCCTGCCCCTGGCTTGGGCTCAGCACCTGAAGTAGTCTAGGGGGTAGGTGGTGCTGGTGGGGGCTGGGGCTTTTACCCAGACTGAGGTCACACCCAGAGCCAGAAGTCTTGGTGCCTGCTCTGGGCAAAGGTGCCAGCCTGTGTGACAAGAGCGAAACTCCGTCTCCAAAACAAAAACAAAAAACCTTGCATCATTTCAAGGGGCTCACACCTCCCTAAGGGCCTGGTAATTGGCTGGCTCTGGCCTGCATCTGGCCCCGAGGGTGTAGGTAACACCCCACCTTACCTGGTTTCTTCCTGCCAGGGCCAATCTTCAGACCTCAGGACTTTACAGCCTATCCCACCTCCCCTCTGGCCAGCCTTGAGCCCTTGTGGGTCCAGCACTTTTTCCAGGCTGTCTCCTGGTTGTCCTTCTGCCTCGAGGCCTGGCTCATGCTGCTCCCCCTCCCACTCTCCAAGACCCACAAGGACCACTCCACACCCAGCTCAGCCCCGTCCCCTCAGATAGTCCTTTCTCTTTCCTCAGGTGGCCAGGTGCATATCTTGGTGTGAGGACCTTCGCTGTATCTGGGAATGCCTACTGGTTACCTTGGTAACAGAGAACAAGGCATTTACCTGATATGAGTGTCTTGGTTCACTGTCTACATGGCTAGGGAGGGAATCAATAATAGGCTTTTCACTTGCTGCAAGGGCCGGTTCTCCTGGCCCCATGGCTCTAGGGATGGAGGACGCTGCAGGAGATGCAGCGCTCACTTCCTAGCTGAGGACTGTGGGTCATCTCAGGGCGATTTCACAGTCCCCACATGCCCCACCCCCTCAGCTCTGCAAATACCAAGCAGTGCAGCCTGCCTAGGGGATGATGGGCTCGAGAGTGCCCAGGTAGTGCCCAGAGTGCCCTTGGCAGGCCCCTCACCTGGCTGCTTCCACAGCTCTGTAGCAAGAGTTCTAACCTTTTTTCACCGTGAAGCCTGCTGAGAATAAGAGCTGTGGACTGTTTTCCCAGAAAGGCATGTACATGCTCTCCACACAAAACCTTTCATTGTGGCCAAGCACAGTGGCTGATGTGATCCCAGAACTTTGGGAGGCGGAGCCAGTCGGATCACCTGAGGTCAGGAGTTCAAGACCAGCCTGGCCAACATGGCGAAACCCTGTCTCTACTAAAAATACAAAAAATTAGCCAGGCGTGGTGGCAGCCACCTGTAATCCCAGCTACTCCAGAGGCTGAGGCAGGAGAATCACTTGAACCTGGGAGGCGCAGGTTGTAGTGTGGTGAGATCACGCCACTGCACTCCAGCCTGGGCGACAGGAGCGAAACTCTGTCTCAAAAAACAAAACAAAACAAAACCTTGCATCCTTTCAGGGGGCTCACACCTCCCTAAGGGCCCAGTAATTAAACCCTTTGGGCCTGAGGGTGAGAAACTTTGTCTCAGTTCTTCCCCAAGTGATCAGCCCAGGGGTAAGGAAGGAGAAGCCAGAAAGCAGGACCCATGAGAAGGGCCCCCTCCTGGAGTTTGAGGCCCACTCCCTCCTGCCCCTGCCTCTCCTCTGTCCAGGACTCCTCCCTGCTCTGCCCCACTCCTGGGGCCATAACCATGGGGAGCTGTGGTTTTCTACAGGCCCCTGGGCACAAAGTGGGCAGGCTCACCTGGAGGCGATCAGAGTAACATGGCAGGAAGTGAGGGGGAAAGCCGCCCTGGAACTGCGCCTCTCTGCCCCCTGACGTCACTGGCGTGCACTCCTCCCTCCCCTCAGGCAGTGGCATGAGTTCCATGTGAGCGCTGTCCTGCTCCCTCTGCTGCCTCTTTTTTTTCTTGGGGCTGCCATAACACTTTCCCTTCCCCAGCCCTGCCAACCTGGTGGGACATTGGGCTTCCCTCTCACAGGGTCCTGGGGACAGGCCCATCCTTTATCATACCCACAGAGAGACCGTTTTTTTCTTCAGAACCTGGGGAGCAGCCAGGTTCCATGAGTTAAATGCAGATCTGAACCAAGCTGGGATTGGGGTACACACTCTCCTCTACTGAAAAGTAGCTAGGGATTCCAACTAGGTTAGAAGGAGAGTGGGGCAGAGCCAGACCAGACAAGGACTGATCACCTGGAAAAAGCCTGCCATCAAAGGTCTTGGCAAATGCTGGGTGCAGTGGCTCACTCCTATAATAGCAGCACTTTGCGGGGCTGAGACAGGTGGACTACTTGAGGCAAGGAGTTCGAGTCCAGCCTGGGCAACATGGCAAAACCGCATCTCTACTAGAAATACAAAAATTAGCTAGGCATGCTACACTCCTGTCATCCCAGCTACTCAGGAGACTGAGGCAGGAGAATCACTTGAACTGGGGAGGCAGAGGTCGAAGTGAGCCGAGATTGTGCCCCTGCACTCCAGTCTGGGAGACAGAGTGAAACTGGCCTCAAAAAAAAAAAGAATATGGCCTTGGCAGAGAGGGGCCAGCCCAGTAGTGCCTTCCCTTGGGTTTCTCCTGGGTAGGCCTCTGCCATGAGGAGGTGCTTCCTTCTGCCTGTCCGTGGCCCACAGCAATGGAATGTCTGTTTCTGGGGGTTGGGTGGGAGAGTGCTGGCAGAACTGGAAACCTTCAGGTGGGGTTTTTTTGTTTTGTTTTGTTTTCGAGATGGAGCGTCGCTCTGTCACCCAGGCTGGAGTGCAGTGGTGGAATCTCAGTTCACTGCAACCTCTGCCCCCCTGGGTTCAAACAATTCTCCTGTCTCAGCCTCCTGAGTAGCTGAGATTACAGGCATGTGCCACCATGCCCGGCTAGTTTTTGTATTTTTTGTATAGATGGCATTTCACCATGTTGGCTGGGCTGGTCTCGAACTCCTGACCTCAAGTGATCCACCCATCTCGGCCTCCCAAAGTGCTGGGATTACAGGCATGAGCCACTGAGCCCAGCCCCTTCAGGGGGGTTTTGAGGCTTCACTACAATACTAGTTTCCTGTGGCTGCTGCAACAAATTACCACACACTTAGTGACTTAAAACAACCAAAATGTATTCCCTTACAGGTCTGAAGGCCAGAATTCTACAGTAAGTCCTACTGAGTCAAGGTGGGAGCAGGGTCGGTAGCTTCCGAGGCTCTGCGGGAGAATCCGTTTCCTGGCCGTAGAGGTGGCCTGCACTCCGCAGCTTGTGCTGCCCGTCTCGAATGACTGGAGTTTCCTGCTTCTGTCACTACACCTCCCACCCTCTCCATCACCTGCTCTGCTCTTACAAGGATCCGAGTGAGTACATCAACCCCAAAAGCCAAAGACCCTTAACTTCATTATATCTGCAAAGTTCCTTTTGCCATATAAGGTCATGTTCACCAGTTCCCGGGATTAGGATATGGGCATCTTGGGGGCATCAGCCTGCTACAGCTAGGCTGCAAAACTGTTACACCCTCCTGGTGTTTCAATGATTGGGAGAAAAAGGGTTGGCATTTTTTGCTTAGGGGTCCCTCTTAAACTTGTATCTGTAAGGTCGGGGGTCCCTCTTAACCTTGTGTTTTTGTTTTTGTTTTTTTTGAGGTGGAGTCTTGCTCTGTCATCCAGGCTGGCAGTGGCGTGATCTTGGCTCACTGCAATGTCTGCCTCCTGGGTTCAGGTGATTCTCCTGCCTCAGCCTCCTGAGTAGCTGGGACTACAGGCGCCCGCCACCATGCCCTGCTGTTTTGTATTTTTGGTAGGGACGGGGTGGGGGGGGGGGCTAGGGAGGGGGGTTTTGGCTATGTTGCCCTGAGCTCAAAGTGATCCGCCTGCCTCTGCTGCCAAAGTGCTGGGATTACAGGCCTGCACCACTGCACCCGGCTGCTGTAAAGTCTTATTTCACACAGCTGAGACATGTTTTAGGAAGTTTGCTAAAAGACCCCTGGAGACCGCCTCATTGTGACCTCCCTGTTATTGTGTTTAATTTGATTGAACTTTTCTGCCCTCCTGCTTTTCAGCTTCTCTAATAGTCTCCCATTAAACCAATTCTAAGAACCACCAAGAAGGGGAAATTTTTTCTTGAAAGCAGTAAAATGATATGGACTGTTAGAATGTAAAATATATGAAATCAGTCATTATATGTTAGTGCTGCTCTGACATAGGGACGTGTTATTGAGAAGCAACTTTTGCTTGGTTTTCAGAGAAATGGAATCATCGTATCGCTGATCTACGTAAACAAACTGAAGAATTGTCTGAAAGAAAATATGGTATGTCTAAACTGGAAAAGTCTTGTAATCTTAGGTTCATGGGCGTTTACACAGTGGAGTTACTGTTCATCATGGGGGTACCGTGGACAATCCCAGGGCTGCCGGCGAGTCATGCCATCCTTATATGTTTCTCCTTGTAAGGTGCTTTGTAGTGTCTACACACTTTGTTTCTAGATTGCTGCAAAGCTGAGGAAAAGTTGTATTTCTTTAGTTATTAGTTAGCATTTCTTTTAAACTTTCAGTATGGAGATTGGAAATTTATTTACATATTTATTGCAAAGCCCTGGATCTTAGGAATTTCATTGAATTATTTATTTATTTTTTTTGAGACGGAGCCTCACTCTGTCGCCCAGGCTGGAGTGCAGTGGCACGATCTCGGCTCACTGCAACCTCCGCCTCCCGGGTTCAAGCAGTTCTCTGCCTCAGCCTCCCGAGCAGCTAGGATTACAGGCACCAGCCACCACGCCTGGCTGATTTTTGTATTTTTAGTAGAGACGGGGTTTCATGATCTTGGCTAGGCTGGTCTTGAACTGCTGACCTCCTGATCCACTCACCTCAGCCTCCCAAAGTGCTGGGATTATAGGTGTGAGCCACCATGCCTGGCCAAATATTATTTTTTTAAATGAATTGTTTCTCTTAGTCTGCTTTGTTAAATTTGGAATTCATCTGGGCGTGGTGGCTCACACCTGTAATCCCAGCACTTTGGGAGGCCAAGGCAGGCAGATATCTAGGTCGGGAGTTCGAGACCAGCCTGACCAACATGGAGAAACCCCGTCTCTACTAAAAATACAAAATTAGACGGGTGTGGTGGCGCATGTCTGTAATCCCAGCTATTCGGGAGGCCAAGGCAGGAGAATCGCTTGAACCCAGGAGGCAGAGGTTGCAGTGAGGCGAGGTTGGCACCATTGCACTGTAGCCTGGGCAAAAAGAGCAAAACTCCATCTCAAAATAAATAAATAAATAAAATGTTCAGTACTCACCAAGGTGCCCCTGTTGTCTCTACTTTTATCTTGATGCATCACTGAATTGATGTTAGATTTCAAATTCATCATTACACTGATACTATTCTATCCTGAAGCCACCTTTATATAGTGATGAAAGAAATTAGCGATTTGTTATTATCCTCTCTCTGTTGGTATGTATCAAATACTCACCTAAAAAAGAGCAACAACCAGTGGAAAACATGATGTTTTTATTTGGGTGACTATTTACTTGTAACCTACTAGCAAACTATAAAATTGTATGATATGCAGAATTTTAACTGAATTGCTTTAAGTGAACATTTAAACATGATAAACAATATTGATGGTATTTATGTTAATATACTTAAAATGAACATTTTTCTTCATCATGAGTAATATAACCTACTCCTCAATGAAAACCTAGCACTAAATTTGCTAATGTATTCAATAACATTTCCATAATATTTTTAGTTACATGCTTAAGGTTCTCTTAGTGTTTCTCCCACTTTTTAATAGCTTATGCCTTTTTCACCTTTGGTTTTTTTTTGGTTCATTTTAAAGCAAAAATCTCACAACATGTGATATCTGGAAACACTGTAACCTAGTGGTAAGACCATAGGCCCTGGGGACACAGGCTGGCCACGTCTCTTCTCCTGTCTGAGCTTTAGTATCCTCTTTTGTGGTCATGAGAACTGAAGATCTGTCCCGAAGATTTGATAAGATAGTAAAGTGCTTCACATAATACCAGACATATAAATACACAGTAAATGCTTCCTTCTTATATTTTTATTGATTGATTGATGGAGACAGAATCTTGCTCTCTTGCCCAGGCTGGAATGCAGTGGCGTGATAATGGTTTCTGCAACCTCCACCTCCTGGGTTCAGGCAATTCTCCTGCCTCAGCCTCCCGAGTAGCTGGGATTACAGGTGCCTGCCACCATGCCCAGCTAATTATTGTACTTTTAGTACAGACGGGGTTTTACCATGTTGGCCAGGCTGGTCTCGAACTCCTGACCTCATGATCTGCCTGCCTCGGCCTCCCAAACTGCTGGGATTACAGGTGTGAGCCACTGTGCCCAGCCTGTCTTTTCTCTTCACACCCGCAGTTCATGATGAAATATTAAATATGTACTAGTGGATATTACTTTGCTGAATATTGCCTAATGAATATTAAGTATTTATTCTCACCTTTCAGACATGAACTTATGAATTCAACAGGTGAAGATTTACAACTTGATAAATCAACTTTGTCAGGTACGTCTTCAGTCAAGTCAGATTAGAAGATTATGTGAGGTAATTAACACTTAACATTGATTTAATGGTAGCTTCCACATGAAATAGTATGCCTCTAAGTATTAATTATGTCCTAGGACAGGAGAATTCATGTTGTCAAAATTCTCATACTCTCTAGAACAATAAACTCATTTTCTTTTTATTAGTAAATATTGCATTTATGGGTAGACAAAACTGAAAGAACAATATTTGTTCTACTTTTGAGATGCAAGATTCATCTGGCATAATGCATTGAACAGGTTATTATTGAAGTCTACACCAGTCAACTGAATAAGCATTCATCAAATGTCCATGATATGCAGGACATAAGTTTTCTTTTAGAGTATGGAACCATGCATATTATCTTTTAATTAGATGATTTAGTTAGATATGTTTTTAAAGAACTAGAAATATAATTGTTTTTCTTGTTTTGGCTCTGGAGTGGAGTGGGGACGAAACAGAATGGATTCACACTTGTTTAGATTTACTAAAATGGAAAGATTGCAGCAAGATCATATCCCTAGTCTCCCTATAGCAAATGTCACCTGCTAGCTGTTTTTTTTTTTTTTTTGGAGGTTGAAGTTTTGTTCTGTCACGCACGCTGGAGTGCAGTGGTATGATCTCAGCTCATGGCAAGCTCACCTCCTGTGTTCAAGCAATTCTCCCTGCCTCAGCCTCCTAAGTAGCTGGGATTAAAGGCCTCTGCCACCACGCCTGCCTAATTTTTGTATTTGTAGTAGAGTTGGGGTTTCACCATGTTGGCCAGGCTGGCCTTGAACTCCTGACTTCAGGAGATTCACCCGCCTCAGCCTCCCAAAGTGCTTGGGATTATGGGTGTGTCACTGCACTTGGATTTAATGGGATATTTCACTACAGACTTCGGTAAACAGAATATTAGCATTTTTGGTGTTCTTTTTATTTTACTCATACTGTTTTTCTTTGGACTCAATCACAATAACAGAATTAAAGATCAAAGTGTAAAAGTTAAAGACCAGTACAGATTCAATAATTATTCTTTTCTACATACTGTGTTTAAATGATATCCCTTTTTCTTTTTTTTCTTATAGCTCGAGCTGTAAAAGCCAAAGGTCCGGTGATGATCCCATACCCTTTTTTCCAGTCTCATGTTGAAGATTTTTATGTAGAAGGCCTTCCCAAAGGAATTTTTTTTTTTTTTTTTTTTTTTTGAGATGGAGTTTTCACTCTTATCGCCCAGGCTGGGGTGCAATGGCGCAACCTTGCTGGTCACTGCAACCTCTGCCTCCTGGGTTCAAGAAATTCTCCTGCCTTAGCCTCCCAAGTCACTGGGATTACAGGTGCCCACCACCATACCAGGCTAATTTTTGTATTTTTAGTGGAGATGCGGTTTCACCATGTTGGCCGGGCCAGTCTCGAACTCCTGACGTCAAGTGATCTTCCCGCCTCGACTCCTGATATCAAGTGATCTTCCCGCCTCGGCCTCCCAGAGTGCTGAGATTACAGACGTGAACCCATGCCTGGCCAGGAATTTTGTTTTTTAGGAAGGCTTTCTACTAATGGAATTCCTGGCCTTGAGAGGATGTTACTTTAGAAGGAAAGGATTTTTTTGTTATTAAAAGGTAAGATTCCTGGATTCTTATTGGACTGTTGTCTCTGTTATGAGTAATCCATCTTTAGTCATTCACCACTAGGGTTGTATTTAATTAAGTCTGAGTTATTTTATGGTGGTTTTGTTTTGTTTTGCTTTGTTTTTACCGAATTTTGTTCTCATTGCCGTGGCTTGAGGGCAATGACGTGATCTCAGGTCACCACATTCTCTGCCTTCCAGGTTCAAGCAATTCTCCTGCCTCAGCCTCCTTAGTAGCTGGATTTACAGGCATGCGCCACCATGCCTGGCTAATTTTTTGTATTTTTAGTAGAGATGGTGTTTCACCATGTTGACCAGGCTGGTCTAGAACTCCTGACCTTGGGTGATCCACCCGCCTCGGCCTCCTAAAGTGCTGGGATTACAGGCATGAGCCACTGCGCCCAGCCTGGGCCTGCTTCTTTCTCTTTTTCTTTTTTTTTCATTAGCAGCTTAAAATTGGTGCCTTATTCAGACACAAGCAAAAGGACATTAGCCCAGCTTTGGAAATAGGTGAGAGCCCATATATGATTTTCCTAGTTTCTCCTCCCCCTTTGCTTTTTGCTCTCTTGTTAGTATATTAATTGTTTTCACTCTCTGAATCTTTTTTCCCCATTTCTTTGGCAGACATTTTTACTTGTCTTGGAAGAGTAGGTGAAGAGCTGTTTTTAGGACTCTTTGAAAGGGTACAGTATGGGTGACAGTCTTGGCTAATGGTAACATCCAGGGAGCTGGGTTCAGCGTGAGCTGGAATCAGTTCAAATTAGCAAAGCACTGGCACTCAGTAGCAGGAATACAAGTGACTGCAAAGTGTTAAACACATCTGGAAAGGGATACTGACATCATCCTCAGAATCTGTGGGGAGTTCACATAGCCAGTTAAGACCCATTCTTCTTTGACCCTGTAAAGATTCTTTAAAGAATAAATACCCTTAGTGGTTTTCTAGCCAGCTTGCCTGCTCATTTATCTTTGAGGACGACATGCCTTGTGGAGCTCCACAGGCCCCAGAGGGGTATGGATTCTGCATTTAAAAGTGCTGAAGCTGAGAGACTGGGTCTTGGTGGACCCCGAGAGGTCTGTTTCTCCTCTACTCATTGTTCCTTTTTTTCCCAACAGCTGGCATTGCTGTTTAAATGGGTTGTTCTTTGCTGTTTTAAGTTGTTTCATAGTGGTGTGTCAGGATTTGGGTTTTCTTAATACTTTCCAAGCTGGTGACTTGAGTGGTGGTTAGGGAGGAAATGTTTTAGGGCTGTTCTGGAGCTATTGAGGTCAGGTGTCTAGATACTCCCAGCTTGTCTGTTGAGGAGAATGCTGTTCTCATTGTGCTGCCTTTGGTGGTGCTGTGTGTGGCTCTTTAGATGTGCGTGGAGGTGAGCTGGGGGAGTTAATGAGATCTTTTTTAGGTGCTTTTCATAAAGTAGCCTGCACTACAGGATTCACTGTGACTTTTTTCCTTAACCTATGCATTTCTCTCTGCTAGCTTTTGCTGTCTTTCTCATGCCTTTGATTTTCCCAGCTCCTCTTAGTTGAATTAACCTAAGTGCTCTGCTATGGTTTAAATGTGTCCCCCAAAGTTTATGTGCTGGAAACTCAATCCTCAATGCAACAGTTGGGATGTGGGGCCTAATAAAATAGCCTTCATGAATGAGTTAATGTTGTTATTGTGGTAATAGATTAGTAATCACAGAGTGGGCTTATTATAAAACAGAGTTCAGCCCCTTTTGCCCTCTTGCTTTCTTGCACTCTCTTTTCCTTCTGCCTTCTGTAGTGGGATGATGCAGCAAGAAGACCCTTACCAGATGCAGGCCCCTCAACCTTGGACTTCCTAACATCCAGAACTGTTAAGAAATAAAATTTATTCCTTTCCTTTCCTTTTCTTCCTCCTTTCCCTTCTCTTCCCTTTTCTTCCCTTCCCCTCCCTCCCTCTCTCTCTCCCTCCCTCCCTCCTTCCCTCCCTTCCTCCTTCCCTCTTTCTCTCTTTCCCTTCCTTCCTTTCCTTCTTTCCCTTCCTTCCTTTCCTTCCCTCCTTCCCTTTTTCCCTCCTTCCCTCCTCCCTTCCTTTTTTCTTTCCTTCCTTTTTTCCTTTTTATAAATTATGCAGTCTGTGGTATTCTTTTATAGAAGCATGAAATGGACAAAGACTCCATTTTCAAGAGCAAGCACTTTTGTAGTTTCTGAGCGAACTATGACTGCAAAGGAAGTTCTATAGGTAGCCTCAGATCCACTACCTAGGAAGCATGCTACCAAGCAGACCTAGGATCTAGGATTTGATCAAGTGCTGGGCAACATGATACCTCTGCAATTTAGCACTTCCCTATATACCTCCAGTTGGCTCAGCCCATTAGGGCTAAAACTACCCCTCATATCCTAGTGTCTCTTGTAGGCAGAAGCCTTGCCTAAACCCTAAGCTGCTTGGCTCACATTCTCTCTTGTGCTTTTTTTGTAGGGGGTTCAAATATACACAAAAGAAATATGTTGAACCTCCATGCACCCAACCCGCAGATTAAGCAGTTACCTCCATTTTTCCAGATTTGTTTCATCTGCTTCAATCTCCCTAAAAATTTATGTTTGTACAGGAAAGACTGAATAAATAGCTAATTTTCCACCCTACCTCTCATCTTAAGTCACTTTTCAGAGTAGTAAGTTAGTGACCTAGTAACCTTCCCTCTAATGACCAGTAGTTTTTTTTTCTGAATACCATTATGAACTCATAGATTATTGTTTGCATTTGATGTATTTCAGGCCATTGCAGTCTTTATTGTTTTGGATGCTTACATTGTCTCATCTAGGTTAATAATTATCTCTTCAAGTTGACTTTCATGTCTTTTTGAAGTGATCCTGTTGGACTTTGATGGCTTCCTTGCTTTCTGGCAAAACAGATGTTCCAGGATCAATATACTGCACCATACATGGAGTCAGCCATTTCTCTAGGGAACCTTGATTCCTTTTAGTAGAGAACACAGTTTGAGGTCTTGGACTGAATGACTTTTGTGAACCTCCTCTCCTGAGACTACAGCCTGCATCCCTGCATATAGCCCGTTTGGAGCTCTTGCTGGGCACCAACAGATCTCCTAAAACTGCTATATAGTTCTGCCTCACTCTTACAAAGATTCATCTCTTGAGAGTTTTGTGCTCTACCCCCAGATGTGGTCTTTCTGGTTATGAAGCTTTTGCTTCAGTCACCCTGAATTTTGCCAGCCCTATGCATGCTATACCTTGGATTGCCAACTTGCCCTCACTGAAGCCAGTTTCTCTGGTTAGAATAGTTGCCCAAACCCATGCCTAATACTCTAGTAAACAAGGTTCTACCTGGGCTTAGGTTAACTTTTGCTCCTTTGGGCCCTGTGTTCTACCAGCATTCCATTTATCTGAAACTCTCCCTCACCTTAAGAACTCATCTGTTCTTTAATGATTTACTGCTGCTTCCTGGGCTCGAAAGAACCCAGTTCAGGAGTTTCTGTTTTAGTTTGAGATCTTATAGGCCTGTCTCATCAGGTTGGTGTCAGCCCAGCTAGGATTAGGCAGAATTGGGTGGGGGCTGTAGTGCATTTTTGGCACAGCATGTACCTGTCTGACTAATTCTCTGTCTTTTCTTTCCTGTTGCAATTCATGGGTCTTAGCATCTTCTGAATGGTGTTTAGTAGGTCATCCTGTTGATTTCCTGCTAGGGAGTAGCATACTCTGGCTCTGTACCACTGGCCAAGGGACTTAAGGATAGATGAAGGGCTGCAGTTTTGTTAAATGGAACAATATGAAGAGATGGCATTGTTTAAAAAAAAAAAAAAAGGCTTGGCAGCAGGGCCCATTTGAATGGTTGGTCCTTGGCTCCTTTGTTGATATAGGCAGATCCTTGATGGGAATTTGGAATGATCCCAAATATTGTAGATCACTGGTACATCAAGTCATCCTCAAGGTTGTCTGTGTAACAGTCTTGAATGATATTTTGTCAGTCTTTGGAGATTCTCTGTATAGGGTTTAATCATTTAGTTATTTCAGTTGAGCCTGTTTAGTTTCTTTGCAAGGAGATAAGAAATGTGAAAGAGATGCAGACATTAGGGAAAAAAAGTCAGGAGCCTTGTTTCCCCATCCTCTACTTGGGTTCTGGAACTAGACTCATAGGTGAGTAGTGAGGAGCTGGGCCCAAGCACATTAATCCTAGATCTAGCTCTGCTTTGCCCTCGCTCCAGTTCTTGTATCAAATTCACTTCAAGCCACCCAGAGTAGTATGTAGAGGAGTCATTCAGGACCATGCTCATACTTCATTGTATCAAATGGGAGATCCAGTAATTTATAGCCTGTTGTTTCTGGAGCCTGGAGATGGCTCTGCATAAGATTTGCCGAAGCAAATTTTATTACATTAGAAGAGAACCTAGCTGGCTGCATCCTACACTGGAAGCTTTTAGATGCTAATAAGGAGGTCATGTAAAGGTCACAGAATGACTCTGGAATCCATTCCCCACCAAGAAAGAATAATGACATTCTATGTTGGCCTCTTTTCATTTCCCTTTGGTTTTGAGTAATAAATTCTCTCCTCACTTCCCAGTCGAACTGTTTGGGAGTCTCTATTCCCTAGAAAGACTCTGGTCACATACCCATCAGATTAAATTAGGTGAAAACTCTTTGGCCTTCATGAATGTTGAAGGATTTCAAAGGGCTAATGGAAATTCTTCTAGAAGTAACTGCAACCTCCGCCTTCCGGGTTCAAGCGATTTTCCTGCCTCAGCCTCCCAAGTAGCTGGGATTACAGGTGTCCACCACCATGCCCAACTAATTTTTGTATTTTTAGTAGAGACGGGGTTTCACCATGTTGGCCAGGCTGATCTAGAACTTTTGACCTCAGGTGATCCGCCCGCCTCAGCCTCCCAAAGTGCTGGGATTACAGGCGTGATCCACCGCGCCCAGTTAAACTTCAGTTTTTCATGTTCCATGCATTGGTCAGGGTCTTAGGGAGTGATTCATTCTAGCAGAACTCCCTGGATTTTAAGGCAGATGTTCCATTTATTAATTGACAAAGGAGGCATATTTCTCCCCTGGTAACCCAAAGATTTAGGTCATTTTCCCAGAGACTCCATTTCCACTGTGAGGGTTCTTGGAAAACTAAGCAGAGGATGAGGAAAAGTCTGTGAACAAGCTTGCTGGTCTCTCCCTGTCCTACAAAAGAGCATACCTCTTCTGTAACCAGAAGGCCCTTTTGATTAGTCAAGGCTGGACAGAGTGAGATTGGGTGTGTGTGTGTGTGTGTGTGTGTGTTTGTGTGTGTCTTAAGACAGGGTCTCACTCTGTCACCAAGGCTAGAGTGCAGTGGTGAGATCAGAGCTCACTGCAGCTTCCACTTCCTGGGCTCAAGCGATCCTCCTATTTCAGCCTCCAGAGTAGCTGGGACTATACGAATGTTTTACCGCACCCAGTTCATTTTCTAATTTTTTGTAGAGATGAGGTTTCACTGTGTTGCTCAGGCTGGTCTTGAACTCCTGGCCTCACGGAATCCTCCTGCCTTAGTCTCCCAGTGGGCTGGGATTATAGGTATGAGCCACCTCACCTGACCTGCGACGATTTTTCAATGATGTAATTTCTCTTTTACAGAGCCACCTAAGCTGAAGATTCCCTTGAGAACAAGTACTGTCCCTAGTTTCCCAGTGCTGGAATATAGAAAATGGATGGACAAGTAAATCCCACTCAGCACCCATAGTCCAGGCATGGGGACCTCAACACACCTGAGCCCCAGACATCACCTTTCATTGTGAGTAGCTCTGAGATGACACTTCTGCTGTTCCCAATTCCAGCATTAATTGGATTAGATAGTTATTTTATGAAGAATTTTCATATGCCACAATCCTGACCATATCTTCAAGTGAACAGAAAAATTCTATTAAAAAGTCAACCTTCTGTCTCACTCTGTTGCCCAGACTGGAGTGTAGTGGTGCAATTATGGCTCACTGCAGCCTCAACCTCCTGGGCTCAAGCAATCCTCCTGCCTCAGCCTCACAAGTAGCTGGGACTACAGGTGCTTGTCACCACACCTCACTAATTTTCCCATTTGTGTTATATGTGGATTCCACAGGACTGACTTCGAAAACTTGAGTATGCGTGGATTTTGGTATACACAGAAATGGGAGAGCTGGAACTAATCCCCCCATATACCAAGGGACAAATTGTATCTGTTTCTACAGTTATACAGTAGGAGACATTATGTTCCATGACAATGGTAATTTTTAACGACAGTTTTTAATTGAGTGAAATTACCATAAAAATAATAATAGTAGCAGCTAATATTTACTGAGCTGTTACTAGGTGCCTATAAATAGCATAGATTTTTAAATTCTCCATAATTCTTCCTTATTTCACTTAACCACCCTATCTTAAATTACTCATGCTTGCCTCAGTAGCACACATACTTAAGTTGGAACAATAGAGAGATTGGCACGGCCTCTGTGAAAGAATGACATGCAAATTTGTGAAGCATTCCATATTTTTTTAAAAAAAGAGAAAAAAATTACTCCCAGATTTTCACTGTGTTTGTGCATATGACCTTTTGTTTAGGTTGAATTATATCCAAAGGTGAAATTTCCAGAAGTGAGATTACTGTGAGTCACAGGGCATGAGCATTCTTATTACCCTCGATGTAAATTGCAAAGCTTTCAGGCATGGTGGCTGTCAGCCTGTAATTCCAGCACTTTGGGAGGCTGAGGTGGGAGGATTGCTTGAGGCCAGGAGTTGGAGGAGGCAGTATAATGAGTCACTGTCTGTATGATTTAAAAAAAATTTCCAAGCTTTATGCTGGAAGGCTTATATACATTTTAAACACCACTAATACTACAAGAAAATGGCCATTTCACTGCACCTTCGCCCACACAGGTATTATAATTTAACAAGTTATTTTCTGTGTGATAAATGAAAGACCTCCTATTAGCTGGGATTACAGGCATATGCCACCATGCCTGGTTAATTTTTGTATTTTTAGTAGAAACGTGGTTTCACCATGTTGATCAGGCTGGTCTCGAACTCCTGATCTCATGATCTACCCGCCTTGGCCTCCCAAAGTGCTTGATTACAGCTGTGAGCCATGTGCCCAGCCTATTTGTCACATATTTTATCTTTCCTTATGTTAGCTTATTAGCTTTATTTCTTTATTGTCCTTTTTTTTTTTTTTGAGATGAAGTCTCGCTCTGTCTCCTAGGCTTCAGTGTAGTGGCACAGTCTCAACTCACTGCAGCCTTGACCTCCTAGGCTCAGGTGATCCTTCCACCTCAGTAGTTGGGACTATAGGCACATGCCACTATGCCTGGCCAATTATTTTTATTTTTTTATTTTTACTAGAGAGGAGGTCTTGCTTTGTTTCTTAGGCTGGTCTGGAACTCCTGGCCTCAAGCAATCCCCCCACCACCCCCTCCCAAAGTACTGGTATTATAAGCATGAGCCACCATGCCTGGGGTATCTGTGTCTTTTCCATTTATTTATAGAGTTACTTTGTCTTTTACTAATTCAATGATCTGTTTAATCTTTTATTAAATTATAAAAATGATAAATACTTTTAAATAAGTGAAAAATGTCCTTCACTCTTTAGACCCATAATCTTATCTCAGGAAATAATTGCAGTTGAGAAAATGGGCCATATCCTTCAAGATACGTACATGGTGATTGAACATCACTTCATATTTTCATATTTCGTGGACATTTGTGCCAATACCTATTGATCTATCTTAATCCTTTTCATGGTTGCATAATATTTTATTATATGGATGTATCACAATTTACCAGTACCAGTCAACTGCTGGAGGCATTTAGGCTCCTTCTAATATTTGCTTTGAGCTCTTTATATAATTAAAAATTAACCCCCTCAGCCAGGTGTGGCAGCTCACACCTGTAATCCCAGCATTTTGGAAGGCTGAGGTGAGAGAACTGCCTGAGTGTAGGAGATCACCACCAACCTGGTCAACATAGTGACACTTTGTCTCTACTAAAAATTAAAAAAAAAAAATGAGCTACACGTTGCAGTGCACACCTGTAGTCCGAGCTACTGGGGAGGCTAAGCCTGGAGGATCACTTGAGTCTAGAAGGTTGAGGCTGCAGTAAGCTATGATCACACCATTGCACTTTAGCTTTGCTAAGAGCAAGACTGCATTTCTTAAACAAAATAAAAATTAGATGGGAATATTGCTCAAGCCCTGGAGGTTGAGGCTGCAGTTAACTGTGATTGCACCACTGCAGTCCAGCCTAGGTGATAGAGCAAGACCCTTTCTCTAAAAATAAAATAAAATAAAAATTAACCTTCTATCATATTTCCCAGTAACACCTTCCCTCCTACATTTCTCCTAGAAGCCCTTAAATTTTGTTTTTCACATATCGTTTAAAACTTTTAAGTGCTGATGTCTGTCTGTGTCATCCCTCTTTTTTTTTTTTTTTAAATGTCTTTTTGTCACTTCTAGCTGGACCTACCATGAAAGACTTCTGAATCCAGGAAGAGAAACTGACTGGGCAACATGTTATTCAGGTACAAAAAGACTTGGACTGTAACTCAAAAATGATCAAATAATAGTGCATGCATCAAGTGCAATCGGAAGCTCTTCTGGAGAGGGAGAGAAGCTTCCAGTTAAGGTGACATTGAAGCCAAGTCCTGTAAGATAAGGAAGAGTTGTATGAGAGTGGGGAGGGAAGGGGGAGGTGGAGGGATGGGGATTGGGCTGGGATGGGATGGAGTGAGCTGCCCAGGCAGGGAAACCAGCACTATACAGACCTGAACAATGAAGATGGTACATTTTGTTCAGGGAATGGTGAATTAAGTGTGGCAGAAATGCTTTGTAGAGACAGTAATTTGCTTGTATGGAATTTTGCCCAAGAGACCTCATTACAGTTTCTAATTTTTTGATGTTATCATGCATCACTGCCCTTGTCAGATAGTATCATGATCACAATAACATCAAGCATAATATTTCATTGATTCTCACAAAAACAGGTGGGTGCCACAGTTATCCCCATTATATGCACAAAATGATGAAGACTTGGGGTTAATGAGTGATTTGCCCAAGCTCACCTGAATATTAGGACTGAGTCAAATGTTAGTCTGGTCTGACTTTAATGCTTGCCTTGTTCATGAGCACCATGCATTGCCTCTCCTATTAAGTTAAGCAGGTAGACAGGTGAGAGAAGAGCCAGTGTGATATCGGGGGAAATTCACCCCTGATATTTCATGTAGGTTCTTTTCTATTTTCCCTGAGTGTCAGCCAGTCTGAGAAATAAAGGGAAAGAGTACAAAAGAGAGAAATTTTAAAGCTGGATGTCCAGGGGAGACATCACACGTCGGCAGGTTCCGTGATGCCCCCCAAGCCGCAAAACCAACAAGTTTTTATTAGTGATTTTCAAAAGGTGAGGGAGTGTACGAATAGGGTGTGGGTCACAGAGATCACATGCTTCACAAGGTAATAAAATATCACAAGGCAAATGGAGGCAGGGCAAGATCACAGGACCACAGGACCGGGGCGAAATTAAAATTGCTAATGAAGTTTCGGGCGCGCATTGTCATTGATAACATCTTATCAGGAGAAAGGGTTTGAGAGCAGACAACCCATCTGACCAACATTTATTAGGCGGGAATTTCCTTGTCCTGATAAGCCTGGGAGCGCCACGTGAACCCAGGGCTTATTTCATCCCTTATCTATGACTGTAAAAGACAGCCGTCCCCAAAGCGGCCATTTCAGAGGCCTCCCCTTAGGGATGCATTCTCTTTCTCAGGGATGTTCTTTGCTGAGAAAAAGAATTCAGCAATACTTCTCCTATTTGCTTTTGAAAGAAGAGAAATATGGCTCTGTTCAACCCGGCCCACAGGCAGCCAGAGTTTAAGGTTATCTCCCTTGTTCCCTGAAATTGCTGTTATCCTGTTCTTTTTTCAAGGTGCCCAGGTTTCATATTGTTTAAACAACTTGTGCAGTTAACGCAATTATCACAGGGTCCTGCGGGGACATTCATCCTCAGCTTACGAAGATGACCGGATTAAGAGATTAAAGACAGGCATAGAAAATCACAAGGGTATTGATTGGGGAAGTGATAAGTGTCCATGAAATCTTCACAATTTATGTTCAGAGATTGCAGTAATGACAGGCCTAAGAAATTATAGAAGTATTAATTTGGGGAACTAATAAATGTCCATGAAATCTTCACAATTTATGTTCTTCTGCTGTGGCTTCAGCCAGTCCCTCCGTTTGGGGTCCCTGACTTCCTGCAACACGTTTCTCTCTACTCACAGACTTCTGACCAAATGTGTGTGCAGAGTTTCTACACCAGTTCTCCAACTCTCTGGATACCAACCGCGTATCCCACAATTCCATTCTGACACTACCTAGAGTTAGCACAGAACCCACAGGTTAGGGGCTCAGTCCCACAAGACCACCCTCACTTCAGATGCCAGTTGCAAGTCCTAGGTTGTCACCTGTATTTTGACCAACCAGTTAGAAATCAGGGTTTCCCATGACCCTCTTGTTGAGTTTAATTATTTACTAGAACAACTCACAGAACTTAGAAAAACAAGTTTTTTTTCTTTTCTTTTTAAGAGACAGGGCCTCGCTCTGTTGTCCAAGCTGGTGTGCAGTGGTGCAATCATAGCTTATTGAAGCCTCAACGTCCAGGGCTCAAGTGATTCTCCTGCTTCAGCCTCTCAAGTAGCTGGAATTACAGGGTTCCCACCACCACATTTGGCTAATTTCTTTTATTTTTTGTATAGATGGGGTCTTCTTATGTTGCCCAGGTTGGTCTCAAATTCCTAGGCTCAAGTGATTCCGCCCACCTCTGCCTCCCAAAGTGCTGGGATTACGGGCATGAGCCAGTGCATCTGGCCACCTTATTTTCTATTACTGGCTCAATGTAATGGCTCCATCTCAGGAACAGCCAATGAAAGAGATGCACAGGACAAGGTAAGTGGGGAGGGGCACAGAGCTTCCATGCCCTCTGTTGGGCACACTACCCTCCCAGGACCTCCTTGTGTTTAGCAACACAGAAGCTCTCCAAACCCTGCTGTTTGGGTGTTTATGGAGGCATGATTGATAAAATCACTGGCCATTGGTAGTTAAGTCAATCTCCAGTTCCTTTTGCCTCCTGGAGTTCAGCAGGTGAGGCTGAAAGTCCCAAGCCTCAAAAAATGTGGTTGGGGCCAGGTGCGGTGGCTCACTCCTGTAATCCTAGCAGTTTGGAAGGCTGAGGCACATGGACCACTTGAGGTCAAGAGTTTGAGACTAGCCTGACCAACATGGTGAAACCCCGTTTCTACTAAAAATAACAACAGTTAGCTAGGCGTTGTGGCACATCCCTATAATTCCAGCTACTCGGGAGGCTGAGGCAGGAGAATTGCTTGAACCCGGGAGGTGGAGGTTGTAGTGAGCTGAGATTGTGCCATTGCACTCCAGCCTGGGCTACAAGAGCCAAACTCCGTTTAAAAAAAAAAAATGTGGTTGCTTTCTCTGGCAGCTAGCCCTCCTCCTGAAGCAGTCTCGGAGCTTGCAGCCACCCTGTTAGCTCAACAGCATCCCACATGCATTCTTACCATGCTGCAGATCTGAAAGACCTTAGAGGCCCTTGTGTCAGGAACCTGGGACTAAGACTAAATATCAAAACAGAAAATGCTCCTATTACCTCTGTCACGAAGGGCTTTATAAGAGCTTTGGAAGCTCTATGCCAGGAACCACGGGCAGAGACCAAATGTATATTTCTTTTCTTATATCGGAGACAGAGTCTCACTCTGCCACTGAGGCTGGAGTGCAGTGATGTGATCATAGCTCACTGCAGCCTTGACCTCCTAGGCTAAAGCAATCCTCCCACCTTAGCCTCTCCAGTAGCTGGAACTACAGGCATGCATCACCATGTCCAGCTGATTTTAATTTTGTAAAGGCAGGATCTTCCTATTTTCCCCAGGCTGATCTCTAACTCTTGGCCTCAAGCAATCCTTCCTCTTTGGCCTCCCAAAATGTTGGGATTACAGATGGGAGCCCCCATACCCACCAATCACAAGGATCTTTATAAGAGAATGAGGTAGGAGAGTCAGAATTAGAGAAAGTGATGTGGTAATGGAAGAAGAGGTCAGAGAGGGAGATTTGAAGATGCTGCACTTCTGGCCTTGAATATGGAGTCACGAGGTAAGTCAAGGAATGGAGGTGGCTTCTAGAAGCTGGAAAAGGCAAAGGAGCACATTCTGTCTAGAGCCTCCCCCAGAAGGAATGCAGCCTCTCTGACACCTTGACTTTAGCCTTGATAGACCTAGTTGGGCTTCTGGCCCCCAGAACTGTAAGATGGTAGATTTGTGGTGTTTGATGCCACTAAATGTAGGGTACTTTGTTGTAGCAACAACAAAAAATGAACATGAAGCTGGGACCTCATGTTACAGTTGCTCACGCCTGTAATCCCAGAACTTTAGGAGGCTGAGGTGGGAGGATCGCTTAAGCCCAGGAGCTTAAGACCAGCCTGGGCAACATAATGAGACCTCATGTCTAAAAAAAAATGTTTTTAAAGGCCAGGCGCAGTGGCTCACGCCTGTAATCCCAGCACTTTGGGAGGCCGAGGAGGGTGGATCACGAGGTCAGAAGTTCAAGACCAGCCTAGCCAAGATGGTGAAACCCCATCTCTACTAAAAATACAAACATTAGCCAGGTGTGGTGGTGGGTGCCTGTAATCCCAGCTACTTGGGAGGCAGAGAATCACTTGAACCCAAAAGGCAGACATTGCAGTGAGCCAAGATCGCACCCTTACACTTCAGCCTGGGCGACCGAGACTCCGTCTCAAAAAAAAAAAAAAAAGCCATGTGTTGTGGCATGCAGCTGTAGTCTCAGTTCCTAGGGTGGCTGAGGCGGGAGGATTGTTTAAGCCTGGGAGGTTGAAGTTGCTGTGAGCTGTGATTGCACCAGTGTACTCCAGCCTGGGCAATAAAGCAAGACCTTATTTCAAAAAGAAAGAAATGAGCATGGTGGGAATGGGGACAGATGGCAGTGTTAAGTAGAGTGGTCAGGGTTGGCCTCATAAGTGAATACTGAGCAAAAGTTTGAAGCAGGTGATGGAGCTGGCCAAGGTGCTGAGGGAAGAGCATTGTAGGCTGAGTCAACAGGATAAAGGCATTAGGAGGAAACTCTCTGGTGTGTCTGAGGCTCTGGAAGGAGGCCAGTGGAGCAAAGAGATAGAGGGAGCGAAGTCAGCGAGGAGGCCAGGGAGTTGCTGGGCTGGGATCGGTACAGATCGTGTAAGCCCTGGGACGCTATTGCTGGGGCTTTGGCTTTTACTCTGACTAAAATGGGAACCACCAAGGGCTTCTGAGCAGAGAGGCGACATGATCCGTCTCCTGATTTAAAAGCACGACCTGGCTGCCGAGTTGAGAAAGACTATGGGAAGATTTGGGTAGAAGCATGGGGGCCAAGCTGTGGCAACATCCCGGTGGGAGATGATAGTGATCCTGACGGGGTTCATGGTGGTGGTGAGAGATGGTTAGAGCCTGGATACATATTGAAGTCAGTCAGTAGGATTTCCTGACAGACTGGATGTGAGCTGTGAGAGAAGGCAGTGGTCAAGGTTGAGTTTGATTCTGATTGAATTATTAAGTAATTTTAAAAAACACTACTGCTTTTCCCAATCCTACCAAGTAAAGGATGCTAGATAAAAGAAATCTCAAGTCAGGCCAGGTACAGTGGCTCACACCTATAGTTCCAACAGTTTGAGAGGCAGAGATGGGAGTATGTTTTAAGGCCATGAGTTTGAGAGCAGCCTGGGCAACACAGCAAGACCTCCTCTCTACAAAAATAAAAAAAATAAATTTAATAAAATAAAATAAATATAGCCAGGCATGATGGTATGTACCTATGGCCCCAGTTACTCATGTGGCTGAGATGGGCAGATCTCTTGATTCTAGGAGTTTGAGGCCAGCTTGGGCAACATAGCAAGTCTTCTCTCTCTACAAAAATGAAAAAAATGCCTGACATGGTGGTACTTGCCTGTATTCCCAGGTATGGGGGCAGCTGAGGCTGGAGCATCTCTTGAGCCCAGTTGGTCAAGGTTGCAGTGAGCTATGATTATACCACTGCACTCCATCCTGGGTGACAGAGTGGGACCCTGTCTCAAAATACAAATACAAATGAAATCTCAAGTCAGACCAGTCCCTTCTAGGCTATGTAGGCCTTGTAACCACATAGCTGCATGATCGGGTTTGTGTGGCTGTGGATGAGGAGACCCCTGTCCAATTGTTGGCTATGTAATCAGTTTATTTTTCAATATAGTAATCAAATATATTTCATCATACTTGATGGTCTCAGATATGTGTGGATTTTGGAATTCCCCTTGGAACAGGTTGTAACATCTTATTGGCTCCATAATTCCATAATTTTTTTAATCTGATCAGTTTTTAATAAGATCGCAATTTATATTAGACTACTTAATCGGTTTTGTTAATGACAAAATGAAATTGTGTTGTTTGCATTTTATCCAAGATGGGTGTCATATTGGGTAAATCTCATCAATACTTGAACAAATGCAAAATTAGAGCTTCTTTATCATGAAACACGATGTAATTCTTGAAGAAGATGCCATTTCTTTTTTTTTCTTTTTTTTTTTAAGATAAGAGTCTTTCTCTTGTCACCCAGGCTGGAGTGCAATGGTGCGATTTTGGCTCACTGCAACCTTCACCTTCTGGGTCCAAGCAATTCTCCTGCCTCAGCCTCCCGAGTAGCTGGGATTACAGGTGCCCGCCACCATACCCAGCTAATTTTTGTATTTTTAGTAGAGATGGGATTTCACCATATTGGCCAGGCTCCTCTGGAGCTCCTGACCTCAGGCAATCTGCCTGCCTCAGCCTCCCAAAATTCAAGGAGTACAGATGTGAACAACCACGCCCGGCCTCCATTTCTTTTTTGTAGTCTTTAATAAACAGCTGCTATCATTGCAGACTTGCTGTTTAGGCACTTAGGAATTTTTCACTAGAAGGCATGTAAATAAAGACCATGGGCAATTGTAATGAATTTCGCCTTCATTCTTTGACTACATGACTGTCCCCAGAGCTGTAACTTTATTGAATTTTTTAGAAGCCATTTAGCTAGCAACTGAGCCTAACCAGCCACTCACCGTCATTATTCAGTGCTCTTTTATTATTGTCTATTTCTCCTCCAACTTGGCTACACTCACAAAGTGATAAAAACTTGCATTTGTTTTCTTTCCTTTTCAGAGACAGCGTCTTGCTCTGTTGCTTAGGCTACAGTACAGTGACATGATCATGGTTCACTGTAGCCTCAAACTCCTGGGCTCAAGTGGTTCTCTCACTTCAGTCTCCCAAGTAGCTGGGACTACAGACATGTGCCACCATGTCCAGCTAATTTTTTATCATAGAGACGGGATCTTGCCATGTTGCTCCGACTGGGCTCAAAACTCCTGACCTCAAGTGATCCTCCTGCCTCAGCCTCCCAAAGTGCTGGGATTACAGGCAGGCATGACCACCTGTGCCCAGCCCCCTATTATTATTATTTTAAATAATAGCTTTATTAAAATATTCAAATGCCATTCACTTTATTTATTGAAATCTGCAATTCAGTAGGTTTTAGAATATTCACAGAGCTGTGCATCGATCACCACAGTCACTTTTAGAACCTTTCATTACCCTATAGAGAAATCCATACCCCTTAGCTACTACCTCCTACTCTCCCCACCTACCTTTGCCCCCAGCCTTAGGCAACCATTGATTAATTTTTTGTCACTATAGATTTGCCTAATCTGGACAAATAGAATTGTACAATATGTGATCTTTTGTGGCTTTTTTTCCCTCTTAGCACAGTGTTTTCAAAGTTCCTTTATGTCATAGTGTGTATCAATATTTCATTCCTTCTATGGCAGTATTCCATGGTAGAGACACACTGCATTTTGTTTATCTGTTCATCAGTTGGTGGATATTTGGGTTGTTTCCATGTATTCCATGTATTGGTCATTATGAATAATGCTGCTATGAAGATTGTTGTACAAGTTTTTGTGTGGACATATATTTTTATTTTTCTGGGATATATGCCTAGGAGTGAAATTGTTGCATTATAGGATGACTGTACATTTAGCCTTTTGAGAAACTGCCAGACTGTTTTCTAACGTGGCTATACCAGTTGGGTGCAATGGCTCACACCTGTAATCCCAGCTACTCAGGAGGCTCAGCTAGGAGGATGGCTTGAGCCCGTGAATTCAAGACCAGCCTGGGCAAGATAGTGAAACCCCGTCTTGATTTTTTAAAAATCCAATTAAAATGACAAGAAAAGAAATACCCAAACAAAATGGTTACACAATTTTATGTTCCCACCAGTAATGTATGTGGGTTCCAATTCCTCCACATCTTCACTGACATTTTTTTTTTCTAGATAGGGGCTTGCTCTGTCTCTCAGGCCGCAGTGCAATGATGCCATCACAGTTCACTGCAGCCGTGACCTCCCAGGCACAAGTGATTCTCTCATCTCAGCCTCCTGGGTAGCTGAAAATTACAGGTGTACGCCACCATGCCTGGCTAATTTTTAGATTTTTCTGTAGTGGTGGGATTTTACCATGTTGCCCAGGCTGGTCTCATACTCCTGGCCTCAAGTGATCTGCCCACCTCAGCCTCCCTAAGTTCTGGAATTACAGGCTGCCACCATGCCCGGCCTTCACCAACATTTGTCATTATCTGTTTTTTTTTTCTTCCTTTATACCTTAAAGCAGTATAAGAACAAGTGTCTTCAATTATAGGAAACAGTATAATCCCAGGGCTTTGGGAGGCTAAGACAGGAAGATGTCTTGATGCCAGGAGTTTTTTTTGTTGTTGTTGTTTTTGTTTTTGTTATTGTTGTTGTTGTTTTTGACAGTCTCGCTCTGTCACCCAGGGTGGAGTGCAGTGATGGGGTCCACTGCAACCTCCACCTCCCAGGTTCAAGTGATTCTCCTGCCTCAGCCTCCCGAGTAGGTGAGACTACAGGTACACGCCACTACTGCCCAGCTGATTTTTGTATTTTTGATAGAGTCAGAGTTTCACCGTGTTGGCCAGGCTGGTCTCGAACTCCAGACTTCAGGTGATTTGCCTGCCTTAGCTTCCCAAAGTGCTGCGATTACAAGCATGAGCCACCATGCCCAGCCTGATGCCAGGAGTTTTAGACTAGCCTGGGCAACCTAGCAAGACCTTGTCTCTACAGAATATTTAAAAATTAGCCAAATGTGGTGGTGCCTGTGTATAGTCTCTCTCCCTCTCTTTTTTTTTTTTCTAACTTTTTGTGACATGGTCTGGCTCTGTCACCCAGGCTGAAGTGCAGTGGTGTGATCATGGCTCACTGCAGCCTGAAACTCCTGGGATCAAGTGATCAATCCTCCCACCTCATCCTACCAAGTAGTAGGGACCACAGGTGTATGCCACCCAGGTCTTGCTATGTTGTCCAGGCTGGTCTTGAGCTCCTGGCCTCAAGCAATCCTCTCACCTTGGCCCCCCACAGTGCAAGGATTACAGGTATGAGCCACCATGCCTGGCCCCTACCCTGCCTACTGAGAACCAAAGGAAGGATCCAAATTCTCCTTAGCTCAACTCGAGCCATTTCCTGATTGCTTCATCAGCGAGGAGCTGGTTATTGGGCTGTCCAGGCCTCCCAAGCAGCACAGAAATGAGGTGAAGGAGTTTTCCTGTTGCTCCACTCTGTAAGGAGTTGGAGGGTGATGTTTACTCATTTGCAGAGAGAGATGCCTTGTAGGCACCTCAGCATGGAGAGGGCCCTGATTCCAATGTCCTTTTTTTCTTCAGAAACAGGACCTTGCCCTGTCACTCAGGATGGAGTTCAGTGGTCCTATCATGGCTCATTATAGCCTCAAACTCCCAGGCTCAAGCAATCCTACCATGTCAGCCTTCCCAGTAGCTGGAACTACAGGTAAGCATCGTGACACTCAGTGAATTTTGTTTTTATTTTGTTGTAGAGATGGGACCTCAGTATGTTGCCATGGCTGACCTTGAACTCCTGCACTCAAGGGATTTTCCTACCCTGGCCTCCCAAAGTATTGGTATTACAGGCATGAGCCATTGTGCCCACCGTCTCTGGTTCTTAACCTTCTGCCTCCCTCTTCCAGTTTTAAAGAATGCTTGTGATTACATGGGCTCTCCTAGATACTCCAGGATAATCTTGTTTTAAGGTCAGCTGATGAGCAACATTAATTTTATCTGCACTCTTAATTCCCCCTTCCTATGTAATTGTGCTGTGTAACATAGGACATGAGCAATTGGTGGCGGTGGGGGTTATTACTTTGGCCACCACAGTAACTATTTTATGCCAGGTACTCAGCTAAGCACTGGTGAATTAAGCATGAATAACACACACTCCTTAATCTCCATCCATTCATGGGAGGAGCACTTCACCTGCCATGCTCCTGAGAATCTCGGGAGTCATAGAAGTCTTCTATGAGGAGGTGATGCCAAAGCGGACAAGTGACAGAGGAGTCAAAGCTAGCTAGGAAGAGAGTAGAGGTTTAAGGGGAAGCATATTATAAGCAGAGGATATTACCCACTTCAGAGACTCCCAGAGGAGAAAGAGTGTGCGTTCAAGGGGCAGATGAGGCTCAGTTGGACTCCATAGCAGATGTAATGGAGAGGGGCAAGCAGTGAGGCTGCCTTGCAAGGCAGGGCAGAGCAGGGGCTGTTAAGGAGTTTGGACTTAATCCCTGAGGCAAGGAGAAGTGATGTAAATGGGGGAGTAACATGATGAGATTCATAGATTAGAGACATGGCTCAGGCTGCTGTAGAGAAGGCACCAGGAAGAGCAGATGGCTCAATGTGTGTGCAGAAGACCTCTCCCTGAGTTTAGGGAGAGGTTTTTAAAACAGAAGAAGTTTGAGTAATTTAAATGATGATGGGAAGGAGCTAAAAGTGGGGGATAGGTTAAAGATACAGGAAAGTGGGAGGAAGAACTGACAAGTGAGGTTCCAGAGAGGGCAGGAGAAGAGGAGATTCCCATAGGGGGATTAACACTTTCTTTTCTTTTTTCTTTCTAAGACAGGGTCTCACTCTGTCACCCAGGCTGGAGTGCAGTGGCACAATCTTGGCTCACTGTAGTGTAGACTTCCCAGGCTCAAGGGATTTCTCCCACCCCAGACTCCCAAGTAGCTGGAACTACGGGTGTGCACCACCACCACACCTGGCTAATGTCTCTTTTTTTTGGTAGACACAGAGTCTCACTATTTAGCACTGATTGGTCTCCAACTCCTGGCCTCAAGCGATCCTCCTGCCTAGGCTTCCCAAATTGCTGGGATTACAGGCATGAGCCACAATGCCTGGCCTCTGCTAGTTCCGTATTCTCTAGAGTTGTCTTTACTTTGTGCTAGTGTGTCCCTCATTGTGCTGATCCTCTGTAAAAATTAATACCTTTTTTTTTTTTTTGAGATGGAGTTTCACTCTTGTTGCCCAGGCTGGAGTGCAATGGTGCTATCTCGGCTCAGCGCAACCTCCACCTTCTGGGTTCAAGCAATTCTCCTGCCTCAGCCTCCCGAGTAGTTGGGATTACAGGCATGTGCCACCATGCCCAGCTAATTTTGTATTTTTAGTAGAGATGGGGTTTCTCTGTGCTGGTCAGGCTGGTCTCGAACTCCTGACCTCAGGTGATCTGTCTGCCTTGGCCTCCCAAAGTGCTGGGATTACAGGCATGAGCCATTTTGCCTGGCCAAAATTAATACTTTTTATATTAAATTTACATATATATATATATATGTTTTTTCTTTTTGATACCGGGTCTCACACTGTCACCCAGGCTGGAGTACAGTGGCACAACCTCTGCTCACTGCAGCCTCCACCTGCCAGGCTCAAGCAATTCTCCTGCCTCAGCCTCCCGAGTAGCTGGGATTACAGGTAAGTGCCACCACACCCAGCTGATTTTTGTGTTTTTTGTAGAGACGAGGTTTCGCCATGTTTCCCAGACTGTTCTCAAACTCCTGAGCTCAAAGCAGTCCACCCACCTTGGCCTCCCAGAGTTCTGGGATTACAGGTGTGAGCCATCTTGCTCATTCTAGTTTAAACTTTTGAGTGGTTTGTGTCTCCTGATTGGACTCCTACAAATACAGAATTGATGCTAGGAAGGGTACCAGGAGATAGACGCACACAGATGGGATTTGGGAATAGGTTTGGTTATCCAAGGAGCAGTGCTGAGCTCCTTGCAATGGGATATGGGATGCTGGTGATTTCCAGGAAGTGCGCTCACAATGACTCAAGCTGCCACATACTGTTGATTGTGAAATGCCAGTTGAAGCATATGTCCTGCAAGCTTAGGGGTGCTACAAGTTGACCACTGCAGCAGTAAAGATGACTCTGAAGAATGGCGTGGGATGGTTCCTTTCAAATGCACTTGAGCAGCGGTCTCCAACCACAGGGCCACAGAGCTGGAGGTGAGCAGCAGGCGAGTGAAGGGAAACTTCATCTGTATTTCTAGCCCCTCCCATCGCTTGCATGACCACCTGAGCTCCATGTCCTGTCAGATCAGCAGCAGCATTAGATTGTCATAGGAGCACAAACTCTGTTGTGAAGTGTGCATGCGAGGGATCTAGGTTGTGTACTCCTTATGAGAATCTAATGCCTGATATTCTGTTACTGTCTCCCATCACCCCAGGTGGACAGTCTAGTTGCAGGAAAACAAGCTCAGAGATCCCACTGAGTCTACATTATAGTGAGTTGTAGAATCATTTCATTATATATTACTATGTAGTAATAATAGAAATAAAGTGCACAATATATGTAATGCACTTGAATCATCCTGAAATTATTCCCTCATTCCCAGTCTGTGGAAAAATTGTCTTCCACACATTCACTCTGTTTTTTGGTAGAGGCAGGGTCTTAATATATTGCCCAGTCTGATCTCAAACTCCTGGCCTCAAGTAATATACCTCTCTCAGCCTCCCAAAGTGCTGAGATTACAGGCATAAGCCACCACCCTCAACCAAGAGTTTCTTAAACCAAATAAAAATTAAGTGAGATTACTTGAGCCCAGGTGGTCAAGGCTGCAGTGAGCCTGATTGCACCACTGCACTCCAGCCTAGGTGACAGAATGAGACTGTCTCAAAAAATAAAATAAAATACAAATTAACCCTTTATGACATTCCCAGTAACTTCCTAAGTGCTCCCCACAAGTCTTTGAATTCTGTTTAATTTTCACATAACATTTAAGACATTTAAGAACTTATGTCTGTCTGTGTCATCCCTTTATGTCAAAAGATGTCTTTTTGTCACTTCCAGCTGGATCTACCATGAAAGACTTGTGAATCCAGGAAGAGAGACTGACTGGGCAACATGTTATTCAGGTACAAAAAGATTTGGACTGTAACTTAAAAATGATCAAATTATGTTTCCCATGCATCAGGTGCAATGGGAAGCTCTTCTGGAGAGTGAGAGAAGCTTCCAGTTAAGGTGACATTGAAGCCAAGTCCTGAAAGATGAGGAAGAGTTGTATGAGAGTGGGGAGGGAAGGGGGAGGTGGAGGGATGGGGAATGGGCCGGGATGGGATAGCGCAAACTGCCCGGGAAGGGACACCAGCACTGTACAGACCTGAACAATGAAGATGGCATATTTTGTTCAGGGAATGGTGAATTAAGTGTGGCAGGAATGCTTTGTAGACACAGTAATTTGCTTGTATGGAATTTTGCCTGAGAGACCTCATTGCAGTTTCTGATTTTTTGATGTCTTCATCCATCACTGTCCTTGTCAAATAGTTTGGAACAGGTATAATGATCACAATAACCCCAAGCATAATATTTTGTTAATTCTCACAGAATCACATGTAGGTGCCACAGTTATCCCCATTTTATGAATGGAGTGATGAAAACCTTAGGAATAATGAATGATTTGCGCAGGCTCACCTGGATATTAAGACTGAGTCAAATGTTGGGTCTGGTCTGACTTTAATGTTTGCTTTGTTCATGAGCACCACATATTGCCTCTCCTATGCAGTTAAGCAGGTAGGTGACAGAAAAGCCCATGTTTGTCTCTACTCACACACTTCCGACTGAATGTATGTATGGAGTTTCTACACCAGATTCTTCAGTGCTCTGGATATTAACTGGGTATCCCATGACTTTATTCTGACACTACCTGGAGTTAGCACAGACCCCACAAGTTAGGGGCTCAGTCCCACGAGGCCATCCTCACTTCAGATGACAATGGCAAGTCCTAAGTTGTCACCATACTTTTGACCAACCTGTTACCAATCGGGGGTTCCCGTAACTGTCTTCTTGGGTTTAATAATTTGCTAGAACAGTTTACGGAACTCAGAAAAACAGTTTATTTTCTTTTTTTCTGAGAGAGAGGGTCTTATTTTGTTGCCCAGGCTGGTGTGCAATGGTGCAGTCATAGCTCATTGCAGCCTTGATTGTCTGGGTTCCAGTGGTTCTCCCACCTCAGCCTCCCTAGTAGCTGAGACTACATGCCTGCACCACCACATCTGGCTAGTTTCTTTTATTTTTTGTATAGATGGGGTCTTGTTGTGTTGGCCAGGCTGGCCACAAATTCCTGGTCTCAAGTGATCCTCCCACCTCAGCCTCTGAAAGTGCTGGGATTACAGATGTGAGCCACCACATCTGGCCAGTTCATTTCCTATTACTGGTTCATTGTGAAGGATACATCTCAGAAACAGTCAATGAAAGAGACGTGCATGCTGGATGCAGTGGCTCATGCCTGTAATCTCAGCACTTTGGGAGGCCAAGGTGGGAGGATCGCTTAAACTCAGGAGTTTGAGACCAGCCTGGGCAACATGGTGAAAACCTGTCTCTATAAAAAATTAAAAAATAATAATAATAACTGGTGTGGTGTTGTGCACCTAGAGTTCCAACTACTAGGGAAGCTGAGATGAGAGGATACCTTGAGCTGGGGACTGGGGAGGCTTAGGTTACAGTAAGCTGAGATTGTGCCACTGCACTCCAGCTTGGACAAAAGAGCCTGATCCTGTCTCAAAAAAAAGAAAGATACCCAGGGAAAGTTAAGTTCGGAGGGGCACAGAGCTCCCATGCCCTCTGTTGAACATGCGACCCTCCCAGCATCTCCTGTGTCCAGCAACCCTGAAAGCTCTGCAAACCCCTTTCGGGGTGTTTATGGAGGCTTTATTATGCAAGCATGATTGATAAAACCTTTGGCTGTTGGTGATTAAGTCAGTCTCCAGCCCCTCTTCCCCCTGGAGTTCAGTGCATGAGGCTGAAAGTTCCAAGCCTCTTACCATGTGGTTTCATGGTAATCAGCCCTCCTCTTGAAGAAATTTAGGAGCTTGCAGTCACCCAGTCATCTCAACAACATCCCCAAATGCATTCTTACCATGCTGGAGATCCCAAAGTTCTTAGAGGCTCTTGTGTTAGAAACCTGGGACCAAGACCAAATATTAAAACAAAAGATGCTCCTGTCACATCTATCACTGAGGTCTTTGTAAGAGCTTTAGAAGCTCTGTGCCAGGAACCAGGGACAGAGATTAAATATATATTTCTTTTCTTTTTTTTGAGACAGAATCTCCCTGTGCCATCCAGGCTGGAGTGCAGTGATGTGATCATAGCTCACTATAGCTTTGGCCTTCTGAGATCAAGCAATCCTCCCATCTCAACCTCCCAAGTAGCTAGGACTACACATGCATGTCACCCATGCCCAGATCATTTTTGTAGAGTCAGAGTTTCACCGTGGTGGCCAGGTTGGCCATGTTGGCCAGATGGGGTCTTCTTTTGTTGCCCAGGCTGGCCACAAATTCCTGGGCTCAACTGATCCTCCCACCTCGTCCTTGTAGAGATGAGATTTAGTTATGTCGTCCAGGCTGATCTCAAACTCCTGGGCTAAATCGATTGTCTCACCTCAGCCTCTCAAGTATGTTATGAAGGTTATATGTTAGGAAGGGTCCCAGGAGGTAGACCCACACAGATGGGATTTGGGCATAGGTTTGGTTTCCCAGGGGGCAGTGCTGAGCTCTTTGCCAGTGGGAAATGGGATGCGGGTGATTTCCAGTAGGTGACCTCACAGTGACTCAAGCTACCACTTACTGTTGATTGTGACGAAATGCCAGCTGAGGCACATGCCTTGGGAGCTAAGTGGTTGCTGCCCTGGACCACTGTGAAGACTGGTGTGGGAAGGGTCGCTTTGGATGCACTTGAGCAGGGGTCCCCAACCCCTGAGCCATGGAGCCGCAAGGAGCCACACAGCAGGAGGTGAGCGGTGTCGAGTGAGGGAGTGAGGGAAGCTTCGTCTGTATTTACAGCCACTCCCCTTTGCTCACATTCCCGCCTGAGCTCCACCTTCTCAGATGAGCAGCAGCGTTAGATTCTCATAGGAGAACACACCCTGTTGTGAACCGTGCATGTGAGGGATCTAGGTTGCGCTGTCCTTATGAGAATCTAATACCTATTGATCTGTTACTTTCTCCCATCACGCTCAGGTGGGACCATCCAGTTGCAGGAAAACAAGCTTAACACGCCCACTGATTCTACATTATGGTGAGTTCTATAATTATTTTATTATATATTACAGTGTAATAATGGAAATAAAGTGCCTAATAAATGCAAATGTGCTTACATCTTTTGGCCCAGCTCCTACCTCCCGGCAGCCTCTCCAGGCCCCGAACTTTCTCTAGTCAGCCTCTACAGACCAAGCTCATGACTCTCAATGGCCTATTTAGGCCCATACCCTATCACGGCAGCCTCCGCAGATGAGGCTACTGCCTCACAACAGCCTCCACAGGCACAGCTCCATCGTTACAATGGCCTCTTTAGACCCAGCTCCTGCCTCCCAGCCTTCTCTCCAGGCTCTGAACTTTCTCAGTAAGTTCAGGTAGCTGGGACTGTAGGTATACATGACGATACTTGGCTAATTTTTAAATTGTTTTGTAGACACGGGGTCTCACTTTGTTGGCCAGGCTGGTGTCAAACTAATGGCCTCAAGTGACCCTTCCACCCCTGCCTCCCATCCTCGAGGTATGTGCCACCACAGGGAGCACTTGTTCAATTTTCTAAAAAAGAAATTTCTAAAGTAAGGCTGTGGGATGATGGCAGGAAGATAAAAGAAAAACAGAAGAATAAGTTAAAATGACTTATTCACACATATTCTTTTGACAGCAAGAAGAACTTTTAGTATATACATTCCTTACAAACAAACAAAAGGCAGATAAACAATGTTGTATAGGAACTTCAACACACACTGTACAATATTCCCACTTTGCTGACATAAGTTATGGAAATTTCATGGTTTACTTGAGTGTCGCTACCAGTATTTTGCTTCTCTGATGATTTTTATCAACTTCCTCATCTGTTAACTTCTCTCCAAGGTATGTCATGTCACGACATACTGCCGCTGCACGAACATGGCCAGTGTCTTCCTATTCAACATGTAGAATGCTTTCCTAATTTCTCTTTTTACTCTCTGTCTTTGTGTTCTGCATTTTCCTTACTTTTATTGTCAGAAACTCCAGAAAGTCAATCGTACTAATTTATCACGATTTGCTTTATTAATTTATACTTTGCTTATATGGAATTTTGTCCAACAGACCTCATCACAGTTTCTAACCTGTTTTATTTTTTATTTATTTATTTTTTTTGTTCTGAGACAGGGTCTCCCTCTGTTGTCCAAGGCTGGAGTGTAGTAGTGCTATCGCAGCTGACTGCAGCCTCAACCTTCCAGGCTGAAGCGATCCTCCCACCTCAACCTCCCACGTGGCTGAGACTACAGGTGCTTGCCACTATGCCCAACTAACATTTGGAATTTTCGTATACGTGGATTCCAGAGGGGTGACAGCGAAACGTGAGTAAGCATGGATTTTGGTATATGCAGAGATGGGGGGCTGGAACTAATTCTGTATACTGAGGGATGACGACTGTGTATGTTTTTACAATTACGCTGTAGGATACATACTGTTGCATAGCCTTGAAAATAATAATTTTTAATTGAGTGGAATAAGAATAATATTGATAAAAGTAGCAGCTGGCCAGGTGTGGTGGCTCACACTGGTAATCGCAACACTTTGGGAGGCTGAGGCAGGAGGATGGCTTGAGGCCAAGAGTTTGCGATAGGCCTTGGAAACAAAGGGGGAGTCACCATCCCTACAGAAAAATACATGAATTAGCCTAGTGTGGTGGCATGTTCCTGTAGTCCCAGCTACTTGGGAGGCTGAGGTGGGAGGATCACTTGAGCCCAGGGAGGCTGAGACTGCAGTGAGTCATGATCAGGCCTCTGCACTCCAGCCTGGGTGACAGAGTGAGACCCTGTCTCAAAACAACAAAAAAGTAGCAGCTAACATCAACTGACCTTTTACCAGGTGCCTATTGATACCATAGTTTAATTTCTTATAACTGTTTCTTATTTCACTTACCAACTCTGTCTTCAGTTACTCCCAGATTTTTACTGTGTGTGTACAGATGACCTTTTGCTTAGATTGAATTGTCTCCCCAGAAGTAAGATTACTGTGAGTCATGGTGAATGGACATTCTCCTTACCCTTGATGTAAATTGACAGGGTTTTGGGTGCCTCCCAGCTATAATCTTAGCACTTTGGGAGGCTAAGAGAGGAGGATTGCTTGAGGCCAAGAGTTGGAGGAGGCAGTATGGCAGTATGGTGAGACCCTGTCTCCATTATTTTAAAAAATTGACAGGCTTTACCCGGGAAGGCTTATACACAATTTAACCACCCCTCATAGTATAAGAAAGTGCCCATTTCACTGCACCTTTGCCAGCACAGGGTATTATAATTTCGTAAGCCATTTTTTGTTTGATTATTTTAAATAGACAAAAGACCTCATATTACTTTACTTGTCACATTTCAACATCTTTCCTCAGCTTATTAGCTCTATTTCTTTTCTGTCTGTAAATGGTTGTTGTGGTTTTGTTCTTTGAGACAGGGTCTTGCTCTGTCATCCGGCTGGACTGTAGTGGCATAATCATGCCTCACTGCAGCCTTGACCTCCCAGGCTCAAACTTCCGCATTCCGAGTAGCTGGGACTACAAGTGTGCACCACCACCCCCAGCTAACTTTTTTCTTCTTTTGGATAGAGACAGGGTCTCACTGTGTCATCCAGAGCGGTCTCTAGCTCCTGGCCTTAAGCAATCCTCCTGCATTAGCTTCTGTAATGGCTGGAATTTCAGGCATGAGCCACCATGCCTGGCCTGGGCTAGTCCCATATTCTCTAGAGTTCTCTTTACTCTGTGCTAGCCAATCTCTCATTATGCTGTTCACCTGTTATAATGAATAATTCTCTGTATTAAATTTTACCACTTTAAACTTTTGAGTGGTTTATGCTTCCTGATTGGACTCTGACTAATATGTTAGGAAGGGTCCCAGGAGGTAGACCCACACAGATGGGATTTGGGCATAGGTTTGGTTTCCCAGGGGGCAGTGCTGAGCTCTTTGCCAGTGGGAAATGGGATGCTGGTGATTTCCAGTAGGTGACCTCACAGTGACTCAAGCTACCACTTACTGTTGATTGTGACGAAATGCCAGCTGAGGCACATGCCTTGGGAGCTAAGTGGTTGCTGCCCTGGACCACTGTGAAGACTGGTGTGGGAAGGGTCGCTTTGGATGCACTTGAGCAGGGGTCCCCAACCCCTGAGCCATGGAGCCGCAAGGAGCCACACAGCAGGAGGTGAGCGGTGTCGAGTGAGGGAGTGAGGGAAGCTTCGTCTGTATTTACAGCCACTCCCCTTTGCTCACATTCCCGCCTGAGCTCCACCTTCTCAGATGAGCAGCAGCATTAGATGCTCATAGGAGAACGCACCCTGTTGTGAACCGTGCATGTGAGGGATCGAGGTTGCGCTGTCCTTATGAGAATCTAATACCTATTGATCTGTCACTTTCTCCCATCACGCTCAGGTGGGACCATCCAGTTGCAGGAAAACAAGCTTAACACGCCCACTAATTCTACATTATGGTGAGTTCTATAATTATTTTATTATATATTACAGTGTAATAATGGAAATAAAGTGCCTAATAAATGCAAATGTGCTTACATCTTTTGGCCCAGCTCCTACCTCCCGGCAGCCTCTCCAGGCCCAGAACTTTCTCCAGTCAGCCTCTACAGACCAAGCTCATGACTCACAATGGCCTATTTAGGCCCATACCCTACGTCACGGCAGCCTCCGCAGATGAGGCTACTGCCTCACAACAGCCTCCACAGGCACAGCTCCATCGTTACAATGGCCTCTTTAGACCCAGCTCCTGCCTCCCAGCCTTCTCTCCAGGCCCTGAACTTTCTCAAGTCGACCTCACCAGGCCCAGCTCATGCATCTTGGTGGCCCCTCCAGGCCCAGCCTCTGCCTCCCGTCAGCCTCTACAGTCCCAACGTCTGCCTCACAGCAGATTCTTCACGCCCAGCATCTACCTCACTGTGGACCCCCCAAGCCAAGCTCCCAACCTTTCAGCAGCTTCTACACACCCAGCTCCTGCCACCCAGTGGCCTCTTTAGGCCAAGCTCATGCTTCACAAGGGCCTTTCCAGGCCCAACTTTTGTCTCATGGCAACCTTCCCTGGCCAGATTCCTGCCTGTCTCCCAGCAGCCTAGACAGGCCCAGGTCTTGCCTCACACTGGCCTCTCTACATCCAGCTTATGCCTCACGGTGGCCTCTCCACGCCCAACTCCTGTCCCAGGACGTCATCTCCGGGCCCAAAACTTACTCAAGTCAGACTCTCTAGTCCCAACTGCTGCCTCCTGGTGGCCTATGAAGGCCCAAAATCTCAAGTTGACCTGTCCAGGCCCAGCTCCTGCCTCCTGTCAGCGTCTACAGGCCCAACCTCTGCCTCATGGGGGCTTTTCCAGGCCCACCTCTTCCTCTTGGCTGGGTCTACAGGCACAACTGCTGCCTCACAACAGCCTTTTTTGGCCCAGTTCCTGTCCAGCTCATGGCGGCCAATGTAGGCCCAAAACTTCCTCAAGTCAAACTCTCCAGGCCCACCTTCTGCTTCCCGGTGGCATCAACAGGCCCAGCTTTGACTTGAGAACAGCCTCTGCAGGCCCTGCTCTTGCCTCCCAGGGGCTTTTTCCAGGCCCAGCTCTTGCCTCGTGGCAGCTGCCCAGGCCAAATTTCTGCCTGCCTGCCAGCAGCCTCAACAGGCACAGCTCCTCCCTCACAGTGGCCCATTTAGGCCCAACTCATGACTGTGAGGCCATTTCCAGGCCTAGTGCCTGCCTCGTGGCTGACTCTTGAAGCCCAAAACTTCCTCAAATCAGCCTTTTGCCCAACTTCTGTCTACTGTTGGACTCTACAGGCCAGCCTCTGCCTCACAGTGGACCCTCCAGACTCAGATGGTGTCTCACTGTGGCATCCTCAGGCGAAGCTCCTGCCTTTCGGCAGCCTCTCCAGGCCCAGCTCCTCCTGCCTCCCAGTGGCCTCTTTCGGCCCAGCCCAGCTCATGCCTCCCGGCGGCCTTCCCAAGCCCCGCTTTTGACTTTCGGTGGCCTCTGCAGGCCTCGACAAGGCCCAGCCTCCTGCCTCCCGAAGGCCTGCACAGGCCCAGCCTCTGCCTCACAGCGGACTCTCCACGCCCAGCTAGCTGTTGCCTCACTGCGGCCTCCCGAGTCCAAAGCTCCTGCCTCTCGGCCGCTTCGGCAGGCCCAGCTCCCGCCTGCCAGTGGCCTCTTCAGGCCCATGGGGCTCATTCCTGACAACGGCCTTTCCAGGCCCAGTTTTTCCCTTCCGGCGGCCTCTCCGGGCCCAGAACCTCCTCAAGTCGGCCTCTCCAGACCCACTTGCACCCTCCGGGCATCCTCTCCGGGCCCAGCTCTTCTTCCTGGTTGCGTCTCCAGGCCCGATTCCTGCTTCTCAACAACCTCTTTGGACTCAGTGCCTACCCATCTCCTGGCGGCCTTGGTCGGCCCACAGCTTCCTCAAGCCAAGCTCCCCAGGCCCAGGTCAGGCCTCACGGTGGCCTCTCCAGGATGAGCTCCTGCCCTCCGATGGCATCTCCAGGCCCCAAATGGTCTCCGGTCGGTGGGCTCCTCCACGCCAAGGTTGGGCCTCCCGGCGACCGCCGCAGGCCCAAGTTGTCCTGAAGTCGGGCTCTCCCGGCCCTGCCTCCCAGCAAGTAAGCAAGCTCTTTTGGCTCAACTCCTGCCCAGCTCCCAACCGCCTTTGTAGGCCCCGAACTTTCTCCAGCCAAGCTCTGAGGGCCCACCTCCTGCCTCCTGGTGGCCTGTACAGTTCTAGCACTGGTTAGAGAACAGCCTCTGCAGGCCCCGCCCTTGCCTCCCAGGGGCCTCTCCAGGCCCAGCTCTTGCCCCCACGGCGGCCTCCCGGGGCCAAGTCCCTGCCTGCCTCCCAGCAGCCCGCGTACGGCCCAGCTCCTCCCTCACGATGGCCTGTTGATGCCCAACTCATGCCTCTGGCACCCTGCCCAGAGGCGTGAGCCCCTGTCTCACACTGGCTCCTCCCACGCTGAGAGAGGTCAGTGTGAGCCCTTGCCTCACACCGGCCCCTCCCACGCGGACAGAGGTCAGCGTGAGCCCCTTGCCTCACACCGGCCCCTCCCACGCTGAGAGAGGTCAGTGTGAGCCCTTGCCTCACCCCGGCCCCTCCCACGTGGACAGAGGTCAGCGTGAGCCCCTTGCCTCACACCGGCCCCTCCCACGCTGAGAGAGGTCAGTGTGAGCCCTTGCCTCACACCGGCCCCTCCCACACGGACAGAGGTCAGCGTGAGCCCCTTGCCTCACACCGGCCCCTCCCACGCTGAGAGAGGTCAGTGTGAGCCCTTGCCTCACCCCAGCCCCTCCCACGTGGACAGAGGTCAGCGTGAGCCCCTTGCCTCACACCGGCCCCTCCCACGCTGCGAGAGGTCAGCCTGAGCCCTTGCCTCACACCGGCCCCTCCCACGCTGAGAGAGGTCAGCCTGAGCCCTTGCCTCACACCGGCCCCTCCCACGCTGAGAGAGGTCAGCCTGAGCCCTTGTCTCACACCGGCCCCTCCCACGCTGAGAGAGGTCAGCCCGAGCCCCTCGCCTCACACCGGCCCCTCCCACGCTGAGAGAGGTCAGCCTGAGCCCTTGCCTCACACCGGCCCCTCCCACGCTGAGAGAGGTCAGCCCGAGCCCCTCGCCTCACACTGGCCCCTCCCACGCTGAGAGAGGTCAGCCTGAGCCCTTGTCTCACACCGGCCCCTCCCACGCTGAGAGAGGTCAGCCCGAGCCCCTTGCCTCACACCGGCCCCTCCCACGCTGAGAGAGGTCAGCCTGAGCCCTTGCCTCACACCGGCCCCTCCCACGCTGAGAGAGGTCAGTGTGAGCCCCTTGCCTCACCCCGGCCCCTCCCACGCTGAGAGAGGTCAGTGTGAGCCCCTTGTCTCACACCGGCCCCTCCCACGCTGAGAGAGGTCAGCCTGAGCCCTTGCCTCACACCGGCCCCTCCCACGCTGAGAGAGGTCAGCCCGAGCCCCTCGCCTCACACCGGCCCCTCCCACGCGGACAGAGGTCAGCGTGAGCCCCTTGCCTCACACCGGCCCCTCCCACGCTGAGAGAGGTCAGCCTGAGCCCTTGCCTCACACCGGCCCCTCCCACGCTGAGAGAGGTCAGCCCGAGCCCCTCGCCTCACACCGGCCCCTCCCACGCTGAGAGAGGTCAGTGTGAGCCCTTGCCTCACACCGGCCCCTCCCACGCGGACAGAGGTCAGCGTGAGCCCCTTGCCTCACACCGGCCCCTCCCACGCTGAGAGAGGTCAGCCTGAGCCCTTGCCTCACACCGGCCCCTCCCACGCTGAGAGAGGTCAGCCCGAGCCCCTCGCCTCACACCGGCCCCTCCCACGCGGACAGAGGTCAGCGTGAGCCCCTTGCCTCACACCGGCCCCTCCCACGCTGAGAGAGGTCAGCCTGAGCCCTTGCCTCACACCGGCCCCTCCCACGCTGAGAGAGGTCAGCGTGAGCCCCTTGCCTCACACCGGCCCCTCCCACGCTGAGAGAGGTCAGTGTGAGCCCTTTGCCTCACCCCGGCCCCTCCCACGCTGAGAGAGGTCAGCCCGAGCCCCTCGCCTCACACCGGCCCCTCCCACGCTGAGAGAGGTCAGTGTGAGCCCTTGCCTCACACCGGCCCCTCCCACGCGGACAGAGGTCAGCGTGAGCCCCTTGCCTCACACCGGCCCCTCCCACGCTGAGAGAGGTCAGCCTGAGCCCTTGCCTCACACCGGCCCCTCCCACGCTGAGAGAGGTCAGCCCGAGCCCCTCGCCTCACACCGGCCCCTCCCACGCGGACAGAGGTCAGCGTGAGCCCCTTGCCTCACACCGGCCCCTCCCACGCTGAGAGAGGTCAGCCTGAGCCCTTGCCTCACACCGGCCCCTCCCACGCTGAGAGAGGTCAGCCCGAGCCCCTCGCCTCACACCGGCCCCTCCCACGCGGACAGAGGTCAGCGTGAGCCCCTTGCCTCACACCGGCCCCTCCCACGCTGAGAGAGGTCAGCCTGAGCCCTTGCCTCACACCGGCCCCTCCCACGCTGAGAGAGGTCAGCGTGAGCCCCTTGCCTCACACCGGCCCCTCCCACGCTGAGAGAGGTCAGTGTGAGCCCTTGCCTCACACCGGCCCCTCCCACGCGGACAGAGGTCAGCGTGACCCCCTGCCTCAACAGGCCACCGTGAGGGAGGAACAGGATCGCACTCGGGCTGCTGGGAGGTAGGCAGGGACTTGGGCCTGGGAGGTCGCGGTGGGGCGAGAGCTGGGCCTGGAGACTCCCCTGGGAGGCAACAGCGGGGTCTGCAGACGCCCTTCTCCAGCCGGAGCTGGGACTGTTCAGTCACTGGGAGAAGGGATGTGGGTCTGAAGAGCTTGGTTGCAGAAACTTCGGGGTCTACAAACGCAGGCGGGAGCTGAGCCAAAAGAGCTTGTTTGCTGGGAGGTGGGAGATGCAGCCAGGAGGAACAGCTGGGCAATGCGGGAGGCAGAGGCCAGGCCTCCTCAAGTTGGCCTCTCAGACCCACTTGCAGCCTCCCGGCGCCCCCTCCGGGCCCAGCTCTTCCTCCCGGCTGCATCTCCAGGGCGGACTCTGGCCCGACTCCAGGTCCCAACAACGTCTTTGGACTCAGCTCCTGCCCAGCTCCCAGCGGCCCTGGTAGGCCCACAACTTCCCTAAGCCAAGCTCCCCAGGCCCAGCTCAGGCCTCGCGGTGGCCTCTCCAGGCTCAGCTCCTGGCCCTCCGATGACATCTGCAGGCCCCAAACGGCCTCCGGTCGGTGGGCTCCTCTAGGCCCAGCTTGGGCCTCCCGGCGGCCTCCGCAGGCCCAAATCGTCCCGAAGTCAGTCTCTCCAGGCTTAGCTCCAGCCTCCCGGCGGCCTCTGCAGGCCCAAGTCGTCCTCAAGTCGGCCTGGAAGTGGGCCTGGAAGAGCAGCAAGTCGGCCTCCCCGGGCCCAGCTCCGTCCTCTCGGCGGCCTCTCCAGGTGCAAAACTTCCTCGAGTCAGCCTCTCCAGGCCCAGCTCCTCCTGCCTCCCAGTGGCCTCTTTCGGCCCAGCCCAGCTCATGGCTCTCGGCGGCCTTCCCAGGCCCCGCTTTTGACTTTTGGCAGCCTCTTCAGGCGCAGAACTTGATCTCCAGGCGGCCTTTGCAGGCCCGGCCTCCTGCCTCTCGAAGGCCTGCACGGGCCCGGCCTCGGCCTCGGCCTCACAGCGGACTCTCCACGCCCAGCTAGCTCTCGCCTCACTGCGGTCTCCCCAGTCCAAAGCTCCTGGCTTTCGGCCACTTCGGCAGGTCCAGCTCCTGCCTGCCAGTGGCCTCTTTAGGCCCAGCTCATTCCTCACGTCGGCCATTCCAGGCCCCGTTTTTCCCTTCCGGCAGCCTCTTGGCCTCTAATTTGTTTATCTTTTGTGTATAAATCCCAAAATATTGAATTTTGGAATATTTCCACCATTATGTAAATATTTTGGTAGGTAATTTATTTGGAGTGAGTTTCTGCGCCAAGCCCGAATTTTTTATTTTATTTTCCTTATTATTTGGTGTTAAACAGGTTTAATGACGGTCATGGCAACTTTTTGGCACAATGAAAAATATCGCCCACGATCAACGTGTTCTGTTCTGGGGAAGGGGGCAAAGGCAGGGTGAATCACTTTCTTAAAAAGTATAGCTCAAGTTGGGAGTGCAGAGGGAATGGGGAGAAAACCCTCCCGCTGCCTGTGTCGAAGTGCAGGAGCCCCCACCCCCATACTCACCTGAGTCCAGCCCCTCTGGGGAAAGAAGGGGTGCATGAACTCCCCCTAGTCCACAGGCGCCTCCCTGTGGCCCAAGGCCCTCTTCACACTCCATCTTGTAGCCCCAGCAGGAGCTATTTTCCGAAAAGTGAAAAGCTCTGAAGGTCCCACAATTCATGGTATGTACAGGGGCTCGGAGGAGGGAAACTGCCCAGCTTTCCCCCGGCACAGCTGCAGGGGTAGGGGGTATAGATAAGAGGAGCAGGCCTTGGCCAGGCGTGGTGGCTCACGCCTGTAATCCCAGCACTTTGGGAGGGGGAGGCAGGCAGATCACGATGTCAGGAGATCGAAATCAGCCTGGCCAAGATGATGAAGCCCCGTCTGTACTAAAAATACAAAAATTAGCCGGACGTGGTAGCGTGCACCTGTAATCCTAGCTACCGAGAAGGCTGAGGCAGGAGAATGGCGTGAACCCGGCGGGAAGAGGTTGCAGTGAGCCAAGATCGCACCACTGCACTCCAGCCTGGGCGACAGAGCAAGACTCGGTCTCAAAAAAAAAAAAAAAAAAAAAAAAAAAGAGGAAGGCCTTACTCCGTCCCAAACTGAAAGGATTAAATGGCTTCACCTGGGAGAAGATAACCATCCTGCCCTCCATTGCTACCCCCACATACTGTCCATGTTCTCAGGGGGTACTGTGAGTCCTGGGATCTTTGGGGTTGCCCACCTGCCTGTGGTAGCTATGGAGACCCCCAGGTGTTGAGGCAGGGCTGGGGTGTCCCCTTCCAACCAGGCTGTCAAGGCCCCAACTCTGGGGCAGAGGCAGTGGCAGGGCAGCCAGGGTTGCGCCAGAGCCTGAGCAGGTTGAGGTGGGGTCAGGCAGGGCTGGGAGTCAGGGCAGGGGCAGCAGCAGTGGACCTGCTATGCACACATCTTCTTCTCCAAGGTTTGTGTGCAGAACATCCTGCCCATGCTGCCCCAGCAGCTTCAGTTGGCACCTGCCCCAGTCCAGCCTCTGGGAACCATGCAGCAGCTCCCAGCGGCCCTGCACCCACCACCAGCATCCGTTTCACCTGCAGTTGAAGATCCGTGAGGTGCCCAGAAGATCATGCAGTCATCAGTCCCACGGAGCAGCCCGCGAGGCTGAGGCTCCTCCCACTGGACCGCCCCCCAACTGGCACCACTGCTGCCCCTGCCCCTACTCTCAGCCTCACGTGACTCTCGGGCAGAAGCAGTGGTGGGGCAGCCAGGGCAGCGTCAAGAGTCTGAGCCAGGTGAGGTGTGGTCAGGACCCCCACAGTGCTGGGAGTCAGGGCAGGGGCAGAACAAACCTTGGAGGGGAAGATGTGTGCATAGTGGGCCTGGAGGGTGGCTGTGGCCTAGTGGACAGGAAGAAGCAGTGGGCCTGGAAGAGCTGCATGATCAGGGCCGGCACTGGTCCAGGGTACGTGCAGTGAAGAGGACAGTGCCTTCTCGGTCTCCGGTTCCCTGAGCCTGTCCTCGGCTTCTCCACCTGTACAGGCAAAGGGGAAGCTGTCCCCATCACACATGGCACACTTGGGGGTGTTGGGCTTTGGACTGCAGCTGGAGCATCTTCTCATCTTGCATTTGGGCGCGGTGGGGTCCTCCAGTGTGGGATCCATGTCCGTGGGGTTCCCTCTGCCCCGACCCCGAAAGCCCAGTCAGTTTCTCTTCAGGCTCTGCTCCCCGGGTGGCTCAGCCCAGCTCCTGCCTAGGAAAGCCTTAGTGTTGGGAGGGACCCTGATGACTGAGGAGCCTGGTAGCTCCAGGTCGCCCACACTTTCAGGTCTCTTGCACCAGAAGGTGGCAGGATCCATTGGGAGGAAACAGGCCACCTTGGAAGGTGTCCCTGGGCCCCCATCCCCAGGGATTGAGGCCGTAGGGGGCCCGCTCTGCTGCGTTGACCAGACTCCTGGGCTTTGAAGGCTCCTGGGCCCAGTAAGAAGGAGGTGGGTGCCAAGGTTGAGGAGGAAGCATCCGAGTATGTGTAGGAGGAGGACAGGGTGTGACCATAGACTGCCAAAAGCTGCAGGTGGATCGGGGGACCCTGGGGGCTCAGGATCCAGCAAGGGGCGGCAGGAGTAAAGGAGGAAGGAATGACAGGTGCAAATACCTTCCCACCAAAGCCCTTTATGCCCTCTGGCTCCTCCCCAGAGTTGTCCCCACTCTCAGTCGGTCACCCACTCCTTGAACTTGAGATCGGTGTCGGTGGTGCTAAAGCCATCATCAGCAATGACATCATCACCCCCTCCTCCTCATGGATGACCGTGTGCTCCTCGTCACTCGCTATGACCTCGCTGGCCATGTGCTGGGAATGAGCAGCTCACGTGGGCGGCAGCAGGGCTGCCCACGGGTCACCTCCCTCACCAGGGGCTGCAAAGTGGCCTGGAGCTCCATGCTGAGTAGAAGGCTTTGGGCCAGAGTATGATGCAGTGCCAGACACCACCTGTGTCAGTTCCCGTAGTGCCTGACGGTCTATTTCCCTGCCGTCCAGGCTGTGTACCCCGCTGTGGGAGAAGGCTTGGGCCAGGCTGAGCCAGGTTCCCTGACTGTGTGCAGCCGTTCTGCCCCACAGAAGCTGCTCCTTGGTATCCGAGCTCTGGAGTGTTTGGGCTGCAACTGACAGGAGTTCAGAGGACACCCCAGGGGCAGTGGCAGTGCCCGTCTCTGATATGCTCCGCTCCCACGAGCCCTTGTTACACTCCTGCTAGCCCCTGGCTTGTGGGCTTGGCCTCTGAGCTGGACTTCTTTCGGTCCTTGTTGCAAGTGGGCCACCTTCACCTGGAAGGCCAGGTCGTATTTCTGCATCTCATTGGGCCCCAGGGTGTACCACCGCTCGCTCAGCATCTGGCTGACGGTCCGGTTATCCTGGTTGGGGTGACCCTGGTGCGCCCCGCCAGGGCCTGGTGCCGCCTGCTGAAGATCATGAGCGCCACTCATGGGCCACCGGATGTGGTCCTTGTCCGATTTGTTGGGGCTGCGTCCATCCTTCTCAGAAGATGAGTCCTGTTCCTTGCTCAGGGCACTGAGGGACTGGGCCTGACATCATCTGAGTGGTAGAGGCAACTGGGTGTCAGGAGACATGATGGAGAGGAAAGCATCATCATGGTCATTCTCTGTCTCACTGTCCAGCAGGGACTCCCCTGAGGGGCCCAGGGCTCCTCCTCCATGGTGGGAGGTGAGCTTTTACCAGGTTCCACCACCCCCAAAGTGTGTGGGGTTGCGGGCCCTGGGCTTTCAGGGCAGGTGGCTCCAGGGGGCCGCCCAGGGTCAACACTCCCTGTCCCACCTGGTGGACGCTCATGAGCAACGGCTGCCAACTTGGCAGGTTGTTTTCTCTGGTTGGAGGCCACTGAGTGACTGGCAGGTTGCTGGGCCTCGTGTGGCTGCAGGGAGGGGTCAGGAAGGGGATGGAGTACCAGGAGAACACGGCCGCAGAGTGACCTTCCACATTCCTCCACACGAACATGCTGACGCCACGGGAGGCCTCACTGAATGCAGGCCTGGGGGCCGAGCACTTGGTCCGGGCAGGGGGTTCCTGGCAGGGGCTCACACCTCCTCGCCCCCTCCTCAGCCAAGGTGGCTTGGGCCCAGAGAAGGGGAGGTTGGAGAGGAGCAGAAGGCCAGGCCTCAAGTTTTGTTTTTTTTGTTTGTTTTGTTTTTTGTTTTTGAAATGTAGTTTGACTCTTGTCACCCAGGCTGGAGTGCAGTGGCACGATCTCAGTGGCCTTCATACCTGGCTAATTTTTTGTATTTTTACTGGAGGTGGGGTTTTGCCATGTTGGCCAGGCTGGTCTTGACCTCCCGACCTCAGGTGATCCACCCACCTCAGCCTCCCAAAATGGGATTACAGGCATGAGCCACCGCTCCCAACTTCATTCATTTTTACTTGAAAAACTCCGTTAAGCATTTTTTTAAGGTAGACCTAGTGGTCCTGAATGCCCTCAGCTTTGTTTGTCGAGGAAACACATTATTTCTTTTTCCTTTCTGAAGGACAGCTTTGTCAGACATAGTATTAGTTGCTGGCAGTTTTTTTCTTTCAGCACTTTGAATGTATTATTCGATTCTGTCCTGACCTGCAAAGTTTCTTTAACTTTTGACTATTTGATTATATTGTGACTTGGTGAGTATCTATTTGGTTTGAACCTCTTTAGGAATCTTTAAGCTTCATGGATTTAGATGTCTAAATCTTTCCCATGATTTAGGCAGTTGTCAGCCATTCTTTAAATAAGCTTTATTCTCCTTTCTCTACTTTCCTTCTCAAACTCCCATAACCTGACAATGGTTTGCTTAATGGTGTCTTATTGGCTTTCTTTTCTCTGTCTCTTTTTTTTTTCTTTTTGAGACAGAGTCATGCTCTGTCACCCAGGCTGGAGTGTAATGTGTGGTCTCGGCTCACATTGCACTCCAACCTCCGCCTCCTGGGTTCAAGCGATTCTCCTGCCTCAGCCTCCCAAGTAGCTGGGACTACAGGTGTGTGCCACCACACCCGGCTAATTTTTGTATTTTTAGTAGAGATGGGGCTTTGTCATGTTGGACAGGCTGGTCTTGAACTCCTGACCTCTTAATCTGCCTGCCTCGGCCTCCCAAAGTGTTGGGATTACAGGCTTGAGCCACCACACCCAGCCTTCTTTTCTCTCTTTTATTCTTTTTTTCTCTGTCCTCTGACTGGATAATTTCGGAAGATCTATATTCAAGTTTACAGATTCTCTCTCCTGTTGAAGTTGACTATTGTGTTATATCACCCAGTCTGGTCTTGAACTCCTGGGCTCAAGCGATCCTCCCACCTTGGCCTCCCAAAGTGCTGAGTTTACAAGCATGAGCCACTGCATCCAGTCAGTCCCAGCACTTTGGGAAGCTGAGGTGGGAGGATCACTTGAGCTCAGGAGTTTGAGACCAGCCTGGGCAACGTACTGAGAACTTGTCTCTATATTAAAAAAAAAAAGAAAGTCTTTGGGAGGCCAAAGCGGGAGGATCACCTGAGGTCAGGAGTTCGAGACCAGCCTGGCCATCATGGTGAAACCCCATCTCTACTAAAAATACAAAAATTAGCCAGGTGTGGTGGCACACGCCTGTAGTGGTGGTGCATGCCTATAGTCCCAGCTACTCAAGAGGCTGAGGCAGGAGAATCACTTGAACTGGGAGATGGAGGTTGCAGTGAGCTGAGATCGCACCAGTGCACTCCAGCCTGGGCAACAGAGTGAGACTCCATCTTATAAAAGGAAAAAAGAAAGAAAAGAAAAATTCCATATCTGAGTGTTTACTCCTGAGTTTTTGAGATTGTTATTAAGATCGTGGTCTACTGTGATGATTTGGGTTTGTTTGATAATCAGAAAAAAAGCATATTCTTTTAGGTGTTCAGCCACACTGCTTTGGTGTCACAACTGCACATTGGTTTCACAGCTGCAGGACAAGTTCGAGCATCTTAAAATGATTCAACAGGAGGAGATAAGGAAGCTCGAGGAAGAGAAAAAACAACTGGAAGGAGAAATCATAGATTTTTATAAAATGAAAGCTTCCTCTGAAGCACTGCAGACTCAGCTGAGCACCGATACAAAGAAAGACAAACATCGTAAGAAGCAATAGTTTCTCTTACTATTCTGAGAGCCTTATCATTCTACATCCCATCTTCCTGTGAGATTGTCTTTGTAGCATTTAACTCTAATTGCAGTTCTCTTTTTAAAAATTGGCTTGCTTATTGTATATTTTCCCCAACTAAAGCGTGAACTCCTAGCAGGGCGTGATGGCTCATGCCTGTAATCTCAGCACTGTGGGAGGCCGAGGTGGGTCGACTACCTGAGGTTAGGAGTTCGAGACCAGCCTGACCAACATGATGAAACGCTGTCTCTACTAAAAATACAAAAATTAGCTAGGCGTGGTGGCTGGGACCTGTAATCCCAGCTACTTGGGAGGCTGAGGCAGGAGAATCACTTGAACCCTGGAGGTGGAGGTTGCAGTGAGCAGAGATCTCACCATTACACTCCAGCCTGGGTGACAAGAGCAAAACTGCATCTCAAAAAAAAAAAAAAAAGGGGGTGAACTTGAAGGCAGGTCCTGTGTCCATCTTTTCAGATTCTGTATCCCAGCACTTAGGACATAGACAAACACGAAGATGACAATCAATATTTGCCAAAATGAAAAAACAAAAGAAACATGTAACATCATGTAAAAGAAGCTGGTTAGGTGGAGAAATTTATTTACCATAGTCTTGCTTGTGGATCCAGTAGTGACTTTTACAGTTTATATCTAAATAGAAGCTGGAGGCTTTGTTGGGGACTCATAGGCATAAAATATTATTTATTATAGAGTTAAATGCTACAAAGACAAATCTAATTAATAGGCCTATTTTCCTTTTTAAATTCTACTCATAATTTCTTCATAGTTTTTATGATAAAAGTTTGGATTTTGATTAGAACTCCCATGATTTTGTGTCAGAATTAAAACTGGTATTAGAATAAATAATTCAAAAGCTAGAGAAAGAGTACAAAGAGAAGCCATGAGTTGCATTTGAATTATAATATTATGTCTTACAGATTTGGGGTATATGCTAAAGTTACCAAAGTTGTAGAAAATAAGGCCGGGCATTGTGGCTCACATCTGTAATTCCAGCACTTTGGGAGGCCGAGGTGGGCGGATCATTTGAGGTCAGGAGTTTGAGACCAGCCTGGCCAACATGGTGAAACTCCGTCTGTACTAATAGTACAAAAATTAGCCAGGCGTGATGGTGTGCACCTGTAGTCCTTGCTACTCAGAAAGCTGGGGCAGGAGAATCGCTTGTACCCAGGAGGCAGAGGTTGCAGTGAGCAGAGATTGTGCCACTGCACTCCAGCCTGGGTGACAGAGTGCTATGAGTCACCACACCTGGTATGAGCCACCGTGCCTGGCCCACAATGACTTTTACACATGTTGTTAAATCATCTTACAGATTTTATAATTTGGGGGAAGAAAAGTTTTACTAAATTGTCTTTTAATGGAAACTCTACAAGAACCAGAATCTTTGCTTTGTTCACTTATGTATCCATTCCTAGGCCTAGAAAAATGTCTGACACATAGCGGCAATTATTCATTGAATAAATGGACCCAGCGATAGTACATTGGCTATGCTATATGCATACATTAAAGATGTAGATTATCGACTTTCAAAAGATAATTAATGTAACTTCTTACTGCTTCTGAACATGTTTGTGAGTTATATTGCTGAGGGACCTTTGTCTTCTCATTCTTTCATCTTAACCCAGTGTTATAAAATTGAAATCACCAATATTATTCCATATCTAAAATTAATATCTACCTTGTAAAAAATATCACTCTGCTGCATTTGAGAATAGACTTTTTAGGTAATAATGATGCAATCCATAGGGTTTTTTGGGGGCACAGAGGGATTCATGCTAACAGAACATTTTATTTTCTATTTTCCCAGAGCTGTAAAACATGAAATTACGGTAGTATAAGGCATATTTTTACTCTTTTTATAATTTTTTCTAAAAAAAATTAGTGTTTGTTCCCTATATAACTTTTAACTTTATAGGTAAATATTTGTTTCTTTCAGCTCCAGTTTTATGTGAAATAGAGTTTTCAGATTTATGTAGCATGGAAAGTTTTAATACGTAAGAGTTACTGATTTTTGCCAATCATTTTCTCAATTATTTCTTTTTTATCTTTAGTTGATTTTTTTGTAGTGACACATTTTGTTTCTAGTCTCATTTCCTTTTGTTTATATTCTATGTATATTTCATTTTTGGTTACTATGAGAATTACATATAACATCCTAGAGTTATAACATTTTAATTTGAATTTATTTCAACTTAAGTTCAATCACATACCAAAATTCTACTGCTATATATATATAGCTCTACTCTTTTTATGTTATTGATGTGACAAATTATATCTTTATTCATTGTATACCAGCTAACAGATTTACAATTACATTTTATGCATTTGCCTTTTAAATTATGTAGAAAATAAAAAGCAGAGTTACAAACCAAAATTACAATAGGACTGTTTTTATGTTTGTTTATGTATTTACCTTTACCAGAGAGCTTTGTATATTCATACAGCTTGCTTATTTACTTATATAGTTATTGCCTAGAGTTCATTTATTTCAACCTGAAGGACTTAACACTTCCTGAATGGCAAATTCAGGGATAAATGGATTTTTTTCAGTTTTAAAAAAAAAATCCGGAAATGTCTTAATTTCTCCTTCATTTTTGAAGGATAAGTTTTCCAGCTATATATTTCTCAATTGACAGGTTTCTTCATTATTTTAAATATATAATCCACTGCCTACTGGCCTTCAAGGTTTCTGCCGAGAAATCAGCTGCTAATGTTATCTGGATCCCTATCTGTGAGAGTTGCTCTTCTCTCTGAGTTTTCAACATTCTCCCATTATCTTTTTTTTGTTTGTTTTTGAGACAAATAATTGTACATATTCATGGGATACAGAGTGATATTTTGATACATGTATACAATGCCCAATGATCAAATAAGGATAATTAGCATATCCATCACCTCAAATATTTGTCATTTATTTGTATTGTGAACAGTCAACATTCTTTCTTCTAGTTTTTTAAATTTATAAACATTTAAATTTTATTACAGAAATTTAAATTTTTTGATTCTGAAAAAGTCATATATGTATGCAACATTTTTTATCATTTATTTATATATTTATGCATCTTTCCTTTTAGTTTTGACAGAGATTTTCTATTTTATCATTATTTCAAAAGAACTCTTACCTGTATTTATTTATCAATTATATTTCCCTTGTTTTTTCCTAGTATATTATTTACTTATCTTCTAAAAATCCTCCATATAATCTGTTTATTTTGTTTCCTTTCTATAATTTCTTCAATAATTAGTTCTGTTCTATTTTCCATTAAAATATTTAAATCTTGTATGAATTTTTGTCAGATTAGAAATTTAGGGCGTTTCTTAATTTCTCTATACTCTAGCTTTTGACTTTTTTTTTCTGACCTAAGAGGTATTTAGAGCACATTTTAGATTTTTTATTTTGACTAATCATTTAAAATGTATACTAATCATCAATTTAAATAAAAAACTGGTCTATAGTGACAAAAATTACAAATGAGCCTAACTAATAAATTATCAGCTGTGTTTATATGTATAAGCATGCACAGATTTTGGTAAATATGTACATAGTATGTTGGTGAGCTTATTTTTATCATTCTTAACTCATTGTGTAGTCTAAACATTGGGGAAAAAATAAAATACAATAATCAGATGGTGTGAATAAGAAAATTGTTCTAATGTTTGTAAACCAAGCAACTGTTTTAACTGCTCCCCTCTTCCTGATTGACTTCTAAAAGGGATTGATCCATATTGGGTCCTATCATATACGTCACGGTATAACATCTCCAGCTATAAAATGGAAATTTGAGAATAACTTTGCTGCTACTCAGATACATTTTATTTCAAAAACATACACTAAGGTGTTGCTGTTGGATCTTTCCAAAAACGTATTCACACAGAACTTTCAATCACACTGAGCCATATTTGAACAATCTTTCAAGGTCAGCTCTGGCATAAGCTAACATTATACCATTTAACTCAGAAGTTTCTTTAGTATTTGATTAATGGGTTTATGTTTGATATGTAATGTAATTTTCTAATACTAAATCAAGTGGTAATTTTGTTAGTCAAGTTGATTTAGTGGCTTGGGAAGAAAGCTTTTAATGTTCCCCTAATTTTTCTTACCTTTGACATGATCCTTTACATGTCTTATTTTGCTTAGTGATTTTTCTTTTTTTTTTTTTTTTTGAGACAGGGTCTTACTCTACCACCCAGGCTTGAGTGCAGTGGTGCAATCACAGCTCATTGCAGCCTTGACCTCCCAGACTCAAGCTATTCTTCCACCTCAGCCTCCCAAGTAGCTGGTACTACAGGCACATGCCACCAAACTTGGCTAATTTTTGTATTTTTTGTAGAGACAGAGTTTTGCCAAATTCTCAGGCTGGTCTGGAATTTCTGGGCTCAAGTAATCCTGCCTTGGCCTCCCAACATGCTGATATTACAGACATAAGCCACAGTACCTGGCCAGTTTTCTTTTTAAAAAAATCTATTGGTTATTAATTTGAAGGCTTCCTTTTCATAGCTGTGCTCCTTAATTGGGAGCAAACATGAATGGACCACAACTTAGCCAATTTTCTATATACGATCTTTGCCATCCTAATTTAAAGGAATATTAATTCTTTCTTTTCCTCTTTCATTCCACAAACCTGTATTGACTACATCTAAGTTCTAAATGGTGCACTGGATGTTGAAAAAGTTGATGATGAGCAAGAACAAAATTCCTGCTTTCAGGAGACTTACAGTTCAATATGGGAAATATAATTTGTTAAAATATAAAAGTGCAATTGTGTTACATGCTGTACGAAGTACATGTTGACATGTGAGCATATAATAAATGGGCTGGAGGCCAGAGGATTGCCAAAGAGAATGGGCCTCCTGCTGAGATGAAAAGTTGAGCAGGGATTAGTTGGCGAAAGTGGAGGGACGATCCTTTCTAGGCAGGACGAAGAACATGTACAGAATCTCTGAGGTGTGATGCGACAAAGTCTATATAAAAAACTGAAGAAAGGTCTAATGTGGCTTAAATACAGAAGCTAGTAGGAGAGGAGTCGAAAAGAGGCTGGAGAAGTAGAAAGTGTCTGCATTCTGCAGGAACTTATATTGTATAAAATATATTGTATATTGTATAAAAAGAATTTCTCTTTATTCTAAGTGCAATGTGAAGCCAATGAAGTGCTTTAAACAGGTGATGTGATTTGATTGAATTTATTACTTCACTTAACAAATATTCATTACATGCCCACTGTTTGTCAGATATTGCTGTAGCCCCTGGTGATACAGTAGGGAATAAAACAGGCAAAAATCCCTGTCCTCTTGCAGCTTATAATGGACTGCAATGTTTAATATGTCAGAGGAGGTCCACGGAGGAGTGACTTCTAAGCAAGAATCTGAAAAAAATGAGGATATCTAAGGAGGGAACAAATGGTTCAAAAGCCCTATAATTGCAAGCAGGCATGATGAAGCAATTGCAGTTGTCCTGACTCTCAACACCGTGGAACTCAAAGGAGATGGAAAGATTCCTTCTCTCCCTCATATATTTTCTCTCTTTCTGTCTATATATATAGAATATGAGACATTTCCCTAATCATTATGTGTAATTACAATTACATATATATATGTAATTGTAATTACACATAATGATTAGGGAAATGTCTCATATTCTTCTACTCAGAAATAAGCAATATAGCAATTACTGTTTTTTACATTTTACAGTTACAGTTTCAGAGAAAGTTTGATATTTATCTAAAATTGTTCAATGTATGAACTTTTTCATTTGACAAACCATAATTGTACATATTCTTGGGATACAGAGTGATATTTTCTTTACATGTATAGAATGTGTAGTGATCAAATCAGGGTAATTTCCACTAATTTAAAATGCCACCTTTATGTTATTGTAATTTATATATATACTATATATATACACACACACATATATATATATACATGTCCCCATACAGTGTGTGTGTGCACATGTACACACATGCATATGTGTATATAATGCCCAGTATAAGCAATGTGCACAAATAAAATTAGCTAACAGAGATAGTATAGAGTGAGAGGAGAGGCAGATTAATCTTTGAGGAAAAGCACAATTTTATAGCTGAATGGAGAAAGCTGAGGTGGTTTCTAAGATGGAGAATAAGATGAAAAATGTAAGTATGTTGTTTGACTGAATTCAAGAAAGAAGGGTAAAAGAGAAGAAAGTAGTGGTCTTATCATTAAATGCCACAGAGAGGTAAAGATAAAGACAACATATTGTTTTGGGTTGAGTAATTTAAGGGTTACCAAATTCCGTTTTGGAGGAGGAACAGATTCCATGTCCACTAGAATGGAATGAACAAGAAATGGAGGAGGAAAATAGGTAGTTTTTCAAAAGTTTTCAAAAATATGAAAAGAAGAAATGAAGTGGTACTTGGAAGAGATTGTTGAAATGGGAGAGACTATGGTGGCTTGTTTAGAAGCAGTTGAGATAGATCCAATTGAGATAGAGATATTGACTATATAAACAAAAGAATGACAAATTAATAGTGTAATGGATAACTTGACTTTGGCAAATATTGTGAATTTTTGTGAAAGTACAACTAAAAGGCAATGTCACTCCAATAATCACCAGAGTAATCAATTTGCTTATTGCTGTCCCTTTAAATATAGTTCTCTGGTATCAACTAACATGTTTTTAACTAATGATGCTTCTTAAAGAAAAGGGAAAAGACCTTTTTCTTTCTTTCAGTCTTCAATGATTCACTGCTTCATCTCGCTCCACCAAAGATAAATGAAATCTACATCTCTTATACATTAACAATGCATGACAATTTACAAATAGCTAAATTTTTGGAGCTAACTTTAAGTACCTGAATGGAATTTAATCAACCCACTAATCTCCTTCTCACTTCTCAGTTATTTATCAAGTTTATGTCAAGGGACAAGGAAAAATTATCCAAACATTGTTTAAAACAATCAATATTAATTAGTAACACTTATCCAGGGGGGTTTTTAACCTTTCCCCCACTCAAGGATTATTCTAATGTCAGAGTAGAATAAAAAATAAGTGCAGCGATGCTGACTCTTCCAAGCTTAACATTTCTCACAAGTCAATTAGCTTTGTACTGGGAGGAGGGCGTGAAGGGCTGCTTGCGGTAGTTGTGTAGCAGCAGCACAATGGCCGCAGACAAGGAAAACAGTTTCTAGGAATTCCTCGTATATAATTTTATATTTTTGACAAGATTAATGACCCATGCTCCCTTCCTCTCCATTTCTTTTTTTGGAATTCTGTTGGTATGTAGTTACTATATTTTATTAAAGGAAATTAGCCTTATCTCTTATTATATTTTATTAAAGAAAATTATTATATTATTCCTTTATATTTTTATTAAAGGATTTTATTATTATTAAAGGAAATTAGCCTTATCTCTTATTATATTTTTTATGACCTTCAAAGTAGTGTCTCTGCTTAAAAGTGTACCCTGGCCGGGCGTGGTGGCTCACACCTGTAATTCCAGCACTTTGGGAGGCCGAGGCGGGTGGATCACGAGGTCAGGAGATCGAGACCATCCTGGCTAACACGGTGAAACCCCGTCTGTACTAAAAATACAAAAAATTAGCAGGGCATAGTGGCGGGCGCCTGTAGTCCCAGCTACTCAGGAGGCTCAGGCAGGAGAATGGCGTGAACCCGGGAGACGGAGCTTGCGGTGAGCTGAGATCGCACCGCTGCACTCCAGCCTGGGCGACAGAGCAAGACTCCGTCTCAAAAAAAAAAAAAGTATACCCTGAGGCACACATCAAGCGACATGTAGAGTTCATAAATTCTGGCCAAATGGTCATACCTCAAACCTCATCAGCAGTAAGGCTCTTTACTTGCACTGACAAATATGAACGCTGGGGAATTTGGAAATGATATATAATATATAATATTATATATATAATAAATATATAATATATATAATACATATATAATATTATATATGTAATAGATATACAATATATAATATATAATAGATATATAATATTATATATAATAGATATATAATATTATATATAATAGATATATAATATATAACTTTCCTTGTGATTTTCCTCTTAATTTTTTTCTAGCTGATCCATATGAATTCCTCTTATTAAGAAAAATAAAGCATCCAGGATTCAATGAAGAACTGACTATCACCTTGTTAATCATTCAGAAACATGTTGCAGGCTTAAGCCATTTTTGATATAGATACTGAAACAATTACTTGCTAAGAGCAAACTTGAAGGTATGGATAAGGCCCTGAGTCATCTTCCTGAGCTGAATGATAGTTAAGCTGAATGTACGTATAAAATATGATTTTCTAACCACTTGCTCGCCAACAAGGAAAAGTTTTAAGTAGAGCAGAACCTGAATAGACAAGACATTTCTTTCTTTTGGTAGAAAATGATTTACCATCACTGTGTAGTTAATTGTAGACTAGGTAATTTTAACTTTGTGATTTATTGCCGGAGACATTTTCTTCTGTACTGTAAAGTGTGTGTCAAAAAAAAATAGCGATTTTGGAGGATTAGGGGACTTTGATAAATTGCCTGCAATTCTGGCAGTATGAACTGCATATTAATTTCTCTCTTTCAAGAACATTTTTATTTATTAATTCCTTACAAAAACTCCCTAAACTTTGGAACAGCTCTCAATTGCCTGTATTCTTTTTTTTCTTATTATGGTACTCTTCTAGAGATTTGGCTTGCATCTGTGAATAAGCCAGGACATCTTCAGAAATTGTCTGATTAAAAACACCACCAATGGAGTTTCATTAAATTTGTATTGCTCTGACTAGTGAAACACACACATCTACGTTGCTGAGGATATTTTACTGCAGTTCGAGTTGTAATAATAGCTCTGTTTAAGATCCGTCAGTCACTTGAATCTTCTCTAAGGCTTTGTATGTTAGAAGTTAATTTGCTTTCTTACAAGGCCACATTCTATCTTGTAACTAAACAACTGAATTTTATGTCTTAGCGTAGATGGTTTATTACTTTCTGGTTTTTCTTTAGTAAGAATCCTATAAAAACACTAGTATTTTTCTCTGAGTTTAAAATTCAATACATGCCTACTGATATGGTTAGGCTTTGTATCCCCACCTGAATCTCATCTTGAATTGTAATCCCCATAGTCCCCATAATCCCCACAGGTCAAGGGAGAGACCAGGTGGAGGTAATTGAATCATGGGGGCAGTTTCCCCTGTGCTGTTCTTGTGATAGTGAGTTCTCACGAGATTTGATGGTTTTATAAGGGATTCTTTCCCCTTTGCTCGGCACTTCTTCATGCTGCCTTGCGAAGAAGCTGGCTTGCTTCCTCTTTGTCTTCCGCCATGATTGTAGATTTCCTGAGGCCTCCCAAGCTGTGCTGAACTGTGAGCCAATTAAACTTCTTTCCTTTATAAATTACCCAGTCTTGGGCAGTTCTTTATAGCAGTATGAAAACAGAAAAATACACCTACTATGTAAAACTTAAAATACAAAAAAACAAAACATTATCTCACTAACATAGGAGCTAATATTTTGGTGTACTTTGTTTAGTATTTTATATTAAAAATATGTACATATATATTTATATATAATTAAGAACATGTATGTACAATCGTGCATACATCATGTACATACATCTACTTAAGAAAATAGCTATGTAATATACCATTACTCAACTAGATTATAATTTTTTCTCCATTTCTTTATTGTAATTTATCATTTTCTACTTTTTTGTTTTCTCATTTTTATTGCATAATATTTAATTATGCAAAAAATACATTAAATACATTGAAAATATATAGTGTAGCTATAAGAATAAAGAACGATGGTAAAACAAATGCTAATACCCACTACCTGACTTAAAGAATATGATATTATTTTTTTCCAATTGAAATTCCCTCAACTACTCAGAATTACTGCTATCCCTCTTATCCTTTCATTAATTTTCTTCTAGTTTTCTCACATGTGAATCTATTTCTAAATACATTTCTTTATTTTGCAAGTTTTTGGACTTCATATAAATGTAACCATATTGTATATATTCTTCTTCAGCTTCTTAGTTTTTCACTAAACAATATGTTTTGCTGATACTTACATTCATATGTACAGTAATAGTTGATTTATTTTAATGGCTATATATTATTCCATTGTTAGAATACACCAGGATTTATTTTTACTTATTTTTTTGCTGGAAAATTGGGTGTCTTTTTTATTTTTTGATATAACAAACAATGTTGTAATCATTTTGTATTTACTTCCTAGTCCACTCCTGTAAGTTTCTCTTGAGTACATACTAGCAATGAATATGCTGAGTCACTGCATATACATACTCACAACTTTATTCTATAATGTAATATTCTATAAAGTAGCTGTATCAGTTTATACTTTAACCAGTAATGGACAAGATTTTCTGTTACTTCCCATCTTTGTTAATTATTACTTTTAGACTCTAACTTTTATCAGGCTCATGGATGTAAAAAGCATCTCAGGGTGGTTTTAATTTGCATTTATCTGCTCATCTATGAAGATGAGCTTCTTTTCATATAATTATGAGTCATTATTTTTGTTTTGCCTTCTTTTGTTTATGCATTTTGCTTGTTCTATGTCTTATTTTTCCTGTTGATTTTTGGGAGTTCATATATATTCTAAATGTATATTTATTCACTTATATATATGTTGTAAATATTACAGTTTATGATTTGTCACCTTATGATATCTTCCAAATAGAGAAGCTTTATATTTTGATGTAGTCATATGTTCATTTTTCCTCCTTAATGTTTGTTTTTCTTGGTCCTATGACCTACCAAAAGTAACAAAAATTCTCATTTATTTTTAATCTAAATGTTTTAAGTATTTTCCTGGAATTCACCTTGAATTGATTTCTATTGGAGATAGGTATCCAATCTAATTTGCCTCATATGGATAACCACTTGTTCTATTACTGCTGTAATAAATTTCTACAAACTAAGTGACCTAAAATAACACAAACTTGTCATCTTACAGTGTACACAAGTCAGAAATCAGGCATGAATTTTAGTGAACTAAAATCAAGTTGTCGACAGGCATGTTTCTTTATGGTGGCTAGGGTAGAATCCATATCCTGGCCTTTTCTATCTTCTAGAGAACATCAGCATTCCTTTTCTCATTGCCTCTCCTCTCTCTTTTTAAAGCTGGCAATGTCACATTTCTCTGACCATTCTTTCATTGTCACATCTCTCTCTGGACTCAGCTAAGAAAGGTTCTCCATTTTTAAGAACTCATGTGATTAGACTGGGCCCATCTGGGTAACCCAGGAAGATCTCTCCATCTCGGTTTGCATCCTTAATCACATCTGATAAGCCTTTATTGCATTCAGTGTAACATATTCACAGGTTCCAGGGTTAGGCATGGGCATCTTTGAGGGCCATTATTCTCCCTACCACATTATTTGCCTAGCATCTTTCATTACATTGTCCATCTATTTACTTACTGATTTCTAATGACATCCAAATCAGTTACAACATTTTATGTAAGCATTGTTTTTATTTTTATGTTATTCCACTAGTCTATTTTTCTACTCATGAATTATGGTACATGAGTTTATTTTTGCAACTTTAAGCTCAATAACATGTTTTAAGATTTCCTCAACTGTCTTTTTGCGCTTCTTCAGAAGTTGACTCTTTTGACCCTTTGGTCTTCTATGCACATTTTAGAAATGCTTTGTTGAGGACTAAGAGGAATGCTAAGATTTTGATAGGAATTTCATTGAATTTTGAGTATATTCGCATGCTACAATGGTTAGTGCTTTATACATGAAAATAATATATCCCTTCCTCTTTTCCTAGTATCATGAGATGTTTGTTAGGCAGACATGAATATTGAGTTGTATCAAATGTGGTTTTCTGCATTATTGTGGTGGTGATGTGATTTAGCTCCTTTAATTAGTTAATGTAATGAATTACATTTGTAGATTGCTCTAACTATTGAAACAAGCTTGAATTTCTGGAATAAGCCCAATGTGATATTTATTCAACAAATATTCATTGAGTATACCTAGTATGTAACATGCTTTAAGAATACACCAGTGAACCAAACAGAAATATCTTACATTACAGAACTTAACATGCCAGTATTTGGAGACAGACGATAAAAAAGTGAACATGTATATTTACAGTTTGTCAAGGAATGATAAATGAAGACTCTTAAAGTAGATGGGGAATTGGGAGTGAAGTCTGTAATTTAAATAGGGTGGGCAGGAAAGCTTCACAGAGAATGGGACATTTAAGAATAGACTTGAAGGACAGGCAAGAGCAATCTCTATGTTTATATGGGAGAAAAGGTTCCAGGCAGATGCAGTAACAATGGCAAATATCCTGAAGTAGGATCATGCTGGAGTTTTTGTGGAGCAGCAAGGAGGCTAGTGTGACTGCCACAGAATCACCCAAGGGAAGATGAGAAGATCAGACCAGACCAGCACTTGGGCATCTAATGGGAAAAGTTTCTCAAGCCATCATAAAAATTTCACTTTTACTATAAATACTACGAGAAACCATGGGATGTTTTACAGTAAGAAAGGTGGCATAATATGTTACATGTTTTAAACAAACTCTATAGCTTCTGAGTTGATTGTAGGGGCTCATGGCAGAAGCAGAGGGAACATTTAGGAGACTACTGTAAAGAATATCATGAAAAGAACAAACAACGCTATGTAACATGCTTAAATGGACTGAAGAAGATGTATAAAATCAAAATGATGTTACCTTCACACCTTGAATCAGTACGATAAACCCCCCTCCCCAATCACAAAAGAAAAACTAAACACAAAAACCAGGCTTTGGTTGCTCAGACAATTTTACAGGTGAGTTCTAGCAAACATGCAAAGAACGTTTAATTGCACTGTTACAGAAATTCTTCTGGAGACAAGAAAATAAGACACATCACCCAACCAATTTCATAATAACAGTGTCAATGTATAATAACAGAAAAAGTGGATCTCCAAAGAAATAAATTTATTTGGAAATAAACAAGGATTATAATCTGAGATATTTGTGCTATGATCAATCATAGGTGCATCCCAAGAGGTTGAGGTAAGGAAAATATGTAAAGACAAAAAGAAGTCCATGCAAGCTGTTTTGAAACAAACATCATTGGTCACAGGGTCTGATGCAGGAGCTGGTGTTAACTTACTGGCAGAAACAGCCATTGCTAGGCAAGTGTTCTTGTGAGGGTGGCTTATCTGAAATGCTGCAGTCTTGAGGAATTTTTTATGATAGGTCCTATTATAGAGACACCTACAGGATGAGCTGGACAAACAGAGTGTGCTGGGTGGGCAGAAATTTCTTGTGAGTTTATAGAAAGTCCTTGTGATAGTGCTTATCGTGGACAGACACACAAGATCCCCTTTTTCATGACCCGGCTCCACTTTGCTTTGGGTCTGATGTAAGTGACTTTGCCTTGTCATTGGCAACTTTCACTGTAGTATAATCTGCACATCAAAGTTACCTAACAATAGTACAAAGAAAGAAAATTAAAGGTATATCTCTTTCAAAAATATAAACCCCAAAATTGTTAGGAAATTGTAGTGAGTATAAAAGATAATTCATTATAATAAACATCTCAAGCTTCACAGAATTCTGACCTTTGCTACACTCTCATCCACAATCTTTTCTCCTAGTAAATGGCAGCTCCTTCTGTTAAGTTGCTGAGGCTTCTTATTGCTTTTTTCTTCAAATAACAGTCAGAACTGAACAACTGTAATCATCCTAGTCCATACAATTGTTATATTTTCATTTAAAGAAGATCAATGTGTGATTCTTTTTTTATATATTTCTGGACAATTCTTTATATTTTAATAGTAGTCAGAATTTGATCAGGAAAACAGAAGACATCCTATGTATTATAATGATAAAAGTTTAATATTAATTAGGGCCTTATGCTATTATTGGAAGAGCTTGGTGAATAGATATTAGAAAAGCAGCTAGACAAAATCAGAAGAGGTCTATTTTATATCAGAGATCTTAGCCTGACAGTCTAGAGTGTGGGCACAGAACCCAAGCTTATAGGAATTTCTGAAAGGTCTGTAAATCTTATCCAGATGGACAGTGGGAGCTCATAAAGGATTCTGCAAGCCATCACATCTGTCAAACCTGCTATGTCTAATCCTTAAGCCTGCTTTATTTGAAGACCTCCTCTTCACTCCTCATTTCCAGCTCTCATGAGTTTCTTTCATAGGCAAACCCAGACCTGGAACAATGTGCCTGAAGACTTCGGGTGACACAGTACCCAGACTTAAATAGGAGGGGAGCCATGGTGGAAGTGGCCATCCAGCACAATTTTCTTGGTCTTTACTCATAGTTTTGATTCCTTAAAAAAATTAACCACATTAAAATATGTGTTTCATAATCTACATCTAATAATACAAATATTTAAAGTCTTTTCAAGTTTGAATACGCTACCCATGTTGCTGCTACCCCCATTTTGTGTGTGTGATTTTTGTGTGTGTGTTAGAAGCTCATGACCTTTGAAACCTGCTCTTATGAGCTTGCTTTGATGATTTATTTGTCCAGAGAGGATTTTTTTTCCTACCTAGCATTTTGGACTGCTATCAACCTGAGACCACTTTGAATTAAATTCTCAGCTTGCAAATTTGGAAGCCACACAGATTGTGTGAGTTCAGGCTGAAACCTGTTTGAGAGCTGGATTCTGGCTATAAACTCCACAGGGAACATTTTCTCTCTCCACTCAGAGCTGAGACCATAGGGAAATTTATTTGCTAGCTCACTTTGAAGGTTTATTTTATTTATTTTTTAAATTTCTAGTACACGTGCTCACTGAAGGTGTAATACTTATGTGAGAATCTCAAAATCAGTTGTGTTCTTTGTATGACCCTGGTTTTGTTTCCTCCTGCTCTCTTACTTTCAGTGTGTCTCAGTATGTCTGCTCAATATGTCATCTTAAATTTCAACTGAGGGTGGATCTTCTTCCCAGCTCACTCACATGGTTCTTAGCTAGATTCAGTTTCTCTCCATTTGTAGGACTGAGGACCTCAGTTCTTCACTTAGGGTTGGCTACAGGTAATCATCAATTTCTTGTAACAGGACTTACACTGGGCCACTGACAGCATGCCAGTTGGCTTCATTCAAATGAGAGGGCAAGAGAGAGAGAGAGAGGGAGAGGGCACAAGAAGAAATTCACAGTATCTTATAATCTAATCTCAGAAGTGGCATCTCATTTCTTTTGTTCTATTCTATTCAATAGAAACAAGTACCTGGGACCAGCTTACACTATAGGAAAGAGATTATATAAGGGTATAAATACCAAGAGGTAGAGATCATCAAGAGCCATTCTGGTAGCAGCCACAATATCTTATCCAGAATATTTCTTATTCAGGCCTTCAAATGTGCTGTCTTTTCTGGTCTAATGGAAATGAACCTTCCTTCCATAATATTTCTTCTCCTAAATTGTACTCTGGCTCTCTTATCATATACAAACGTCTATGTTAGGTATTTGTGTCTGTCTTGATTCTTGGTAGGCTTTTAAACTCTGTGAATGTTGGACTGTGATGTAGACATCATTTCACCGCACACTCTGTAACCACCAAACCTTAGCAGCTTATTCAGTAAGCACATACTTGGCTCTTAATGAGTATTGCTTAAATTGATGAATTGAATTAGTATTTTACCTTCTCTGTTGCTTAGCTAAGCAGAAGAATTTGTCATTTTTTTAATTTAGTGACTGGTTCTATTAAAAGTTACCTTTGTCTATATCATTTTGTTATACTAAAGCACAAATGTATAAGGTCAAAAAACATTCTCAAGATTTTGTTTAAACCACAGCCCTCAGTTGTGTATATTTATCTCTTGTTTTCATATGCAAGATTTCTCCTGAAATGGGCAAGAATTACAAGAGTTTTTTTCCTCTTCTGAACTAAGAAAATAAATATTTAATTCACAAGTTTAGAAAAGTGAACCTGAAAAATCACAGGGCTAGGTGGGTTATGAGGCCCACTGGTACATGATAGTGTTGAATGTGGATTAGAATGAACTCCGTGGATTAGAATCTCAGACCATAGGCAAACATTTACTTGTTTTAGAATAAGCACATTTGAGTCTGCAATAAGTATTACTATTTTTAAGTTGAAAATGTAATTGGTTTCTAATAATAACCATATTGGCTAGCATTATTTCAATCGTGTTTAATGTTTTCCAATGTCATTTCACGTCAGATATCTCTCTTGATTCCTAGTAACAATTTGGACAAGACAGCAAATGCTATTGTCCAAGTTTTCTAAAGAAGAATCTGAAGTGAAATGACATCAAGAGACCTATCAAGACCTGTATCCAGGAAAAGGTAAATCTGAGCTGAAATTGTAGCCCTTGTAAATTACCTACGTGACATACCAGATAGTGTTCATGATCCATTTAGTACTCTGTTCTAAAAATGAGACAATATCCATTTATTCACTTGTTCATTTATTTAGTGTGTGTTCAGCCCTTACTGCATATTCCAGGCACTATTCTGACTGTGGCAGGAGTGAACAAACAGGCATGGTTCTTACTTGCATGTAATTACAGTCTTATAGTGAAAACAAGTGTTAAACAACAAAATCTCCCAATTATTTTAAAATTATAAACTTGATTCGATACTATGTGGCCATATAATTGTTCCTAATTTGGTTGGAGAAGGGAGGCAGTTAGGGAAGCCTTCCCTGAGTTAGTGCCATTTAACCTGAATTATGATAGATGATAAGTAATTTGTCAGGGGAAAAATACTCCAGGAATAAAGAACAGGTACAAAGGTCAGGTTCTGGGAAGAGCTTGTCTTGGTCCAGGAGCTAAAAAATGTTAGAGTGGCTGGATCTGGGCAAGAGACAAAGAGTTATTAAATGAGGCAGCAGGCTTCAGCAGGTGCCACATTGCTCAGGGCCTTGTAGGCCATGCTAAGGATTTGGGATGTTAATGTCAGTACAAACAATTGAGTCGTAAGCAGAAAGTAAAAGCATGATTCCATCAAATGTTATTCTCTAAACAGTAATTTTATAAATACAGGTTAAATGTGTGTGGTCCCAGCTACTCAGGAGGTCCCAGCTACTCAGTATTCCTTTTCAACAAATATTAGGTGCCTACTATTAGCCAGGTACAGCCCTTAGCTACTTTGAATGAAGCATATATTACAAACTGGCAGAATTTCTTAAACAAAGAATCTAAAGTTGTTTATACACCATAATCTCGGTATTTTATAAATTTCTTGAAATTATTTTTATGTACACTGCTTTGCAGAATTTTAACTGGCTTTGAAATAAACAATGACAATAGTCCTCCATGTTACTAGTTTCAAATTTTCCCAATACCTACTAAGACATTACTTAATCCACAGATTTACTGTCAATAGTTTGTATCAAATTGTGATAACATATTTGAAATTAATATTTCATATTAAAGCAAAATCACAAATTTATACTTTATATTATGAATGAGATTCACAAAAGGAGCATGATAACATATTCTGTTGTCATCGCATACAAAATAATAACATATAGAGTATGAATCAATAATTTTTCAAATACAAAGCTATTACAATTAGGAATACAAAGAAATCATAATTAGGAATACTTCTACAATATTAACACACAATAGTGGTAACACTTGCAAAATGATGGTGGTGGTTTTTTTTTTTTTTTTTTTTCCCCCGACAGAGTCTTGCTCTTGTTGCCCAGGCTGGAGTGCAATGGCATGATTTTGGCTCACTGTAAACTCCACCTCCTGGGTTCAAGCGATTCTCCTGCCTCAGCCTCCCTAGTAGCTGGTATTACAGGTGCCTGCCACCACACCCAGCTAATTTTTGTATTTTTAGTAGAGATGGGGGTTTCACCATGTTGGCCAGCCTGGTCCCGAACTCCTGACCTTAGGTGATCCACCAGCATCGGCCTCCCAAAGTGCTGGGATTACAGGTGTGAGCCACTGTGTCCAGCCAGTGGTGGGTCTCATATCTCAATGTGGACTTTTACTAACTCCCAATGCCTCAGTTTCCTCATCAGTTGAAAGGAATGAATGAAAGATATGTGTTTTTCATATTACCAGGTAGATGATAAGGAGATTTTAATTTTCTTTTTTTTTAACTTTTATTTTAAGTTTAGGGGCATTTGTTACATAGGTAGACTGGTGTCACAGGGGGTTATTGTACAGATCATTTCATCACCCAGGTATTGAACCTAGTACCCAATAGTTATCTTTTCTGTTTCTCTTCCTTTTCTCACCCTCCACCCTCAAGTAGACCCCAGTGTCTGTTTTATTCTTTGTGTTCATGAGTTCTCATCATTTAGCTCCCACTTATAACTGAGAGTATGCTGTATTTGGTTTTCTGTTCCTGCATTAGTTTGCTAAGGATAATAGAAGGTCCATCCATATTCCAGCAAAAGACATGATATCATTTTTTAATGGCGGCATAGTATTCCATGGTGTATATGTACCACATTTTCTTTATCCAATCTGTCATTGATGGGCATTTAGGTTGATCCCATACTTTTGCTATTGTGAACAGTGCTGCAATGAACATTTGTATGCATGTGTCTTTATGGTAGAATGGTTTATATTCATCTGGGTATATACCCAGTAGTGGGATTACTGGGTCGAATGGTAGCTCTGCTTTTAGCTCTTTGAGGAATCACTTTCCTTGCACAATGATTGAACTGATTTGCACACCCAACAACAGTGTATAAGCATTCCCTTTTCTCCATAGCCTCACTAGCATCTGTTATTTTTTGACTTTTTAATGATAGCTATTCTGACTGGTGTGAGATGGTATCTCATTATGGTTTTGATTTGCATTTCTCTAATGATCAGTGATGTTGAACTTTTTTTTTGTATGTTTGTTGGCTGCATGCATGTATTCTTTTGAAAAGTGTCTGTTCATTCCCTTTGCCCAATTTTAATGGGGTTGATTGTTTTTCTTTTGTAAATTTCTTTACATTTGAAATGTTTTTATTATTAAGTTGAGCTGCCTCATTCTTAGTATGGTTTTTCACTTTAAAAAGCATAAAGGTGGACATGGTGGCATATGCTAGTAATCCCAACTACTGGGGAGACTAATACAGGAGGGTTGCTTGAGCCCAGGAGTTCAAGGCTATAATGTGCTATGATCATGACTGTGAACAACCACTGTACTGCAGCCTGGGCAGAGTGACATAGTGAAACCATATCTCTAAAAAAAGAGAAAATGTAATTTAAATATTTAAATACATATGTATATGTGTGTATATATGTATATATATTGCATATATCAAAAATGGTTTGTAGTTTCCATTCACAGCACATAGTAAAATGTCTTAACCTCCTCCCTCCTCCCTATGTGTGTTTTTCTAAGTGTGTGTCTTTTTTACCTTAATTTTTCTCTTAGTGTCTCATAGTCTTCTTAGGTCTCCCTCTTTCTTCTGTCTTTCACACACACACACACACACACACACACACACACACACACACACACACGCATACACACATGTACCTTGAAAAATAGCTTTTCTTTTTCTTAAAACTTCCCAAAGCTTTCATAAAATTAGCCCTCAAGCACTCTTACGTATCTCATCCACTCTTCTTCCTCTCTCCCTTTCCTGAAGCCATTTGTAACTTACTCTATTACACTAGGAAGGGGAAGCAAATATTCATATTATTTTCTTGTTATATCCTTAGCCTTACTAGACCTTTGTGGTTTCTATGGATGAGGGACATAATATTTATTAATTTATTCTAAACTTCAGTCACTCATAATATACCCTTTTATTCCTCCTTCTTCTGTGATATTGGGAGTGTATAGTTGTCATTGTGACAAACCCTTTGCTGTCAGTATCTATAGTGGATGGGGAGAAAAGGAGAGCTTTGCCAATCATCGTCTCCAGTGCATTTCCCACTGTCAGTGTCATTGTCTAATGCTGTTTGCATCCACACAGCCTAAGGGAACCGTTCAAGTGAGTGACTCCCTCCCTTCACTTCAGCCCATCACTTGAGCATTTCTCTCCCTTGAAAAAAGACAAGTGGTGCTTCTAAGACTTGAGTAATTCTGAATTTAATTGAGGACTAGATGTTCCTGTTTTATATCCTACAGGGCTGGCATCTCTAATGCTGAAAGTACAACAAAGTGCAGTGGTAGTCACTGAGTGTTCAGCCATGCTGGGTCATCAAAATAAAAGGAGATCGTCTTCCCATTCCTATCAATGGCCTAATCTCTACCAGATATATAACTGGAAAAACAATGCATTTGCTTAAACATCCACAGTGAGCCACACTTGTTCGGTGTTGTGGGGAAATGACGCAGAAACATCCTTGTTTATTAAGGATCCAATATTGATAGGCTGAGGCATATTTTTCCTCCCAAGTCTGCACATGGTCATGCATTAAATATTAATGAGCATCTTCTCTCTATCAGGCTTTGGGGGATATGTTCACCTCTTGGGAGGTGAACATGATAGATAAGATCCTTTCTCTCATGTAGCATTCTCTCCATTCTTTTTTTTTTTTTTTTTTTGATAGTGACTAGCTCTGTCACCTAGGCTAGAGTGCAGTGGTGCAAACATGACTCACTGCAGCCTTGACCTCATGGACTCAAGTGATCCTCAAGTGATCCTCTTGCCTCCACAACATCCAGCTAACTTTTAAAAAAATTTTTGAAGAGAAGGTTTTGCCATGTTGCCTCAGCCTCCTGAAGTGGTGGGATTACAGGTGTGAGCCACTGCACCTGGCCACGTTTTCTTTCCATTCTTATGGAAGGCAGTAGTCAACAAAACAGTTAATCAATTGAGAATATATTAGGTTGTTATAGGAACCATGAAAAAATAAAATAGAGTGTGTAAAGAAGGCTTGATGGCCAGGAAGCTTTTACAGGGAAGTGACATTGGAACTGAGACCAAATACTTAAAGAAGGCAGTTCTTTGAAGAGTTGATGGGAAAGTATTCCAAGAAGTGGGAATGGCAAGGGGAAAGGACTTAAGATGTAACCTCAGAATGATTAAGGAGGAGCATGGTACAAGAGGATGTCAGAAACATAGCCAGGAAAGAGAGCTATGCTTAAGTATTAGGATTTTATTCTTTGCAAAGGAAAAGCCCATTGAAGCTTTAAAGCAAGGCCCTAAGAGTTAACATAATTTTTTTAAGGTACCTTAAAAATTTTGCTGAATGAAGAATTCATTGAAGTGAGTCAGGAATGTATGATTTTGGACAACTGACACAATGCCTGAGGCATAGTTTCTTCATATGGAAATTGGAGACAATGATCATATCTACCTTAGCAGATTATATAATGAATTATTTTCCTAGGGCTCCTGTAATAAGGTACCACAAACTGGGTAACTTAAGCAACAGAGATTTATTGCCTCACAATTCTAGAGGTGAGAAGTCCAGATCAAGAAGCTGGCAGGGCTAGGCTGCCTGAAAAGGTGCTAAGGAAGGAACTCTTCCAGTCCTCTTTCTCTCCTTCCAGTAGTTCCTTGGCTTGTGACAGCACAGTGTCAATTCTCATATGGCATCCTCCCCGTGTGCCTCTCTCTATGTCCAAATCTCCCTTTTATTTAAGGACAGAGTCACAGTGGATTAGAACATCCCCATAACATGAAGATTGCATGAAATTATATACATAAATAACTCAACAACATAGCTTCCAAATAGAAAACACTCAGCCTTTGTCATCTCATCATTATTTGTTTACACCTTTGTATTATTGGTATAGCTCTAGTCTTTTGAAAGGTGCAGTTACTCATCTTTGTGTTTTCCACTCCTTTATAGCTAAGTGTAAGGTGCTTTTGCAAAATCCAGTACTGCATATTTGAGAAATGCTTTTTATTCCTACACATACTGCATATACTGTTACACAATTCGATTTTGTAGGTCTAATGAAGTTGGTCTTTCTATGAGTTCCTATGGCTAAAAATAGTCACAATTGTGTACTCCAGTAAATTGTTAGAATGAAGGAAAATAGTTTGAGTGAAATTATCAATCTGGTTTTTCTGACTTCAGCTGTGTGTCATGTTTGGTTAGTCAGAGAAACATCTAATGTGAGGCCCCTGGAGGACAGCTGATAAGTAAGCATACCAAGTAGAATGGCTACTGGAAAAAGTGTGCCAGCTAGAGAGAGAGAGAAAAGAGAGAGTTAATTTACCATTTGCTCAAGTAAGGAATGATCCACAAATTCAACAAAATCTAAGTAGTCTTAAAGGACATGTCATTGACAGATTTATCTTCTAGTCTCCCACTTTGTCTAATACTGCTTCAAAACAAAGCAATTTACTGAACCCAGTGGTCTCATTATTCTGGAGGTTTATAAGTTTAAAAATACCTGGAGTTTTGGGAGCAGCAATAGCACTGAAGTGGGATATTAGTAGTGATGCGTGTGTTTACAGCACCTGTGAACACACAGAGACTGAAGCTTGAAGGCTGATGACCCTGAGTTAGGGGAAAAGATAAAACTTTTTATTAGATTTTTTTAATGTCGAGAAGAAAATTATTTATCTCCATATTTCCTGAATATTATCCTCTTACAATTATGTCAATGATTCTCACCCCAGTTATATATTAAAATTACCTGGAGATATATAAAAACTATCAATGTTCTACTCTTCTACAGATTAAATCATCATCACTGAGGGTGGCCCTCCAGCAACCAGGTTTGAGAACCACTTTAGACCAGAATTTTTCTCTGTGCCATTCAGTAATGGCAATGATAACTGTAGGATATGCAAATTGCAGAAAGACAAGGGCAAATGATTTAACTTATCCCCAAACAGCTGAACTATCTTAAGCCTCATGGCTACTTTAGAGTGACCAAATCCATGTAGATGCCAGAAGTTGTGTCATACACCTATTTCAAGGGACACATAGAATTTACCTATATATACCTACCTCAAGGGTCATGTCAGTTTACTATTCCCCTAAACAACAGCTTAATAGTATAAACTGCTGAACTGCTGTCTGCCTAATATTTATTGTGGCTATACTTCTTCTTTTCTGTATTAAAGGCCACTGCTTTCCCAGCTTGCTCTTTGTTCTCCATCATCTGTTGTGGGTCACTTGTGCTTTCTGTTTTTAACACCCATGTTGCTGAAGTCATTTCTCCAATTCATGATCCATGAAACTACTTCAGCAGTGAAAATGGCACCCCTCAGGTTCAAGTCAACACTTTTATATTTCCCTCTAGGTCAAGATCCAAGCTATGGAAGAAATCAGGATATGTCAATTTTCTAGAGCAGCCAAGTTTTCTAAAAGTCTACCTAGCCATGTAGTTATGTAGCCTCACTCTCACTTAAACAAAGAAAATTAAAAAGCACACCAGAAAATACTTTTCTTGTTAAAAACACATGTTTATTGTAGAAAATATAGTAAGGAAAAAGAAGAAAATATAAGGCAACTAGAATTTCTCTAGTTAGAGATAACTATTATTTATTTGAGTGTGTGTATATATCTATATATATATTGACATTCAGCTCTTATGTACTAGATACACACATCTACTGTTTCATAAGCTTTTTTCACAGAATAGATTATAATCAGTTATGTTTGTTATCACCACAACATTTTCTTCTTGAAGACCTTCTGGAATGAGGCATTTGCTTTTCTATCTAGAGACCCTATCCTTTCAAAAGGTCCTTTATCTGTGGAAAGAGCTATTCTGGCCACAGTTACTGCCAAGAAACAAGGTGTTAGAAAAGGCCTAAAGTTAAGTGCAGAACTGTTGTGTTTTGATGAATATTCCGTTGTTTTGAGAGGAGGTAGAAGCATTCTCAGCTTCAGGATATTTGCTCACTACTCATTAGTCTCTCTGAGAAGTAGCAAACTTCAAAGGTTAAATATGAAGAGATGAATTGTGTAATGCCTAGATGTCAGTAGCGGAGAAGGTATCTGAGCAAATTCAGAATTTTATCCCTGTCTCCATGGGCCTAGTGTGAAGAACAGTCATTTGTGTAAGTGGGTCTTTGTGTATATGGTAGTGAATCAGGTCACTGAGTCAGAAACTTAGAGCTGTAAGGAAAGTGAGGTGCTCTCCAGTCCAGTGTTCTGGAATTTCTTCTGCAGTGGCCCCCAACAGCAGGTGGCAGCCTCGTCCATGATTGTATTCTTAAGTGACATGGTATTACTCTTTCTATTTGCAATCTATTTCACTGATGGATAGTTCTAGAGATCTGAAATATTGAGATTTAGCTCAGTGTTGTTTATATGAAGATAAATTCCGCTTTCCAACAACTCTCTTGTATGTGTCTAATGTCTGCCGCATGGAATGTCACAGATTATGCTTCATACTTGTCTTCCTGAGTCTTCTTTATCCAGAACACCCTGAGTTTTTGAATGGTTGACATGCCAGCTGGCTTTCTGCAGATGTACTTCTCGCGTGTAAATTTCCTTCTCTGTGAGGTATTCATATTGAACATGACCTCCAAGTGTGTTTGGGTCTGTGCAGAAGACAATAGGACTGTGATTTCTGATGATTAAAACCTGGATTGTATGTTACTGTGATCAGACCCTGAGACTGTGTTAGCAAGTTTTATAGCATCTGAGTCGCTCTGTTGGAGGAAAGTGCATGTGATGGGCATTTGCTTGCTTCCCCACCAGATTCTCTACCTTCACCCTTCCTGCAAGATTCCCTAGGAAGCTGACTTCTGCTGAATGCAACACTCAGGTTCTCTGCTTCCTAGATTCTAGTTGAGTTTGGTCCATGGGAGGCCTTGGCAGAAATTTTGAGAGTAAGAGCAAATAATTAATTAACCATTAGAAAAAAATAACATGAATGTGTCCTTCTATCCATGACCTCAGTTCCTGTTGGGGAGCCTCGGTGCCAATCCCTCGGTGCATCACCATTTCTAATTAGTTCCTGTTTTAGTCTGCTTTTGCGTGTGTGTGTGTGTGTGTGTGTGTGTGTGTGTTGTTATAAAGGAATACCAGAGGCTGAATAATTTTAAAGAGAGGTTTATTTGGCTCACAGTTCTGAAGGTGTGCAAGAAGCATGGTGCCACCATTTGCTTCTGGTGAGGGCGTTAGGCTGTTTCCACTCATGGCAGAAGGGGAAGGGAAGCTGGCATGTGCAGAGATCACGTGGCGAGAGAGAGGGGTTTGTGCCAGGCTCTTGTTAACAACCAGCTCTTGTGGGAATTAAGAGAGCTAGAACTAGGTAGGCACGGTGGCTCACGCCTGTAATCCCAGCACTTTGGGAGGCCGAGGCAGGTGGATCACCTGAGGTCAGGAGTTTGAGACCAGCCTGGCCAACATGGTGAAACCCCGTCTCTACTAAAAATACCAAAAATTAGCTGGGCATAGTGGTGGGCACCTGTAATCCTAGCTACTCTGGAGGCTGACACAGGAGAATGGGTTGAACCTGTGAGGTGGATGTTGCAGTGAGCCAAGATCGCACCACTACATTCCAATCTGGGCAGCAAGAGTGAAACTACATCTCAAAAAGAAAAAAAAGAGCGAGCAAGAACTCACTTGGATGGCACCAAGACATTCGTGAGAGGTCCACACTCAGGACCAAAACACCTCCCATTAGGTCCCACCTCCAACAATGGGGATCACATTTCAACATGAGTTTGGAGTGGTCAAATATCCAAACCCTAGCAGTTCCCTTAACCCTGGAAAGAGATCCTTCATTAAACTCTTTCTGCTTAATCCTTTGAGAGTGCAACAATTTCCTGCTAGGACCCTGACAGATAGAGGGACCATACAGATCACTAAAATGCTGAGGAATTTTTCAAATGAACTGCACCCAGCAGACCTCCCTGATTCTGAATATATCAAACTTTTATTTTTTATTTTATTTTATTTTACTTTTTGAGACGGAATCTCGCTCTGTCGCCCAGGCTGGAGTGCAGTGGTGCGATCTCGGCTCCCTGCAACCTCCACCTCCTGGGTTCAAGCGATTCTCCTGCCTTAGCCTCCCGAGTAGCTGGGACTACAGGCATCCACCAGCAGGCCTGGCTAATTTTTTATTTTTAGTAGAGATGGGGTTTCACCATGTTGACCGGGCTGGTCTTCAACTCCTGACTTCATGATCTGCCCACCTTGGCTTCCCTAAGTGCTTGGATTACAGGCGTGAGCCGCTGCACCCAGCCAAACTTTAAAAAAAAAACCCAAATAGTACTTTGAACTTCACCCGCAGGGAGTTATTCAAATTGGTTGTCAGCCAGTTATTTCAGGTTGTTGAGATCATCTGGCTCTTGATTTTATTAATCATCTTAGCCTTCCCTTTCAACAATTTGCCGACTTTGTGCAAATTTTATTAATATGTGATCTCTGTCTTTATCCATGGAGAGGCAGTATAGTATCATAAGGAAAAATAGACTTTGGAGTAGGCAGAAATTAGGTTTGAATTACTAGCCACGAGGCTTTGGGAACATTACTTAAACTCTATAAGCTTCAATTTCTTTATCTATAAGGTAGGTATAAAACCTGAAAGTTTTGGCATGAGTTTAGTAAAACTGTCTGTGAAGCCTTTGTGGACTGCTTGGTCCATGTAGGCATTTGATAAACGGTGGCTTTATATAGAGGAGGGAAATGCAAGCTATCTCAAAAAGAAATCAGGGAAATAAGAATGCCATCTGAAATCTGTCATATGAGAATGAAAGGAGCATAGACAGGTTTTGAGTGTGGGGTGAGGAGTAGGGGAGGGGAGGAGATAAGTGAACTGCCCCTCAGACTTCCAGGGAGGAGAAAAATGATGTCACTGGGAACTGCAGTCATTTGAAAAGATAGCAATCAAGCATCTCTTTCAGAGCCCTGTTCATCTTTCAGTGGCTTTGCTTCTCCAGATGCTTTTGCTCCTTCAATTATCTCTGCCTTCTCCCACCTCCTCTCCAACCATCTCTTCCCTTCCTTAATTCACAATTTTTCTCCCTCTTTTCAAGGCATAGTGCTTTGATTTATAAATTAGTTCTATGTTTCTGTTTTCTAATTTATTAGTTTCTGCTTTCTTATTTATTTATTTTGAGATGGAGTGTCACTCTGTTGCCCCAGCTGGAGTGCAGTGGCATGATCTTGGCTCACTGCAACCTCTGCCTCTCAGGTTCAAGAGATTCTCCTGCCTCAGCCTCCCAAGTAGCTCGAATTACAGGAGTGCACAACCAAGCCTGGCTAGTTTTTGTATTTGTAGGAGAGACAAGATTTCACCATGTTGGCCAGGCTGGTCTGGAACTCCTGACCTCAGGTGATCTGCCTGCCTCAGCCTCCCAAAGTGCTGGGATTACAGATGTGAGTCACCATGCCTAGCCTGCTTTCATATTTATTAATATATTATTTCCACTTTCCTAAGGATAGTTGTTGTTCAACCTTTACTAGCTTTTTTGTTGTTCATACTAATACATTTATTTTTATTGTGCTATAGCTATTTCCCACATGTGATTTTTTTTTTTTTTTTTTTTTGAGATAGGATCTTGCTCTGTTGCTGAGGCTGGAGTGCAGTGATATGATCATGGCTTGCTGAAGCCCTGAACTCCTGAGGTTGGGTGATTCTCCCACCTTAGCCTCCCAAGTAGATGGGATTACAAGAAGTACCACTATACCTGGCTATTTAAAATTTTTTTTGGCGTGTGTGGAGATGGAGTCTCCCTATGTTGTCCAGGCTGGTTGCGAACTACTGGTCTCAAGTGATCCTGCCACCTTGGCTTCCCAAAATGCTGGGATTACACATGTGTAATATTTTTATTGTCACTATTTTCCACATATTCTGGAAATTTTATTTGGATTTCTTTTTTTTTTTTTTTTGACAGAGTCTTGCTGTGTCACCTAGGCTGGAGTGCAGTGGTGCAATCTCAGCTCACTGCAACCTCCACCTTCTGGGTTCAAGGAATTCTCCTGCCTCAGCCTCCTAAGTAGCTGGGATTACAGGCATGAGCCACCAGGCCCAGCTAATTTTTGTATTTTTAGTAGAGACAGGGTGTCGCCATGTTGACGAGGCTGGTCTTGAACTGCTGACCTCAAGTGACCTGCCCACCTTGGCCTCCCAAAGTACTGGAATTACAGGCATGAGCCACTGTACCCGGCCTGAATTTCTTTTTGACATAGAATTATTTAAGAGAAAGCTTTTAAATTTCCATGCTGTAATTTCTAGTTTTGTTGTGTCATAATCAGAGAATATAATCTGTAGCATTTCTACATTCTCTACTTTGCTTAGATGTTTTTAGGGTGGGGTGTGTAATATGTACTGAATTTTGTAAACATTTTATGGACATACAAATTTCAGTGTTTACTTTTTCAGGCTATAGGCTTTGCTACATAATTTTTGTGTATTTTGTGGTCCTCATATAGATTTTTTAATTATCTTTTTGCTGTGATAGAGATTAGAAGGGTAAATTAATGTCTCATTTACCATCATTTTTCTTTCTGTATCTCTTTTCATTTCCTGATGCTTTGGTTTTATGAAATCTTTATGTATAAAAATTGTGCACACATATCTTTATGCACAGTGTTTTGGATTTTACCCTTCATAATGAGCTTTTTTCTCTCCTTTGAATTTGACCTGGCCTGGTGTTAACAGCCCAGGTGTAAAATTCCAGTGAGAAAGAAGTCTGATGAGGAGTCAGTAGGATCTTTGTGTTGCTGAGAACTGCTCAGTAACACGGACAGCTCCCTGAACTCCAGGAAACATCCTGATTTAGTGTTTTGAGTATTGTGAAGCACAGTTAGAGCAGAAACATGGAGAATCACCTTAAATGGCAAATTGGCTTCTGGTCTTGCATAAGACTTCATTGAGGCCTAATGGGCTATGCAGGTCTACTGTCCAAAGTACAGAGGTTATTCCTAGTGTCTTTAATATTACTGTCCCTTTAGGCAAGATTATCCTTATGATAAGGGAGAGTGAATTAAGCTATTTTGGCTGAGGCATATTTTTATAAATTCATCCAATTAGCTTCCCTTGTTGTAGTTTTGGCTCACCAAACATTGTTCTCATTATAATTTAGCATCCCATATAATTTCATCTGCAGGGAGAGTCTGTACTAGGCATGGCGATGCTTACATGTCAGCCTGTGTGACTGCAAGAGTCTCAGTACAATTTGATAACATGGCACTCAGATTCTAGACATTATTCTCTGTGTGCTTAGTGAGTGTGATGACATAACCTTCAGAAAGATTCATCCTTTCTCACATATTGATAAATCAACTTTTACATCTACAAAGTTGAGAGTCAGAAATTAAAACCTTATTAATTCACTAAGGCATCCCTATGACGGCAGTCTTCCAACTAGCTCCATTCTGGGGCACTCTGACATCATTATACACTTTCCAATGAAAGCAGGGAGTGTATGTGATTAAAGGGAGAGCCCTGTGGCACTCCTGAAAAATCTCCCCTCCCAGTTCACATTGACTTATTAACCAACACTCATGATCATGTGAAACTCTAGAACTGGATCTGGGTGCCTGGCAGGATGACATGGTGTGAGGCTCAAGCAGCACTGTGGGAATTCAAGCATCTGTTTATTTCTGAGAGAAAAAGTGTAAAGCAAAATAATATCTTTTAACAAACGTTTGTATTTGACTAAAGAGGAAGCAAGCACTTAATTTATGAATTTGCTAATTGCTCTTCTGAGCTGAGAATATCTGTGTTGGATATTAGTCATTATCCATATTTGGCACAGAATAATCCCGAGGGTTAAATGACATTGTTCCTACAGTGGGCACCTGAAGACTGGCTGTAAAAGCAATCCTGGCCAGGGGCGGTGGCTCACGCCTGTAATCCCAGCACTTTGGGAGGCCAACGTGGGTGGATCATGAGGTCAGAAGTTTGAGACCAGCCTGGCCAACATAGTGAAACCTCATCTCTACTAAAAATACAAAAAAATTAGCTAGGCACGGTGGCAGACACCTGTAATCCCAGCTACTTGGGTGGCTGAGGCAGGAGAATCACTTAAACCTGGGAGGCAGAAGTTGCAGTGAGTCGAGATTGCACCAATGCACTCCAGCCCAGGTGACAGTGTGAGACTCTGTCCAAAAAAAAAAAAAAAAAAAAAAAAAGAAAGAAAAGAAAAAAAAAAGAAGAAAAAAAGAGAAATAAAAAAAAGAAAAATAAATAAATAAATAAATAAATAAAAGCAACTCTAACACTACTGAGGCTATTGACAGTGGCACTTTGTTCTTCTGTTAGAACCTTGGGAAAATTTCTTCCCCCTGAATACAGTATAATAAAGTTGGTTCTTATTTCTCTTTCTCTCCCCCTCCTTTTTTCTTCCCTCTCCACCACCACATGCATACACACAAATAGACAGATTTGTTTATATTTGACTTTCTAAAAACCTGTTACTAGAAAGGCACATTAATACATTTCTCCTGTGCTGATAGTAATCAGGCAACTCTGGTTTCTATTGGAGGCAATTTCTTACGTATTAAATGCCAGAAAAAGGGCATCCTTCTGTTTTTGTAGAGAGCCTTTCTTTATGAAGACTAATGACCACATTAGTTAGTCAGTCAGTCAATAATACTTACCAAATGTCAGTAGAGCAGAAGTGAACACCAACAGAAAATCACATTTTACAAATGCAATTTACTTGGTATCCTAACATGCCATGTCATAATAATTATTGAGGCTTTTCTTCTCTGCTGCATTGGTCTAATGAAAGTGGCTAGAAAAATATGGGTGCCCATGTAGCCTCCTGGAAGCACCTGTATGACTTTTCTAGAAGCGAGGTTCCTGGATAAAGATGAATTTTTAAAAGCTGGAATGAATGAGCAGCAATAGCAGAAGGAGAAAAGTGAGTGAGGGCTCTCCAAGAAGCCATCTGGCAGGCTAAGGGTTCTGAGGGAAGCTCTGGTTTCAGAAGCAACTCAGGAATTACTTCTGTCATATTAGGATGAGATGGTAGGAGATTGGGAACTCTAGGGACTAGAAGTCATTTAATTTCCTGTCTACAATCCTTAGAAGAGGTTTTGAGACTTGCAACCTAGGACCTTAACTAGTCATCTTCCCTCAGCATTGATAGAATTCTTTATTATACATGTTAATATCAGATTAGTCAGGATGGGCTGGATTATGCTGTGTTAACAGCCATTCTCTAAATCTCTGTGGCTCACCAGGGAGCTCTGCCTGTCATGGTCACTTGGGACCCAGGCTTTGGGTATAAGGCTACAGCACATGGAAAATGTATGAATGTCTCTCAGATTGTTAAAGCTTCAGCTGGAAGTGACATGTCATTCTGCTCACAGTTCATTGGCTAAATGAGTCACGTGGCTCTCTCTAACTTCAAGGATGGTATGAAATTGCAATCCTACCATGTCTCTAGAAGGAGAACCAGCCCTAATCACAATGCTACATGTTTATAGCTTGCCTCATAGAGTTTACTGTATTCTCCTGGTATAATTTTCTTACATGCTCAACTGGAGAGGAAGCTCTTAAATAGAAAAAAAATCACAGTAAATTTCCTTTAAAAGATCTATTTTACAACTCTGGCATGATGGAGCACAATGGAGTCCTTAGTAATGGACTCCATCTCTTCCATCAGATAAAATCTTGAGAACTGAAGTTAAAATTTGAATAATGAAACCAAAGGGAAAACAAATTAAATGAATTTTAAGACACTTGAGATAAGAACAACTGTGGCATCAGCACAATTCAATTTAATAATGTATTAATTATTTTGCAGAAAAGTGAAAACAAATTGATAGCCAAATCAATGCAGCATTAAGCCACCATTTGGTCTAATTTCTTGCTGAATTGACAAAACAAAACACTAGTTTAGTTATATAAACATGGCTGATGTTTATACAAACAACAGAATTTGCCGGTAGCATTATCACTGGAAAATAAGATGTGTACTTAATTCTTGTATGTTCTGAGCCCATCTAGGAAGAACATAAAAGACGAAGAACAAAGCAATCACAGGATGTTATCATGAAAATATCACCTTTGGCTGGAGTAAAGTTTTGGCTAAATGTGGCACTAGTATTTATTACAGCTCACCTTTTTATAATGAAGGGCTATGGACTGAACATTCTTATTATTTCCCATTTTCTTACCACTCTATCCCAACACACATGCACATGCATGCACACACGCACACACACTGGCACCCACACCCATGCATGTGGGACACACAGAGCAGCCTAGGCAATTTCAATTGTTGGCAGCTTTGCTTTTATTAGGTATTAGTCTACCGACTTGCTTTCTCTTTAGAGAGACTAAGTGAAACCAAACTCATTTCCACCCAGTTAGCCTGCTGGAACCTGTAACAGTTACTGTAATGTTAAAAGCAGTAAAACAAAATAAAAACCAGTCAGTTCACTTACTCCCGAAGTCCGCAGTTTGGTGTTCAGCTTTAAAACATATGCTCTGGGTGTCCTGTGGTGGCTACCAGAGGCTTTGGTGAGTCATTGTCAACCCAGTGGCTAGAGAAGTGCTGGAATGCCCCTCTTAAATACAGAGCCAGTTTGTCCTTCAGAATGGCTGCTTGAACGAATTTATTGCTCAACTCGAAAGGCCGTTTTTTATAACCCACTGCAGTTGTGCTTCATGTGTTTCTCCACCTATCCTGTAAAGCGTATTGTGAAATTAATTTTGTAGATTTCCTCACACTGCAGTGACTAGGGAAATCACCCATTCGTTATTATCTAATGAGGAGAAAGTGGAAACATCTAGAAGCACTGCTCCCATCCTCCTCCCCAGCCCACACAGACACCTACCTCAGGCCCTCCCTGTCCCAGGTGAGCAGAGGGCCCCACCTTTGGAGGTTGCCTCCCTTCCACCTTCACCAATCCTATGACCAGATTATCCCCAAGGAAATGTCAATCTCCAGGCAGCAAGGGAATCATATAAAGATAAGATCATTGAGAGATTTTTTTTCCTCCGTGATTGGCAGTTTATATTTTCTTGGGTCTACAAATCTGACAGTATTTATTAAATTTTCTAGTTTGATACTGACGTCTGTCTGATGCTGGGCTGTCACCATGCCCAAGACTGAGGGGACCCACAGTCTAGCTAGAAGGCATGGATCAATTCCAACTGCCCTACCCCTAGCCTGTGGGCAGGAGAAAGCTCTCAGGCTCTGGCAGAGGAGTCCCAGGGGCAGGATGCATGATCTTCCACTGTGCCTCCCAGCCATGCTGAGCAGCAAAGCAGACCATGAGCATGTCTCCCTTAAATTCATTTGCTTGATTTGTCCTTGAGTGTCCTTGGATGGGTTTGTTCCCTCCTTGTGCAGTATGTCTTGGTCATCCTGATTCCTGGGCTTGGCTCCCAGGTTGATTCTTTCCCTGACACAAAACAGGCACTATGGGCAAAGACACCTGCAGCCTTGGAGAGACCAGTGATGCTGGATGTTTCCTGTTAGCACTCAGGAAAGCTCAGAGCCTTTGATGAGCATCTTTTGATCCATTAGTTAAAACCACGCTGGGTTCTTTATAGTGGTTAGTTAGCTCTGGGCTATGGGATTGTGGAAGACATTTATTTCTTCTTTGGATTCACCTGGATTTTCTGCAACGGACATGTATCGATAAAATACACGGTGCTTTTAAGAAATTGCCCCATCATCATGTTGCTGTTGTTGTTATTGATATTGTTGTTTCTGATGGATAGAGATCTAGGCCTGACACTCCAAGCAGTGTGAACAGCATTTACCTTGATAAGCATTCTTACATCTTAACTCTCGGGAATTTTAAATAGAAGTGTTCCGTGTGATTAAATTAACAGGTTTAGAGATGAGTGTCCTGGTTATTTCCTTTGTTCTCCTCCTGGTAGCTGCCTGCACTCACAGCATGTTGGGAATGGTGATTATAAATGTAACCATGCTCTCTTCTTGTAAGTGGAGAGCCCAGGTACCTCTTATCCAGCATGTGACCCTCTTTCTACCTCAGGATAGTCATACTCTTAGGCTTCCTGGATTTATTCAGGGCCAAGGAGTGGTCAAGGTCCTTTTTGTTTTGCCCTATTCCCTTTGGAAAACATTTAGTTTATGCCCATGTTACAGATTGCAAAATACAGGCACATATTCTCACTAATGTGGTCTGCATGTCCCTTTGCAAGGATCACGAGGTCAGGAGATGGAGACCATCCTGGCTAACACAGTGAAACACAGTCTCTACTAAAACATACAAAAAAAAAAAAATTATCTGGGCGTGGTGGTAGGTGCCTGTAGTCTCAGCTACTTGGGAGCCTGAGGCAGGAGAATGACGTGAACCCAGGAGGCAGAGCTTGCAGTGAGCCTAGATCGCACCACTGCACTCCAGCCTGGGCAACAGAGAGAGATTCTGACTCAAAAAAAAAAAAAAAAGAAAAGAAAAGAAAAGAAAAGGAGCCTCTTTGCCTCTTTACCCTAATCTGGGCAAGCCTTGCAACCTGATTTGCCAAAAAAATATGAAGGAAGCAATGTGATGTGATTTTCCAGGCTAGAATGTAAGAAGCCTTGGAGCTTCTGCTTTTACTGTCTTCAGATGCTGCCTGAAACCACTGTAAGAAGCTCTAACCTACTGGAGGATAAGGGGTGAGCCCAAGAGCATCAAGGCTCCCATCAACAGCCAGTCCTGTGAGTGAGGCCATCTTGGACCTGCCAGCTCAGTAAACCCTTTTGCTGAACACAGCCCAAGGAAGGAACCCTTGCAAAATGAAATCGTGTGGTCAGTTTGCGGGGTGGTTATTACACAGCAGTAGATGATTGAAAAGGCCCAGTGTCTTCCTGGGGACTGAAACACCCACCTCCTGTTCATGTTGATACACGGTGAGCAGCATATGGATGTGGGAGTGGTGTTGGTTGCAGGTGAGGTAGAGAAGCAGTGAACAGAGCACGAAGACCTGATGTTCCAGGGTCGGGAGTTTAGACTTGATCCTAACAGCGGCCATAGGCGGATTTAGGCAAGAGAGTAACGTGGTCAGATTTTCATTTTAGAAAGTTACTCTGACATCCATGTGGAAAATGAACTTGAAGGTCACAAGGCTGATGGAGCCAGGAAGACCATTTGGGAGGTGATTGTAGTAATCTACTTACGAGTTCATTACGAGCTGGGGAATGGGGAGGTGTTAGAGAAGAGAAAATGGATTTGAAGAGCTGAGGGATGTTAAAAAGGCAAAACTGGGCCAGGGATGGCGGCTCACGCCTGTAATCCCAGCACTTTGGGAGGCCAAGGTGGGCAGATCATGAGGTCAAGAGATTGAGATCATCTGGGCCAATATGGTGAAATCCCCTCTCTACTAAAAATACAAAAATTATCTGGATGTAGTGGCACACACCTATAATCCCAGCTACTTGGGAAGCTGAGGCAGGAGAATCGCTTGAACACAGGCAGCGGAGGTTGCAGTGAGCTGAGATTGCACCACCGCACACCAGCCTGGTGACAGAGAAAGACTCCGTCTAAAAAAAAAAACAAAAACAAAAAAACCGGAAAATTGTTGGGACTTGTAATTAATTGGGTGAGGAAACTGAGTGGCAAATGGTCTCAGCTCTACACATGGAGAGCCCTGGGGACATAGGGAGAGCATATTTGGAAGGAAAGATGATAATGTTAGTTCTTAAAATTTTGTTTGTGGAGGAGACATTCAGACAGAGAATTCTGTTGGGCAGTTTTATGTAGAGAACTACATCTAAAGAGGTCAGAAGTGAACTTCAATAAAATTGAGGTGACCAATGATCATCAGTTTTAAAGAGGACATATTTTCTTTTTCTGTTAAAGGGAACACACCTATGAGTCAGAAAGCCAGACTTTTATTTTTTCTCGCCAAAAGTTATTGTACAACCTACAGAAGAGAGTGTAAACACTGGTCTTTAAGATGAATTGTAAAGCTCTAAAGAGAATAAGAAAAATTGCGTTTCATGATTTATGATGGATAACATTTTAGAGTTGATTTCATAAGAGAATTCGTTAAGCCAATAGACAACCATGGCATTTTAACTGTAGTGTTTAAGTATCTTTAGCTCTGATTTTTTAATTAGCAGAAGCAAATAAAGAGAGCTTCGTTTTAACCATGAGAAATCTCTCTTCTGTATTTCATGTGACTAAATTTGTCCAGACGCTGAAGTTCAAATAATCACAGTGATTGCCAATATAATGGTTAATTTCCTGAGAAGTAAGTTCATACTTTGCCACAGTTTGCTCCCCTGTAAGATCAGACAGAAAAATAAGAATAAAACCGACTAATAGCTATTGATTGCCTCTGGAACAGCTATCAATATAAAGAGCCAGACAAAACACATAATAAAGAATTGTGTTAGTGCCAGAGAGACTTTAGAGATCATTTGCCCATCTCTTTACCTTCTCCCACTTGTTTCTGTCCCTCCACCCCACCAGCTCTGATACAGACACACAGGATATTAGCAAAGGATAGTATTTGTTGAGAGCCTTTTGCGTGTCAGGCACTGCTTCTAAACGTTGTATAATACCAGCTCATTCAATCTTCAAATCAATGCTATACAGTAGGTACTCTTCTTCTTTTTTTTTTTTTTTAATTTTACAGCTGAGGGACTGAGGTATGGAGAGGTTAGGTAACTTGTTCGAGGACACCAAGCCAGTCAGGGTGCCACTGGACCTAAGACAAGGTAACCTGGCTCTGAGACCAACCCCACAGAGAAGTATGTGGATGCTGACAACACTGTAGGAAGTTACAAGGAGCAAAAGAATAGCAGCCTCAGCCCTGAATTCCACTGTAAGCTTCCCTCTAATCTTCCCTGCCTCACTCTCAATCAAATAAAGAGCTGATCAGGAAGCAACTATGCACGGTCTCCACAGTCTCTTATCTTAACCCAGACTCTCCTTTCTATTGATAGCAGGTCTGTAGATAATAATTCTTTCAACCAATTGACAATCAGAAAATCTTTGAATCTATCTATGACCTGTAAGCCCCATTACTTTGAATTTTCCTCCTTCCAGACCAAACCAATGCAGACCAAACCAATGCAGAACTCCTATGTGCTGATGGTGGTCTTACATTTCCCTAAGTTTCTGCCGACTAAACTGTGCACACGTTCTCAGGACCTCCTGAAGCTGCGTCACAGGCACTAATCAAAGAACACAACCAAGGTGAGTCTCAATCATTTCAAGAAATCTATTTGCAAGGTTAAGGACACACCTGAGAAAAGAACAGAGAACCACAGGAAAAACTGTGGTCCGTGCTTTTCGCAAAGGTTGTCTGGGGACCTCAGTAAGTAAAGGGGAAAAGTGCGGGTATTGGGGAAAGGGGAAGAAGTGGAAAAAATGGGTGTGGGTAAATCAGAGGCAAATGGTTGCATTCTTCTGTCTTTGGTCAGCGTTCACTGAATACACATTTTGCATGCGATGGAGGTAGAGGCAGGGATGTAGCTTTTTTGTCTTTGTGTAATAGCTATCTTATTTAGGAACCAGATGGGAAGCAGGTTTGCATAAGCCAGTTCCCAGCTTGGCTTTTCCCTTTGGCTTAGTGAGTCTGGGGTCCCAGGATTTATTTTCTGTTCTCACAGGTTGTGGTCCTCACATTTGGCTCAAAATATTCAAATTTTTTCCAGAGTTTGGCCTTTTCTTCAGCACTGGGAATTGTGATCCAAAGCTTTTCCTGATGAAGCACAAAGTTGGAGAAAAAAAACGCAAACTAAACAACAACAATGAAACAGAACAGAGTGAATCTGCTGTAGCTCAAGAGAGGACGTAGCTGCCCCCACTCCGCATCCCCGGGCTCGGGTTTGCCTTGCTGACCTCTGCTGCCACCTGGTGCCGCACAGAGAAACTGAGGAGAAACCACATCAGTCTCCTTCAGCCTCAGCTTCACATCTGTGGGTCAAGTAACCCTTTCAGAAGCTGAATAATGTGGGAAAGCTTTCCTCTCAGGAAAATGCACACATCCAACTTTGAGAAGATGCCCTTGGGGGCGCTTCAAGGATTCTAGATAATAACCCCCTTTCCCGAACATCCAAGAACCTAAGATTTTTTTTTTTTTTTTGAGAAAGTCTCGCTCTCTCTCCCAGTCTGGAGTGCAGTGGCGTGATCTTGGCTCACTGCCAGCTCCACCTCCCAGGTTCACGCCATTCTCCTGCTTCAGCCTCCCTAGTAGCTGGGGCTACAGGCACCTGCCACCAAACCCGGCTAATTTTTTTGTATTTTTAGTAGAGACGGGGTTTCACCGTGTTAGCCAGGATCGTCTTGATCTCCTGACCTTGTGATCCACCCGCCTCGGCCTCCCAAATTGCTGGGATTACAGATGTGAGCCACCGCACCTGGTCCAAGAGCCCAAGTTTTAGATCTAGAGTGATGTCAGCATGACATTGATTTCCTGAGGCCCAGGGGCGAAGGAGCTGAGGACAGCAGAGGGGTGAAGGAACTCAGCTACAGACAGCAGCAGCTGATGCACAGGCCTCCCAGCGCCTGAAGTCACCCGGAATTGGGAAGTGCTCAGAAGCTTACAAAGCTGCCTCGAGGTGGGAACATGACATAAATCCAAGAGCAGATCCCTGATCCTATAAAAATGTACTAGATGCAGTGGGGGCATTTTAAATGAGCAGAGAAGGACAGACAGATAAACAGAAGGACAAACAGTATTGGGATTGGGATAAATGCTCAGCTTTTGCCCAAATCTTAGTGACTTAAGCATCACTTATTTGCTCACGATTCTGTGGCTGGACCATTTGGTTTGGCTCACAGGGCAGGGACTGTGCTGGTCTTACCTGAGCAGACCTGCATGTCTGCGGTCAACTGGGTTGGCAGAGACAGAGTGACTGTCTTCCTCCAGGAAGCAGCAGGTTAACTGGTTGGCAGAGACAGAGGGACAGAGGGACTGTCTTCCTCCAGGAAGCAGCAGGTTAACTGGTTGGCAGAGACAGAGGGACTGAGGGATTGTCTTCCTCCAGGAAGCAGCAGGTTAACTGGTTGGCAGAGACAGAGGGACAGAGGGACTGTCTTCCTCCAGGAAGCAGCAGGTTAACTGGTTGGCAGAGACAGAGGGACTGAGGGACTGTCTTCCTCCAGGAAGCAGCAGGTTAACTGGTTGGCAGAGACAGAGGGACAGAGGGACTGTCTTCCTCCAGGAAGCAGCAGGTTAACTGGTTGGCAGAGACAGAGGGACTGAGGGACTGTCTTCCTCCAGGAAGCAGCAGGTTAACTGGTTGGTAGAGACAGAGGGACTGAGGGACTGTCTCCCCCCAGGAAGCAGCAGGTTGGCTCTGTTTCCTTCGTGGGGCAGCTGGTCTCCAGGGCAGCAAGAGAGACCAAGCCCCAGTGCACATTCTACAGCCTCTGTGCACATCAGACTTGTTAATATCCCATTGGCCAGTGTAAGTCACATGGCCAAGCCCAGATTAAGGAGTGGAAAGATGGAGGCTATCTCCTCCTGGGAGAGGAGGCCAAGGAGGTGGGAGTATTATGTGGCCACTTATGTTTGCAATCTACCATAATTAGCACTTTGAGAAAAGAATTAACTGAGAAACTTGCTTCAAATAGGGCATTCAGTAAAATGAAGCCCCAATTGAAGTAAAATGCATATATAAAAAATGAAACTGTGACCGATTTTAAGGACAGTATTGGCAAATATTTCTGTGCTCTTGGAGGAGAAGACCCTTATTGGCATGACATGTCAGAAACCACAATGAAAGAATTATTTTAACTTGCATTCATAAAAATTAAAATTATTCATTAAAAACATCGTGAATGAAATTAAAAGTCAAAATGTAAGCCAGAAAATTATTTACAATGTATGTGTCAGGAAAAGACAATACCCTTCAAACTTTGAGAGTTTACATCAGAAAGAAAACAGCAAATGACATGATCCAAACTTGATAAAGGACATGAAAAAGAGCCAGCACTTAGTATGTTTTCTGAATGAATAAGTAGCCAACAGCACATGAAAATGCGTGTAATCCATTTGTAAGCAGAGAAATGCAAACTAAAACAGTAAAGTGTCATTTTCATTTCCTGGATTGGCAAAGGGTTTTATGTATTTTACTGATAGTGCTCAATATTAGCAGTAAACAACAAATGGTGAGTAAATATGAGCTTCGGAACCTCAGGGAAATGATCTCCTTATTTCAACCTGTAGATTCCTTCCTACAACCAGTGTCTACAGAGCACCTACTATGTGCCAGGCACAGCCTAAGTCCTGAAGGTGTAGTCTCCACTGAGAAGGTGATATTTGCACAAAGACCTGAAAGACAGGAGTGAACTGTGTGGATAACTGTGGGTACCCCTACAGGCAGAGGAGTAGCAATGTGGGTCCCAAGGTGGGACCACATCAGACATGTTCGAGGACTAGCTGAGGGAGAGAGGTGGGAGGTCAGAGGAGATGGGGGCCGGCTCTGCTGGCCATCACGAGCACTCTGGGTGCAGAGGGCGAGAGGTGGAAGGTCAGAGGAGATGGGGGCCGGCTTTGCTGGCCAACACGAGCACTCTGGGTGCTGAGGGCGAGAGGTGGGAGGTCAGAGGAGATGGGGGCTGGCTCTGCTGGCCGTCACGAGCACTCTGGGTGCTGAGGGCAAGAGGTGGGGAGGAGGTCAGAGGAGATGGGGGCTGGCTCTGCCGGCCAACACGAGCACTCTGGGTTTTCCTCCAAATGCTATGAGAGCAGGGGAGTAACCTGGTCTGACTTGGGTGTGAGCAGATCTCTCTGGTTGTTGTTCTGGAAAAAACTGAGGTGCCCACGTGAAAGCAGAGATCGGTTAGGAGGCTGCTGCAGCAATTCAGGCAAAAATGGGTGGCGGGCCTCGGGTGTAGTGGAGGAGAAGCGATCGGATTTTGGATATTTGTAGCTCCCCCAATACGATTTCCTGGAGAAGGAGATGACTTCAATCTTCTGGCCTGAGTAGCTGAAAGGATGAAGCTGTCCTTCGTGGAGGTGGGGAATCCACAGAGAAGCGGGTAGGGAGAGAGTATCAGGAGCTCAGTGTTAGCCATGGATGTTCGAGGGGAGGTATTGAGCAGCTGATAGAGACACAGGCCTGTGGTCCCAGGAAAAGGTCTGGGGGTCACTAGCCCATGGATGGAGTCACAGGCTGCATAGACTGCAGGAAAGCGAAGGTGGAGAGAGAAGAGCAGAGTACCAGGATGGACCATTGAGCACCCTGGTGTTGAGAGCAAGTGGCCTCTAGTCAGAGTTGGGTCAGGGCCACTGTGAGTGGGCTGCCCCCAACATGAGTCGGCTGTCTAGGACTAGTTTATCTCTGCTTCTCACTTTACTGGTATTATGGGGCAGCTCCTGCTGTCTTCCAATTTGGTGTTTGTAAAATGAGACATAAAAAGCAGGTGACAAGGATACCAGGAAGTGCACAGGTCTGAGTGGAGTATGGGGCTGTCTCCAGGGGAGAGGTGGCTGTTTGGAGGGAAGGGTGACAATGGATAATCAGGGTCCATGGGCATCCCTGCTTGTTTTGGAGCCATGGACACTCAAATAATGTGATTTTATGAGGCTATTGGAGAAAAAATTGGCCACAGGGCCAAGAGGGCTGGGAGGACCCCAGCTCTCCGACTGGTGTTTGCTTCTCTGCCATCAGGGTCGGGAGGCCATGCCAAGCATTGTGATTTGCAGAGTCCATGAGACAGGAACACTCCCACCACAGTGACCTGCCTCTGCACACAGCCAGAATGTAGCTGACTCCTTTCTTCTCCCACTTGCATGCTTCCAAGCCTTCAAAACATACTCATCTCCATGTTCTGTGAATTAGCAATTTTTAAAAAAATAAAAAAATAAACAAACTCATCTCTGAAGGTCCAGGTGATTTTTATGTTTTACAGAAAGTTTTGTGAAGAGATGACAGAAAGGGTTATATCACATCCACACAGCAATAACTCCTCAAAAGCAACTTTTGGCCGGGTGTGGTGGCTCATGCCTGCAATCCCAGCACTTTCAGGGGCCGAGGCGGGAGGATCGCTTGTGCTTAGGAGTTTGAGACTAGCCTGGGCAACATAGCAAGTCCCTGTCTCTACTTAAAAAAGAAAAAAAAAATGAGCCAGATGTGGTGGCACGCAGCTGTAGTCCCAGCTACATGGAAGACTGAGGTGGTAGGATCACTTGAGCCAGGAGGTTGAGGCTACAGTGAGCCATGATCACACCACTGCACTCCACCCTGGGTGACAGAGTGAGACCCTGTCTCAAACTTTTTTAAAAGGCCAGGCATGGTGGCTCATACCCATAATCCCAGTACTTTGGGAGGCCAAGGTGGGTGGATCACTTGAGCCCAGGAATTTGAGACCAGCCTGGGCAACATGGTGAAACCCCATCTCTACTAAAAGTCAAAAAAATTAGGTAGGTGTGGTGGTATACATTTGTAGTCTTGGCTCCTTGGAAGGCTGATGTGGGAGGATTGCTTAAGCCTAGGAGGTCGAGGCTACAGTGAGCCATGATTGCACCGTTGCATTCCAGCCTGGGCAAGAGTGAAACCCTGTCTCTCTCTGTCTCTGTCTGTCTCTCTCTCTCTCTGTCTCTTTCTCTCTCTCTGTGTCTCTCTCTCTCTCTCTCTCACACACACACAACTTATAAGCATCTCTTGTTTCTCCTAAAATTACCCTTCTAGCATTAGCTGTCCCATTAAAATTCTAATAGGCTTTTTTGTGGACATCTGCAAATTAATTATAAAATTTATATGGACATGCAAAGGGCCAAGTAAGGGCCCTTAAAAGGGACAAAAATGGGAGAAATTACTAGATACCATGGCTCACCATAAAAGCTGCCTTGATTAAGACAGTGTGGCAGTGGTCAGCAAACAGTGGTCTGCCCCTGGGCCAACTCTGCCCACCATCTGTTTCTGTATGGCCCATGAAGCAAGAATGATTTTTACATTTTTAAATGGTTGAAAATAATTGATTGGTGGGGACAATGCTGGTGGAGTCTGAAGTTGTCATGCAGTGACTCACTCAAGGTTAGGCAGATTTGGTGATATATGACACAGAGATGCAAAGAAATGCTGTAGCTGACACACACAGGGTGGCTCTGGGAGATGCAGAAGGAGCATGTCACCCAAAATAGAGCCAGATAGACATCTTTAAGGAAGGAGCAAAGGGGCTGCATCTTAAAGAATGAAGAAGGGATTTGTCATGAGAGATGGGGCAGGAAGTTCTTGAGAGGCAGAGGGAGAGCATGAGAATGCTGGGAAGGGAGGAGAGATTCTCACACATCTGGGAAGCTGACAATTCATCAGCATGTCCGGAAGGAAAATAAGGAGGAGGAGCAGAAATAGATGAGGCTGGATATAGAAGCAGGGCTGAAGCTGTGTTGATCGTGGTAAAGAGTTGTGATTCTATCCAGAAGGCAATAGGTAGCATTCTAAACAGAGATCTCTTAAAACAAGAGTCAGCAAATATTTTCTGCAAAGGGCTAAATGTTAAATATTTTAAGTTTTCCAAGCCATATGGTCTCTCTCTTAATGACTCAGGTCTTCCATTATACCATGAAAGTAACCAGAGACGTTATATAACACATGTATTGGCTGTGTCCCATTACAACTTTACTTACAAACGCAGACTGTGTCAGACCTGGTCCATGCATGGTAGTTTGCCACACCCTGTTTTAGAAAGCTCAGGTTTATGATGTGATGGAGAATGCCTACAAGAGCTCTTGTTTTAAATGGTAGAGTGAAGATACACTGGAATTCTATCCTGCTTGACCCAAGCTCTTGATAGCGAAAGGTAGAAAAGATAGATAGTAAATAGATAGATAGATGATAGGCAGGTAGATAGATAGATGATAGATAAAGAAAATACATAGCTGTTCCAGAAAACAGAAATGGATAATTTCATGAACCAAAAGCAGAGTAATATACTTTAGAAAGGAAGCAGGCTGGAAGACCCACAGTTGCAAAGCAAATAGAATTTCCAACTGCCTCTTGTAGCCCCTTCCTGGAAGTAGTCACAGCCCAGGGTGTTCAACTTCTTCCTCTGTTTTTTGTTTGTTTGTTGTTTGCTTTTCTGTGGGGTTTTTGTTGTTGTTGTTTGCTTTTTAAAAAAAATCCCTTTCCCTGCTTTTTTGTCACAGCAGCCTTTGTCACTTCAAACACCGCAAGTGTTCTTTAAAAAAAATTATATCAACCTTTCAACTAAAATGCAACATGTCTGAAACTTGGTATCTGGAGAGGTGAGAGGGACAAAGGAGCCGTTGTTACTGCACGTTTTCATTCTCCAAACTTCACCTTGCACACAGTAACAGACAATGCACAAAGCTACTTCCTTATGGACGGAAATTCTGAAATCCTTTTATGCCTGGCCTTTCCATCCTTCAACTTCCCCTCTCCCATGCTGTGAGTGATTGTATTGGACATTTTTGTTTTAATCTCAGTGACAGGGGAACACAGATAGCTCTAATATAGCTGTGACCCAGATGCTTCTGTTTCTAGCATGTATTAATTTTGCAGCAAACATTACATCCATAATTTTTCACTGTCCTTTGAAAATAATTAGGCAATATCTCATCTGAGGTAGGATGTTTCTAGGGGTTGTGTTCTGAGTGAGAAAAACTAATCTGTTCTCTTTCCACTGCATTCTAGGAACAGTAAGAGGACCTTGTGCATGAATAATTTGTTTCCACACTGCAGAGTGGGTAATAAGCAGATTAGTAAAAACAATTCTGCTTCACTTCAATAACAGCCTCCTCCAACTCATTTTTTCTCAACAAACTTATTTTTGCAGCAGAAGAATCCCAGACTTCTTAGAGAACCCAGTGACTTTTTGCACCTTAAATCTGTGAAATCCTCATGCTTTCTTCTGCCGTATCCATCGTTCAAACAAACATGAGGCAAAGCTAGACACATTCCTGAAGGAACCCAAGAAATTCCTCTCTTTCTCTCTCTGGAATGAAATGAATTCTCTAGACCACCAGTTCTAACCTTCAAAAACGAAACCTGTTTGTGAGATCTCCTTCAAATACTACTGTAGACCCCAGTGTTTATTCATTAAATTTTTTAAACATTTGTTTTATTTGGAATCAAAGTATTTGTAATTTTAGTATTTGTATTAATATAAGGGAGAAATGTTTAAATCTGTCTATGCCACATGTGCCTTCGGCTTATTGCCCAATTAATTGTAGCCTCAGGCTAAACTTTGGTTTCTGTCTTTAATTTTTGTCGGAAGAAATATAACTGGTCTCAAAACATCTGCTTTTATTGTAGGGACTCGTGCTGCCATCTCCATTCCTCTCTCTTTTCTTGCAATCTGGGTGGAAGTTCTTTAATATGAACATTTCAACCACCTTCACTCTACCATGTCCACTATCAGCACATTCAAACGTATCCAGCCAAGGGTATCATCTTAGGCCAGGGATTTTTTAGGAATCTATTTTGCTGTGATGCACCTGGTACCCCTTTGACTCACTTTATCACCCCAGGGTTCTTTTCATTTTAGAAGCCCAAGAGGGCAGAAAAAGAAGTAGGTGAGCAATTAAACTCTCCAAGTCAGGAGCGTCTCCCCTTGTGTTAAGCAATGTTGTAGAACATCGTATTTAGCAAGCTCCTAGCAGATGAGCCACGTGGCTGCTGAGCACACACGCCTGCTTGCTGCTGTGAGCTCAGACACCATCATTATGTCTTTTTCACCTCTGGAGGGAATTGTAAGCGCCACTTAATAACCTGTAAATCGTAGAGAGTTAAAGGTGTTTCCCTAAAACACTGATGACAGAATGAAAGGTAAGGAGTGTTAGCCACAGGTCAAAAGTGCAGGAAAGTCTCTCTATGTGGGTTGTTGAAGAAATGCAGGTCTTTTTTCTTTTGGAAGTCTCCCTAGAATGGGGTCAAGGACTCTGCCCATTCTAGGATGAAAAACTGGGATATTAGACACCCTCAGATATTTATCCCAAGCTTTCATTTTGGGCTCTTAATTAGTTCATCCATCACAATCGCAAATGCTAAGCAGGGCAGTTGAATCTGTCTACAGTCCAAATCAGCACCTTCTTTTAAAGTTGAGTTTCTTATTATTCTCACCTGATATACCTTATTTATCCCACACCCACCCCAATAACATATCGTGCTCACTGTTATCTTTAAGAAAACACTTGAATTTAACTCAGCCTGGAGCTCTCTTCACATGTCTTGTCCAGATCCAGTTCGGACTCATTCTTCAGCCGTGCATCAGTCAATGGGGGCTAGGTTAAACTGTGGTGACAAACAACCTCCAAATTTCAGTGGCTCAAAAATCTTCTTCCTCATTTATTTACATTTCATCATGGGTCAGGTGAGAGGTAGCTCTGTGCTGTGTCATCCTAACACAGGAATCCAGACGGAAGGAGGGACGATCAATAAGATCCCCATTGCTATAGAAAAGAGAAAAAAGTATGTGGAATAGCACTCTGTTTCTTGGAGATTTCTCCTGAAAAAGTCACATGTTATTTCTTCTCACCTCCATTGGCAAAAAAAAAAAGTCATGTGGCCATGTGAAAATGTAAGTAGGCGGGATGGAACAGTCAGAATGCATTCATAAAATATGAACTGAAAATATCTGGAGAACAGCACCTATGACTACAACGAATGCCAACATGCATCCCTAACAACCCAGTGCTGTCACCCTCCAAACTTTTTATGTCTTGCAAAGTATTAGAACTTCTTATCTGAAGCCATACCACTCAGAGGGAATGCAAAATACATATTGACATCTCCTTTAGGATGTCCTTAGAGAATTCATGGAAAAGAAGTTAAATAATTTAAAAGTGCTTTTGGGTACAGCTATTTAGCACTAGAGGGTAAGAGTAGAGATAGATTGTAAAGATAATAATAGGGTTAGGCATAGGATTAGGATCTGGGTCAGAGTCAGGGCCGGAAGTATGGTTAGAGGTGGGGTCATGGTCAGGGTCGAGATCAAAGTCAGGGTCAAAGTAAGGGTCAGAATTAGGGACCAGGATAGGGATCAGGATTTAGGTTCAGTGTCAAAGTCTTGGGACAGGGTTAGGGTTAGGATTAGAACCAGAGCTTTGTTCTCCTCAGGACCCACCCGAGGGTGGGTCACCATGGCTTTGGAGCGCCTGGTAGTGTGGCGTGTCCACAGTGAAGACCAGAGTTTCATTGTCCTTAAGACTGACCTGGGGAGATGTGGCTGTAGGCCATTGAGGAAGGTGAGGCAACAGCTTCCTGTCTGCTCCCCGTGTGCTGAGGAGGGAGTTCTGCCGTGGGCTTTACTTTCACATGTTATATTCCACAAGTCTTGTTTTACAAAAGCATCCCTTCCTTGAGGCTTCGGCTGCTCATCGCTGCTCATCATCATAGCGTGCCATAACATATAGTAAGATTTGGGTTTGTTTCTGGGGAGATATCTTGGTATAGAGAAAGGAGAAATGCTTAGAGCCACCATCAGGACAGTTGGGATGAAAGTTGGGTATAGGCAGAGGCTGGAGGAAACATGTGCATCCCCTGTAAACACTTTTATTCATGTTTTAATTACTCATTTTTCTTACAGTGTTAAATTAGTAAAGATAGTATTGAAAAATTGAAAAGTAGGCATATTAAAACTTGCAACACTATTTAAGCCTAGATATATTATTTGTACCTCATCAACATTTTTTATTGTGTTGAGAAAGTTTAAGGTTAATTGACAGCATATTTCTAATAGTAGATAGAATAACATCCCTTTTATAAACATTGACATCCTACATTACATGTGTGAACCCTGAAAATCTGAGACAGCTCTCAGATTTTTTAGAAAGTTTATTTTGCCAATCTTGAGGATGTGCGCCTGTGATGCCTCCTCAGGAGATCCTGACAACATGGGCCCAAGGTGGTCGGGGCACAGCTTGGTTTTATACACTTTAGGGAGACACGAGAGATCAATCAATACGTGTAAGATGTACATTGGTTCAGTCCAGAAAGGTGAGAAGGCCAGACAGGGGGCTTCCAGGTCACAGGTAAGTAAGAGACAAATGGTTTCATTCTTTTGCATTGCTGATTACCCTCTCCATGTGAGGCAATCAGGTATGCATTTATCTAGGTGATCAGACGGGTGTCTTTGGATAGAATGGGAGGCGGGTTTGCCCTAAGCAGTTCCCAGCTTGACTTTTCCCTTTAGCTTAGTGATTTTGAGTCCCCAAGATTTATTTTCCCTTCGTAAGTGTTCCTATGAGTATTAATTATTCATTGTGTCTTTTATTACACAAATAAGGCACAGATTTTTAAGAAATCATCAACTTCATGGCTACCTATATAGACATAATTACACAGAAGCTCAACTAAATTTGCAAACATTCCAGAGTTTGGGTTTCCAATAATTCTTTGTGATTCTTTAAAAGGTAAAGTATTTTTTCCCATAAAACATAGCAACATTTAAAATCACCCGTAGAATGTCCCGCCATTTTTGTTTTTCTAGTTTCCTCATTTTCTGCAAATCCTCGCTGAGGAAATTGACTTTGAATATCCTTTTAGACTCTTTTGTTTTAGAAAGCATTGTGGTAAAACATTGAATCATCATGGTCATAAGTTCTGTTCACATTCTTTCTTTCTTTGAATATTTTTTCCCATTGGCCAATATTTGATTCTGTTGTATTAGGGCTAAAAGGTAGGCATGGCAAGAAAATAAAGACAGGAAGTCTTTGGAATAATTGATCCCATCATAATGAATCAATTTGTCATTGGAACATGTTTTTACAAAGTCACTCTTTTGAAAATATTCAGCTATGACTTGAAAGAGAGTCTGTATGGTTAATATTTTTCCTGGTCTAAGGTGAACAGCTTTTTAGAGAATGAACCCAGGACACAACCACAGCACAAGAAAAAAATATGATAATTAAGTTTACACATATTGTTACTACTGTAACAGAAAACATGTAAAGGACATTTGTTTTGATTTATATATCAGTCTGCACTGTTTAATTTTTTGTGTCATAATTGCTCTTATTTTAAAAAACAGGACTAGTTAACAGTGTCAATTACTAGTAATTCATGGTATAAATAATTAAACAAGGAAGTGTTAAAAAAACAGTGTTTTAAATAAAGTTTTATTTTACGTCTTTTTTTTACTTACACAGAAATCGTCAAAAAAAAAAAGCAGAGATTTCCCATGTAGCCGCAACCTAGTTTCCTCTCTTATTAACATCTTCTATCAGTGTGTCTCACATGGCTTATTAATATCTTACATAATTTGCCGCAGTTAATGAACCAATACTGATAGACTGTTATTAACTGAAGTTCATATTTCATTTGGATTCCCTTAGTTCTATCTTACTCTGACCCAGGATCCCATCCAGGATCCCGCACGACATGTAGTCATCACATAGGCTCTTCCTGGCTGTGACAGTGTGTCAGGCTTTCCATCTCATGATGACCTTCATAGCACTGAGGAGGATTGGTCAGGAATTTTGTAGAATGCCCCCCATTGTCACTTCATGTTCTCAAGGTGAACTGTCAGCTTTGATATTCACTTGGATCATTTGGCAGAGCTACTGTTTGTCAGATTTCTCCACTGTGAAGTTATTTTTCCTCCTTGTCCGTACTGCATGTGTTCTTTTGGAGCAAGTCACTATGCAGAGCCCACACTTACGGAGTGAGGAGTTGGCTCCACCTTCTTGATGGCTGAGTGTCTACATCAGTTATTTGGAATTCTTTTGCAAAGGAGATTTCTATGCAACTCCATTTGCTTATTCACGTAGGTATACAAATACAGACACCTAGATAATTACTTTAAGCTTTAGTTATTATTCGACACTATAGCATTATGTTGCACAATTCCTTCCTGTGTTGGCCATCGGTAGCTGTTTTTATTGGCTTTTATTTTTGTTTGATATATTTTAATTTTTTTAGTACTTACTTTCTGATACTTCCAGATTATCCTGGCTCCTATATTTACTGTCCCAGTTCTAGTATCAGACATTTCTTCAAAGAGCCTGATTCCTTTCAGAATGGTGGGAAAACTTACATGTGGCTGCTGAATGCACATTGTATCTTGTCCCTCATTAGCAATGCTAGGAAGCATATGTGCGTGTCTAACCTACCTACACACACCTAATTATAAAGTTTTCTATGTAGAACTGTGTGTATCTATATTAAACTAAGCATAAGTTTACGTTGATGTCTCCACCTCTGATCTACTATCACAGGAATCATTCTAGCCTTCTCGTCTTGCTAATTTGTAACCTCCCACTTCAACAGTGAGAAAGCTGGTTCCCACCATCTGCGACTTATGTAAGTCATTGTTTTACTCCAGATACAGACACTGTGGTTTTACAATTGTTCACAATTGCTTCTGTTGGAAAGAACTTTATAAAATGGAATCCAATAATGAAGTATAGTTCATGTGCCTTCAGCCTACAGATTCTATTCATTTTCAAAGTTTTTACCTAGATTTGTGTCTTAGTCCATTTTGTGCTTCTGTAACAGAATACCTGAGGCTGCGTAATTTATAAGTAAAACAGTTTCATTTGGTTCACAATACTGGTGGCTGGAATGTCTGAGATTGGGCAGTTGCATCTGGCGGGGCCTCAGTCTTTTTCACCTCATGGTGGAAAGTGGAAGGGGAGCAAGGGGTGCACCAGCGATCACACAGCAGAAGTGAAAGCAAGAGGGAAGCCAAGGAAGCCAGGCTCTTTTTAATTACCTACTCCTGCAGGAATTATCTATTCCTGTGAGAACAGAACTCACTCACCCCCATGGAGGACATTAATCTATTCATGAGGGATC